>NW_018654715.1:0-680662 GCF_000001405.40 Homo sapiens | reverse complement strand
CTAAATATCTCAGGATCAATGGAATGGAGATAAGAAAATGAAACACAGTTTTCTAATTTAAATGAAATGTATGACCTTTTCTATACAATCTTAAGAAGGTACTACTAAGACCAGTTACAAGACAGTACAGGGAGATATACTTGATACAATAATTTTATGGAATTTTAATAGAATTATTGAGATATGCAATGGGCTAGTTAGAAATTTCCTGTCACTGTAAATTTGTACCAGCTTAGTGTGAGGGATAAAGAAAGGACTCAATTTGATCATATACCAAATGTTTAATGTATGCTTACTGTGTATTATTCATTGTTCTAGGTACTGGGGATATCAAAGTAAATCAACACTGACCCCACTCCTTAGTAATAAGCACGAAATGACTTTAAAAATAGTATGAAATTATATTAGTCCATTCTCATGCTGATATGAAGGAATACCTGAGACTGGGTATAAAGGAAAGAGGTTTAATTGACTCACAGTTCCACATTGCTGGGGAGGACTCAGGAAACTTACAATCATGGCAGAAGGCCAAGAAGAAGCAAGCACCTTCTAAACAGGGTGGTATGATGGAGTGAGAGCAAACAGGGGAAATGCAAGACGCTTATAAAACCATCATATCTTATCAGATTTATTCACTATCACAAGAACAGCATGGGGGAGACTGCCACCATGATTCAATTACTTCCCACCAGGACCTTCCCACGACTTGTGGGGATTATGGGGTTTACAATTCAAGATGTGGTTTAGGTGGTGACACAACCAAACCATATCATGCTGGCCCTGGCTCCTCCCATATCTCATGTCCTCACATTTCAAAACACAATCATTCCTTCCCAAGAGTCCCCCCAAAGTCTTAACTCATTCCCACATGAACTCAAAAGTCCAAGTCCAAATCTGAGATAAGGCAAGTCCCTTCTGCTTATGAACATGTAAAATCAAAAGCAAGTTAGTTACTTACTAGTGAGTAAATATACACATTCCAAATGGGAGAAATTGGCCAAAAAACAATGGGGCTACAGGCCCTATGCAAGTCTAAAATCCAATAAGGCAGTCATTAAACCTTAAAGTTCCAAAATGATCTACTTTGACCCCATGTCTCATGTCCAGGTCATGCTGATGCAAGAGGTCAGTTCTCACAGCCTTGGGCAGCTCCACCCCTGTGGCTTTGCAGGGTACAGACTAGCCTCACTCTTGGCTGCTTTCACAGGCTGGCATTGAGTGCTTGCAGCTTTTCCAGGTGGAAGTGCAAGCTGTTGCTGGGTCTACCATTCTGGGGTATAGAGAATGGTGGCCCTCCTCTCACAGCTCTACTAGGCAGTGCCCCAGTCAGAACTCTGTGTGTGGGCTCTGACTCCACATTTCCCCTCTGCACTGCCCTAGCAGAGGTTCTCCATGAGGGCTCTGCCCCTGTAGCAAACTTCTGCCTGGACATTCAGGCATTTCTGTACATCTTCTGAAATCTTGGTTAGAGGTTCCCAAACCTCACTTCTTGATTTCTGTGCACTTTCACGCCCAACACCATTAGTAAGCTGCCAAGGCTTGGGGCTTGGACCCTCTGAGGCAATGGCCCGAGCTTTATCATGTCCCCTTTTAGCCACAGCTGGGACTGAAGCAGCTAGGATACAGGCACGATATCCCGAGGCTGCACAGAGCAGGGGAACCCTGGGCGCAGCACATGAAACAATTTTTTTCCTCCTAGGCCACTGGGCCTGTGTTGGGAGGGGCTGCTGTGAAGGTCTCTGACATTCCCTGGAGATATTTTCCTCATTGTCTTTGGATTAACATTCCATTCTTTGTTACTTATGCAAATTTCTGCAGCGACTTGAATTTCTCCTCCAGAAAATGTGTTTCTCTTTTCTATCGCATCATCAGGCTGTGAATTTTCCAAATTTTTATGCTCTGCTTACTCTTCAATGCTTTAATGCTTAGAAGTTTCTTCTGCCAGATATCCTAAGTCATCTCTCTCAAGTTCAAAGTTCCACGTATTTCTGTGACAGGGGCAAAATGCCGCCAGTCTCTTTGCTAAAGCATAGCAAGAGTCACCTTTGCTCCAGTTCCCAAGAAGTTCCTCATCTCCATCTGAGACCACCTCAGCCTGGACTACATTGTTCATATCACTATCAGCATTTTGGTCAAAGCCATTCAACAAGTCTTTAGGAAGTTCTAAACTTCCCCACATCTTCCTGTCTTCTTAACCCTCCAAGTCTCTAGGAAGTTCTAAACTTTCACACACTTCCCTGTCTTCTGCGTCCTCCAAATGGTTCCAACCTCTGTCTGTTACCCAGTTCCAAAGTTGCTTCTTCATTTTCAGGCATATTTACAGCAGCACCCTTCTCCTGGTACTTACTGTATTATTGTTCTCACACTGCTATGAAGAAATACCAAAGTCTGGGTAATTTATAAAAGAAAGAGCTTTAATTGATTCACAGTTTTGTGTTGCTGGGGAGGCCTCAGGAAACTTAGAATCGTAGCAGATGGCAAAGGATAAACAGGAACTTTCTTCATAGGGAGGCGAGATGGAGTAAGTGCAAGCAGGGGAAATGTCAGATGCTTATAAAACCATCAGATCTCATGAGACTCACTCAGTATCATGAGTCAACAGAATGGAGGAAACTGCTCCCAAGATTCAATAACTTCCCACCTGGTCCCTCCCACAATACTTGGGGATTATGGGAACTACAATTCAAGATGAGGACACAGCCAAGCCATATCAGAAATGTTTAAGATATGTACAAGTATAAAAAATAATAAACCAAATACTTTTGTAACCACAACCCAACTTAATAAATGCTACCTATACAGTTCAAGACTTCTGTGGCCCTTTCTTATGGTTAAATCTAAAAATTTTTATTCTCTTACATTTGTTAATACTTTAACAAAAGCAACACTAAATCCTATGTAAAGGTAATAAGCATGTTTTTACATTGTGTGTATATATGCAGTTATACTGCCTGTGTGATTCTGTAACTCATGAATGTATCATACATTTATTCTTCTATTATTTTTGTTGTTGTTCATTCATTTTTGTCATAGAATAACCCAGTGTTTAAATACGCCACAAGTTTTTTTGTTAATGTAAGGTACGACAAGTGTATATCAGTGATTTTTATTTGGGCTTATCTGATTACTGGTGAAAATCAACATCCTTTCATGTGTATTGGCTTTTTCTGTTTTGCTAGTCTTTAACTTGCCTATTAAAATATTTTGTGTATTTGCTTTCATGGCTCACTGCAGCCTCGACCTCCTGGGCCCAAGCAATTCTCCCACCTCAGCCTTCCAAAGTGTGCACCACCATGTTTGGCTAATTTTTTTTGTAGTGATGGGCTTTTGCTGTGTTACCGAGGCTTGTCTCCATTTTCTGCGCTCAAGCAATCCTACAGGTCTATTTGCTTTTTCATGTGTATTGGTGATATGGTTTGACTGTGTCCCCACCAAAATCTCATTTGGAATTCTCACGGGTTGTGGGAGGGACCTGGTGGGAGGTAATTAAATCATGGGGGGCAGGTCTTTCTTGTGCTGTTCTCGTGGTAGTGAATAAGTCTCATGAAATCTGATGGTTTTAAAAAGGGGAGTTTTCCTGAACAAGCTCTCTTTGCCTGCTGCCATCCACGTAGGATGTGGCTTGGTCCTCCTTTCCTTCTGCCATGATTATGAAGCCTCCCCAGCCACGTGGAACTGTAACTCCCATTAAACCTATTTCTTTTGTAAATTGCCCAGTCTTGGGTATGGCTTTATCAGCAGCATGAAAATAGATTAATACAATTGGCTTTTTCAGGTTTGCTGTTCTTTAACTTGCCTATTAAAATATTTTGCCTGTTTTTCCATCCAGTTATTCATTCTTTATAGATTTTTACAAATTCTTTATGTATTCTGGATAGTAACCTTTTGTTTTTAGTTATATTCGTGGAAAATACCTTCTTTCATTTTGAAGCTTTCTTTTTTTACTTTATGCATATTGTTTATTGATGAAAGAAGGGTCTTAGTTAAAAGTAGCTGAATTTATCAGTTCTTTCTCTTCAGATTTATATTTATTTTCGCACCTTGTTTAAAATACTACCTACTGCAATCATTTTCTTTTCTGTTGTTTTTTGTAAATGTTTGGAGACTTTGCTAGTACGTTTTCAAATATGCATCTGTATATATTTCTGTCTTCCCAATTCTGTTCAGGTATCTATTTACCAACCATATGGCACAAAGAACACTTTCTTTGTGCCAGTCACTGTTCTAGTTCCTAGAAGACAGCTGTGAATCACACAAGCAAATACCTGTGCTTCCGTGGTGCTGATATTCTACTGTTTCATTTTGCCAGTACCCTGTTGTGTTAATTACTTTGTATATCTGAATATCCCGAAAGGCAAGTTCAACTACCGTGTCCTTTTGCAAAATTGCGTTTGCTTTTTTTTGGTCCCTTATTCTTTCATGTAAATCATAATCGTTTGTTTGAGTTCCACGAAAAATATCATTGACTCAATAGATAACTTTTCTTATCTTTCTGTCCCTCTGAGTCTTTGATACTCTTTCCATGTATATGTGAAAAATTATATTTTAAGACTAATTAGCCAGGTGTGGTGGCTCACATCTATAATCCCAGCACTGTGGGGGGCCAAGGCTGTAGGATTGCTTGAGCCCAGGGATTTGAGACCAGCCTGGGTAACATGGCAAAACCCCATCACAAATTAGCTGAGCATGGTGGTGCACGCCTGTAGTCCCAGCTACTTGGGAGGCTGAGATGGGAGGATTGCTTGAGTCCAGAAGGTGAAGGCTGCAGCGAGCTGTGATTGTGCCATTGCACTCCATCCTGTAGGACAGAGGGAGACCCTGTCTCAAAAAGAAAAAACCAAAAAAGCAAAAGTATAATCTGAAAAATGGAGCCACTTGTTGGTTCATAACATCATACATTGTATCCTAAAAACAATATATTTTATGTAACTGAGAAAAAAAATCAAAGATAGAAGTAGTTGAAACAAAAATTCCCACTCACTGGCATCATAAGTCTATGTTTTGTACCTTTCTATTAGGAAACTAACATTACAAACAACTTATTAGAAAGTCATATACTTTCTTACTTTGCTAAATTTCATGGCTTTAATATCTTCTCAGTCCTTAGTGAATATGAGGGTTGTCTTTTTTTTTAAGAAAATATCATATCAGTGGAATTTTTCACAGCACCTCAGTGCTTCTGATGCTAGGAAATTGGGCTTTATTCTATATAAAAATAATCATAAATATTAATATATAGTAGGTGAGTATTGCTTGATACCTTATAGTATTTCTACATTATTCCTTGTTTGCAGGGTCTTAGTAGTTTCTCATCTTTACCTTTCTGTTTCTCCTCTCTTAGATCTTAGTATGTTACCCTAAGACCCAGAAAACAGTGAACACATCCTTAGTTGGCCACAGGCCTGTTATTGCACTTTGGTTAAGATTTTGTTTCTCGGGTCTCCTTTCTAACTGTCGGACGCTGCCCTGTTATTAGAGCTATTTCCACTTCTAGTGAGTTCATTCTCAGTCTGTAATGAGATTAGAACCATTTCACCTTGTGAATGGCTGCTGTTTGGCAGTTAAACACCTTCAACGAGTTTAATAGACGTTCTTGGTTTAGATTCAGTCTGATTTTCTCAGTGCTAATAATCTCTCTCCGTGTCCTGAGCCAAGCATTTCTATGTGTTTATTGTAAATGATGAGGTAAAGTAAGATATTCCGGCCTTGCTCATATGTTTCAAGTAGCTTTTCTTTTTATAGTATCCTTTTTGTGAAACTAACTCTAGAGATGTCATCTGACATTTTTCAATCAGCTATCTCAGAACTTTTGTTTTACTTTGTGAGAGTAAAGAAATAGGATTTCTACTCATGGCTTTTCTGCTAATTACTACCTAGCTGTCCAGTTGTCAGCCAGTCAATTTTTATCTCTTGTTTTTATTTTCTTAATCTACAAAATGTTGCGATAGTACTAGATAGATTACTTCCTGGGTTTTGTTTAACTGTCTTTTTCCCAATGGCTTTCTATATGGATTCTGTGAAGGTAGATAGTGATCTATTAATCGTCCATTATGTTGTAGTTTCTATTTGCCATTTAAATTTTATTTCCTTTTTGGTGAGTATGTCTATTTTTAACATTTAAAAGAGGAAGACAACTTTCGTTGTCATTTATGGTATATTTAGCAATAAGATACTGCACGATTGTACCCCCTAGCCAGTGTACATTTTTATAAGTGTATTTGTAAAAATCCATTTTCTTCCTCAAGAATATTATTTAAACATTTATTGAACATTTACTATGCAACAAACTGGTGCCTGGCACTGGAAACAATAATGAATGAACCTGCCCTTGAGGAACTTTCAGTGTAATGATTTTTGGTTTGGTGGCAGTCTGTTCTGTTCAACCATGCTAATATTCCTGTATGCCCTGCCATATGCTTCTATCTTCCTTTTTAGGAGTGTTAACCTGAGAAGGGTCACTTCTTTATGTCCTTGCTTGGTGATTATAGTAAATGTCAATGTTCTTTTAGGGTCGAGAAAGTATATGTCGATGATCTTGTAAAGATGACATATACATCTTTTAGAGCATAATGTATTTCTGAATGATGAGAAGTTAATTTTTTCATTGGTCACTATATTGTAGGACAGTCATAAATGAATGAAGCACAGGTTGAGCTTGACACAATTAAAGAGACCTTGAAGTAAAAGAAGAACCTTTAAATCTACCGAGAATGGTTCTTAGAATAATTTAAGAGGCAGTATGGGTGTTTTGTATCCTTGAAAACTCTTTGAATGGCAACTTTATATACTAGATTATATTTAACTTTCCCTTACTCAGCTGTTTGTCAGAGTCCAAGAATTGTTTTATTCCTGAATTAAGAAGTCTGAAGTCCCATCGTGCTCACTTTTATGTACCTTTGCCTCTGTATGACATTGGAGGAAAAGGTGTCATTTCAAAAATACGGTCTCTTTAGCCATCCAAGTTCACTAGTGCCAACAAACTGGCACTTTTGTGGCTTCATACTTATAAATATATTGCAGTGTTTTTCACTGGGTAAGTTATCTTGTAGAGAAGGCAAAGAACTTATAAATTCATTTCATGATGTCCAAAAGATAATCCAGGAGACATATTTACACAGGCATAGCTCCTTGTTCTGTGTCTCACAAGGGAGAAAGAGGCTTTTATCAAATAATATTATAGGACAGCTGTCTTGGTTTTACTTAAAATGTAAACTTTTATTATTACTTCAATATTCAGATTAGTTTTTTCATTCATGTAAACTTGTCATTTCTGCTTAAAGAACTTCAAAGTTTCATCAAAATAGTTTCATTTCAATTTCAGGTAGTTGAGAATATAATTTATTATACATGTATCAAAGTCCTTATGTTAATCGTGAATGTCATCACATAAGTATTTTTTAAAGACCCATTAATGTAGTATAATCTATACTTTCTTAAATAAAACGATTGTCATAATCAGTCCATTATTGTAACACTCTAATACCATTCCTGAAATGTCCCATGATGTGAAATAAAAAAGATAATGATAATGATTCTAATGATACAGGAATAGTAAAGGCATAATAGGATATGTCTATTGATACCTTATCTTTACTTTTGTAACTCTTGATCTTGTTCATAAAGGTGAATTTACTACTTATTCTTACCTTTTCTTTTACTTTAATACATAGGGATGTGAGCTCATTTCAACTCCTGATCAAGACCACACTGACTTTACTAAGTGCCTTAAAATGCTCCAAAAGAAGATAGAAGAAAAAGACTTAAAGGTAATATATACATGTATTTGGTGGTTATTCCAAGGATGTGAAAACAATTTGTGTTTATTTTTTCACTCAGCTGAAATGGATATTTACTTTTGTGCTTTTTCTTTTTTTTTAAATTGCTGTCAGGTTTTTTTTCCCCTGTAGAGCAGATAAGTCTGCACTTAGCTGCCAAAACATTAACATGTGCACTTAAACCAGGGAACACAAATGTAAACATCTTACAGTGGCATGGTAATAAAATGGGTGAACTGGACCGTGTGTCAAGTAATCAAAACTGGGAACTCATTCTTGCCTGAAAGCGACTAGCTACTATTCGTCTCTAGTTGATTGTTGCCATGAAGAGCTATATGTATTTTTGGACTGTGTCTATTTACATATTATATAGGCAAAACAAATATGGCCTTGATTTGGCCCCTGGGCTATCATTGCAAATTTTTATTTAAACGAATATCAGCTTTTTTTAAGCCAGAGAAGAGTCTACTGCTTTGCATTCTGTGCTCTTTAAGGTATTCAGTACTGATTTTCACCTAGCATCCAAATGTTTAATTGCATTAATTAGTACACCAGTTTATACTTTATTGTTTGATACCTGTTGAAATGGTATGCAAAGTTTCTTAAGACTGTGTTTAATGAACAGCTACAAAATTAAACCTGAAGCAATGAATGACAATTGACCTTTTTTTCCCCCACTAGCAGGGGCAATAAGTTTTAAGCTGAGATGAATGATCAGTTGTGTAATTTTAAACCAAGAAAAGTAGGAAAACACCCTTGTATATTAGAACGATTTTGATAGTACAAGTAACAGAAAACACATGTCAACCTGCTCTCAATAACCAAGTGATGTAGGGCAGTCTTGAGACAGAGCTTAATCAGAACTCATGCCCTTTTTCTTTTATTTATCTTGGCTTCACTTTGTAGGTTTTGTCTTCACACTAGCTTCCTTGATTGTCTCCAACTGCCACCTGCAGTAACATTTTACCCTTCACATGTAGGGGGATTAAGACATAGAGCTGGTGAGATACATCACTTCCCACCATCATTGGACTTAACCCTTAAGATCTCTCCATTAAACCACTCTTGCTTTTGGCAAAGGAGAACGAGAGAATCCTGATTGTCTTGGGCTGGAGCCAGGTGTGGGATCAATCCACGTGGCTTATATATTCAAACTACGTGGCTAAAACATATTTGGCAGGATGGGATAGATATCAGAGTGGCAGCTCTAACAAAAATTTACTCTCTAGCAAAAGTTTGTTAAAGATACACTGTAGCATATATTTACTAAGTTGCAGTTAGTAGTAAATTCTTTTCTCCCTTTGAAATAAAACCTTGCTAACTATCACAATTGGCAAGTAGCTCAATCTGCGAACTCAAACAAAAATAATTGAGTGAACATTTCTCATCTCTGATGTAGCTTTGCTGATCTATATCAAATGTATTGTGATATTTCCAGCAGTAAATTGATATAATTAAGTATTTGTTTAATGAAAGCAGGAAACAGCAAATTGAGAGTTACTTATTTCATCCAGATATCAGTGATTTGGTGTTTCTTTGGAAAAACAGTGTAAATATTCACAGCTGTCTTTTGTTTTTCCCATCACCTCCACTGACATGATTAAAAGCTAAGACGCAATTATGTGAGTCTAATGAGTTGTGTCTAATCGATAGTATCAGTAATACAGTATTCTGTCGTTGAGGCTTGAAACAAATCATCATATCTTAAACTCAACAAGGCCCAGATCTAGAGAGAGCCCCAAACTGAGAGAGGAGGGTATGATCTGCAAACAAATCTGACAGTCTTGGCCAATCTGGTGGGGACTCTGGAAGCAAGAGTAGCTGTTAGAGGGCCCCTGCACTGGGCAGAAATAGCAACAACCTTGTACTCCAACTGTGCTTAGTCACAGACTAGAGGGTGCTCATGAGGAGGGTGGACTTGGCTTAGAGGTTGCCAAGGAAGAGTACAGACTTGGTGGCTGTGATGTGCTGCCTCCTGAAGGGGTTGCAGCGGGGGCTGATGACGGATGACTGGCCTCCACACAGCCTAACAGTGAGTTCTTTTTTGAAGAGCAATGCAGTGGTACACTGCCTGTGCTGCCTCAGGCCCCAACATGCTTTGGACCCAATGCATTCTCCAGCCCCATCCTACACCAGTGTTTCTCCTTGTTCTTAAACTATGCCGCATTTTCTCCTCCCTCCTACTTTAATGTGTTTTTATATATGTTGCCCCCTCTGCTTGGAATCTTATTTTTCCTTTTCTTTGTCTAGACCATGCATGCTAGAGGGCTTCTTTTTCTTTTTTTTTTTTTTTCAGGTCTGATACATTTATTTATTTTTATATATTTTTTATTTCAATGGGTTTTGGGGTACATGTGGTTTTTGGTTACATGGATGAATTGTACATTATTGAAGTCCGAGAGTTGAGTGCACCTGTTACCCCAGTGTAGTGTACATTGTACCCAATAGGTAGTTTTTCATCCCTCAACCCCCTCCCACCCTCTCCTCTTCTGAGTCTTCTGTGTCCATTGTATCACTATGCCTTTGCACACTCTTAGGTTAGCTCCCACTTATAAGTGAGAAAATGCAGTATTTGGTTTTCCATTTCTGAGTTACTTCACTTAGAATAGTGGGCATGGCAGAGTTTGACTGGCTGTCCTTAACTATCACTCTAGGTTAGGTTTAGTTACTCTACATTTCCATACCCTCCTTTATTTTTTCTTTAGGGTATTCTGAACAATTTTGATCATTTTACTAATTGTTTCTAATTGTTTGCCTAAAGTCATTCTTGCCAGCTTGACTGTACAGCCCATGAAGCTGAGCTCAGGTTTGCTTGTTCATAACTTGACAGCAGTATTTTGCATAAAAGAAGTATTCCTTGAAAGTTTGGTACGTTTTATGCACCACAAGAACACACAGGAGAGTGGAACATAACACAGTTAGGAGAAGGCTTTTTAGAGAAGGCTGAGACATAGTAAGCAAATAGGAGGTAGACAGTGCATTAGTCCATTTTGCATTGCTATAAAGGAATACCTGAGGCTGGGTAATTTATAAAGGTAAGAGTTGTATTTGGTGTATGCCTATGCTGGCTGTACGAGCATGGCATCAGAATCTATTTGGCTTCTCATGACCCCTCAGGAAGCTTTTACTCATGGCAAAAGGTGAAGGGGCAGCAGGCCTGTCACATGGCAAGAAGGGAGCGAGAAAGATGACAGGCTCTTCGTAAGAACCAGTTCTCTTGGCCCAGCATGGTGGCTCACACCTATAATCCCAGCACTTTGGGAGGTTGTGGTGGGCAGATCACGAGGTCAGGAGATCGAGACCATCCTGGCTAACATGGTGAAACCCCATCTCTACTAAAAATAAAAAAATTAGCTGGGGTGATGGCACACACCTGTAGTCCCAGCTACTTGGGAGGCTGAGGAGGGAGAATCACTTGAACCCAGGAGGCAGAGTGCCGGGTCCAACCCGCAGACCCTGACCCAGCAACAGATGAAAGACATACACTGACACAGGTATTTTGCCTGTCAGTGGGACTAAGGGGCTCTGACGCCTGAGTCTGCAGCTTTCGCCTCCATAAAATGGCAAAGTTTGCGTTTATTTAGTACAAATTAAATGACAAAGTTCTCAAGTAAACACCACTAGAGGGTAATTTACATTGTTGATCTCCTGAGTAGAGAGCAGTCATGAGCCCACAGATGATCAAAGGTTGGTCTTAGGACCACATGAGTAAAAAAGCTATTTAGATAAACTCCTTTACATTCCTATGTATCTTTGCCCTAAGCTTTTAAGAGAATTCAGTTGCCTTCAGCCAAATCCTTCACTGAAGCTATGCAAACCCACTGGCCTTCCAAGAAGGTTTGTGTCTGTTTCCTATAACTTTATAATCTCCCACCACCCTGACCGATATCCTATAGCGGAGGTTGCAGTGAGCTGAGATCGCACCACTGCCCTCCAGCCTGGGCAACAGAGCAAGACTCCACCTCAGAAAAAAAAAAAAAAAAAAGAACCAGTTCTCTTGTGAACTAATAGAGTGAGAACTTACTCATTAGCACAAAGGTGGCACTAAGCTATTCATGAGGGATCCACCCCCATGTCCCAAACACCTCCCACCAGGCTCCACTGCAGAAATTGGGGATCACATTTCAACATGAGATTTGGAGGGGACAAACATCCAGACTATATCAGACAGCAAAGGGGAGAAGAGTGTTTCAGGAAGTACTGTAGTGCACACAGAGTGTGTATAGCACTTTGTAGGAGTGGGCACAACTCCTATCTCCATCCTCGTAGGGTCCTGACTGGGCCTTGAGAATTAAATTGACCTGAGATAGATTAACAAGAACAAAGCATAAAATTTTATTTCATACAAATTTTACATGGCATGGGAGCCCACATAAAGAAGTGAAGACCCAGAGAAGTACTTAAAGCCTGTTGCTTTATATACTACATTGGACAAAGAATAGTACATTGTGAAGAAGCATCTAACTTACTTGCAGAGGCTTGAAAGATAAGAGTTATTTTATTGTATTTTTTATTTTTGTTTTTTTTTTATACTTTAAGTTCTAGGGTACATGTGCACAATGTGCAGGTTTGTTACATATGTATAGTTGTGCCATGTTGGTGCACTGCACCCATTAACTCGTCATTTACATTAGGTATATCTCCTAATGCTATCCCTCCCCACTACCCCCACCCCACGACAGGCCCCGGTGTGTGGTGTTCCCCACCCTGTGTCCAAGTGTTCTCATTGTTCAATTCCCACCTATGAGTAAGAACATGCGGTGTTTGGTTTTCTGTCCTTGGGATAGTTTGCTCAGAATGATGGTTTCCAGCTTTATCCATGTCCCTACAAAGGACATGAACTCATCCTTTTCTATGGCTGCATAGTATTCCATGGTGTATATGTGCTACATTTTCTTAATCTAGTCTATCACTGATGGACATTTGGGTTGGTTCCAAGTCTTTGCTATTGTGAATAGTGCCGCAATAAACATACGTGTGCATGTGTCTTGATAGCAGCATGATTTATAATCCTTTATACTCAGTAATGGGATGACTGGGTCAAATGGTATTTCTAGTTCTAGATTCTTGAGGAATCGCCACACTGTCTTCCACACTGGTTGAACTAGTTTACAGTCCCACCAGCAGTGTAAAAGTGTTCCTATTTCTCCACATCCTCTCCAGTACCTGTTGTTTCCTCACTTTTTAATGATTGCCATTCTAACTGGTGTGAGATGGTCTCTCATTGTGGTCTTGATTTGCATTTCTCTGATGGCCAGTGATGATGAGCATTTTTTCATCTGTCTGTTAGCTGCATAAATGTCTTCTTATGAGAAGTGTCTGTTCATATCCTTTGCCCACTTGTTGATGGGTTGTTTGATTTTTTTCTTGTAAATTTGTTTAAGTTCTTTGTAGATTCTGGATATTAGCCCTTTGTCAGATGGGTAGATTGCAAAAATTTTCTGCCATTCCGTAGGTTGCCTGTTTGCTCTGATGGTAGTTTCTTTTGCTGTGCAGAAGCTCTTTAGTTTAATTAGATCCCATTTGTCAATTTTGGCTTTTGTTGCCATTGCTTTTGGTGTTTTAGACATGAAGTCCTTGCCCATGCCTATGTCCTGAATGGCAATGCCTAGGTTTTCTTCTAGGGTTTTTATGGTTTTAGGTCTGACATTTAAGTCTTTAATCCATCTCGAATTAATTTTTGTATAAGATGTAAGTAAGGGATCCAGTTTCAGCTTTCTACATATGGCTAGCCAGTTTTCCTAGCAGCATTTATTAAATAGGGAATCCTTTACCTATTGCTTGTTTTTGTCAGGTTTATCAAAGATCAGATGGTTGTAGATGTGTGGTATTATTTCTGAGGGCTCTGTTCTGTTCCATTGGTCTATATCTCCGTTTTGGTACCAGTACCATGCTGTTTTGATTATTGTAGCCTTGTAGTGTAGTTTGAAGTCAGATAGCATGATGCCTCCAGCTTTGTTCTTTTGGCTTAGGATTGTCTTGGCAATGCAGGCTCTTTTTTGGTTCCATATGAACTTTAAAGTAGTTTTTTCCAATTCTGTGAAGAAAGTCATTGGTAGCTTGATGGGGATGGCATTGAATCTACAAATTACCTTGGACAGTATGGCCATTTTCACGATATTGATTCTTCCTATCCATGAGCATGGAATGTTGTTCCATTTCTTTTTGTCCTCTTTTATTTCATTGAGCAGTGGTTTGTAGTTCTCCTTGAAGAGGTCCTTCACATCCCTTGTAAGTTGGATTCCTAGGTATTTTATTTTCTTTGAAGCAATTATGAATGGGAGTTCACACATGATTTGGCTCTCTGTTTGTCTGTTATTGGTGTATAGGAATGCTTGTGATTTTTGCACATTGATTTTGTATCCTGAGACTTTGCTGAGGTTGCTTATCAGCTTAAGGAGATTTTGGGCTGAGATGATGGGGTTTTCTAAATATACAATCATGTCATCTGCAAACAGGGACAATTTGACTTCCTCTTTTCCTAATTGAATACCTTTTATTTCTTTCTCCTGCCTAATTGCCCTGGCCAGAACTTCCATCACTATGTTGAATAGGAGTGGTGAGAGAAGGCATCCATGTCTTGGGCCAGTTTTCAAAGGGAATGCTTCCAGTGTTTGCCCATTCAGTATGATATTGGCTGTGGGTTTGTCATAAATAGCTCTTATTATTTTGAGATATGTCCCATCAATACCTAATTTATTGAGAGTTTTTAGCATGAAGCGCTGTTGAATTTTGTCAAAGGCCTTTTCTGCATCTATTGAGATAATCATGTGGTTTTTGTCTTTGGTTCTGTTTATATGATGGCTTATGTTTATTGATTTGCATATGTTGAAGCAGCCTTGCATCCCAGGGATGAAGCCAACTTGATCATGGTGGATAAGCTTTTTGATGTGCTGCTGGATTCAGTTTGCCAATGTTTTATTGAGGATTTTTGCATCGATGTTCATCAGGGAGATTGGTCTAAAATTATCTTTTTTTTTGTTGTGTCTCTGCCAGGCTTTGGTATCAGGATGATGCTGGCCTCATAAAATGAGTTAGGGAGGATTCCCTCTTTTTCTGTTGATTGGAATAGTTTCAGAAGGAACGGTACTAGCTCCTCTTTGTACCTCTGGTAGAAATTGGCTGTGAATACATCTGGTCCTGGACTTTTTTTGGTTGGTAGGCTCTTAATTATTGCCTCAATTTCAGAGCCTGTTATTGGTCTATTCAGGGATTCAACTTCTTCCTAGTTTAGTCTTGGGAGTGTCTATGTGTCCAGGAATTTATCCATTTCTTCTAGATTTTCTAGTTTATTTGCGTAGAGGTGTTTATAGTATTCTCTGATGGCAGTTTGTATCTCTGTGGGATCGGTGGTGATATCCCCTTTATCATTTTTTATTGCGTCTATTTGATTCTTCTGTCTTTTCTTCTTTATTAGTCTTGCTAGCGGTCTATCAATTTTGTCGATCTTTTCAAAAAACCAGCTCCTGCATTCATGATTTTTTGAAGGGTTTTTTTGTGTCTCTATTTCCTTCAGTTCTGCTCTGATCTTAGTTATTTCTTGCCTTCTGCTAGCTTTTGAATGTGTTTACTCTTGCTTCTCTAGATCTTTTAATTGTGATGTTAGGGTGTCAATTTTAGATCTTTCTTGCTTTCTCTGAAGCTTGTGCATGCATCGTGTAGTTCTCGTGCCATGGTTTTCAGCTCCATCAGGTCATTTAAGGTCTTCTCTACGCTGTTTATTCTAGTTAGCCATTCGTCCCATCTTTTTTCAAGGTTTTTAGCTTCTTTGCGATGGGTTCGAACATCCTCCTTTAGCTCAGAGAAGTTTATTATTACCGATCTTCTAAAGCCTTCTTCTCTTAACTCGTCAAAGTCATTCTCCATCCAGCTTTGTTCTGTTGCTGGCGAGGAGCTGCATTCCTTTGGAGGAGAAGAGGCGCTCTGATTTTTAGAATTTTCAGCTTTTCTGTTCTGGTTCCTCTCCATCTTTGTGGTTTTATCTACCTTTGGTCTTTGATGATGGTGACGTACAGATGGGGTTTTGATGTGGCTGTCCTTTCTGTTTGTTAGTTTTCCTTCTAACAGTCCGTACCCTCAGCTGCAGGTCTGTTGGAGTTTGCTGGAGGCCCACTCCAGACCCTGTTTGCCTAGGTACCACCAGCAAAGGCTGCAGAGCCACAAATATTACAGAACGGCAAATGTTGCTGCCTGATCATTCTTCTGGAAGCTTCGTCTCAGGGGCACTGAGCCATATGAGGTGTCAGTCGACCCCTACCGGGAGGTGCCTCCTAGTTAGGCGACTGGGGGGTCAGGAACCCACTTGAGGAGGCAGTCTGTCTGTTCTCAGATCTCAAACTCCATCCTGGGAGAACCACTACTCTCTTCAAAGCTGTCAGACAGGAATGTTTAAGTCTGGAGAAGTTTCTGCTGCCTTTTGTTCAGCTATGCCCTGCCCCCAGAGGTGGAGTTTACACAGGCAGGCAGGCCTCCTTGAGCTGTGGTGGGCTCCACCCAGTTGGAGCTTCCGGGCCGCTTTGTTTACCTACTCAAGCCTCAGCAATGGCGGGTGCCCTCCCCGGACCCCCACCCAGCCTCGCTGCCACCTTCCAGTTCAATCTCAGACTGCTGTGGGCATAGGACCCTCTGAGCCAGGCATGGTATGTAATCTCCTGGTGTGCCGTTTGCTAAGACCATTGGAAAAGCGCAGTATTAGGGTGGGAGTGACTGATTTTCCAGGTGCCGTCTATCACGGCTTCCCTTGGCTAGGAAATGTAATTCCCCGACCTCTTGCACTTCCCGGGTGAGGTGATGCATCGCCCTGCTTTGGCTCATAGTCCGTGGACTGCACCCATTGTCCTGCACCCACTGTCCAACAAGCCCCAGTGAGATGAACCCAGTACCTCCGTTGGAAATGCAGAAATCACCCGTCTTCTGCATCGCTCAGGCTGGGAGCTGTAGACTGGAGCTGTTCCTATTCGGCCATCTTGGTACCTCCCCGAAAGATAAGAGTTATTTTATAACAAGACAAGGATGCCCTCTCTCAGCGCTCCTATTCAACATAGTATTGGAAGTTGTAGGCAGGCCTGTCGGGCAAGAGAAAGAAATAAAGGCTATTCAACTAGGAAGAGAGGAAGTCCAACTATCTTTGTTTGCAGATGACCTGATCCTATATCTAGAAAACCCCATTGTCTCAGCCTAAAAGCTTCTTAAGCTGATAAGCAGCTTCGGCAAAGTCTCAGGATACAAAATCAATGTGCAAAAATCAGTAGCATTCCTATACACCAACAACAGGCAAGCTGAGAGCAAACCATGAATGAACTCCCCACTCATAATTGCCACAAAAAGAATAAAATACCTAGGAATACAGCTAATGAGGAAAGTGAAGGACTTCTTCAAGGAGAACTACAAACCACGGCTCTAAGAAATCAGAGATGACCCAAACAAATGGAAAAACATTCCATGCTCATGGACAGGAAGAATCAATATCATGAAAATGGCTATACTGCCCAAAGTAATTAATAGATTCAATGCTGTTCCCATTGAATAATTGAATAATAAAACTACCAACACATTCTTCACAGAAGTAGAAAAAAACTAATTTAAAATTAATATGGAACCAAAAAAACAGCCCAAATAACCAAGGCAATCCTAAGCAAAAACAACAGAGCTTGGAGGTATCACGCTACCCGACTTCAAACTATACCACAGGGCTGCAGTACAAGAAAAGACAGATAGACCAATGGAGCAGAACAGAGAACCCAGAAATAAGACCACACACCTATAACCATCTGATTTTTGACAAACCTGACAAAAACAAGCAATGGGGGAAAGATTCCCTGTTTAGTAAATGGTGCTGGGAGAACTGGCTAGTCATATACAGAAAACAGAAACTGGACCACTTCCTTACACCATATACAAAAGTCAACTCGAGATAGATGAAAGACTTAAATGTAACACCCAAAACTCTCAAAACTCTAGAAGAAAACCTAGGCAATGCCATTCAGGAAATAGGCACGGGCAAAGATTTCATGATGAAGACACCAAAAGCAATTGGAACAAAAGCAAAAATTGACAAATGGTATGTAATTAAACTAAAGAGCTTCTGCACAGCAATAGAAACTATAAACAGTAAACAGACAACCTACAGAATGGGAGAAAATTTTTGCAATCTGTGCATCTGATAAAGGTCTAATATTCAGCATCTATAAGGAATTTAAACAGATTTACATGAGAAAAACAACCCCATTAAAAAGTGGGCAGAGTGATTATATTAAATCTGAGGAAGTGGAGTATCTGTGAGCTTCCACCTGACTTTACATTTAACTTGGAAGGTCAACACTGTATTTTATTTGATGTTATAGCAAGAGAAAAGCAACATTAGAAGGGAAAATAATACAAGATTTCCCTCCACCCATACTCCTGTCTCCATATGAGATCATGAAGCCTTTTTAAAATTTCTCCTGATAATACACATAAACTGTATCAAATCTTTATATGCCTCTTCTCCATCTAATAAATCATATCAAATTATTATATATTTTTTATTTCTACTTATTAAATTATAAATATGAATTTATAATCAAAGTATATTTTATAATAGGCCTCTTACTATAAAATGTTAATTGTAATGTAAATAAAATGCAAAATAGTATTTAATATATTAAAGAACTATATGTTAGAAATTCATAGAATTTGAATTAGGTCTGTCCTGATCCTAAAGGAGTTTACTATCTAGAACATGAGATTACTTTTTTTAAATTCCCCTAAATTACCTTTTTAGTTCATGTATCCATCTAATTGAAACCCAATCACCCTTAACATTTACTCTTCCACAAAAGGATTCTCTCATACCTGGGACTTTTTAAGGCTTTGCTTTCATGTTGCCACATTGTTTATCTGTAACTGAGTCATGAATACTACATTATCAGGATGCCATCTGATATGTCTGAGTCTTCAAAGGACACATATATTTTCGGATGCTGTGATACACACTTGAGATCTAAACCCTGGGATTTGGTGGAAAACATTAAAAGCTGTCTCTCTAAACATCTAAACATATAAGATGCATGTTCTTTACAATAAAGCAGAAATAAATTAAGATTATGAGGCCCTAAGAATAACAGGATAGGTCTCTTTAGGATATTTACTAGTATTATATGGCAACAGAATCAGTTACTTCAATTTTAAACATAGACTATATATTAGACAAAATCTGAGCAGAAAAGTTTCCATTAATTTCAATCTGAATGCTTTAGAGATTTAAACCAATACTAGTTTTATTTGCTAAAACCTCAGTACATTTTAGCCAGCTTATATTATGCCATGTAATTTCTTAAGCAGTTTTTAAATCAAATAATGAAGGATGGTGAGTAGGTTATATGAATGAGGGCAAATGCTTATATTATATATATATGTGTGTGTGTATATATATATATACATACAGCTACACACACACATAAATGACTGAATTAAATAATACTGAAGGCCATAGGTTTATTACATATTATTCTTTTTTATTTTCTTAATAGGCTGGGCAAGTACTGAATTGTGATTTACATATTTTAAGACATTTCTGTATAATTTGAGTATGTCCAAATTGAAGTTATTAACTCTTGACCATTAGGACTCTGTTAAGAACAGTCTTTCTATTTAATGTCTACATGGCATTTCTCAGATAGATACATTATCTTTATACAGCAGCAAATTCTATGAGCTTAGAATATTTTGTTTTATCTTCTAATTATCAGTATTGGATTTAGGTGTACATTACTTTTCTGCAATGGACTGGTGGATTTGTTTTATTTTCATACTAAATATGAACATTCTCCTCCATTGAAAATACAATTTAAGGCTAACTGTCTGATTGGACTAATTACTCAGCAGCATAAAAAGATGTGACTCATTGGGTTGCAGGAAAAACCATGATAGTACCCCAAGAGATATCTTTCCAGGTACTCTGGTGTCTCAGTACAGCCTGCTTTCATGAACTGGTATCTTTGGCATGATCTAAAGGAAAATATATGTGTGTGTATGTGTAAAAATGTATTCTGAAAAGGAAAAAATCTTTATAGTGGAGAATCCTGGCAGATACCACATTAATCAAGTGAAAAACATTAATAACATCGTTATATCATACTAGTAATGCCCTCCTACATGGATATAAGTTGAGAAGGGCACTTGTGGAGTTCTTCTCTAAAATCCACAATTCCACTTTAACCTTTAAAGTAGTCAAAGAACTCCAAGTTGAAGAATATTCCATCAAATGCCTGACCAACATTTTTAAGGCCAACAGAGAAAGACTGAGAAATTGTTATGGCCAGAGGAGATGAAGAAGACATGACAACTAACTGCAGTATGGTAACCTGATTTCTGTTGTGTAGTGGAAAAATAGGACATTAGGGAAAGCTGTTGAAATCTGAATAAGCTTGAAAGTTTAGTTAATAGTAGTGACCAATGTCAGTCTTAGTTGTATCCTATGTACTGTGTTTAGACAAGATGTTAACACTGCTGAAAACTGGATGAAGAGTATACTCCTTGTACTATTTTTGGAACTTTTTAGTAAATCTAAAATTATTCCAAAACACAACATTTCATTGAGAAAATATATTCACTGTTTCAAATATGCTATTACCCTAGAACAGGTGTAATCTTTTAGTGAATGGCTCACAGTAATATAGAATAAAGGCAAGTGCTTCTTAGTACTTAGGCAAAAAAACAAAAAACAAAAAACAAAAAAAAAACAATGCCTTTTGTGGACTCTCCCACCTTTAAAATATTTCCTCAGGAAATTTTAAATTGTGAGTTTCTGATGCATATTTAGACAACTGTTTTACATGAAAATTATGCCTGGTAGAAAATCTTAGGTAGACATTTGATGGTCTTTAAACTATGGAGACAGCCCAGATGCTCTCAACTTTCCCACTTTCCCAAGGGATAAATTTCAAAATATGGTAAGACTCTATCAAAGGTAGAACTGCCACTAGATATGTTTTTATCAGGATTAACTCTAGAAGTACTAACCTATGTATTCCTGCCTCTTCTTCTTGCCTGTCAGTCTCTGTCCTGGTCTCCTTCAGCCTCTCATTTTCTCTTGGGCATTGCCTGTGCTGACATTCTGACATACCTGCTTTTCTCCTCTTTATCTTGTTTCTGTGACCTTCACTTACCACTTCTGTGCCATTCATTAATTTGTACCTTTAATCCTAAACTCCAAATTTGTACCTAATTCGTACCTTTAATCCTAAACTCCAAAGCTGTTTTTCTCCTTGCTAACTGGACGACCAGAGGAACTTCATTTTATTGTCTAAAACAAAATTCATTATTAGTCTCACAAGAATCTCGTTTTCTCTTTTTATATTTCCTTTCTCATTCAATGGCACTACCATCCAACTGCCTGGCGGAAACCTAAGAGTAAGTTTATGCCTTACTCTACCATCCCTTGACAGTTGGTCACAGTTCCCTGAAATTCTTCAGATCTCTGTCCTATGGCAGTCTTGCTGCCACTATATGAGTTCAAACATTTATCATTTCTCACTTGGGTTACTATATTAGCCTCTGCTCGCCCCCTTCAGTACATTATCTTACCAAAATTCATATAATATATCTTAAATCTATATCTGCTTTAAATTTTTTATTGTCTCTCATTGTTATGTATTCAAGAAATATTTATTTAATGAATAAATGCATTTCTAATAACATCAGTTTTCTCTATTCCAAAGGACATTATGCTAAAACTTAGCTGGCGTATAGAACTTTCTTCAGGACTCTTGTTGCTAGCATTCTTGATGCCATGTTAATTCTCCTGTGACATGTGTCCAGGTGCTTTAGAATCTTGCTTGTCTCTACCAATTGTGACAATGAATATGCTTATTATTGAAAGTAATAATACCACCTTAAACTTTAATAAAATGTTAATCTTCAAAGCACTGTAATTAGAAGTCAGGTATTCAGGTGCTCAGGATAGGCCTGGCACTCTTTTTAGCTGCATGACAGTAGAAAGATATTTAAGTTTTTTTTTGTTGTTGCTGTTTTTTTTTTTCTTTTTCTTTCTTTCTTTCTTTTTTTTTTTTTTTTTTTTTTGAGAACTCTGTCACCCAGACTAGAGTGCAGTGCTGTGATCTCAGCTCACTGCAACCTCCACCTCCTGGGTTCAAGCAATCCTCCTGCCTCAGCCTCCCGAGTAGCTGGTATTAGAGGCGCACACCACCATGCCCAGCTAGTGTTTGTAGTTTTAGTAGAGATGAGGTTTCACCTTGTTGGCCAGCCTGGTCTTGAACTCCTGACCTCAGGTGATCCACCCACCTTGGCCTCCCAAAGTGCTGGGATTACAGGTGTGAGCCACCGCGCCCGGCCAGTATTTAAGTTCTTTAAGCCTGGATTTTCTCATCTGTAAAGTAAAAATACTAACCCACCTATAACAGAGCATTACATGGTAAAGCACGTATTTCAGTGCCCGTCCCATAGGAAGTCCTTATTTTAAAAATTAGCGATAGTGGTGGTAATAATTGTAATACACTCTTGTGCAACTAAATGTAATAGATTTTGTGGAATAATATCACTTAAGAATTAGAGTATGTCTTAGAAATCTCTTAAATTAGTTACAGTTTTTTACCCAGGTTCATGGGACTCTCAATAGAGTATTGTGGGTTTTTTTTTTTTTTTTTGGACATACTCTAATTTTACAAGAACTCTCAATATCAGAAACTTGAATTAAACTGAGAACTTATTACATGTTAATGTATTTCCCAGGTGAGTTCTGGAACTTCCCCTATTCCCAGAGAACCTATATATATTAAATGTATCTCTATATTTAATAGTGGAATCCAACAGAGAGTGAGATGTACAACCCAGGTAACTATTTTTGTACCTTGCCTTTGTGTGGAGAAAAAAGGAAGGATCTGCTCTACCCTTGCTAATCCTAGTATGGACATTATAGGCCTTATGCTCATGAAAGGTTATATTACCCTAAAATTAGGCAAAAGTTCATATTAGAGTTCCACAGGCAAACTTCCTCCTCTTAGATATACTATAGAGGCTATTAGGTATCTTCTTCCAGTCACCTTAACAAACTTTTACTTAATATCTGTTCTGTTTAAGTCAGTATGCTGTGATTTCGTGACTAAGTCCATAATCTCAAACAGCCTTCGGTCTAATAGAGGAGACAGATTTACAGGTGACCATAGAATGATTTAGACTACTGTAATAAATACTGTAACTTGCCTCTTCAGAATAGATTCAACTTCTTTTGGATAGATTACTCTGCAGTTATTTATATATAATTCCTTTTTGAGAAAATGGAATAATATAGTTTTTTTCTAATGAAATTGCAGCTCATGTTGAAGCCTTCTGTGAACATCATATTTAAGGCAGCACCCCTCAGCTCTACCTCTTGAATCCCTTGGTTAAGCCATCCTTATATCTTCCCCTGCTCCATTTTCTTGTCACCATCTGACATACTACATATTTAGGATGTTTGTTTCTATTACATATTCATTCAATATATTATAAACTTCACATGGACAGGGAATTCTGCATGTTTGTACTCTGCTGTGTCCTCAGCATTTAAAGCAATACCTGGCACATAGCGGGCACTTCATAAATATTTATTAAATGAATCAGTAGTTAAACAAATACAGAAGAATCTTGTTGTAACAAACTCTTATCAAATGTTAGCAAACATTAAGTATCTGCTTTAACTTAACAGGGCTTATTCTATTGCCACAGAACTTACCCCTTGAGAAATTTTTTATTTTGGCAGTACATGGAAATATCCATTATTATATCTACTATTACATGATTATATATATAATTATGTTGTAAATGGTTATATATCCAGTATTATATGATTGTGTATGATTATTTGATTATAAATACCTTCAGTATTTTTACCTACAACAGAGGATCTTCAATAGGATGTATGTTGTGTGTAAGTAAAAATTGTACAGTCCATATATCTTCCTCTCATTTCCTTAATTGGTATTTTATAACTTTTTGGAACTGCTTCCTCCAAGTTCTAAGTTATTTGTAAAAGTCAAGAGCTAAAACATGAGAATACATAAAGCTTGTCTCATATGCCATTGCCATTGTGAACTTGATAATAATAAATCTTGCTGTCTTTCTTGAAGAAGAAACAGTGAAAGGAATACTGTTCAATTCCAACATCAGCTGTGTAACCGAGGCATCGTAATACTTTTATGACAAGTTTCACTACCTTTTTGCCTGTGCCAGTGTACCTCAAAGGGATATGGTAAGCTTAAATTGATAATTTTCATAAGATTCTAGAAAGTAACATGACACATATATTTATTTATATATATATTCAATCATTCAGTTACACATAAATATGTCTACATACACCAATCCTTGCTTTTTAGTATATAACAACATTGTTCTGTTTGTTGAGTGCCAAAGTAGCTACTTAATATGTTCAGATTTTGGAACAAACGCAGTGCAAGCTAAGTATCAGACAAAGAGGCAAAGAGAAGGAACAGATTTCTGGGCATCAGCCTGTGTTAGCAGGCTATTTCCTAGATCATTTTGGAGAAGCCTTCAAAAGAGGAATTCACATCTCTATTTCTGCTTCTTAGAGATCAGCAATCTTTTTTATAGTGCTGTGCAACAAGAGAAAATAGATAAACCCAGTGCTTTGAAGTGACTTGGGAGATGTTGCTACGGATATAAAAAGCTTACTACCTTAGAGGCTGTGGCAACCTAATCCATCCCTGCCGGAGGAGAAGCATGCTTTTTATAGGCCCCAAGACAAGGGTTAAGTTTATCTGCTTACCAGGAATCTCAGCTTGATGACTCACTTGCCAGATAAAATTTCTTATTAATGCAGAGAATTCCAGATTTGGTTGGTGTGGGGCTCCTCTGCAAAAGACACGCTGACCTTACATGAAAAGGAGTATTTTATTTTGAATTACCGCATTGTGAGAATGCAGAAATTACAGATGGAGAAACTATGTATTGAGGACTTTTGTAAGAAAAATTCACATATAATAGAACATCCTGAAATTACTTAGTAGATTATAAAATTTGTCCTCATTCTGTATATTCCTTAGCCAGAAATATTACATGTGGTAGTCCCTATATCTATAATTATGATTGTCCACAATGATAATACTGTCTATATTTTTAAGAAATGTTTTGGGGCTGGGCACAGGGGCTAATGCCAATAACTTCAGCACTTTGGGAGGCTGAGGCAGAGGATTGCTTGAGCCCAGAAGTTTGAGACCATCCTGAGCAACATAGTGAGACCTCGTCTATAAAAACAAACAAGCAAAAATTAGCAGGGTGTAGTCGTGCATGCCTTTAGTCTCAGTTACTTGGGAGGCCAAGGGGAGAGGATAGCTTGAGACTTGGAGGTCGAGGCTGCAGTTTAGCCGTTCTCGCACCACTGCACTCCAGCCTGGGCAACAGAGTGAGACCCTGTCTCAAAAACAAACAAACAAAAATAAAAGTTTGGCTTATAGTTTAAGTCATGACTGAAAAACTGTAATGATGTTACTGGTCATTACAGGTCTACATATGTCAGATCGATATATTTTTAGTGGTGATTAAATAGGTAATGAAGAAAAGAGATGCATGTAATTTTTTGCTTTGTGTTAGGTGATGAGCCTAGGTATCTCAGAAAGTTCCATGTAAGTTAAAGAAGAAGATGGAATCCTATAGTATTCACTTTCTATCCATCTCTTCTGTTAGTAGCTGGAAGTAGAAGATGTTTCTGTTGTGTCCATGACCCTCTGCTTTCCCATTTGTACTTAGCACTCCATGGTTAACGTGCCGTTTCAAAACAGAAAATGGCATACGAAAATCCAGATGCATGGAGTAGAAATAAGATGATTCTAGCTTCTTTCCTGAATCTGCTGTGTACCTTCCCCTGTGAACATATATGTCGATGTATATAATTCTCAATATGAACAACCGGATCAGGGTATCTTGAAACATATAGGAAATAGGAATATCTAAATCAAGTTATATTGATTGCAGTTTAATTCTGTTTCCTCATCTATTTCTACTAGAGAATTTAGATGCGTATCAGATTGACCCTAAAGATTCTGATTTTTTTGTAAAGCATTCATATAAATAAAGGGAATTATTTTAGAGAGGAAATTATTATTTGAACAAATATTTTATCCCAGATTACAGATTTACTTTGATGCTCATGGATATGGAATACGTTTAAGTAAAATAGCAAATAGCATTGCTTATCATTTTAAGGTCAACCTTGGGGTTGCTTCAACTTGTGAAGCAAACTTACTGCATTGTGAAGCAAACTTAACTGCATTGCAAGAAATACACTTTAATTAATGTCACTACAGTAATATGTTTAACATTCTCATTTGGCATTATGAAATGGTCCAGTGCATATCTAGAAACCAGAATGTTAATGGCAAAGTACAAAATTTGCAATCAAAATGCTCTGTGTTCTCCCAGAAGGTGGAAAGGGGATAATTAATGTAAACTGTGTATGTTACACCAGATTGCTAGATCTAAGGATTGCACTACAGCAAGTCTGATGGCCACCTGTTATAACTGGGCAATAAAAAGTGGAGAGGGTTTTAAACCACTAAACTTTGGGGGAAATAATACACCAAAAATAGTACAAATAGCCAAATCTAATTTATGCAGACATGGAAGCCAGGTGTTTCATGTATCACTTTCAATAAGACTGTGCGACTAAGACTTATTTCATGGCTGAATTCAAGCAAGAAATATTCTTAGATTAAAACGAATCATGATAATGAAAGAGAGGATAGTTGCTATTAAGAAATGATCACAAGTACAGATATACTAATCTCCTGGGACCAGAGCATGTCTTTATCACAGTCAATCAGTTCCAAAGTGGCTTGGAAAATTGTCTTTTGTCAACTTGATCATTGGTGGGTGTGACTGAAGAAAGAGGATACAGATTCTGAGCTATCATAACCCATTTTCCATGGAAAGGGAAGGAGTGACTGGTTCGTGTTCTTTCAGGTATTCAACTTTAGCGGGGCATTATGTATGTTAGAGAATTTTTAGCCAGAGTAAACAATACTTGGTACTTTTTGAGTAAGACTTCAACAATAAATTTTGGAATGTTTTCAATTGTGTACCAAGCAACATTTATAAAATAAAATTGTAATATCCTTTCAAAAGACTGTCTTCAAATAGCTAATTGTTTCTGAATATAAGTCACACTTTTATTTTTCATTTTACACTAAACACCTAGTGTGTTAAAGATGCTACACTAGGTATTATGACCATTCTAAACCACAAACAATGGATCTTTCCATTCCTCATAACCCCCGTAATTCAAAAGGAATGCCTTTGAATTCACTAAAATATCTTCATATCCTGAGAATATGAGAGGTTCGGACACCATAATTACCTCTAGTAGGTTTTATAATATCTATGCTGTTTATACAGACACTAATTTTATGTATTGTTATTTACTCATAATTCCTGCTCTTCTCCTCAAAGAATTTAATTTTCAGCAAAGATAAGTTGAATAAAATTATGTTAAAAAAGAAACTTCCCACAACGGTTTTTTTATTCCATTCACCTCTCGTTTATCACTCACTTCTGATATAGGGAAATGTAAATACCTGCTTATTTGCCCTTTCTGTCCCATGGTGTATTTATATGGGGAAGAAAAATAACACATTTCTACATTTTCTAGATATAAGGTTATTGTTTTTGTTTATATGCAAAAAATGTCCCATCTATAGGGATCTCACTGATCTGGCTTGAAAACCTATAGTCCAGTTAATCAAGGAAATATCAATATTCAAGACAGCTTTGTGAGGAAAGCACTATTATTACAACCACGATTATTACAAAATCATAAGGCAACCAGGCTTGAAATGTTTAATTAAAAGATTCAAAATCCTTGCCTAGGGTGAATCAGAAAAGGTTTTCATTGTTCAGGGAGTGAACTCTCTGTCATTGTCCTATACATTGTCATGACCAGAGTACCTGAAATTAAAGTGCTTTCAGAGATTCTTTGAAGCAATCTGAGGGTAAACAGAACACACCTATGATAAAAGCACTGCATCCATTGTAGCTAGGGAGTGCTCTAAAGGAGGAGAAATGTCACAGCAGTCACAGATTTAGGTTGTTTGGGGTCAACATATGAAGAATCTTTAATTTCTAGATAAGAAATTTGAACCTTGATCTATATAGATAATGGTAAGCTATTAAAAAATTTTGAACAGAAAATCATAAGGCAATTTAGAAAAATAATGTAATGGTTGTATGCAAGCTGCATTGAAGGATGGAAAATCTAATGACAGTAATGAACCAATTACAGTGTTCTTTGAAGAACAATACTTTAGTCATTTTCTCCATCAAGAATTTGAGAAAGGAATAGAGACCTCAGAAATTAGCCTTAAAGTATATACTTGGTGCTGATTGATCTTTTCTGACAAAATTGAAAGCTCAAAACTATAACTATTCAGCTAAACAAACATCTATTTTGCATGTGCCAGGCACTCTGCTAAGTATTATAGATTGAGAAATGCAAACTGAATGAGACCCAGTTTCTGACTCTAAGACTGTCCTGTCTTTGGGGGTGGATGCACTTGTAATCAGATTATCTGGATACACTGTCAGTAGTGCTACAGTAGAAGTCTGATAGGGTGGGTGAGAAGCCCATTGAAGCAAACGTTTTCCAGCCTAGAGTGTTCAAAGACTCCTTCCTAGTGGAGGTGGTCAGTCTGCTGAGTCTTGAAGGTATAGTAAGGGCTAACCAGAATAAGGGGAGTGTTTATTTTGAGTATTCAAAGTTAAAGGTAAACCCCTTAATTCTGGAATGTCAAAGAATAGGCAGTCCTGAGAGAATGTAATAATCACACATACACCCTGGGTTCAGGCAATATTTACATTTGCTTCCTTTAACAAGCTAGCAGAGAACTTCACTGGGATTGGTCATTCTCTCCTGGACTCTTCTCCTGCTGGTTCCTATCTTAGTGTGTCAGGGACCTCTGCCAGCAAGACTTTCTTCTTCCACTTATGCAAGGAAGTTGGAGTCCCTTGGCTGAGCTCTCCAGAGAGGTACAGGGGCATCAGTGCTAGAGAGTTAATGAGAGTATAGACTGCCTGGGATTTTATGCTAAAACTTTTACCGGGGGAATTATGATTTATAGCAGACGCATATCTTAGCACAGATCTTCATCACAGCTCCCGTAGTTTTTCAAATGCAAAGAAGCTTGTGTACATTGCTGACTCTTCATGTGTGGTTCCTCCTCCTTTTTTAAAAACACCTTTTTTAAAAAAATAACATGTTGAAAAAAAGATTTTTTATAATCATGTGTTATAGACTGAGTGTTCGTGTCTCCCAAAATTCATATGTTGAAATCCTACCCCCAGTGTGATTGTATTTAGGAGGTTGGGCCTTTGGAAGGTAATTCGTTCAGGAGGGTGGAGACTTCATGAATGGGATTAGCCCTTATAAAAAAAAGAGCTTGTTTCTCTCTCTCTACTCTCTGCCGTGACCATGTGAGGATGCAATGAATAGATGGCCATCTGCAAACCAGGTAGAGGGTCCTCACCAGAACTGCATCTGCTGACACCTTGCTCTTGGGCTTCCCAGCCTCCAGACCTGTGAAAAATAAATGTTGTTTAGCTACTCAGTCTAATTTGTTAAAGCTGCCAGAGCTAAGACAACACATTTATGACATTTCTTATTAACACTATGTTAAGAGTTTAGAAAAGTAGGATGAAAACACTCTATCCAATCAAGTTCACTTTTTTAGGTGGTGGAGGTAGGCATCTTTTGGAAATACTTACAGTAATTAAATGCTTTACAAGGAAAGGAGCGGACAGGTGATAGTTTAAGCACTAAAGTTGGAAATCTTGTGAGGTTTTCTGAGATTTTTTTTTTTTTTTGAAATGGAGTTTTGCTCGTTGCCCAGGCTGGAGTGCAATGGCACGACCTTGGATCACTGCAACCTCCTCCTCCCGGGTTCAAGCGATTCTCCTGCCTCAGCCTCCCAAGTAGCTGGGACTACAGATGTGCACCACCATGCGATAACAGGCTCATGCCACCATCTCCGGCTGATTTTTGTGTTTTTAGTAGAGACGAGGTTTCATCATATTGGTCAGGCTGGTCTCAAACTCCTGACTTCAGGTGATCTACCTGCCTCGGCCTCCCAGGAGTGCTGGAATTATAGGCGTGAGCCACCACGCCCAGCCGTGTTCTGAGAATTAAAGTATGGTTGTCCCTTGGTATCTATGGGGGATTTGTTCCAGGACCTACTGTGCATACCAAAATCTGTGGATGCTCATGTCCCTGATACAAAATGGCATAGTATTTGCATATAACCTATGTACATCATTCTGTATACTTTAAGTCATCTCTAGATTATTTATAATACCTAATGCAATGTCAATACTATGTAATAATTGTTATACTGTATTGATTAAGGAATAATGACAAGGAAAAAAATCTGCCCATGTTCAGTACGGACACAGTTTTTTTTCTGTATATTTTTGATCCATAGTTGGTTGAAACCAATGGATGCAGAACCCATGGATACAGAGGGCTGATTGTATTTCTAGAATGTAAATGTGGGGTGGGAGTTGAAGATGTGATTTATGAGACAGGACTGGAGGCAAATGGACTTCATCTTGTGGAGCCTGAAGAACCAATACCTAATTTTTTTTTTTTTTTTTTTTTGAGATGGAGTCTTGCTCTGTCGCCCAGGCTGGAGTACAGTGGTGCAATCTCGTCTCACTGCAACCTCCACCTCCCAGGTTCACACCATTCTCCTGCCTCAGCCTCACGAGTAGCTGGGACTACAGGCGCCCGCCACCACGCCCAGCTAAGTTTTTGTATTTTTAGTAGAGATGGGGTTTCACCATGTTAGCCAGGATGGTCTTGATCTCCTGACCTCATGATCTGCCCACCTCAGCCTCCTAAAGTGCTGGGATTACAGGCGTGAGCCACCATGCCCGGCACCAATACCTAATTTTAAGCAGAACATTGGCAAGCCAGATTTAATATTTGGAAAACTTACTGTCATAACCAATTGAAAGACTACTTGGTTATAGAGGCAACATTGTAGATAAGAATGCCAGTGGAATTATCCATGTGAGAATTATGATTTCTGAATTAAGGCTGTGGCAACAGTGATGAAATAAGAATTATTTGAGATAAATCTAGAATTTCCTTGGTTTTCTTATCTATGAATGGAAGCCTCAAAATTTTGCCACTGCAAGAGGCATTATTTCTATCTCACCCAAACATGCTTACATGAAACTGGACCTTACATTATAATGTAGCCTGCTTGAAATGTAAACAGGATCCCTGTAGTAGTGCTTCCATAGCCTGACAAGATGCAACAAGATATATCCTGTGTTTGTTCATATAACATACCTTGGTACTATAAAATACGAGTTCTTTACTTTCTCTGGTTTCTCATTGAGCTTCATATTAATCAGTAGAATTATTTTATAGGCTTACTAAAACATGTTTTAGTATTGCCTTTTTTTTTTTTTGGTCAGATTATTTGTTCTTGCTCTATCTTGATCCCACTCATTCCTCCAAACGCTGTATTGGCTCTTCCATCTTCAAATTATGGAATCAAACAAACCAAGAATTTCATTATTCTATTGAAGCCTCACTAGAGTGCAGTACACATCTTTGAGAGTTAAAGGAAGCTTATTAAGCATAATCTAAATTTTTTATACCCTAGTGTTTAATTTTGTTAAGTTGCTATACTAATGTTAGTTGTAACTCTCAGACAGTAGGGTAAACATGTGCCTTGGTTTACATGGGATAGTCCCAGTTTATGCCTGTATTCTTGGTGTAATTTATTTATAATGCCCCATTTTTACTTTCAAAAGTATCTCAGTTTGTACATTAAATTGTATGATCACCCTATCAGGGAGAGCCACAAAGAAATTATCCATTTATGCATTTCTAGAATTCAATTTATGGGAAGTAAATGTAATTAAAACATGCTGACAGCCAGTGTGCCTGCTGTAGACTTCATGCATACTGTCTCTTAAGTCTTTTTGAGGACAAATGGAGTAAAACTTGTCACTTATTTACTAAAAGATTTTTACTGCTATAATAGAAAAATGAAATTACTTCTCTTTTGGTGCTATATGTCCCTCAACCAGTCTTGTCATGATTCTATTAAGGTAAATAATGCAAAGCTGAGTTTTGCATTTATTTTCTAAACAAAATACACACTATGACTATTTAACTTATGGTGGAAAACAGAGAACCTTATATGGACTTAAACGTGAAAAGAATCTTGAAAAATATGATAATGAATTTAGTGCATCCCCTTCCTTTACAGATGAGTGACCTAGATCACCAAGAGGTCATGTAACATATATGTGGTTCCATGGCTACTTAAGTGGCATACAGTGCTATAGCTAGACCTCCAATGTTTTAATCCAGGGTTTCAAGGTCCTTTTCGCTAGATGGGATTGCATATGAAAACCACAGGCCACCTTTATTCCCATCACACTCATCTTGTAAACAAAAAGGTCCATGTAAAATATCCTGACTTTAGGAAATATATGGAAAGCAGTCAGAAATTGATATTTTACATTTTATATATTTAAAATACGGCATAATAGGTATGTGCTGAGTAGCTTTATGTATGTATGCACGAATATTTTTTAAACTTTTAATTGACTATATGTTTATGGGGTACACAGTGATGTTTTGATACATGTATATACATTGCGGAATGATCAAATCAGGATAATTTGAGTATCCATCACTTTAAGTATTTATCATTTCTTTGTGGTGAGAACATTGAAAATCCTCACTTTTAGCTCTTTTGAAATATATAATACATTATTAACTGTCATCACTGTGCTGTGAAATAGAACACCAGACCTTATTTCTTCTAACTGTAACTTTGTACTCATTGACCAATGTCTTTTTTTCCCCCATACAACACCAGGCTCTGATAATTATCATTTTACTCTCTACTTCTATGAGTTTGACTTTTATAGATTCCACATATGAGATCAGACAGTATTTGTTTCTTTGTTTCTGGCTTATATAGGTTCATTCATGTCACAAATGATAGAATTTCCTAGTTTATTTTTAAAGGCTGAATTGTATTCCATTATTTATGTATACCACAGTTTTTAACCCATTAGGTGGATACTTGGGTTATTTCCATATCTTGACTATTGTGAATAATGCTGCAATGAATGCAGGAATGCAGGTATCTCATCAGCATACCGATTTCCATTCCACTGGGTATGTCCCAGTAGTGGGATTGCTGGATCATATCATGATTCTATTTTCAGTTTTTAGAGGAAATTCCATACATTTTTTTGAAAAATAGCTGTACTAATTTGTAAAACCACCAACAGTGTATGTATAAGGTTTCCCTTTTCCCCACATCTTCACCAACACTTATCTTTCAACTCTTTGATAATAGCCAATCTAAAAGTTGTGAGGTGATAATTCATTGTGGTTTTAATTTGCATTCATCTGATGTTTAAAGCATGTTGAGCATTTCTTCACATATCTGTTGGCCATTTCTATGTTTTCTTTTGAGAAATGTCTTCAAATCCTTTGCCTATATTTTAAAAGGGTTATTTGTTATCTTGTTACAGGGTAGTCTGAGTTTCTTGTATATTTTGAAAAGTAGCCCCTTATCTGATGTATGATTTGCAAGTATTTTCTCCCAGCTCATGGGTGCCTCCTTTATTAATTGTTTCTATTGCTGTGCAGATGCCTTTCAGTTTGAACCAATCCCATTTGTCTATTTTAGCCCTTGTAACTTGTGATTTTGGGGTCAGTATCTAAGAAGTTTCTACCCAAAACAATGTCGGTCATAGAGCGTTTTCTGCATGTTTTCTTCTTATGTTTTATGGTTTCTGCTCGTATGTGTAAATCCTTAATATATTTTGAGTTGATTCTTTCATAAGGGGTGAGGTAAGGACCCAAGCAACTCCTAGACTCAAGCGATCCTTCTGCCTTAGCTTTCCAAGTAGCTAGGACTACAGATGCGTGCCACCATGCAAAGCTAATTTTTTTTTACTTTTTATCTTTTATTTATTTATTTATTTATTTATTTATTTATTTATTTATTTGGTAGAGATGGGATCTTGCTATGTTACCTAGGCTGGTCTTGAACTCCTGGCCTCAAGCAGTCCTCTTGCTTTGGCCTCCGTAAGTTCTGGGATTACAAGCATGAACTACCATGCCTGGCCTCCAATTTCTTTCTTTCTTATGTAGATATCTAGTTTTCCCAACATCATTTATTGAAGAGACTACACTTTCTCCAATGTGTGTTCTTCACAATTTTGTTGCAAATCAATTGACCATAGATACGTGGGTTTATTTTGGAGCTCCCTATCCTATTGCATGGGTTGATGTATCTGTTTTTATGTCAGTATCATGCTGTTTTGATTACTATAGCATTGTAATATATTTTGAAATCTGGTAGTGTGATACCTCCAGCTTTATTCTTTTTATTGATTATTGCTTTGTCTATTTGGTGTCTTTTATGACTCCATATGAATTTTAGGAATGTTTTTTTCTATTTCTGTGAAGAACTACATTGGAATTTTTATAGGGATTACATTGAATCTGTAGCATTGTGAGTAATATGGATATTTTAACAGTATTAATTCTTCCAATTCAAGAACATGGGATATCTTTTATTTGTGTCATCTTTAATTTTTTGTTAATGTTTTATAGTTTTTAGTATTCAGATCTTTCACTTATAATTTGATTAAATATACTCCTAAACATGTTTTGATCCTATTATTAATGGGATTGTTTTCTTCACTTCTTTTTCAGACGGTTCGTTGTTACTATATAGAAACTACTGATTTTTTATTTTGCACCCTAGAACTTTACTGAATTTATCAGTTTAAACCATTTTTTGGTAGCTTCTTTAGGATTTTCTGTGTATATTAATAAGATCATGACATCAACAAACAGATACAATTTCACTTCATCCTTTCCTGTTTGGATGCTTTTTATTTCTTTCTCTTGCCTAATTGCTCTGGCTAAGACTTTCAGGACTATGTTGAAGTACTTAATATGATTTTTATCTTCTTAAATTTGTTAGACTTGTTCCATGACCTAACATATGATCTATTCTGGAGAATGTTCCGTGTGCACTTAAGAAGAGTGTGTCTTCTGTTGCTGTTGGATAGAATGTTCTGTATATGTCTTTTGGGTTCATTTGTGGTACTTTAAAGTATAGTTCAAGTCCAGTGTTTTCTTACTGATTTTCTGTCTGGATGACCTGTCTAATGTTTCTAATGTTTAAAGTGGGGTATTGAAATCTTCTACTAATATTGTGTTGAAGTCTTTGTCTCCTTTCAGATCTCTTAATGTTTACTTTATATATTTAGGTGCTCTAATGTTGGGTGGACATATATTTACAATTGTTATATCCTCTTGATGAATTGATCCCTTTGTCAGTATATAAGAATCTTCTTTGTCTATTTTTACTGTTTTCTGCCTAAAGTCTATTTTGTTTGTATTATGTACAGCTGCCCCTGCATTCTTTTTGCTTCCATTTTCATGGAATGTCTTTTTTATTCCTTCACCTTCAGCCTATGAGTATCCTTTAAAGTAAAGTAAGTCTTTAAAGGACACTCATAGACTGAAAATGAAGGAATAAAAAAGGCATTCCATGTTGAGTCTTTAAAACAATATATTCAACCACTCTATGCTTTTTGATTGGAAAAGTTAATCCATTTACATTTAAATAATTATTGATAAGTGCAGACTTACTAGTGCCATTTTGTTCATTGTTTTCTGTAGAGCAATTGTTTTTTAGATCTTCTGTTCTTTTTTTCCTCTTGTGTTCTTCCTTTGTGGTTTGATGGCTCCCTGGAGTAGTATGCTTTAGATTTTTTCTTCTTATCTTTTGTGTATCTCTTATAGGATTTTGCTTTGTGGTTACCCTGAGGCTTACGTAAAACATCTTATACTTAAAACTGGCTATTTTAAATTGATAACAGCTTAATTTTGATCACATAACGCATACTACACATTTACTCTTCTACTTCCCACATTTTATGTTTTTAATGTCTTGTTTTATGTTTTTTATAATATATAATCACTTGAAAAATTATTAAAGCTGTAGTTTTGTTTTTGGTAATTTTGCCTTTTATCCTTTATACTAGAGGTATAATTGTTTACCCAGCACTGTTTCGTTATTAGAGTGTATTGGATTTGACAATATACTTGCTTTTATACTTAAAGTTTTATACTTCCATATATTTTAATGTTACTAATTAGTATCCTCTTCTTCTGCTTGAAGAACTCCCTTTGGCATTTCTCATAAGACAAGTCTAGTGATGATAAGCTCTCTCAGTTTTTGTTTGTCTGAGTAAGTGTTTATTACCTCTTCATTTTCAAAAGACAAGATTGCTGGGAATAGTATTCTTGGTTGACAGAACAACCCCCATCCCCCTTCTGGATTTTGAATGTATCATTTAACTCCCTTCTGGCCTGCAATATTTCTGCTGAGAAATACACTGATGCTTTTGTGGAGATTCCTTTACATGTGACAATTCACTTTTTCCTTGCTGCTTTCAACACCCTAACTTTTGACATTTTGACAGTGATGTGTCTTGGTGTGGGTCTTTTTTGGATTTATCTTATTTGATATATCGTAGGCTTCTTGTATTTGCTTTCTATTTCCTTCCCCAGGCTGGGGATGTTTTCTGCCATTATTTCTTCAAATATATTTTCTGTTCTTTTCTCTTTCTCTTGTTCTTCTAGTACACCAATAATGTTTAAATTGTTATACTTGATGGTGTCCCATAAGTCTCTTAAGCTATCCTTACCTTTTTTCACTTGTCAGATATTGCTGAAGGATTAAGTAATAAAAGGACTGGGAATTGACCACTGAGTTTTGCTGTGTAGATGCCATGAATAATCATGTTTGATGGAGTAATAAGGGGTAGCAAACTTATCTCTTATCTGTATTACTATAATGATCTCTTTATATCTCCTGACTTTCCTTCTTGCCTTTCCACAGTTTATTCTCAACACACTCAGCATGCTGACTTTTTAAAATATATAGATCATATCTATATATTTTAAATATCTATATATTTTAAATATCTATATATTTTTCACCTTTTTCACATTCTAACTTATATATTCATTTAAAAAAACCTTTTTATCAAGTGTATATTATCCTTCATTTGAATATTAACTCCATGAAGGCAGGGGCTTATGTATTTTTGCCGATATATCCTAAGTGTTTAGGATATTTCCTAGCACATGGTAAATGATCAACAAACACTGGTTGAATTTTTCTTGTCATTAGCTTGTAACTAAAGCTTTTAAAAGCATCAGATGTATATCTGAGCTAATAAGTATGATGTGTTTGCTTTTTTTCAAAAGCTACTACCTGTTGGAATCATTTCCAAGTAAGAAAGTACTATTTTGTAGGAGTTAGGTGATGTTAACTCAGCTGAATAATTAGCTTCTTGCCTCTCTGGTTATTTATTCAGTTTTTCCTGAGTATTTATATGCTCAAGGGAAGCTCAGTAAATACCTGTTGTCTACTCTGTTGCAAACACTGTGCTAGCGGCTGTGATTCATAGGCCTCCTCTAGAAGGAGAGATTCACAAGTATGTCAATGTTTATAACCAAGTATGACTGGGTGATGTTAGAAATAAATGCACCAGGGTTTGGGTTCATGTAGAAAAGACACACTTGCAGTCTATAAATGGTCTATTTTAGATTGAACACTCTGTCCTCTTTCCGATATCTCTGTGAATTTCAAATGTCCTACTTACAGCCAGAACTAAAGAACTGCAAAAATGATCCAAAGCCAATTCCTTTTCTGTCCCACCTGCAGCTTGCATTGATCCTCTAGTGTTTTTAATCAATCTTGCTAAATACTTCCTGTAGGGAAAATGAGTAGTGATGAGAAGTAATCTTGCTGCTACTTTCTTCTGAAAAATTTAATGATTGATTTACAGATATTGCCTGTTCATCATGATATCCCATTGTAGAAGATGGGGATTAAATTTCAGTCTTAAAGGTTATGGGATCCCTCAAGGCTTAGCGTATAGTAATGAAAAATTGAGAACCTAGAAAGGGGATTTCGGATTCTGTATAGTGAATAAACTTTTATCAGGCCTTGCTTCTGATATGAATTTAGGATTATGTGGATAGGCATATGCCATGAGCTTTTTACTGCAGCCTTAGAACTTTCTCTATATTTTATATACAATTTCTTATTTATGTATTTCTCTTCAGTTTAAAGCAAATGCTGTAGTTTTTCTGAAGTCATAAATAATCTCTGGGCCTTTCCCAACTGGTCTGTAGAGGCCCTTTTAATAAGGCCTCCTAAACATAAATAGAAATCAGTTACCTAACTTGATATCACAAACAGAAGCCATCCCTTTGATAAGTCTTTGTCTAATGGCTTACAAGTTAACTCTTTCCTCTGAATATTAACAGATGTCCTGGAAATTGCCTGTGTATTTGGAGTAATACATACTCCCTAGAGTACATGGTCTTTCTGAGCCACAAAACCTAATTCTTCGAATTCTAAAAAGATGTCCAAGGAGAATAATAGATCCTTTAGATGTATGGTTTGCCTGGTTTCTGTTTCTTTTTTTCTTTTTTGTGAGACGGAGTCTCACTCTGTCGCCCAGGCTGGAGTGCAGTGGCGCAATCTCGGCTAACCGCAACCTCTGCCTCCTGGGTTCAAGTGATTCTCCTGCCTCAGCCTCCCCAGTAGCTGGGACTACAGGTGCGCACCACCACGTGGGCCCAGCTAATTTTTGTATTTTTAGTAGAGACAGGGTTTCATCTTGTTGGCCAGGATGATCTCGATGTCTTGACCTCGTGATCCGCCCACCTCGGCCTCCCAAAGTGCTGGGATTACAGGCGTGAGCCACCGTGCCCGGCCTGCCTGGTTTCTTTGATTTTTAATTTTTGATGTTCCTGGGTACATACTAGATGTATATATTTCTGGGGAACATACAGATATTTTAGTACAGGCATGCAGTGTGTAATAATCACATCATGGAAACTGGGGTATCCAGCCCCTGAAGCATTTATCCTTTGTGTTACAAACAATCCAGTTATAATCTTTTAGCTATTGGTTTGCCTGTCTTAAAATATTTTAAGCTTAATGTGAAGCATGTTACCCTTAGTAAAAATTCCCATTCTTCTTACATTCTGATAAGGTCACAGATAGGAAACTCATTTCAGAACTTGGTTCTTCTCTATAATTTACTTTTAGTGCTGTTATGGAACCCCATTTTGAAGTATACATTCCCACAGTATGGCAATTAATCTATTTCTTCTTTAGGCTAATGAGTCTTTTCTTGCAATGTCTTCATTTATTCATTCGTCAAACTCTTGAACTTCTTGTATGTAAAGCACTTTGCAAAATCACTGGTATAACCATTGAACCAGAGAAACACAACATTTGGCTTCATGACCTGATACCACCTATTTCTCTAGGAATTGAATAGGTTCTGTTGGTGCTTGGTTAACAGGTTATTATTCTAAAGTCATGCCATCTTTATGGATCACACATTAAGCCTTTTTAATGTATTATTTTAAAACTTAAACACCAATATTCTGTATTTTTACTTATTTTTTGTATGTGACTCTATGTGACTCCCAGTTTTACCTTCCTTGCTTAGGTTGATGTGATCGTGACACTGGGAGGCCTTGCTGGGCGTTTTGACCAGATTATGGCATCTGTGAATACCTTGTTCCAAGCGACTCACATCACTCCTTTTCCAATTATAATAATCCAAGAGGAATCGCTGATCTACCTGCTCCAACCAGTGAGTCAAAAGTGAATATAATGTGAGCCCTTTCCTTCACAAAGCTTCTACCACTTGAGTAGACTAGAAGAAAACATTGGCCCTGCTTGGGTCTTCGAACTGTGAGTGGAATTGAACATGTGCGCTTTCTTGTGGCCACTTTAGTTTTGCCCCAGGTCACTGACCAGCAAAAATGTGAAGGAGAATCCTGAAAGTTTTCATTTTATTGTGTCTAAAAAACAAGAGAAAGTGTTGTAACTCTAAATTGACTAAGAATTAAATTGAGCACTTTTGCGTTTTGAACAGCTGAATGTGAATGACATTTGAGAAAAACCTCAATAGGGGAAACACAAGGTTTGGCAAATGTTGCTAATGTAATTCTTACGTATTTTGAGTGTTGTCATTATCATTGGATATAACTGGAAACTGGGTTTGATTTCGTTAGGCACTTAGAAGACAGTCTTTAGCTTTTACTATTCATAAGTTGCCTGGTGATTAGTTTCTCTGTCTCAGAATAATTTCTAATGATGTCTTTCATTTCCAGTGATAAACATTAACGACATTTTCTCTCAATGTAGTGCATAGAACAGAATTCTTACTAAACAAACAAATTTTATGAGGTTTATTGGTGGATTTCAGTTTTAAAATATCATTTGGTAACCTTTTTTTTAAAAGATAGTGGACAGTACTTTCCATTTTTGCCTCTCATTGTGGTCTACTACTTATATTTTGCTGCTACCCTGTTGCTACCCACCATCTGTAGCCTGGCATTACTAGAAATTGTAGTTTGGTTAATAGGGTGGGTTTAGTGCATGCTCACTATTCTTTAGCCAGTTTTGCATTTTTTTCCTGGATCTTTGCGTGTCCTAGCCATGTTGCTTTCTGGATAAATATGGAAGGGGAGAAGAAGAATTCAGATTTCAAACTATACTATCCATGTATTTTGTCAACCGTTACAGACTGCCTTCTACGTATTTGTTGCACTGCCTAGCAATTAAGGATAAAAATAAATAGTTGCATGTGATCTTTGCTCTCCAGATTAAGTGCAATGAAAGATCCATTTATACAAATGTAATCACAATGCAATGTTGAAAGATTAGTACCAAAAAATGAAATAATAGAAAACTGGAGCATGTGTGTAGTAAGAAAAGTCTTCACAGAGGCACTCACATTGTATTCACTCAATTAATTCAACAAACGTTTACTGAGTACCTGCTATTTGCCAGGCTCCTTTCTAGGGATAGAGCAGTTAACAATACAAACAGAAATCCTTTCATGCAATGTACCTTCTACTAAGCTTACAATTCAACAGAATCTTCAAGGATGAGTAGATTCTTGCTGTGGAAGATGATGGGAAAGTTATTTAATGCAAGAAGAGCCAGGGAAGAAACATGGAGATGCAGGATGTGTTATAGGATTTGCAGGTAATTCTGTGCAGCTAAAATATGGGCTGTGCAGCTACAATATGGGCTGTGGTATGGAAGAATGCCAGAAGATAAGATACAAAACTAATTGGGATACTGATTGTGAAGAGCTTTAAATTCCACACAATGGAATGTGAACTTCTTTTTGCCATAGGTTTTGGAAAGTCATTAAAAGATTTTGGTTAGCAGTACAGATATGCTTTTTAGATTTCTTATCAATTTATATGTTTGTTAAATACCCATAGACTCCCAACAGCTTCTGAAGTTTGAAACTTACTACTATTGTGAAGCAATGAGCTTTGTTCTATTGCACTGAATTGATGGTATGACTGCTAAAGTATTCAGTCATAACTTGTCTCTGTATAGATGCTCTGGTCAATATATTACTAGTTAAAGATGCAGTACAATACTTTTTAAAATTATAATTGGCAGATTCACTGATAGAAAAAGCCACATCTAAAATATGAATTCTACATTAAGGTATTTTTACTGTTTTGGGTTTCTGTGTTTTCCCTATAATTGGTATAATTATGAGCTTTCTGAAATGCATTTGGCTTGGGATTCATTGGATTTTCTTCCATCTATAGATTGTTGTCTGTCATCATTTCTGGAAAACTCTCAATCATTATGTTTTCAAATATTGCCCTATTCTTTTTCTCTTTTCTTCTGTACCTCCAATTAAATGTATTTAAGATCCTCTACTTGTATCATATATATCTCAGCACTTTCATATTTTCTATGTCTTAATCTCTCTGGGCTTCATTCTGAAGTTCTTCACCACCTCTGTGTTCTGTTCACTGTCCCGCTTCAGCTCTACCTATCTGCCGCTAGACCCACCCTCTGCGTTTTTAATTCCTGCCATGATTATTCTTTCTTACACGCTTGCCCTTTACTCACATTTTCAAGGGGCTCTTTCTTAAAACATAATTATCAAACTGGTTTTATAGTCTAGAATAATTCTAATGTAAGCCAGCTGCCTTTTGTGTTCACTTTTGCTTTCACATTTCGTGACCTCAATTCCTTCTCTGTTTTATGATTTTTGGCAGGACCTCACATTTCTGAGAACTTTAAGTGTGGGAATTATTTGAGGTGTGGGTTAAAAGTAAATCCAAGGAGAATTTACATTTGCTTTTGCCTGGCTGCTGAGTGGACTTGTAGCCCAGTTCTGTGGGAGCACTAAGTACTTAGGACATTTTGTCTGAGACTATTTTGGACCACGTTGTCAGTGTAGACTCTGAATGTAACACTGCTGAGAATCTGATGTCTGGTTACAAATGCTCAGGGGAGACTTTTCTCATCTTCTCAGTTATGGAGTGCCAAAGTTTGGTTGGCCACTTTTCCTAGCAGACCAGTGGGAGTGTTGTTCATATTCATCTTGATATTTTGGATCTCTGCTTTACGTGGTACAGCATCCTTTTAGACGTCAACCTTGGGCAGGCCTTGGGCTTTGTCTTCTGACAACCTTCCCTAGTTGGGGGCTTTAGAAACTGAAGCTCAGGTTCATCTGATTTGCTAAACACTCTCCAGATGAAAGTTAGCCTTGGCCTTCTTTTTATATCAAAATGTAGTTTTTGGCTTCTGGGCAAAATTCTTATTTCTTTCCTTTTCTTTCTTTTTTTTTTTTTTTTTTTTGGAGACAGAGTCTCCCTCTGTTGCCCAGGCTGGAGTGCAGTGGCGTGATCTAGGCTTACTGCAGCCTCTGCCTCCTAGAATTCTTTTTTTTTTAAAGATACATTTGATGCATTTTAGAAGATTCTCTTAATTTTTTTTTTTTAGTATTTGTATTGTTTTCAGTTGGCCAGGGCACTAATCTATCATATTGCCTCTGTACCTCAGTTACTTCCCACCCCCCCCTCCGTCTATGTTGCAGTGATGATCAACTCCAGATCTGAGAGGCTTTCCAAGATTAGGTTTATTAAGTTTTTTTTTCTTATTAATAGAATATCTGATGTGGCTTGAGAGGCATCCCACATTTTATATCTAAGCTAACTGGAACACATTGCTGAAGCAGGGAAACTGATTACTAGAATGTGGCACCATGTTTTTTACAGGCCAGGCCTGCCTATAACCTGTGTCACCTTCTGCAGGAATGAAGTTCTGCCGCCCCAGCCCAACTGCAAAGGCAGTCTAGGAAATGAAGCTTGTGGGCCCAGGAAGAGGAAACACTGACTTACAAAGCAATTCTTTCTCAAACTGCCAGACATGGATATCTTGAAAGAAATTCTGGAATCATGACCCTACATAACTTATAGGAATGTAACATACAATGTGTTAGGCTTTAGTTAGTTATTAAGGTGGAATCCCCAGTTCTCTAAAGTGGTAAACATGTTAAGGGTACCTGCATAGCCAAATCCCCAAATATAATGCAATGTAGATTCTCTCTGTGATAATTTTGATTTTGTGTCATTGGAATAACTACAAAATTACCTTATCCTAATGAAGTAATTATTACATAGTGTGGTGCAAAAAGAACATGCAAAATTACACTCTCTGTTCTTTAAGGGAGTGACAATGGCAGGCACAGGCTTCCACCTGTGGGGTTAGCAGTGCAGCCTTTGCTCGTCTTGGCCACTCTGTTCTAGGGAGTTCTTTATCGAGACACAGCCTGGCTCTCTGCTTTTCTATCACTTTTAGTAAGGGAATAGCAAGAAAATTAGTAACACAAATGCATATGTTGAAGTGAATATGTTTGGGGGTTTAAGGTATGGATGGATCTCATGTGATCCACCATATTGGTAACAAGTTTTAATTGTATACCCGTGAATGGGATTAATACTAAAAATCAGTTAAAAACTACTAGAGACCGGGTGTGGTGGCTCATGCCTATAATCCCAGCACTTTGGGAGGCCGACACGGGCCTGTCACCTGAGGTCAGGAGTTTGAGACCAGCCTGACCAACATAGTGAAACCCTGTCTCTACTAAAAATACAAAATTAGCCAGGCGTGGTGGTGCATGCCTGTAATCCCAGCTACTTGGAAGGCTGAAACAGGAGAATTGCTTGAACATGGGAGGTGGAGGTTGCAGTGAGCTGAGATTGCGCCACTGTGCTCTAACCTGGGCAACAAGAGCAAAACGTCGTCTCAAAAAACAAAAAAAAAACTACTATAAAATTACTGCACAGAAGCATTCTACATCCTAGAAATGAGACTTGCACCACTGGGGCTGAAATGGCTCTGTCAGGTGTTACTTCATATAACTGCATCATTAATATATGTGATACATGCACTAAATGTGCCTATACATTACATGGTGTGCATACTTTGGGGAAGGTATTCAGAATGGACATCTACAGCAGACTGTTCATTATTTTTAGAACATACAGTCACAGTCCGGATGGGCAGGAGAAATGTTATAAATTTAAACTGAAATCATTTAAAAATATTGCAAAAGTAGGCTTAAGAAAATGTCTCGTGTGCTTTAGCGCCAAATAAAGAATGACTTCAAAACTCTAAATTTTTAAATTTTTTTAAATTAAAGTTAACATATAGTTGTTGAGGAGGAAGATAATACTGATACTTTTACAAGAAGCATCTCATCTGAGCCTTATAACAATACTGGGAGAAAAGCAGGATAATATGGTCACACAGTGAAGTGTTTTGTCTCAACACTTTTTCCACAACATTACATTTCCTCCTTCATGGGGTTAATGGACTAAGATGCAAATAATAAACTCTTGAAACAAGTCACAGCCCATAGGCTGGTAATTGTCCATAAGCAGTGTGTAACTGATGGCCAGTTGGTGTATGCATGTGTATGTATAAATATATGTGTGTGTGTATATGTGTACATATATGTTTTTTCCACTATGATATTATTTTCAAGTAAAATAAATCTTGGATGCACTTTAAGGATCTACCTCATCTTGTTGCTGTATCCTTAAGGAAAAATGACTTTCTGAAGTTTTATAATAAAATTTACATCTAATAATAATCTTTCATCATTTAAGCAGACTAAGTGATTTACCATTAAGCTTTGCTAAAGTATGTTAAAAGTGGTAAAAATTCAATATAAATGTTAATTATTACGAGTGTTAGATTTGAGCCTAGAGTGTTCCAGAATTTTTTTTCAATTAGATGATCTGAAATTAAAGATAATAGTAGGAGGAATAAGTCATCTTACAGCAACTGTTTATCTGATCATTTTTTTAGTCTAGTAACTTGGTAAGAGAGCTTGTGTTATATCTGCTACACTAATTTTAATTGGCTAGAATAGTCCTAGTCCCTGGAACCAGAATGCACTTTTCTTGATCTTTTTAAAAAAGCCTATCCTCATATCATCTTAGTCTTTCTGTGATGTTCTGTGTTTCTTTTGGAGTGTTTACATATGAGACTCTCATGAGACTAGGTTGTGTAAATAAGTAATTATCTTCCATTCATTAAGATTATTTTAGTCATTTCGGACTGACCTATATGTCATAGTAGCAATTCACTTAAAGTGTATAGTTGTTTCAGTCTAAAGTCTGTGTTCTCTTTTCAGTCCCCTCTCTGTGGTGTATTTTTATTAGTTATAAATTGAATTTTAAAACAAGGATACAATGAGGTAGTTCCAGTTAAAATGAATATGGGAAGGTGTTTGGAATTTTTTTAGCTGGTTGTTTTTTTTAGCATGTAAGGTTTTTCATATTGTATTTTTGGCATATTTCACTTACTATGGGTCAAAATGTAATTATGAGTGAAAACCTTGGTAGGTAGCATTTACTTTGTAGGAATGTTCAATTTGCCATTCGAAAAATAGAAAATTCAAAATAGGATGCATAATAGTCCCTTCCTTTAAATAAACATCCTTCTTTTACTTCCAAAAATGTGTTCTTGATAAGACATCATCACCTTTTATGAGGAGGGGATGCTATGAAATAGATGACAGACATTTCAGATATGAAACATCGCTGATGTCAGTAACTAGTTAGGCCATCTTCCTGCTGAAGAGTCAGGTGCTCAGAGCCATGTTTATCATGCTGCCTGTGTGGAGTGCGGGTGGCTCTAGGTTTCACATACATTCTTTCTCATTTTCTGGTCCTGTGCTTCTCAGGAGTACAGAAACATTAGCTTCTGTACACTGAGCATAAATTATCTTTTATCTCCAAGTTTTATGGCAGTTTGTAATACAAGTTAATAGGATTTATAACCAAGAAATGAGATGTCCAAGAGTTAATAAGGCATGGCTTTTACATTATCCTAAACCTTGCTCGGTGATTCCCGCTCAGGATTCCAGTATCTGATATAGGAGAAGGTGGCACAGAGAAGACTTCTGTCAGTTTTTATCTCACTTGAGCAAACTTGCAAATATGTTGTAAATATTTCTTCCTCATCATTTTAGTCATGCTTTACTGCTGCTTGTTTTTTTTTTCTCTTTCACCAGATCAATTATTTACTATATAATGTCCTAACATTATTTACATTATACATTTGTAATGCTGGTAATGAATATGATAAAATATGCTGGGAGTTTGATAGAAGCTGAATATTCATGATATAAATTTGCTATGCCTGATGGTTTCTGCTGAGAACTGGGCGTTTGGGTCGGTCTACCCTTGTGTGCACATGTCCAGCACAACCTCATCAGTGATAACATCAAAGAAGTGATTCTCAGTGTGATTTTGAGTAGGCGACAGAGAGTTCTCAATTCTAGACAACACTGAAATCTTCCCACACTATTTATTACCCGTTTTAATTCCCTTCTTTGGAATAATCATTATTATTTTATTCTTCCTCTGTATCTTTCATGTAATTTTTATTGTTGCTTGGCCTTTTAGAATTCCTAGTATAAACTACATAGTATCACAGAACTATTAAATATGTATTATTAAATATAATAAACTATTAAATAGTGTGAATAGTGTAAAGCTTTAGAGATCGTTTTATAGATGAGCAATTTCAGAGACATTTATGTGATCTGCCCAAGGTTATATGCAGTGTTTCTTTGGTAGGTGATTGATACTGAAATTGAAAAAGATCTGATGCAGTAATAGTCTGAAAAAGGACCACTAGGCATTTCATACCAGAAATGCCCTGTTACACTGACCTTCCCAACCTCCCTCCGCCTTCCAAAAGGCGCATTGTGAATACCTGTTCCTACCTGGCCTACACCCACCTCAGCTTGTTGCCCTGGGAAAGTTTTGCCACTCAGGGTTCAACGCCTGGCCGAAATACTCTTTACCTTCAAATTGTGTCCTTGCCTAGCTCTGTCCTTTCTTTGGCTTGTTTGCTCTGCCATGCCATGCAGCAGGTTCTTCTTCACATGGAATACACACAGACACATCTTCGCTAAGCCTCCTCTTCTTTTCCCTCTCTTCAATTGTTGCCCGGCTTTCTAGGGAACAATTTTCAATACTCATTCTCTCCTTCTTCTCTTTCCCCTTTCTTTTGTGTTGTTTCCTCCTCCTCTACATGACATTTAAAAAAATAACACAAAAACCTATCCTGTTGTAGTATGTGTTAATCTCATACATATAAGCAGGAAAACCTTGTATTTTAGTATGAAATAAGACAATAAAATTCCAGAGCTATACAGTTCTCATTTTTTAAGTGCCCTAGTGTTCCCTTTAAATCTCCATAGAAAATTTTCCTCTATGGTTTTATCCATGTTTAATTAAACTAATTTTCATTTAAGAAGTTAAACTACACACTTGTCTTTACCTTGTAGCTATTGTTGTCTGTTTTGTTGATTCACAGAGTAGGATACTTCAAAAACAAACATTCAGTAAATACCTATGATGTGTTAGACACTGTGGTAGGCATTCAGAGTACAGAAATAAAAGGCACTGCCTTTATTCTGCTGCTCACAGTTTAGTACAAGAGACAGAATAAATATTAAAATTCAGAAATATGTATGAGAAAACACTGGGAGCAAGGGGGATGGCAGGAATAAAGCATCTTACCCAGACGGGACACAGGGCCGGTGGTCCCCAACCCTAATACCTGCCACTCACCCATGCAGCATGCAGGCTCTTTGACCTTAAAGAAGCCTTTCACTGAGAAAGATTTATAGGAAGATATCCATCAGCAAAAACTTAAGGTGATCCCTCAGTGATTCCAAAGCAGTATAGGAGGAAATACCGAATTCAATCTTCATGGAAACTGTTTGAAAACTTACGTGAACATTGGCCTTTCCTTTCAGCCATGAGTGATGGAGAATCAGTTTTGGAGACTTGAATAGTTTCTAAGAAATGATATCAAGACTCCATATGTGATATGGAGATGATATCTGAACTCAAGACTGCTAAGAAGTCAGGCAAAGAAAGGAATAGTGACATTTAATGTGGAAGGAATATAAAGCAAGAGAACTTGGCACATTTGGGGAACAGCAAATTGCTGGATCACGGGGAGCCATTGGAGGTGCAGCTGGAGGGAAGCAGGGTCTAGAGCATGAGGGCTTGCTTGAATCCCCAGGAAGATGGTCTCTATATTGAGAATAAAGGTCAGGTTTTAAGGGTTTTTTTAATCAAAGGAGTGGCATTTGATTGACATTTTAGAAAGTTTAATTTGGTGGGAGTATAGATTGTTTATGGAAGAAATAGAGGCCAACCAATTCTCTTGGAAATCCAAGGAACAAATGGTGAGTAAACTTAAGTAAACATGAGAGTGAAGGAAAAATGATGGAGTTTGTTGGGATGTGTGCTCAGAAGTCTTCATCGTAGAAATGCAGAGGGAGGAGTCGGTATAATAACTGCATCCTGCATTAGGGAACTGGGTGCTGTTCTTCTTTGAGATAGAGCAAATGGGAAGAGCAGATCAAAATGTGAAGATCAGCAGTTGACTCTGGGATATAAAGAGAAAGATCTATCTTTGGAACCAAATGGAATTGCCTAAAAGGATATATGTTCTGGCCTGGAGGTATACCTTGAAAATTGTCAATATGTAAAAAGGCAAAAGAGTGATGAGCTTGGATATCAAGAATAAATAGGATACAATGGATTTGGCAGCCAGGAAGAAATTTGATAAGGTAGAAAGCCAGGAAGAAATTTTGATACGTTTTTATGGCACAGTATGGGTAGAAACTATATTACTATGAGTTGAGTATTAAATGGGAAGGGCAGTTGAAATACATTTGTTTTCTTTTGTATTATTGTTTACCCTTTTTTGTTGTTCCCTTATAGAAGTTGATTTTTTTGTGCTAAACTGGGAACTAATAATGGCTTATAAAACTGTTTTGGTGAGACCATTTTTCCAAGTTAAAAACAAAACCATGGCACACGTATTTGGGATTTTGCCTTTGTATCTTGCGCAGCATGACTGAGAGCTACTATGCTGCATGTTTGTAAAGTGCTGCAGATATTCATGGACACTAATTATACCAGCATACACTGGAGAAGTACTTTTCACCCTACTTTTAACCAATACTTTCTTCAAGAAAAAAGAAAAAGAAAAAGAATCTCCTGGCCCAAACCCCAGCTCCACATCTCTTATAAACCCTTCGACACCTCTTCTACTTGAACATCTGTGGTATGGGGCTAAGGCATGGTGGAACTCTGTGTCAAACCTTTTAGACTCCTTTTCTGGTCTAGGGAAAACTGGTTCGAACATTCCACAACTACTCTTTTCTCTGCTTTTTTGAACTCACTGTACACTTTCAAAAATATTTTTAAGTAATTCTTGTCTTTTAAAACCCTACTCAAAATTTTTGTCTTCTATGGAGCATTTCCAAATAAACCCTCTAAACCTCCTTCATCTGGATCATTTTTATCTTCTTTTGTCTTCATTCCGGCTGCTATAACAAAATACCATAAACTTGGTTTTATAAACAACAAATTCATCTCTCATAGTTATGGAGATTGGGAAGTCCAAGATCAAGACGCCAGTAGATTCAGTGTCTGGTGAGGGCCCCTTGGCTGGTTGGCTCTTTCTTACTGTGTTCTTCCATGGCGAAAGGGGCAACTAAGCTCTCTAGGGCCTCTTTTTTAAAGGTACTAATCCCATTCATGAGGGCTCTGCCCTCATTACTAAATTGCCTCCCTAAGGCTCTACCTCTTAATACTATCACATTGGTGATTAGGTTTCAACAGATGAATTGGGAGGCAAGTGCATGAGGAACATTAGGAACAACCAAACACTTTTTTTAAATTTTTTTTTCTCCTTTGGGCCTCAAATACTCTAAACCTAAAACAAAATTTATTGAGTTATAACTTTTCTTGTTTCTGAACTTTAAAAAACAAATAATTGCGTATTTTGATAAAAGATGAAATAACAATTTTCACAGTTTAATGCTAGCCAAGTCTAAATAAATAGGAAGTTTTAGATAATCTAAATGTATTATTCCATTACCAGAAGCATCCAGTATTGCCTCCTCTTATAAAATGTGGGCTGCCTGGACATCCCTGGTTAAGAGTCAGAGGCTATAACTTGATCCACTTATTTCGCATTTGACACTTGCCTTTTCCTTGTATTTTGGGTGCTTACTTGGGACAGTAATTGTTTCTTTTGGTGGTTGGTAGCATGTTACTGCTGGACAAATACATCAAATACATGCAGATAATGGTGGTGGTGGTGGTGGTGGTGGTGGTGGGCTTTAAAGCAACCTAGGTATGATGATGTTTCAAGGGGAAAGGAGTGAAACACTACCCTGATACCTGCCTCTCACCCACACAGCATAGAGGTTCCTTGACCTTAGAGAAGTCTTTCACCAAGGAAGATTTATAGAAAGGTGTTCATCAGCAAAAACCTATTGTGACCCTCAGTGATTTCAAAGCAGTAAGGGAGGAAATATCAAATTCAATCTTCATGGAAATTGTTTAAAAACTTATTTGTACATTGGCCTTTCATTTTCAACCATGAGTGACAGAGAATCAATTTGGAGACTTGATGCAATCCATAAGAGTGTTGTGTGCAGGTGCAACAATAGAAAAGATGGCATCAGCATTTGTCTGAGCTCTGTCACCATAATTTATCATAATCCAATTCTAGGTAAAGTAATGGAATATTGGATGCAGGATGTCATCTTTTCCTTTATCCCCCCTCCCACAGTCCTCTGTGGCAAGGACACTGGTACACTGTGTCATGTATACTTAGTTCAATTGAGCATTGCTGCAGCATCTTCCTTTGATTGAAAACAAAAGGTTGCCAATGCAGTTATCAATGAACTGTGAAGTGATTTGAGTGTTACCAGCAGGGAAATGAAATGAGCCTCTGGGAAGAAGATTGGCATAAGTGAAAGTTTCTATATAAAGAGCTCCATACAGCTCCAGCTGGGTTGTTCTAGTTCTCGGCCAATTAAGGTTTTTTCCTCCAAATGTGGGAGAATTTTCATCTTACTTGTTCTGAAAGTAATCAAAACTAAAAGTGAAGAAAAGTGGAAAATTTTACAAAGAAAGTTAAGCTGGGACAGGTGGGGCTGGAGGGTATTTATTCAGACCATACATTTACCCTAGATATTTTAAAGCTCTTTCAAGGAATTGTGTAAGATGTCTCCCTCCCCCACAATACACACATATACATAGAACACATGTAATATATAAGTACACACACGCACCACACAGTTTTACTAAGAAAAAGGAAAGTAAGGATTCTAGATCTTAGGTCTATTGAGAAGGATTTGGTTTTTTTTGTTGTTGTTGTTTTTTTTTTTTTTTTTTGAAAACTAGTGTGTTTGTCTTTTAAAAGCTCTAATTAATTCTTCATAACTTTGTTATTATCTGAATTATGATACTTGACTTACATATATACAGAATAGTATACCAGTGGAATTTTTTTTTAAAAAGTTTCAGAGTCTGAAAGCAGGTTAGCAGGATATAACCTAAGGTGATAGACACACACAGAAAGAGAAACTTAGTTTGAATAAACATAGAAGAGGAGAGGTATTCCCAATTTCATATTGTTTTCTGAATCAGACTGAGAAACTGCTTATAAAATATTAAGTAGATCTGATAGTCTAAACATTGAAGATATACTGAATATTAATATACTAAATCTCTTGACCGCCGTGCATGATTTATGAAATATCCTCTGTATCCAAAAGGATGGAAGATTAAAAAACAATAACATTTTTACTTATATACTGAACACTTTGGTCCACTTAACACTTTTACAATTTATGAACTACCTTCATCATCATCTCATTTGCTTCTCCCAGCAGCCCTTTTAAGTAAGCAGGCTAGGTACATTTTTCCTACTTCTGAGATGAAGAAATTATGCATAGGACAACATAGTGAATCCATGGCAAATCCATCAACAATCTAGGAATTTTCTGAATGCTGCTTCTATACCTTTTCTTTATAAGAATCCACAGTTACTCTCTAAATGTTATTGGATACATATGGAAGGCTCCAAAAGGATTAAGAAAAAAATAACCAGTTTTACATATCTTCTGCGCACTATGAGGTTCACCTAGGAGTAAGCATTTGTATTAGTCTGTTCTCACACTGCTAATAAAGACGTACCCAAGACTGGGTAATTTATAAAGAAAAAGAGGTTTAATGGACTCACAGTTCCGCCTGGCTGGGGAGGCCTCACAATCATGGCAGAAGGTGAAAGAGGAGCAAAAGCACATCTGACATGGTGGCAGGGAAGAGAGAGTGTGCAGAGGAACTGCCCTTTATAAAACCATCAGATCTTGTGAGATTTAATCAGTATCACAAGAACAGCATGGGAAAAACCTGCCCCCATGATTTGTTTACCTCCCACTGGGTCCCTCTCACAATACATGGGAATTATGGAAGCTAAAATTCAAGATGAGATTTGAGTGGGGACATATCCATATCAGCATTGAAAAAATCTATATGGCTTTTTTCTCCCCAATCAATTTTTTAATTATGAAAATTATCATACATACAGACTTTTTTTTTTTTTGAGATGGAGTCTCACTCTGTTGCCAGGCTGGAGTGCAGTGGCGCGATCTTGGCTCACTGCAACCTCCGCCTCCCGGGTTCAAGCGATCCTCCTGCCTCAGTCTCCCAATTAGCTGGGACCATAGGCATGTACCATCACACCCGGCTAATTAAAAAAAAATTTTGTTTACAAGTAGGGCCTTGCTAGATTGTCCAGGCTGGTCTTGAACTCCTGGCCTCAAGCAATCCTCCCACCTTGATTTCTCAACGCACTGGGATTACAAGTGTGAGCCACTGCACCCAGTTACCTGCCACCTGCTATTGCATGTAGATAAATTTCTAAATAGAAAGAAAGGAATAGATGTAATCAGTTTTCTTATCAAGAAGGAAGAATATTCTGTTTTAGCTGAGATAGTGTTGATGAGGAACGGGATTGCTTCCTCTGTGGAAAAAGGCATGATGACAGAGGACCCCCAAAATTGATTCATTGTGGAGACATTGGCCTTTCCAATTGTCTTATGACAGTAAGCCAATTTTATCCCTAGTAGGAGTCCTCAAGGTAAAAGGCACAGAGTATAGAACATTGGTCTCATTTTATCAGGCAAGTTTAACATACAACAATGTTGCTCAAGGGACAGTGGAGGAGGATTGATTTTCTCCTGAGTGATGCTAGCCTATTAAGAAGTGGGCACTCTTTGAAATTTTGGTAATAGTAATTGAAAGCTTAACATTTTTTTCTGAGCTTATTTCATACTATATAGTATTTCCAGGAGCAGAGAAAGCCATATGAAAATAAAAGGCATTGAACAATTTTTAAAATGTATTCATTCGATCAAAATATTATTAAGGACTTATTTGTATCAGGCACTTTGCTGGATTGAAGGTGGATAATTTATTCTCAAAGAGCTAACCGTCTCTTCACTAAATATAACAACGCTATAGAATGAGATTTTTTAAAAAAACAGCATTGCAAGTATGTAGAGAATATTATGGGAGCCCAGAGAAGCAGCACATGCCATGCCACAGACTGGCGTAGGAAGGATTCCTGGAGGAGGGCGTTCCTGAGCCTGCCTCAAAATAGGCAGAAGAATCAGTGTTACCAAGAGGGAAGGGATCAGGAGACCACTAGAGGGGACAAGATGAGCAAAATGTGTGCAGTTAAGACACTGCACAGTTTATTTGGGAGAACTGGTGAAAACCTGTTGTGTCTCGGAGAGAAAAGGAGATGGTGGTAGATAAGGCTAAAAAGGTGGGCAGAGAAGCAATTAGATATCAGCTCCTGTGCCAGGGAAAGAGTTTGGATTTTATCTTTTAGAGTTTAAAGAGATTCTTAACTTTTCTGGGTCATAAACCCATTTGAGAATGTGATAAAAACTGTCAACCTTCTCTCCATAAAAATGTACCTTTATAAACGCACTTAAAATTTTAAATATTATCTGAGGAGTTTATAGAAGCCCTGAGCCTGTCTATCCATGGACTTCCCCTTGGGAACCAGCTATTTCAGACAAATTCTTACGTACCTCATTGTCCTATAAGTTAGCATGGAGAGGGTTTAGTGATATTCATAGATAGGAGCTTCACATTTAGTTATCAATAACAATTATCAAACGTGGGGAGCAGCCAGGCTCTTCATTCATAATGAAAATAGTGATCATGGCTAATGCTGACAGAGTCTCACCATGTGTCCAGCGCCATGCTGAGTGATTATGTATATTAACTTGTTTGTTTTTGTTTTTTGTTAACTTGTATAACAAGCTCACAACAATTCTGTAAAGTAGCTATTCTTATTTTTCCAATATCTCAGGTGAAAAAACATAAGCACAAGGTATTATTTACAGCTAGCAAGGTACAGAGATGGCATATACCCAGCATTCTGGTCACACAGGCACTGTTTCATGCCCTTAATTGCTACATTATCCTCTCCCTGAGAAAAACAAATTGAAGCAGTTTCTAATGACAAGAGCCTAGACCAATTGGCCATAGATACAACTCAGTATGCAGATCTTACGTTGTGTTCATTGAACTTACATCTTAGATGTACAGATTGCTGCCCTTGAAAGCACTAGTTCATTGTGGCTACATTCATGACAGAACTTTGAATAGGTTAAATGTGGCTTTAAGATTATTAGCAGCAACACTTAATGCTGCATGTCATCCAGGTTGTCTTAAAGAATTTTATTTCTAAAGCTAAATAGTGTATAATTTTTAAAAAATTATCCTTAACATACACTTCATTTAAAACAATTTATGAAACCAACTCTAACTAGAACTTAGCATAAAATTTGATGTGCAACATTAATAAATCGATGCTCAAAATTTCATTCTCTGTTCCTTTTATCTACAATGCTTTTTACTTGGAAATGTGCATTTATACCCCAAAAAAGAAGCTACATGAACATCTCAATAGATGTAGAAAAAGCATTTAACAAAATTCAGCATCTGTTCATGTTAAAAACTCTTAAAAAATAAGTATAGAAGTGAAAAACAAGTTTATTGCAACAGGGCTCTTCTAGAAAGGAACTAGACACAAAGAAAGGGAAGCATTCATAACTGAAATGGAACTAGGAGACTGTATATCATATTTAATTAGAGCATAGATATTTCATAAGCGAGTGTATGAAGAAGCAACATGGCGTCACAATCCGGTGGTTTGTTAGGGCTGGAAATTTTAAATTACTTCATACAAGTTTAGGTGTTCTGGGGCTTCTGACTCTGAGTGGGAAGTTTGAGGCTTGACTGTGGTGGTATACTGACTGCCAATCCTGAGGAACTCTGTCAGTCTCAGTGTCTTCATTTGTAAGACTGAAATGATTCACATTAATTTCATGAAAATTAAAATGTTTAGGGCCATGCATATAAAATTACTATTGTGTTTTGCTTTTGTTTGGTTTCTTTACTTTGGGCTTCTAGTGGAAATAGTTGCATTAATCATGCTCCTTATTTCATGGCACGTTATCATCACTGATCACTTTGTTTCATTGTTTGGTTTGGATTTGCTGATTATTTTTTCTGTCGTTCTCTAGATTTCCTTTACATTACATAGGAAACCATCGTAATATATCATTTTATCTTTTTGTTTGTATGTGATTTGCAAAATATATTTTGTTTTTATGACTTTTTAAAGATATTTTTATACATACCAAACCATTCTACTATAAAGACACATGCACATGTATGTTTATTGCGGCACTGTTCACAATAGCAAAGACTTGGAAACAACCCAAATGCTCATCAATGACAGACTGGATCAAGAAAATGTGGCACATATACACCATGGAATACTATGCAGCCATAAAAAAGGATGAGTTCATGTCCTTTGCAAGGACGTGGATGACGCTGGAAACCATCATTCTCAGCAAACTAACACAAGAACAGAAAACAAAACACCGCATGTTCTCACTCCTAAGTGGGAGTTGAACAATGAGAACACATGGACACAGAGAGGGGAACATCACACACTGGGGCTTGTCAGGGGGTGGGGCGCTAGGAGTGGGAGAGCATTAGGAGAAATACCTAATGTAGATGACGGGTTGATGGGTGCCCCAAACCACCATGGCACATGTATACCTATGTAGCAAACCTGCACATGTATCCTATAACTTAAAGTATAATTTAAAAACCGTAACTACAGTGCCATTATTACACCTAAATAAAGTTAAAAATCATTACTTAATATGGTAAAATGTAGTGTTTATGTTTTCTCCATTGTTTGTTATGTTTTCTCCATAGTTTGAAAACATAGTTTATTATGTTTTCTCCATAGTTTGTTATTTGAATAGGGATCCAAACAACATCCACACGTTGCAATTGGCTATTTCTTTAAAATCCGTTTTAATCTATAAGTCTCTCTGTCTCCATTTTTTCTTCTTCTCCTTCTTTGTCTTATTCTTCTTTTTCTCCTTTAACTTTTTTTTTGAAAAAACATTGTCATTTGTTCTATGGAGTTTTCCAAAATCTGAACTGATTTTATGGCACTATGTCACTTAATAATTTCTGTTTCCTCTGTATCTGTGTAATTAATTCTAAAGCTGTAATCAGAACAGTTAAAAAATGTCTGTGGGGGAAGTTCTGATATAGGTGGTGATATGGTTTGGCTCTGTGTCCCCACCATTCAATCTCACCTTGAATTGAAATAATCCCATGTCTCGAGGGTGGGACCAGGTGGATATAATTGAATCATGGGGGCAGTTAATGCTGTTCTCCTAATAGTGAGTGAGTTTTTACAAGATCTGATAGTTTTATAAGTGGCTTTTTCTCCTTTGCGTGGCACTTCTCCTTCTTGCCACCATGTGAAGGATGTTTGCTTCCACTTCCACCATGATTGTAAGTTTTCTGAGGCCTAACTGGCCATGTGGAACTGTGAGTCAACTAAACCTGTTTCCTTTATAAATTACCCAGTCTCGGACGGTTCTTTATAGCAGCATGAGAATGGACTAACATGATAAATTGGTCCCAGGAGTGGGGCGCTGCTGTAAAGATACCTGAAAATGTGGAAGCAACTTTAGAACTGGGTAATAGGCAGAGGTTGGAACAGTTTGGAGGGCTCAGGAGAAGACAGGAAAATGTGGGAAAGTTTGGAGCTCCCTAGAGACTTATTGGATGGCGTTGACCAAAATGCTGATAATGATATGGACCATGAAATCCAGGCTGCGGTGGTCTCAGATGGAGATGAAGAACTTGTAGGCAGATATAAGAATTGTTAACGTGTACCCCTGTAGGAAACAACTTTATTAGCTCGAGTGCAGTAGTTATGTGCAGGTCCTTTTGCCTTTACTTTTACGGATTCTATTCATTTCCAAAGTTAGGTCAGTACCTTTCTTACCCCATACAATGAGGTTGTTCCATATATTTGTAATACAATTAGATTTTCTTGTCACAGTCTACATTCTTTGCGGAGATCCTCCAACTTTCTAAATGATTTTTTAAAATTTGAATACAATAACGTTCACTCTGTGTTGTGTAAAGCCCTATAGGTTTTGATAAATAAGAATCCTATAATATCATGTAGCCACCAAATACCATGAAGTATAGTTTCAAGACCCTAAAAATCCCTCGAGCTTTGCATATTCATTGCTCCCCACTTTTCCCATACACCAGGGAGACTGATCGTTTTAGTCTTCTTATAGTTTTTCTTTATCCAGAATGTTATATAATTGAAATAATACAGTATGTAGTCTTTTTAGAATAGCTTGTTTTGTTTAGTGATGTAAATTTAAGCTTCATTCATGTCTTCATGTCTTTTCTGACGATCTTTTTTTACTTAGCATTATATTTTTAAGATCTATCTATGTTGTTATGTCTGCATTGATTCTTTTCCTTTTAATAGCACTATGTGATGGACAACTAGTACATTTGCCCATCCACTCTCTGATGGATAGCACATTGCTTCAAAATCTTAGTGTCCCAACCCAACTCAGCTCTACTACCACAAATAATGTAATAAACAGACTCACATATATGCCCTTAAGGACCTGTGTATTTCTTTGGGATATATACCTAGGAAGGAAATTGTTAGAACATAAGACATGTCCTTGTTTTATTTGACTAGTGTCAGATTGCTATCTGGAATGGTCTTAGCAGGCCAGCAACATGGTTTTTTTTTTTTTTAATTTGTGTTTTAGAATTAGCCCCATTTCCCCACCAACATTTCATATTATCAAAATTTCTGGATATAAGTATATAGGAATCATGTGGTAACTCACTGTATTTATTTAAATTTCTATAATTACTAATGAGTCTGAACACCTCTTCCTGTGGGTACTAGATTTTACCCATATTTATATGTAGATGATGTATTTTTTAAACTGATTTGTAGTTGTTCCTTGTATATTTTAAATATGAATATCATGTCAGTTTTTAACATTACAGAATACCTTTTCTAACACCATCATCGGTCTGTTAGCTTTGTTCATGATGCCCTTTGTTGAACAGATTTATCAGTTTAATCTTTGGCTTGTTGGATGACGGTACGATTTACAAATATTCTGAAAAATGAGAGAGAAATAGGGTAGGCTAGAGTGGGGAACAGGAGTTTCTGTTTGGCTGTATTAGGTTAGAGATGCATTGAACCTTCAGGTAGAATTCTTAAGCAAGTAGTCAGACATGTGAATCTGGCATAAAGATGAGGTTTTGTTAGTATCAACCTTTAAAATTGTTTTTTTGTTTCTTGAAGGTTTTCTTCTTTTTTTTAAACTGGACTTTGTTGTTTAAAGCTATTGACAAAATTTCTACTTAATAAATTGGAGCTGGGAGCAGTGGCTCATGCCTGTAATACCAGCACTTTGGGAGGCCGAGGGGGGCAGATCAACTGAGGTCAGGAGTTTGAGACCAGCCTGGCCAACATGGTGAAACCCCATCTCTACAATAAATACAAAAATTAGCTGGGCATGGTGGCATGCACCTGTATTCCTAGCTACTCAGGAGGCTGAGGCAGGAGAATTGCTTGAACCCAGGAGGCAGAGGTTGCAGTGAGCCGAAATCGCGCCACTGTACTCTAGTCTGGGCAACAGAGTGAGACTCCATCTCAAAAAACAAAAAAAAAAAAAAGGAAAAGAAAAAGAAAAGAAATTGCAGAAGGCACTTTGAATTGCATCATAGTGGATTTTTTTATTTTGCTACATATATAATTTTTATCATATTTTTTATCCCAAATATTTAATCAATATATAGTCACGGTTCCCAAAGAAATGTGCAATTCCAACCCTATGTGTCCTCTTCCCCTCTGGCCCCCTTAGCTTGTTTCAAGGGTTCTCTGGATATATTTCATAGAACATTTTACTGTTCCCTTTGTAAATGGTGATATTTCTCCATTTTACATTTAGATTCTAAGAAACAGTTCAAGGTGACTCTCATATTTAAATTGAATATGGAAATAGATATTTTTGATGCAAATTTATAATATGTTCATGGGATTAAGTTATCAAGCATTGAATATTATATTTTCAAGACCATCTTCCTTGAGAAGAAAATGTTTATAGACCTGTAGGTGCGTATCCTTTTTTACATGGTAAAAAATACTTCAGAATTATTGTTAATAAAAATAATACTTTAATTGATGAGGTTTTTTTCAATAGAAATAGGACACTTTCATACAATTCTTGTCAGGTCTTTGATGTTAGAAGTTGATCTTTGACAACTGGGCTTGAAAACAACAGAAAAAATATTTGAATCAAACATTAATAGTAATATACTTTTTTTTAAGGTTCACAAAGATAATTAATTTTAGATTCCTCTCACACTATATTTCTTTTTTACAGGATTTACTTTCCGTTTTCATATAAAAAATTATTCATATTATACACAATTGTATATCTGCAATTTGACTTTTTATAAATTGTAACCAATTCATTATCACATGTATGTACTTTTGGTTGTTGTAAATAATCCTAAAATCCTAATTAGGATATAAAATTATTAATACATATTTACAATTTATATCCTAAACTATATTTATAGTTTGATTTTTATTATGTAGGAAGAAAGTATATTGTCTTAGCTATTTAAGTTTGTAGAGGTAACATTGTCTCCAAAAGGGGATGTGACCATCCTAGAAAAGCTAAAATAAAGAAAATCTTCCTTTTAGGTACAGAGAAAGAAAAAAACAACAACAAAACAAAAATGCCTTGTATTGCTTTGCTGAGGACTCATAAAAATGACTGGTGGTGCTTTCAGGCATCATTCATCAGGTTTACATTTTAGAGAAAGAAAAAATCTCATTATCCACTCCGTACTCATTTAACTTTTAAGTGCTTAGAAGATTTGTCATAACCTAGACTCAAGCTCTGAAATGGTAAATCTTGACACATCTCAATTTTAGCAACTCATCTTAGCAGTGCTGAAACGCTGAGTGCTCATAGGTACAGGAGCTTTATATTCTATTTTGCCCTAATTCTTTCACATTTTTTATACATCACTCCTAACTTTATAATGTTGTTAGCTTTTACACCTTCCTTTATTTTAAAACTGGATTAGTCTAAAAGTTTCCTATTCAGTAAGAAGTACCAAATGAACTATTGAGCACGATGCATAAGCATTAACACATTTAATCGTGGAGGGCAAGTGAAGAGTACAATTCAAATGGGTCAAGAGAACTAGATTTCTATGAGGTCATTAAGCATTCTATTTACCTTAATTTTGTGCTCTTATGACACTGCCCTTTGCCATACCATGCAGACTTCTTATGCAGCAGAAACTGTAGAAGTTTAGGCTAGGGGAGAAGGGACTGAGAACCTATATGTTTTTGTTCATTAGTATCTGAAAAGTGATGAGTTAAAATGTGTGGCTACTTATCTTAAAAGTGTATATATATATATATATCATACATATCATTCTTTTACTTGCAAAAGTACATTATTTATGATAACATTTAGATACTAACTTTCCTCATTTGAGGAAGTAGTAGTAAAATGTGTGGCTACTTATCTTAAAAGTGTATATATATTATATATATATATGTCATACATATCATTCTTTTACTTGCAAAAGTACATTATTTATGATAACGTTTGGATACTAACTTTCCTCGTTTGAGGAAGTAGCAGCACTCTTTCCCTTCAGAATACTTTTTTTTATAACTTGCTTAAATTGAATGAGGTCATTTATTAATACTCAAAGCTAATAAGGCATCATCCTGTAACTTTCAGAAGACGAATATAAGTAGAAACTATTTAATAGGGGAAAAACTGCCTGGTTTTTAAAACTTTCCTTTTATACTTTGTAATGTCAGATTTTTTTTCTTAACAAAAAGAAAGTTGGATAAGACAACTCCTTCAAAATGAATCCTAATTTATCTCTATTGGATGCATGTGCAAACCTAGCTCCTGTTCCACCAGTGTCCAAAGGTTATAAAAAATTGAACAGCTAATTTTTAAGTAGTATTTAAAATTCATTGAGAATGTAAAATGACCACAAAATTATATTTTTCCGATAACTTCTTATATCCACTGTGATGTCCAACTTAGAGTCAGAATGTAAGGGTTCACATTTTAATTTCTACTTGGACAGTATGCCCAAACTCTGTACTGTGAATGTATGTCATTTATGGAGATGCTAGGATGTAAAAGCATTCAAATTACGGTGCTTTTAAGACAAACAGCAATTTGGTATTATTGGTTATTCTTTCTCCTACACTAGGCACTATACCCATTTATTTGGTCTATGTTTTCACAACAGCCTTGAGATTTTCGGAAAGTGACCTAACAATCCTGTATAGACTGGTCTTAGGATGGGGACCAAGGCTGAACCTGGGTAATATGGACAGAGGTGAATTTGTAGTAATGTGTTTCATGTAAAAGCAATGCATACAAGTTTTGACCCATCTTCTGCTTTTTGTTTTTTTTCTATTGGCTTGTCTGGCAAAATTAGAGAATAATTAAAGGTGAAAAACAAAGCCTCCTTCCTCATACAGCATACCTGTTTAAAAATGGAAGACTATAAAACTAATTTCACTCATCATAACAAGAAATATATCTATGATAGTAATTGAAATAGTGTGCAGCTTGATCTCTCATTAATACTTTGGTAATTTATAAGAAAATAACAGTATCAAGAAAATGTGAGGTCCATATTATCTTATGTTTTTTCACTGCTTCCCCTCCCAAAAACATACCATATTAGAAGTCAAATTATAATCAGAGGGCTGATGGTCAAGAAGGAATTAGCGTGATAGGAGTGAGAGGAAACCGATGTATGATAGTATCAGATTTTAGGAAAATTGATGTGCTCATTCTCATGCTGGGGATATTCCTCCCAGTGGGATGGGAATGCTTGAAGATGAGAGTCTTCTGTCTACTCCCCTTTTTATCCTCCTCCACATGAGGGTTGATTTTGCTGATGTGGCTAAAATACTTGAAGTCAGAGGCACCACGAAGTCTAGTTCTCTACCCAAGGTTACATTAATAGTTAGAGACAAGATGTGGCTGGATGGCAAATGCCTTTCAAGGTATGTTTATAACCAGGGAATCCTAGAATTATTCTGCCCATTTCAGGTCACATTTTCCTTTCAGGCATGTACAATATGAAAATCTTAATTCAGCAATGAGGCCATTGGCCTTGTTTTAACCTGCACATTGTAAGAATATGGGTTATATAAAGCGGCAGAGGAATGATCGTACCTGGACTGCTAAAATCTCCGTATTCAGAGGGTAACTTCACAAAATTTGGCAAAAATAATTGAAGAGCAGTGGATGACATATTTAATTATCTCTTTCTCTCAATGAATTTGTTGATGAGTTTCAGTCTATTTCACTCTGGGGGGTAGAACTACCAAATAAGACATTTTGATTAAAATATAAAAAATAAAATTCAACAAGTCTGTAAATGACTATTTCAGTGTCTCTAGCAATGTGTAAAGGAGCAGGACTGTATTTCTCAATGAAGGTAACTTTTTAGTATCAAAGTTAGAATTTGACTGTTTTGAGATTCTGCATTGAGATGTGAAGTTATCTGTTAATTATTTTACTTGAAAGTGTATTTTAAAAGGAAGATGAGCTGTGTCCCCACCCAAACCTCAACTTGAATTGTGTCTCCCAGAATTCCCACATGAGGGGTAATTGAATCATGGGGACCGGTCTTTCTAGTGCTATTCTCGTGATAATGAATAAATCTCACGAGATCTGATGAGTTTCTCACGGGTTTCCACTTTTGCTTCTTCCTCATTTTCTCTTGCCACTGCCATGTAAGAAGTGCCTTTTGCCTCCTACCATGATTCTGAGGCCTCCCCAGCCATGTGGAACTGTAAGTCCAATTAAACCTCTTTTTTTCCCCAGTCTTGGGTATGTCTTCATCAGCAGCATGAAAATGGACTAATACAGAGGAAATATACCTTTACCTGTGTTTCTTACTTGGAGGAAAGTGTCAGTCATTTTCAAAATTTTGAATTATTTAAAATTAGGTCAGTGATGTCACAGTAAGTTAACTTATATTGAGTAAAGTTGATTTTCAATGAGAAACAGTTATGGTGTTAGGTGACAAAAAAGATTTCTACACCAAAACAAACCCAACCATATTCTGGCCTAAAACTTACAAATAAATACTTCTTGGAAATTTAAGCCAACCATTTTATGTTATGGAAAAATCTTTTGACCTTCTCAGTAAGATTTAACAAAAGTTTTTTTTTTGTTTGTTTTTAATGACAGAGTACAGGATTAGTATAGGTTAATTAATTTGTTAATTTATTGTTTGTTTTATTTATTTATTTTTTGAGATGTAGTTTCACTTTTGTTTTTCAGGCTGGAGTGCAGTGGTGCCATCTCGGCTCACTGCAACCTCCCCCTCCCCAGTTCAAGCAATTCTCCTGCCTCAGCCTGCCGAGTAACTGGGATTACAGATGCTCCCCACCATGCCTAGCTAATTTTTGTACTTTTAGTAGAGACGGGGCTCACCATGTTGGCCAGGCTGGTCTTGAACTCCTGACCTCAAGTGATCCGCCTGCCTTGGCCTCCCAAAATTCTGGGATTACAGGCGTGAGCCACTGCGCCTGACCAGTATAGATTAATTTATAATTTATGGTAACAGGTTTGTAAGTTTGTTTATCAAGAAGTAATGGCTAGCTCTGAGCTTGTTGTCGCAACACTCTTGTACTAACGGAGGCCCATTATTTCAGGGTTCTTCTTGTTTCTAACACTGACACATAGTCTCTGTCTTTACTTACTTATTTCTTAATTTCTCAGTTATATTTTGAGCTACTCTAAGGATTGAGACTAATCATGTTCTGTTTTCTGTATTCCTAATCCTTGAATATCTTTCTAAATCCTTATTTACTTGTATTCAAACTTTTACAGTTCCATACCAAACATTCCCTTTTATAGAATATGACATTAACTTTGGGAAAAAAAGGCCAGACGCGGAGGCTCATGCCTGTAATCCTAACACTTTTGGAGGCCAAGGCGGGCGGATCACCTAAGGTCAGGAGTTCGAGACCAGCCTGGCCAGGAGTTCAAGACCAGCCTGGCCAACATGGTGAAACCGCCATCTCTATGAAAAATACAAAAATTAGCCAAGTGTGGTGGTGGGCGCCTGTAATCCCAGCTACTCTAGAGGCTGAGGCAGGAGAATCACTTGAACCCGGGACATGGAGGTTGCAGGGAGCTGAGATCGTGCCACTGTACTCCACCCTGGGGGACAGAGCCAGACTCCATCTCAAAAAAAAAAAGGAAAAATGTACTCCTCTTTTTAGAATAAACTAATAATATTGGAGAGAACAAAGCTACTAAATATATTAATACTTCATGGCAACATGAAACCATTACCTGCATGGTTACAAGTCAAATGCATGGAATGAAAGCAAAGTTTTTCATCAGTCAGTGGTTGTGACTCTTACACTAGCTTTCAACTCTTTCCTGTTAACCCTTTGTTGTAATCCCCTATTCTCTGTTTGCATATTTTTAATGCCTCCCTTTTTGCTCGTTCAAATTCCAAAGAAGAATATCTTGTGTTTACATGACAACTCTATGCTGTTGAACAGCTCAGTGGGATACTTTTGTCCCCACAGCCATTTAGGCACCTAAAGTGTTTTAGGCTCTATTATTATCAACATAGTTTCCAGAGTTAGCCAGGGTTCATGTCTATTTCACACAGTTAAAAAAAAAAAAAAAGGAGAAATGAAGGCATGCACATGGAAGGCTGAGAAGCAGTGTGCATCGCACCTCGCATTGGCTACTACGGGCCACTGCTGGGGAGTCTAGGATGTACCCTAGCCTCCTTTGCCACGAAGCTGTATTAATATTCTCTAGCAGATACCACATTTGGCAGAGTAACTACAACTGGGGCTACTACTTGGTTGAGTTTGTAGTACTTCGTCATTCTCTCACATCTTTCTGATTTTTGTTGCTGACCAGAGTAAAGCATTAAATGAGGATGTGAGGGAGTCACTCTTTAAGAGTGACTCTGATCTCTTTCTCTCCTGGATTCCATGTTATCTTTAAATTATCTTCTTAATGAGGAGGAGAGAGAGGAGTGACAGTTTCAGATGCTTCTACCTGGCCTTCCTCACTATAGTAGCTTTTATCCCACAGGCCAAGGAACCAGTGTGGAAATTCTGCCAACTATTGAGTATGTTCATTCTAACCATATAGTCAAGCACCAGATAGTTCATGGACTGAGTGGGCTCACTGTGAGCCAGACTAGGTCACGGACTCCGTTTATTACTCTCCCTACCCCATCTACCCCCACTTTGACAGTGGGCCACAATGATGCTTCAGGTCCCTGGGTCTTAATATCAACTCAGGTTCTTATTCAGCAGTGATGGTTCATCTCCATGCAATGTATGGATGTCCTCCTTTGCCCAGTGGTTACCCCAGAGGTTCCCATGGTCACCTCAGTAAACACTTGTGGATCTCTTTAGGGAAGGACTAGGGAATCATCAGTTATATAAATGAGTGGACAGAGTCCTTCCTCCTGAGAACTCATCCTCTCTTTCAGTTTATACTGAAATATATACCATTGTTTATACTTCTGAGAACTGGCTTATGGCCAGAAATGGGGCAAAAGGTCATGAATTTATTAACTGATTTATTTTAATCCTATAAATGAAGCAATATTTCTGTTGCAATCCATTTATCTTGTCTCCTGGAACTTTGTGTCCTAGTAACCATCTCCAAAGTTTTTTGCGGTTAAGGTGCCCCTGGCTGTAACTAGTCTTGTCACTAGTTCTGATAATTGAGCCTACCCTGCTTTTGACAGTTAGTGGCCATCATCTGGTCTGTTATGGTAGGATCCTGTCATCTCAGTTGCTCTCCTGGAGCCCAGTTCTGTGTAGCATCTTCTACCATTTGCATCTTTTCTTACCAGCCTTAGTCTATAGAGGACAGCTTCCACAGGACTTCTTTTGGATGCTGGTATCCCTTTCACTAGCTCATTCCTTCTCACTTTTGTCCTCCAGCTTCTCATAGAACAGAGTTAACTGATGGACTTTGGCTTCGGGTGGCATATCTACTCTAGCGTGCTCACTTCTCTGAGCCTTTGGATCCCTTCCATCCTTCGCCATTTGCCATTGAAATTCTAGAAATTTAAATTTCATTTACAGTAAACCATCACTTCTTCCCAACTTTCCAGAGCCAACTGGAGTTTTATTACCACTGTCTACTAGAGTCCTCTGTAGGGTGGTACATTCTCTGTCATGCCAAAGTGCTTCATTATCCATAAACTAGCCCTTATCTTACCTTAGGTTTCACCCTGTTTGATCCAGCATCTTTGGGGACCAGTCCTTAGCTCTATTGGAATGTAGTCCCTTCTTCCCTCAGCAGTGCCAGCCCTTTCATGGCTGGGTTATGTTGGACCTTCACCTTTGTTATTGAACTGGTGGCCAGGAGGGGATAAGAGGGGTAAATCTGGAAGGGTGACATGTTCCCTTATAAGGCAGAGGTTCTAAATAATCTCAAGGAGAAGGGGAGTGCTAGCTGTTAACTGGAAAGAAAGAGCCACTTCTGAAATCTGTAGATTTCAGATGAATCAAGCAATGCAAAGCTTTTTTTTATGTATTTATTTATTTTTATTATACTTTAAGTTTTAGGGTACATGTGCACAATGTGCAGGTTTGTTACATATGTATACATGTGCCATGTTGTGTGCTGTACCCATTAACTCATCATTTAGCATTAGGTGTATCTCCTAATGCTATCCCTCCCCCCTCCCCCCACCCCACAACAGTCCCCGGTGTGTGACATTCCCTTTCCTGTGTCCATGTGTTCTCATTGTGTATATACCCAAAAGATTATAAATCATGCTTCTATAAAGACACATGCACACGTATGTTTATTGCGGCACTGTTCACAATAGCAAAGACTTGGAACCAACCAAAATGTTCAACAATGATAGACTGGATTAAGAAAATGTGGCACATTTACACCGTGGAATACTATGCAGCCATAAAAAATGATGAGTTCATGTCCTTTGTAGGGACATGGATGAAGCTGGAAACCATCATTCTCTGCAAAGTTTTTTGAGTTCTTGAACTCAGATTTTCCTATTCTGTTTTTCTGGGTCCTACTCCTTCCCAGTTAGTTCCCTGACCTCGATGTAGCAGACTTGGGAAAAAGAATATGCTGAGAATTCAACCTTCAAGGGAGCTCTGCTACCTATAATGAAGTCCTAGACCTAATCCTCAGCTTTTGATACCCTGCAGGAGATGGGTTCCTTTACAGACTTCCAAGGACGTTCACTGGATTTAGTGCCATTCATACCTACTCATTGGAGTTCTCTATCATGTGTGCCTTACAACAGCACATGTATAGTGCTATACAATGAACTTTCATTCATATCGCATGTTGTGACAACTGCTGCCTTTTGAATTGATGCAAGTGCTTGTTCTCATATTAAAACCATCTCAGTTATTGGCCATGACAAATATTACCTCAATTTTGAAAATTAAGGAATTGAGACACAGAGAGATTAATTTAACTGTCCAAAGTCACACAGCCAATAAGTAGCAGAATAGAACTTGTTCCCAGGTAGCCAAATGCCAGAGTCTATGCTGATTCTCACTACAATGATGCTGATTCTCTTGGTGCTGTTTGATGCCAACCAAGTATGAATTGAAACTTAAATATAGCAACTGAAATCAAATGCCAGTATTTTATGATAAAACAGACATCTGGATGAACCTTAATATGATTATATTAATTTTATTGAGATAAACAGCTAAATGAAAAAGCAGCATTTCATTATTTTTATAAAGGGTGTATTGATAACTCGTGAGTTGAAAACATGGCAGCAGATTAAAGATTCCTGTTTTTCACATTGTATGGCTTTCAGACTGTTCACCAGGTGTATAAGCACATTTCAGAAGAAATGTCCAGCTACCGTGACTGAGCTGCTAAATGCCAAATATTTTTAAATAATGTTACTAATTATTACAATAAAGAGTTCCCATGACCTACTTCTTAATTGGCCCTGCAACAATTACTGATATCTCATAGAGAAAAAAACACAAGATTTTTTCCTGTCTTACTCTATTTGTCCTTAATTTTACTTTTTTTTCTAAATTGTTAGTTGCCTATGCATCTGTGTGACTATTTTCACTTGCCGTTGTGTCATCAGCTGGTATTATAGTGAGCCAAAATTATCCACATCTTCTTAAGTATGGAACAGCTACATCGTCATAGAACTTATAGTGATGGACAGTCACTAAGTTTGCGATTGCGTTAAATTTGAATTTGGAGAACGAAAGAAGAGAGGTTATTAAAATGCCAGGGACACACAAGAGCCGGACCTTTTTTAAAAAAAAAATCTCAAAGGCAGTTTCTTATAGATGACTTTAGAAATTAAGCCCTAAAAACATCCTTGGTGCACTGGTCTTTCTAAGTACTGGCATTCAGCAATGAAAATGCAGTGCTTTTCTTGTCCATGTCTAGAGGAAAAAAGCACTATCAGTTATTTAGAATCTGATTTATACCTTAAGAGAGTGGCTGCCACTCTCTGTGATTTCAGGGAAGTCGGGTATCAAGGAGCAATTTTCAAAGAATTGAAAGCCGATGCAGGGTTATGAATAAACTCTGAGAGGTTTGACCTTCCCTGTCAAACGATAAGGCCATAAATATGTTGGTAATTCTGCTTTGTTGTGAGCACCTGTTCTTTTTCATCATTGTGGAGTTTCTAGGATACCAAAAATTGATAACTGTAAAACTAAAATATTTTATTGTATTAAAAATACTAGAAAAGTAGACAATACAGGGTAGAGAACAGTTTTTTGCATGTTCCTTTTGAAATGTGTCTGGAGTTGGACCATCCAATTTTGAAAACTTTACAAGGTCCAATCAAATTCAGTATAACAGTATGGTCATATTTTACCATTTATTTGAATGAAGACAGCATAAGTGGTTTTTGGACAGGAACGGAGATAGTTAATGTATAATATTTTTAATGCTTTTTTCCCCAGTATGCCAAATTCATTATGACATGTGGTTCATTCTTGTTCAGATGGAGGCTTTGTCAGCAATCACATACAGTACAGTGTGTTTGAGCATTTTCAGTGCTGTTAAGCGTAAAGTGTTCTGTTTTAATGATTATGTTTCCATCTTCATTAAATAACTGTTGAGGAACCTTTATTCTCTGACTTCACTATTACCTTTCTCAGACTGATAGCCCAGGAGAAAACAAAGATAAGCAGGGGAAAAAAAACAGTCCAGATAACTCCCAGAGAAGAGGAGGGAAAATTGGTCATTTTCTTTTATTTTAGAAACAAAAATAAATAAATAAAACTTCTTATTTTTTACAATTTTAAGAGACCCTTAAACTCTTTTGAACAAACACATAAAAAAACACCAAAAATGATTTTTCTGTTTTATGGTGGCCTAAAAAAGCAGAAAGAGCACAAGGAATGACAAGGAAAAAAGGCAGTGGGCATACAAAGATAAAATAGTGCAGACAAAGCCATCTGGAGAGGGACAGCAAGAGATTGAGAGTGTGTTAGTTATCCATTGCTGTGTAACAAATTGCCCGAAAACTTGGTGGCTTAACACAACAGTAAACATTTATTATCTTTCAAAGCTTCTCTGTGGGTCAGGAATTTGGTCTTAGCTGGACGTTCCAAGCTTAGGGTCTTGTATAGCTTGGTTGTCCTGGTGTCAGGCATCAGATTCCATGTGGCTGACAAGTTGGTACCAGCTGGTGGCAGCGATGGGTGTGAGGTTGGATTCCTCTCAATACGGACCTCTCTAAAGGGCTGCTTGAGTGTCCTCATGACATAAGGATTGGCTTCCCCCAGAGCAAGTAATCTTCAATAGCAAGCAAGAGGGCAGCTGTATTTTTTTTTTAATGATCTAGCTTCAGAAGTTACAATACACCCGCACTTCTGCAGTGTCCTGTTGGTCATACAGGTTAGCTTATTCGGTGCAGGGAATGCAAGGGCACAAATACCAGGAGGCAAGGTTCACTGGGCGCTGTTTTGGAGCTTGATTGCCACAGAGAAATAGGGAAGAGAGTGGTAGACAAACACAGACACACAGACCTTTATGAACAGGAGAGGGGAGAAGACTGGGTAGTTGAGTCAAGTCCAGGGTGAGGGTGATCATGTTCTCCTGAAGTGCGCTTGGTTTGTGACAAGTGTAAAGGCCGCTTAATATCAGTTGTTAATTCTAACCCAACTTGTCACATCTAGTATGCTTAATTGTACTCTCATTACAATAATCTTTCTAGCATCAAAATGGAAAGCTTAGTTGTATTAAGGCATATTTTTCTCAGAAATATTACCACAATTTTACCTTAAAGGATAAAAATCTATATATTTCCCTTCCAACACACACACACACACACACACACACACACACACCCCAGTATCAGTGCTTTTACATTTCTCATGTCAAAGTATCTGATATAGAAGAGGTATCAAAATAAGACCACTATAACAATGAAGATTGTAATCTACATAACTTGAAAGGAGTGTTTATTCTGACATTTTTGCCCAAACACAGTAGGTTGTAGGTTATGAAGTACTTCTCAAGTTGCTTTCAGAAGACAACTGTATCCCAACATTCAAGATCCCCAAAATGAGAGGCAGGTACACTGACTTTCTAAAAGTAAAAGTAATTAATTGTGTTACCTGTGATTTAATCCGTTTGTTTTCTAAACATAATGATAGCAGATGTTTTTGGAGCATTTACTCTTTGGCAGGCACTATTCTAAGGGCTTTGCATTTCAAGCCATTAAGTTCCCAAAGCAACGTTTTTATTCTGGTTTTGTAGTTAAAGAAAATGAAACTTAGACATGATAGAAAGGGATTGAAATCCATGAAGTCTTTCTCTAGCACCTACAATACTCTGTCTGTCTGTCTGTCTGTCTGTCTTTCTGTCTGTCTGTCTATCCATCCATCCGTCTGAGACAGAGTCTTGCTCTGTCACCCAGGCTGGAGTGCAGTGGCATGATCTCGACTCACTGCAACCTCCGTCTCCTGGGTTCAAGTGATTCTCCTGTCTCAGCCTCCCAAGTAGCTGGAATTACAGGCACCCGCCACCATGCCTGGCTAATTTTTGTATTTTTAGTAGAGACAATGTTTCGCCATGTTGACCAGGCTGGTCCCGAACTCCTGACCTCAGGTGATCCACCCGCCTTGGCCTCCCAAAGTGCTGGGATTACAGGCATGAGCCACCGTGCCTGGCTTACAGTACTCTTAATGGTCACGCTGCATGCAGGGTAGATTAACCCAGGCAAGTTCAAAAGAAGGATTCACTAACAATGACAGTGATTTCCTCAGACTCCATGGACAGAATCTATAGTATCCCCAGACTTCTCAAGAGTTAGAAAAAGAAAATGGAATGCTTTCTGAAACCTGGGAGTGTTTCTCTTGAGGGAAGGGGTCAGCCTGGAGGTAGGTGGGTCTGATTTACTTTTTAAAGGGATCATTTTCAACTGCTGGTTTGGGAACAGACTCTAGTGAGGCAAGAGGAGACCTTATTATGGCAAAGTGCACAGGGTGGTAATGAATGAGACTGTGAGATGTGATAGGAAGTGATAGGAATTCTGAAACTATTTAGAATAGGGTCAATAAGATTTCTTTATGGGTTAGATGTGGGGTATGGGAAAAGAAGAAATCCTTTGGCCTAAGCAGTTGGAAAGATGGAGTAGCTCTCAACTGAGATCAAAAGCTGTGAATGGGGTGGGTTTGAGGTAAAAGGTCAAGATATGTAAAATAGGCAATTGGACATGCAAAAGCAGAGTTTGGGAGAGAAGTCTGAGCTAGAGATCCAAATTTGGGATTCCACAACATCTAGATGATTGAGATCACAAAGAGTGTGAATATGGGCATATGAGGGAGGAGGATCTTGCTGAGAGTAAGGAGTTTAGACCCTCCATCATTGAGAGTTTGAAAAGAAGGGGAGGAGCCAGTGAAAGACACATGGGTTAAGAGGAAAATCAAAAGAGTGTGGTATTCTGGAAGCAAAGTAAAGATAATTTATCAAAAAGAGAGAATGATAACCCATTGCAAACACTGCTGATAGGTCAACTCAAATGAAAACTAATAGTTGACCATTGAATTTAGCAACTTGGAGGTCATTGGATTTCTCAGTGAAAGCCAGTTTGGAAGAGTGATGGGGGCAAAAGCTTATTTGGTATGACTCTAAGACAGTATTAGGTCGTTCTTGCACCACTATAAAGAAATCCCTGAGACTGGGTAATTTATAAAAGAAGAGGTTTAATTGGCTCTAGGTTCTGCAGGCTATACAGGAAGCATAGCAGCATCTGTTTCTGGGGAGGCCTCAGGAAGCTTCCAATCATGGCAGAAGGTGAAGGGGGAGCAGGTGCATTACACAGCAAAAGCAGAAGCAAGAGAGTGGGGGGCGGTGCCACACACTTTTAAATGACTAGATCTCACAAGAACTCACTCTCACAAGAATAGCATCAAGGAGATGGTGCTAAACCATTCATGAGAAATCGACCCTCATGATCCAGTCACCTCCCACCAGGCCCCACATCCAATGTTGGAGATTACAATTCAACACGAGATTTGGGCAGGGACAAATATGAAAACTATATCAAAGACAGAATAGAGGAGAAGAACTGGAGACAGTGAATTTAGACAGTGCTTTCTAGGAATCTTAATGTAAATGGGAACAAATAAATGGGGTAGTAAGGTGGTAGATGGCAGATGAAGAAGGTCAAGAGTTGTTATATGGAAACTACTAAGCTTAGTGTTTTCCTTTTCATAATATTTATTGTACTCCTACTGTGTACGTAATACTCCCAGCTCCTCAGGAGGCTGAGGCAGGAGGATCACTTGAGCCCAGGGGTTTGAGGCCAGCCTGATCAACGTAGCCAGAACCCATCTCAAAATTAAAAAAAAAAAAAATCAATAAGATCTGCTTCTCTCCTTGAGGCATTTATCTTCTGGTAAGGGAATTAGACTTGAAATAGTGTGTGTGGAGAGCAGAAGGTATGCAAGTAGCCCAGATTACAAGTTCAACAAAGGATTCTGAGAAGGATAGTGGATTCGGTGGCATCTGAACTGAGTGTTGGGACTTGTACCATCTGAATATTAAGCCTACCTGCTTTTCATTAATATTTTCTAAGATTGGGGGAGAGGAGAAGCAAAATTGTCCTGTTTGTTCTTGCTTTATGATACTGGATTTTTTTTAAAAAAATGACTATTGTATCTCAGTTTTCTTGTTCATAGCCCAGTTATTGATTTTGCTTTAACCATTCTTTGTGAACTTCTGGAAAACCCAATAGACATGTTTTGAAAACATGAATAAGTGTTTCACACAGACTTATCTGCATCCTCCGCATATTCAGTCACCAACACAGAACAGCGAAATGAATGGAGACATAACATAGTAAATAAAGAGAATGGGACATTCTATTGAAGATACATGGATGAGGTCAAAGAAGATAGGCATTCACTGACTTATTCATTCATGTACTGTATGAGTATTTATTATTTAGGATAAACTTTAGGCAAGGTCATGCAGAAGCTTCACTTGGAAAGTGAATATAGGGAACAAAAAGGAAGAATGGGGAAAAAGCAAGCAATGAGATAAATGGGCCAGACTGGTTTTTAAAGTTAGAGCCTAGAAATACATGATGACATAGTAAAAACAAGTGGGCTTTAAAATCACAGCATACTTGGGTTGAGATATCACACCTACTGTTACTAGTTGAGTTATCCTGAATGAGTTCATGACTGCCCTGAGTCTACAATCTTTATTTTAGCAGTAATTCTACCACACAAGGTTGTTACGAGAATTATAGTGCCCAGCAGAATATTTGCACCAAGCAAATACTCAAAAATTGTTTCCTCACTGCTATGGTCTGAATGTTTGTGTCTCCCCTCCCCCGTGCAAAACTCCTATATTGAAATCCTAAACCCCAAGTTTGGAAATGGGGTCTTTAGGAGATGATTAGGTCGTGAGAATGGAACCCTTGAATGGGATGGGTACGCTTCTCAAGGAAGCCTGAGAGAGACTCCTTGCCACTTTCCCCACGTGAGGACAGACTGAGAAGGTGCCATCTGTAAACCAGCAAGCAGGTGCTAACCAGACACTGAATCTGCCAGCATATGGATCTTGGGCTTCCCAGGGTCCAGAAATTTGAGAAGTAAATTTATGTTGTTTATAAGCTACCATTTTGTGGTGTTTTATTCTAGTTGCCCAAATAAAGTAAGATACTCATTTTTCTTTTCTTTTGTTTGTGTGGTTTTTTTTTTGTTTTGTTTTGTTTTGTTTTGTTTTGTTTGAGACGAAGTCTCGCCCTTGTTCCCCAGGCTGGAGGGCAATGGCGCGATCTCGGCTCACTGCAACTTCCGCCTCCCGGGTTCAAGCAATTCTCTTGCCTCAGCCTCCCGAGTAGCTGGGATTACAGGCGCCTGCCACTAAGCCTGGCTAATTTTTTTTTTTTTTTTTTGTATTTTTAATAGAGACAGCGTTTCACCATGTTGGCCAGGCTGGTCGCGAACTCCTGATGTCAGGTGATCTGCCCGCCTCAGCCTCCCACAGTGCTGGGATTACAGGCATGAGCCACCACGCCTGGACAAGATACTCATTTTTCGCCCCGTTTTTTCTTTAACTAGATCTTTCTCATTATTTCTTCCAGGTTACAGAGTTTGATAGTCATGCTGGTTTTCAAAATAAATAAATGCAAATTTGTTGTCTTTCCCTGCACACTTTCTTCAGGAACACTAACAATATCCCATGAGCATTATTAACACGAGTGAAAAAAATCACGAGACACCCAACATTCAGTTAAGCATGCTGAACATCAGCCATACCACATTCTCAGCTAGCAGAAACGCTGCCTGGAGTTTGATAATGAATAGGATCATTCCAGTAGTTCTCCCTACGGTTGAACCATCTCCCCGCTTATCCTCCATTCTCCTGCCAGTCTTAATGACTTGTAGCTTCTGAGATAACATCAAAGCGAAGTGCATGGGGATTGATGAATAGCTCATCTGACAAAAGATGGGGGGTTCAGGTAGAAGGGAATGTTAGTGCTTACAGTAATTGTGGGAAGCTGATTGTCTATTGAAGGGGACTCTCTTTGGTAGCTCTTTTATAGTAACAAAGTTGGAGCAGTTAATAATACAGGAAGAAAGTTGAAATATGTATTGCAGTAACAGCATTCCAATCAACTCTTTTACAATTATAGAAAATGTGGGAAATACGTTAGTATATTTAGAATCTGAATGAAATATTACTTAAATTATTACTATCACTAAAAAAAAGATAACATTGAGTTATCGCAGTATTTGGCTAAATTCATGTTGAGAATTCCAAAAAATAACTTGAAGAATTTCACATTGGGTTTAGTGACCAGATATTAGGCTTCAGAAGGAGTTCTTAGAACTTTTTTTAAAATGATGAACAAAGTAAAAGAGGTATGCTCTTATTTAAAAATTCATTTACTAAAAACTAGAGCTTCTGTATGACAAATTGGAGAAATGACTCTCCTTAAGATATCTTAATGTCGGCTGGGCACCGTCGTTCATGCCTGTAATCCCAGCACTTTCAGAGGCTGAGGTGGGCAGATCACGAGGTCAGGAGTTTGAGACCAGCCTGACCAACATGGTGAAACGCCGTCTCTACTAAAAATAAAAAAATTATCCAGGCGCGGTGCTGGGCGCCTGTAACCCCAGCTACTCAGGAGGCTGGGGCAAGAGAATCGCTTGAACCCGTGGTGAGGGTGGAGGTTACAGTGAGCCAAGATCGCACCACTGCCCTCCAGCGTGGGCGACAGATCGAGACGTTGACTCAAAAAAAAAAAAAAAAAGGAAGGTATCTTAATGTTTCATGGAGGTATAGCATTAAAATGTTTTTCTTTTCCCTTCTTTCTGCTAATATTTTACGTTAGTCTTATGAGGGCTAATCACACTTATTTTTCTTTAAAAATTACTGGAGCAAAGTGGCCAGGTTTTTAAAAAAATAAAAAGCAGAAAGGAAAGAAAGTGTGGGTTCAAATTAAACCTGGAGGAGCTGATAAATGGAGAAAAGTAAATCAACATATATAATATGAGTGCTTGAAATGCTATTCTTGGCACGTTCAACGTGTTATTTCATCCTGAAAATAACTCAGGGAGGTAATATTGTAGTCCGCATTTTACAGAAACACATAAAATTACATTTTAAGTGTATTTCAAGCACTAGTGACAGGGTCTTCATGATTATTGGTGTACAGTTTACTTGTATCCAATTAAGCAAACATTATCTAGATCGGGGTGTCCAATTTTTTGGCTTCCCTGGGCCACATTGCAAGAAGAATAATTGTCTTGGGCCACACATAAAATACACTGACACTAACATAGCTGATGAGCTTTAAAAAAATAGCAAAAATATCTCACAATGTTTTAAGAAACTTTACGAATTTGTGTTGGGTGACATTCAAAGCTGTCCTGGGCTGCATTTAGCCTGTGAGCCGCGGGTTGGGCAAGCTTGATCTTATCAAAGAATAATGGGTCTGTCTCTTGAGTCCTTTCAGTTCACCTGGACCTTCCCTCATCTACTCAGATACTGCGAGAAGATTTTTCAAAGCATATTGACACCTTTTCATCAATACGTTTTCTTTAAACAATGAAACAATCAGGTATTTATTTGATACATATGTTCCTTCCACTGTGCTGTAAGTCCAATAGAAAAAAAATTAGATTCTTGTTCTTCAAAGAAAGTTTATTCTTTTTAGGGATACAACATGAAACTATTTGAGGGATGCAATACAGTACCAAAGTGCTACATTTTGTAGCATAAATAATTAAAATTGTAGCATTCAGGAGGAAGTCATCTTTGCTATTTAGAACACATAGGGAGATTTCATTAAAAAAGTAAAGCTTGCATTTTGCTTTGATGTTTCTCTGGATTGAGGATGGAGAAACAGTATAGAAGCAGACAGGAGAGCATGGGCATCCTGATCAGATGCTATGTTAAGAAAAGCATTTATCTAAAGTAATTTGAAAACTCTGAGATCACACTAACTCAAAATATATCTTTCAATGCAACCTGTCCTGTTTCTGCTGTCAGTAACGCTTACTTCTGGGATAAATATTGTCTCTAGAAGTCATCATTTAAGATGTCTATATCTTTTGAAGAGGCCAAGGTTGGGTTTTTCTCTGACTGGAATAAAAGGAAGGCATGAAGATAAGATATGATCCATTGTAAAAAAGGCATAAATGCAGAGGTGATAACAAAGCAGAGACATCAGTGTCATGTTTTATTTTGTAATATCCAATGTGAAGCGATTGATAAGGAAATTAGCCTGTCATTAGAGTTATTTACTATCTCTAAATGTAGGCATTTCATACATGTTTTTGACTTTTGAATAAACAAACTAACTTAACTACATTAAGGTTTTCTTTTGGATAACTGTTGAGTATTGTCATTAACCCTTTAATAGTACAGCTAGCTCATGTCAGAACACGTATGTGATTTCAGCCAGAGGTTATTGACTAACTTCTAAAACAAAAATCAAATGGAAGTTATTAAGTTCAAAACATATTCTTGAAATGTTCTGACTATGGAAATATTAAACCAAAATATGCTAGTTTTGGGTGTTGTGTGAAAAATATTATTCCCAATCAACATTTTCCTAAGTCGATTTCATGAAATGAAGCTTCCATGGGAAATTACGAGATGATATTTGAGCAGCAGAGGAAGGTTCTGTGGTGAAGTAAATTTTGGAAATACTTATTCAGGTAAACAGGGTTTGTGTTTACTTGTTTTTGCTGCAAGATTGCCTAGAACATCTAACATGCTGGCAAAAATCGTGGTTTCCAAGAGGTGAATTGACAAAGCGATTTTTCCAATCTGTATTTGACCCTGGGAGTAATGTTCTATGGAAAGCACTTTAGAAAATGTTCTAACATGATTTGAAATTCTAAAAGCTATCTGTAGATAACATATTAATGCTTTTTCAAAGGGAACACCCCTCAATTTAATATATATACATGCAACATTAATTTGATACAGGCTATTTCAAATGAACCCAATACACTTTTATTTTGAATTCCACATTTGTGGAACAGAATCAAAGAAAATATATAAGACTTCCAACTCTGAGGTTTTACAACTACAAGTTCACTGGGGAGACCCTTTATCTTGTGACTACTTTCAGCTATGTGAGCAGTCACAGTATGAAAATATACCAGCACAAAACTCTGTTGTGTAGGAGAAGTAACCTTTTTTCCTGCTAAATATAATGTAGATACTTCTGTCTACTTCTTTTACTCTTCTTTCCTGCAGGCTATTTAATTTCCTGCAGTGTTTGTTGATAAATTTTTAAAGTACCTGGACCAGCTAACAAAAAATGAGCTACCAGAGACTGGCCTTGTGTTTAATCCGTCTACAGCAATATTTCATTCATACAGGGTCTAACCGTGTGCCACTAATTGTGGCTGCCATTAGCCTCAGAGTGTAGGTTCAGCATTAACAACAACTTGATGAATGCATGGCCACTTTATAAACTAGCATTGGCAGCTTCTCCTTGAATTGTTTACACTAAATCTAATGTGTTTATGTTCTTTTTCTGTTCAGTGCTTTCTGAATGATCTTGTTAATTGGCTGTATATTTTGCGATATCCACACTGAAATATCTTAGCACAAAACTTGGCATAGTTATTGGATTTAAGGATGTTGGTATGTAAACAGAATTTAGATATCTCTCTGATATTTTTCTTTCTTTTTTTTTTTTTTTTTTTTTTGTAGAGACATGGTTTCACTATGTTGTCTGGGCTTGTCTCCAACTCCTAGGTTCAAGTGATCCTTCCACCTCAGCCTCCTAAATTGCTGGGATTACAGACATGAGCCACCATGCCCTGTCAATGTTTGGTATTTTTCAAAGGCAAAATCTAGAGTCAGCTTTAATCTTTTCTCTCAGTTATGTCATTGTCCTTTGGAAAGTGGAGTTATAATACAAAACAAAGGGACAGCGATTTCTCACCCCTTCATATTTGTGTGTATTTTGTTCTACCCTGACATGACAGTCTAGGGAAATTAATACTGTTACGCTGTTTGTCTTTCACATGATCGTAGGTATGCTTTCCAGCACACATACCAAGCAACATCTGTGTTACCTTTCCCTAAATTACAATTTCATATTATTAAGGTTGTTAGATGTGTTGCAATAACCACAATTGGAAAAGCAACCTGACTGTGATTGATTTTTGTTCTTTCTTTACTATATAGGGCTGGCTTTGACTTCAAAGAGTTATCTTAGTTCGGAAAAGAGGCCAGAGCAGGAACCTGTGAAATGATTCATGGGAGAAGATGGAAGTAAATGATGAGTTCATGTGCCTCTAGTCTCCAGTAATGGCATAAATCCATAGGGAAGTTCTTTAATGTCAGCGTGTATGCCTGCCTGTGTCAAGTCACATATAGGCTAGCACATATTATGAATTAAGAAATCTGGGGAATGAACAAAAATTCCTTTATACAGTTGTTCATTTTCAAAAGATGTCATATAGACTTGAAGATACAGGAGGAAAATATTGCTCTCATTTAACCATAAAAACTGTATTTGCATTTTTATAAACACAAAGACCATTCACATATGGCTAAGCACCTTTTTGGAACAAGAGAAAACATGGTTAATTGATTGTGGGCTAAGGCCTATCTGTGACTTCTCAAGTCCACAAACGAGTTTATTCCCAGACTGAAAATTTTAAGGCCTGCTGATTCTTTAAAATAATGAGGAAGGCAATGAATATATAGCATGCTTACTACTATGTCATTTAAATCATTGGATTTTATAACAGCCCTCCTCTCCCTGGGAGAATAAAACTTAGCATGTATATGTGCTGTTTCCTTTGCATTATACGATACAAGTTGAAGAATACTCTCTTAGGGAGTTAATATCACAAATTGAAAAACACTTCCTTCTTTCCTTCGCCATTCTTAACAGAAGTCACCTAGGAGCACCAAACATGCTAACGTATTCAGCTAGGCACTGCCAAACCATTAAGCCGGCCACAGACAGAGGAAAGAAAATCATCAATTAAGAGACAAGAACTAACTGTAACACACTGAAAATAAGATAGCTCAAGAACACAGGAATTCCTCTTTGATAAGTGATGGAGAAGTCGCACTCTAACAACAGGTCTCATTGTCAGAAACACCGTTATCAGATGCAGAAGTACAGAGATCTGGACAAGGTGTACCTTCCTTTCCTTGTTCCACTGGTGCTCTCTTGAGCCCTCCACTCTCTGCCCCCAAAATGTCCAGAATGCTACAGGTTACCTATAACCCCTCTGAAATTGCTGTGTTTTCTGATGGGAACCCTAAGAGTACTGCCCTTCAACAGGAAACTGGGTGGCGATCCACCTACATGATAAGTCGTCACCAATTCCTGTTCCTTATCTGCTGAAGCTAATGTAATGCTAAGGAAATCCGAATTTCTAAAACATCTGTCTCATCAACTCCTTTTTTTTTTTTGAGATGGAGCATCGCTCTGTCGCCCAGGCTGGAGTGCAATGGCACAATCTCGGCTCACTGCAACCTCTGCCTCCCGGGTTCAAGCAATTCTTCTGCCACAGCCTCCCGAGTAGCTTGGATTACAGGCACCCACCACCATACCCAGCTAATTTTTTTTTTTTTTTTAGAGACAGGGTTTCACCATGTTGGCCAGGCTGGTCTTGAACTCCTGACCTCAGGTGATCTGCCCGCCTCAGCCTTCCAAAATGCTGAGATTACAGGCGTGAGCCACTGCACCTGGCCTCATCAACTCCTTCTATTAGAAAGAAGGTTTTGATACCTCTTTGAGCACTTGTTTTAAAAGTGTGCTATGTTTGGCATCTAGGGATGGTCATTTGTATTATGTTTAGTATATCTGTCTTCAGAGAGAATTATTTATATAATGGAGAATGGTAGGAAGAAACAAATCTCAAATTTGTGTGGCAAGCTATTCAATATAAATCAACTTGGGGCGGGGAGGAATTCTATACAAAAGGAATAAAGGCAGCTCTTACCTAAAAGAAAATAAAAACTTTTTTAGGAAAACAAACAAGCAAACAAACAAAAAACGCAAGGCCAGGTGTCGTGGCTCATGCCTGCAATCCCAGCACTTTGGGAGGCTGAGGTGGGTGGATCACTTGAGGTCAGGAGTTCGAGACCAGCCTGGCCAATGTGGTGAAACCCCATCTCTACTAAAAATATAAAATTAGCTGGGTGTGGTGGTGCCCGCCTGTAGTCCTAGCTACTCAGGAGGCAGGAGAATTGCTTGAACCCTGGCGGCAGAGGTTGCAGTGAGCCAAGATTGCAACATTGCACTCCAGCCTCGGCAACAGAGTGAGACTCCATCTTAAAAAAGAAAAAAAAAAAAAAAGCAGAATACATTGTAATGGCTGCTGAGAAGCAGCTGTCTTTGTGTGTTTCTCTTTGTGTGGTACCTTTCATTTAGGATAGGTTTCAAACCCACAGTCCTATTGCTGTGAGTTTGGTCTCTGGAATTGGCAGGTGTAGGTAGGAATCCCTTATCTGTGTGGTCCTATGTTAATCTCTGCAAGCTTCAATTTTCTCATAGTTGAAACATAATTAACAATAAGATATCAGATACTTTGTAAAATTATTGTAAGGATTAAGTCGGGTGAAGGTTCCTAGGATTATTCAGCACATATTGCAAACATTTTTTTGTGAGGATTAAGTATGATAAGCCGTGTGAGGGTTGTAGACGCATCCTGCCCAGGTCTTCAGTGCACATTAACATTCCTTCTCTCTTCCCCTTCTTAATGATCATTTCTTGTCTCCTTCAGGGAAAGCACAGGTTGCATGTAGACACTGGAATGGAGGGTGATTGGTGTGGCCTTATTCCTGTTGGACAGCCTTGTATGCAGGTTACAACCACAGGCCTCAAGTGGAACCTCAGTAAGTAGAACCTTTTCATAAAGGAATGATTTTTTTTTTTCTTTTTTTCTCTGTTTCTTTCTTTCTTGCTTTCTTTCTTTTTTTTTAATGTCTCTGTGGTCTATACCTAGGAGGAATTGCTGGGTCATATGATAACTCTATGTTTAACCTATTGAGGAACTGCCAGATTACCTTCCAGTGTACCTGAACCATTTTACATTTCTATGTGCAGTGTAAGAGTGTTCCAGTTTCCCCACATTCTCAACACTTGTTATTATCTGTTTTCTGGCTTATAGTTATCCTAGAGCATGTGAAGGTGGCATCTTATGGGGGTTTGATTTGCATTTCTCTGATGACTAATTATGTCGAGCATCTTTTCTTGTACTTATGGAACATTCATATATCTTCATTGGAGAAATGTCTATTCAGCTCTTTTACCCATATTTTAATTGGCTATTTTTACATTGAGTTGTAAGAGTCCTTTATGTATTTTAGATACAAGTCCTTTACCCAGGTGTGTGACTTGCAAAAATTTTTTAGCCCTTAGCATATATTTTCATTTTCTGAAATTTAATTAACTAAATTAACAAATGTTAATTAAGTCTATGTTTTTTCTTTTATGGATCATATTTTTGATGTCATACCAAAGAACTCTTTGCCCCACCGTCTTCACGATTTTGTATATTTGAAAAACCTACTTTACTTTGCTAGAGAAGCAGCAAATTATTTTCGTAGTCAAATCTTTAACATAAGATTTGCTGCTCTTATTAAATTTTAAAATGTTTTCCAGTAATTGTGAACTGTATTAGGTCCTACTAGTACTAAAACTATCTGAGTTAAAAATATTAAAAAGTAAGGGGGTCCTGTTCATGAGATAAATGCTGATTCCAAAAGGAACCATCAGTCGTTGTGAAATGAATCAACTCTAGCCTTTCTAAGGATAGTAATAATTTAATCAAAGAGTTGTGATTGAATGTCAAAGGGATCATCTCCTAATTGACCAATACGGCAAAGCTGTACAAGTAAAATATGGAACTGTATCGTTCTTTTCTAACAAGTAAAGCACTTAGATTCCCACAAGAAAATAAATTTTTTTCCAAGAAATAAATATTTTGAAACAAAAAGACCTGTAAAAAGACCTTTCTATGAGCCACTGCAGAAACAATTAGGAAAAACTAGAGATATTTTGAAACAAATGTTTAGAGAGCTCATCAGAATTTGAAAGGACTGTGAGAACACATCTCCTCCAGTGCACAGAAATATGTGACAGGCTTTGAAGCTGTTTAGCTGAAATTGACCTGAGCTCCCATTGGAAGCTTTTTTGAAAACATTCTGGCCCCAAACAACTGTTTTATTTTTTCTAGTTCTCATTATTTCCAAGGGCACCCAATCTAGACAGTGATGAACTTCCTGCTGGATCTAGGAGCGATCACACTTTTCAGGGCTGGCAGCAAGACAAAGGAGCACTGAGCAAAGAGGACCGTTGGCACTAGGAGCAGGTGCCCCAGCTTCCTTTATCTTATAGTAATAAAAAAGAGTCATATGTTAGACATGATTCTTCTGTTATCTTTAGAATGTCCTTTGATCCTATACTTCCCACAGTAGTATGCACATTGTATTAGTCCATGCTCACATTGCTGTAAAGAACTACCTGAGACTGGGTAATTTATGAAGAAAAGAGGTTTAACTGACTCACAGTTATGCAGGCTTACCAGGAAGCATGACCAGGAGGCCTCAGGAAACTTACAGTCATGGTGGGAGGTGAAAGGGAAGCAGGCACCTTCTTCACATGGCAGCAAGAGAGAATGAGAGCGATGGGGGACGTGCCACAGACTTTTAAACCATCAAATCTCATGAGAAGTCAGTCACTACCACGAGAACAGCAAGGGGGAAGCCCACTCCCATGATTCCGTCACCTCCCACCAGGTTCCTCCACCAACAATTGGGAATTACATACAATTCAACATGCAATTTGGGTGGGGACCTGGAGTCAAATCGTATCACACATCCTAATTCTGTGTAAGGCTTTCTCTGGTAAGGGGGCCTTCAGCATGATGAGGGCAGGGCTCTTAACCTTCCTGAGATAACTTTTGATCCGGCCTGCATGTAATATGCCATTACTTATTTATATAGTTACACATCACTTTGACTTTTGAAGTAATTATTTTTTCTAAACTTCATAAAAATAAAAAAAAAACTTCATGGCATATGCAAAGCAATAAAGTTGAAATACAAAGTGTTTCATCAATTACCTGTTGTAAAAGCGCTAATTCATGGGGTCTTCTGATAGGTAATATTGCCTCATTAAAAGTTAATAAAAATAAATGTGACATCATGTTGACTTGAAGAAAAGTGGGTAGATTTCATTCACAGAGAGGGTCCCTGCCTTCCTCAGTGCTGTTGTCTGTGAAAGAGCCCTGAGGTCAGGGTTATTTTGTCAGTCATGGCTACAAAGGGACAGGGTGAAGGTGGGCTTGCAGAAAGAGAAAGAATATGCAGACACTTAGTCAGGGGCAGCTCACTTCTTGGGTTAATGGGAGTAAGCAAGTTTTTGTGAAGAAACTTGTCAAGGTCCTCATGTGCGGCCCCGTGGCTTGATCTCTACCTATCTCCACCCACTCTAAGTACATGATGCCACAAGTTCTAAAAGTAGTTGGATTTATCTGTTACCAGTTCGCAATATTTCACATGCCATTCTAACGTTTAAAAAAAAAAAATTGTGTGACTGATACCTAGGTACCGATCACCCAGGAGTGAAACGTTTCAAATATTACTGAAGCTGCCTATGTTTACAGTCTTTTATTTCATAGCAATATGCTATGAATATTCTTTGACTTGTGTCTTGTACAAGAGTTTCTCTAGGATATATACAGTTGGCAGTAAAATAGCTGTGTCATAGATAATCACATCTTCACCTTTGTGAGATACACCATATTGCTCTACACAGTGATTGTACCCATGTGTATTCAGCCCAGGAATACATATTAAGTTCCCCTGCTCCATATCGTCAACAATTCTTGCTATTACCAAACTTAATCATTTTTGTCAGCCTGATGAGTGTAAATGATATGTTTTTGTGGTCTCTGCTGATAAGGATAAGCATCTTTTTGTAGTTATTATTCATGCTGGTTTCTTCTTCTGTGAATTGCTACTTTCTTTTGCCTATTTTTCCATTGGGATGTTAATTCTTAGAAGTTCTGAAGCCTCTTTTTCCTGGCCGTACTTTGGCTTTTCAATTTGTTTATGGTGTTTTTATATGAACAGAGTTTATTGAGTTAAATGCAGTCAAAATTTATCAGTTTAGTCATTTTCGTGTAAGTTATCTTTCTATTCCCCATGGTCATAAAGATACTCTCATTTAAGTTTCGTGTTTAGGTCTTTTCTTTCACCTGAAGTTGATTTTTGTATATGATGTAAGGATCTAGTTTTTTAAAGATAATGAATTGCCCTAACATCATTTATTAATCCTTTCTCCAGTGATTTGCAGTGTAGCACAGGTGTTCATATGTATGGGTATGTTTCTTGGATCTGTTTTGTTCCATTGGCTTACATACCTGTTCCTGTGCTGGAGCCACGCTGCCTTCATTACCATAGCTTTATAATAAATATTGAAATGTGCTAAGTTGAGTCCTCAGACCTTGTTCTTCAAAATTGTCACTCTATTCCTGGCATTTTGCTCATTTGTTTGTTCGAGACGGAGTGTCTCACTGTCGCCTGGGCTGGAGTGCAATGGTGCAATTTCGGCTCACTGCAACCTCCGCCTCCTGGGTTCAAGTGATTCTCCTGCCTCGGCCTCCTGAGTAACTGGGATTACAGACGACTGCCACCACACCCAGCTAATTTTTGTTTTGTTTTGTTTTGTTTGCATTCTTAGTAGAGACAGGGTTTCACCAGGTTGGCCAGGCTTGTCTCCAACTCCTGACTTTGTGATTCACCCACCTCGGCCTCCCAAAGTGCTGGGATTACAGGCATGAGTCACCACACCGGCCTGCTCTTCTTTATAAATTTTAGAAGTAACTTGACAAGTGCCTCTCTCACACAATTCTATTATAATTTTTGCTGCAATTACATTTAATGTCTAGATTAATTTGGGAAGACTCAAAAAATTGGGGAAGGAAATTTCTACATGAAATTGAGTCTTCCCATCCACAAATTTAGTTTAGCTTTCTATTTACTTAGAACTTTTAAATTCCTTTCAATAATTTTATAACTTTCTCTATAAACATCCTATGCATTTTTATAAGGTTTATTTCTATAAACCCTATATTTTGTGTCCTAGTATAAATTATACTTTAAAAAATTACATTTTCTGTTGGTGATATATAGACATATAATTCATTTTTGTCTATTTTAATGTTAACATATTGATGAACATTAATTATATCTGAAAACGTGACTGTACACTCACTTGGTTTTCTATACACAATCGTATTTCTGTTAATAATCAAGTTTTCTTCTGCAGTCTGTAACAAATAGAATTAAGTTACTATAATGGACTGAAATGGTGGCTTTAAAAAAAAAGCCTTTTTGTTGGTTTCCTCATGTAGCAAAGTGCAGAGGTAAGTACCTACAGGGCAAGGTTTCTATTATTTCCTCAGCCTTTGCCTGAAAATCTAAGATGTCTTTTGCAACTCCAGCTGTATTGTGCCCAGTAGGCATCAGAAGAGAGGAAAGGGAAGGGAGCAGGAAGGATCTGTAACGGGAATCAGAGACATCAGGGATTCCCGGCATTCTCAGAAACCCTTCCTGTGTCTCATCTTTTGCCTCAGTGGCCAGAATTGTATCACATAGCCACCCTAGCTTCAAGGAAGGCTACGTGTGCAATTTTGAATCCAACTACATTGTCACTCCAAATAAAACTGAGGTTCCATCAGTAGGGAAGAAGAGAATGACTAGGAGTCTGCTCTTCTGTCAAAAAATGCCTTTGCTTCATTCATCATCTTGAACATTTTATCTATGTATATCTTAAAAAATTTATTTTAGTTTTCTTTCAGCCATATTCATATGGATTGCTGTTGTTTCTGTTGAAAAAATCTACAATCAATGAAATTAGTTCTGATTTGTTTATAATCTGTCACGTTTTCTAGACCTTAAGTTTTGCTTTGATATTCTAAAGTTTTACAACAATATGTTTGCATGTAACGTTTCTTTTGTTCTAGTTGCTTTTTATTCATTCTGATAATTGGTATAGTTCATCAATTCTGAAAATTCTTAGCCGTTTATCTTCTTCGATTGCTTCCCCTCCATTTTTTTCTATTCTTTTCTCCTTGAACTGTTAGTAAACATATTAGGCCTCATCATCCCTTTTCCTTGTTTATTCTTTGTGCATTCTATGTTTGTTTGTTTGTTTGTTTTCATCTTTCTTTTCACTGTTTCTGTCTTTGGCTGTTTCTAATCTGCCATTTAATGATTGTGTTTTGAATTTCATAGATTTTATTTTTCACTCTTTTTTATCTCAAAAAATTTAAGATCACGTCTTGTTTGTTGCCAGTATTTTAATTATATATTTACTTTTTTAAATATGTAAGCAGATTTTTAAAATATCAGAAATTGAGATGAATTATTTAATCTATTAGATTGTTAAAAATCATAATTTAATTGATAGGAGTTTTTTTAGATATTTAAAAATTGGGGCCTATTATAATACATGGTATCTTATATTTGGTGGAATACAATATGGTATTTGAGCATTCTAGTTTCTTCATCTCTTTTTTGACCTAATTCTGCTATTTTCCTTTTTTTTATTTTTTGAGAAGGAGTCTCAAATTTTCTGTTTCCAATTACTTTTAATGTTTCTTTTAGGTTCAGAGGTACATGTGCAGGTTTGCTATATAGGTATATTGCATGTCACAGGGGTTTTATATACAGATTATTTTAGCACCCAGGTAATAAGCATAGTATCCAATAGGTAATTTTTCAGTCCTTACCCTGCACCCTCAACTAGACATTGGCATCTGTTGTTCCCTTCTTTGTGTCTATGTGAACTCAACATTTCACTTCCACTTATAAGTGAGAACATGTAGTATTTGGTTTTCTGTTTTTGTGTTAGTTCACTTAGGATAATGGCCACCAGCTCCATCTATGTTGCTGCAAACGCATGATCTTGTTCTTTTTATGGCTGTGTGATATTCCATGGTGTATATGTACCACATTTTATTTATCCAGTCTACCGTTGATGAGGATTTCAGTTGATTCGGTGTCTTTGCTATTGTGGCTAGTGCTGTGATGGACATACATGTACATGTTCTTTATGGTAGAATGATTTCTATTTCTTTGGATATATACCCAATAATGGGATTGCTGGGTCAAATGGTAATTCTGCTTTGAGTTCTTTGAAAAATCGCTAAACTGCTCTCCACCATGGCTGAACTAATTTCCATTCCCACCAGCAGTATATGTGTTCCTTTTCTCTTCAGCCTCACCAGCATCTATTAATTTTTTGCCTTTTTGATAATACTGCTATTTTTAAATATTTCTTTTATTCTCACTCATGATAGACACTTTATCCTGTGTTTTATATATGTGGTTGTCTTTTTTTTTCCTGTGGAAATATGTAGAAGGTTAGGTTGAGCATGTTCTTTGACATGAGATTTTAAGGTGCTTCTGCCAGTGCCCTGAGGTATAACCAATCCTGGAATACTTAGCTACCTTGGTATAAGATTTTCCTGAAGACGCTTTCAGTGTTAATTAAAACCACAAGGAATTGAGGTGTCTTTTTTAGTTTTTGCCTCTGTGAAAGCCCAGGCTGATAGAGAGATGTTTCCTTGTTCCGAACCTTTTCTGGCAGACCAGTTATTTCCTAGTTGCTATGGTCTGAAGGTTTATGCCTCCACTCCCAATTTGTATGTTGAAACTTAATCATCAATGTGATATTATCAGGAGGAGGAGACATTGGGAGGTGAGTAGATCATGAACCCTCGTGAATGGGATTAATGCCCTTATAAAAGAGGCCTGAGAGAGACACTTGCCTCTTCCACCACTCAGTAAGAAGGTACCATCTATAAACCAGGCAATGGATCTGGAGTTCCAGATGCCAAATCCGTGGTACCTTGATCTTGCAGTTCTCCACCTCCAGAACTGTGAGCAATAAATTTGTGATGTTTGTAAGCTATCTAGTTTATGGTATTTTATTAGAGTAACCCAAACAGACTAAGACACAAGTCTACCCTTCTGTTAAAGACGTAGCAGTGAATTTATATAGAACCTCAGTCCTAACTCTACTTTATCGAGGCCCAACATGTTGACTCTTGATTGACATGTATCTGAAAAGAAAGGCATCTTAGTTAAGGAAAGAAGCGAACATTCTCTGTGCAGGTGCCCTGTTTTCCAGCTCCTTCAATTTTATACCACTGAAGAGTTTATTTTCTTGTGAGCTTAGCATGTTAGTTACAGAACATTTATAATAAGTTATGTATTATGTCTAAGAGTCTGGTATCAGGAGAATTTCAGGATATATGGGCTACCATATGGCCAGAATGGAAATCTTCCACATCTCCTAGTTGAGGTTGCTTGAGTAGGACAAGAGTAGCATCAGGGAACCCTCTGAAGGGGAAAAGTTAACAGCAAAGGCTCTGGCAAGGTTTTTCAGAGGCCACAATTATATTTTGAAGTGACTCTATTCAAACTTTAACTCATGGAAACATACAAATCATTATTGTAAACATTCCAACACTCATATTTTCACCTTTGGGAAATCTGAATTCCAGTCTTACACTGATTTTTGAAGTTCTAAATGGAGCCACTGCTCATCCTAATCATTAACCCTAGAATTCTGCCCCTTCTTGTATATTTTTCAGAACCCAGCACACTGGCTTCTGCCTCATGATAGCTTCATCCTCCCCATTCCCCTTGTCTCCCTACTCAGCCATGTTCCATACTCTACATATTCCCAGAACAAAGATTCTCTTCAATAATTTACTAAAACTACTCCAGTCTTTCAGTCTCCTGCCAGGAGATAGCTACTTAATCTGATTTATAAATTTGTGTTAATGGGTGTTAATAGCTCAAAGTTGGGTTTCCTTCCTAGATAATCCTGGTGAATTTAGCAGGGTGTATTTAGGTTGATATTCCATGTAATACCTATACAGTCAAGTGGCAGTATACTCTATGTATGGGTTTGAGGTATTTCCAGAAGTTTTTGACTTTTCACAAAGGATGGGAACAATAATCAGAATTGTAATATTAATGTTCATATGATATTTCACATTTTTAAAGAGTCTTTTAAATATTACAATAGGTCTGTGTGACAGGTTGGATTGTCTGTATTTTTCAGATATGGAAATAGTAATTAAAATCTCTAATTGTCCTAAATTTACATAATTATGGATTAATGCACTCAAAATTTGAAATCAAGTCTTCAATACTATTTATCTTTCTTTCCAATTAGTAAGTGAAGGACTTATATAAAATAAGTTGATGTTTAAAAAATTTAAATTTGGAATAAAGAGAATGTAAATTTGGGATAAAGAGAAGATAGGAGGAAGGTAACTACATGGGAAAGCAAAGGTGATATGAAAGAGAAGATAATGGCACAGAATGGAAAGTAATGGCAAGAAAAGTGAAATTCTGACGGACAGAACTTTTAACTTTTCTACACTTTTGCCTAAGGAAAATATTAAATGGAGTTGCCTTCCATTTGCCCAGGCCCCTTTATATAGCACTCATATTGAGATTGAAATTATGTATTCATTGTTCTTTCTTTTACGTTTCTTTCAAAGAAATATAGAAGTAAATTACAAGGAAATAACTTCTCAGCATTGACTAAAAGAGACTCAACTCTTTTAACCTAGGGGAAAGAGTTTTGAAAGAGAGAAATTATGAGAAAACAGTTTGAAAAGATTTTTCATCTCTATGAAAATAAAAAAGCTGTAATAAGCATATACAGGTACCATGGTTTTCTGCAGGAGTTTTCTATTAAAATTTTTAAGTGTCAGCCTAACAAGGGAACAGTTCATGCATCTGTAAAATTACACTTGCTAATAATGCATTTTCAGTGAGAAATGCTCTTAATTCTCACTCCACTGCAACTCACAAAGTGATTGTAGGCAGTTGTCATAGTATAGCTATAGCTATTCCCACTTAGGTTATAACCTCTTGTGAGCTAGTGCCACTAATGTGTGAGATGTTTTGTGTTTTTAGATGTCTTTGTTATTATATTAATTATTGATTTTGCAGACCAGTGCTTAAAAAAGACACTCTGAAACTGTGACATCAGTATTTCTTGTCTGAGTCAAGGACGATGTCTTTCATACTGTAAGTCTTCTATAATCAATAACTTACTCTGAATTGAATTAAATATGTTAAAACATTTTTCCAGAAAAAAAAAAGATGCATTACAGATCAAAGGTGACAATAAAATTGGCATTGGCAATCTTTTCCCCTCTGGTCCTTCCTAAAATAGATGCTAGCTGAGGTCTTCCACCCCCAAACCCTTTTCTCGAGTTAACGAGTTGGTGAAATGATTGCATTTTATCACATTTACGATGCCATTGATTGTAAGATGTGTATTATTTTATGTATACTAAGAAAAAATATACTGATTATAATTGCAGATATAGGAAAATATCCATGTTAGAACTGATGAAATTTGATAGATCAAATCGAATAGAAAATTAAGTTCCTTATAGCCTCTGTATATTAGACCTTTGTCAGATGCATAGTTTGCAAATATTTTCTCCCTTTCTGTAGGTTATTTACTCTCTTGACAGTTTCTTTTGCTCTGCAGAAGCTCTTTAGTTTAATTAGGTCCCATTTATCAATTTTTGGTTTTTTTGCAATTCCTTTTAGTGTCTTCGTCATGAAATCTTTGCTGGATTCTGTGTCCAGAATGGTATTTCTTAGGTTATCCCCAGGATTTTTATAGTTTTAGGTTTTACATTTAAGTCTATACTCCATCTTGAGTTGATGTTTGCATGTAGTGTAAGGAAGGGGTCCAGTTTCAATCTTCTACATATGGCTAGCCAGCTACCCCAGCACCATTTATTAAATAGGGAGTCTTTTCCCCATTGCTTGTTTTTGTCAGCTTTGCTGAAGATCAGATGATTATTGGTGTGTGGTATTACTTCTGGGCTCTCTGTTCTGTTCCTTTGGTCTATGTGTCTGTTTTTGTACCAGTACCATGCTGTTTTGGTTACTGTACCCTTGTAGCATAGCTTCAAGTCAGGCGATGTCTCCAGCTTTGTTCATTTTGCTTAAGAATGCCTTGGCTATTCAGGCTATTTGTTTGGTTCCATAAGAACTTTAAAATAGTGTTTTCTAATTCTGTGAAGAATATCATTGGTAGTCCAATAGGAATAGCATTGAATCTCTAAATTGCTTAGGACAGTATGGCCATTTTAACAATATTGATTCTTCCTATTTATGAGCATGCAATCTTTTTCCATTTGTTTCTGTCATCTCTGATTTCTTTGAGCAATGTTTTGCAATTGTCATTGTAGAGATCTTTTTATTTTTTATTTTATTATTATTGTACTTTAAGTTTTAGGGTACATGTGCACAATGTGCAGGTTAGTTACATATGTATACATGTGCCATGCTGGTGTGCTGCACCCATTAACTCGTCATTTAGCATTAGGTATATCTCCTAAAGCTATCCCTCCCCCCACCCCACAACAGTCCCCAGAGTGTGATGTTCCCCTTCCTGTGTCCATGTGTTCTCATTGCTCAATTCCCACCTGTGAGTGAGAATATGCGGTGTTTGGTTTTTTGTTCTTGAGATGGTTTACTGAGAATGATGATTTCCAATTTCATCCATGTCCCTACAAGGGACATGAACTCATCATTTTTTATGGCTGCATAGTATTCCATGGTGTATATGTGCCACATTTTCTTAATCCAGTCTATCATTGTTGGACATTTGGATTGGTTCCAAGTCTTTGCTATCGTGAATAGTGCCGCAATAAACATACGTGTGCATGTGTCTTTATAGTAGCATGATTTATAGTCCTTTGGGTATATACTCAGTAATGGGATGGCTGGGTCAAATGGTATTTCTAGTTCTAGATCCCTGAGGAATCGCCACACTGACTTCCACAATGGTTGAACTAGTTTACAGTCCCACCAACAGTGTAAAAGTGTTCCTATTTCTCCACATCCTCTCCAGCACCCGTTGTCTCCTGACTTTTTAATGATCACCATTCTAACTGGTGTGAGATGGTATCTCATTGTGGTTTTGATTTGCATTTCTCTGATAGCCAGTGATGGTGAGCATTTTTTCATGTGTTTTTTGGCTGCATAAATGTCTTCTTTTGAGAAGTGTCTGTTCATGTCCTTTGCCCACTTTTTGATGGGGTTGTTTGTTTTTTTCTTGTAAATTTGTTTGAGTTCATTGTAGATTCTGGATATTAGCCCTTTGTCAGATTAGAAGGTTGGGAAAATTTTCTCCCATTGTGTAGGTTGCCTGTTCACTCTGATGGTAGTTTCTTTTGCTGTGCAGAAGCTCTTTAGTTTAATTAGATCCCATTTGTCAATTTTGGCTTTTGTTGCCATTGCTTTTAGTGTTTTAGACATGAAGTCCTTGTCCATGCCTATGTCCTGAGTGGTAATGCCTAGGTTTTCTTCTAGGATTTTTATGGTTTTAGGTCTAACGTTTAAGTCTTTAATCCATCTCAAATTAATTTTTGTATAAGGTGTAAGGAAGGGATCCAGTTTCAGCTTTCTACATATGGCTAGCCAGTTTTCCCAGCACCATTTATTAAATAGGGAATCCTTTCCCCATTGCTTGTTTTTCTCAGGTTTGTCAAAGATCAGATGGTTGTAGATATGCAGCGTTATTTCTGAGGGCTCTGTTCTGTTCCATTGATCTATATCTCTGTTTTGGTACCAGTACCATGCTGTTTTGGTTACTGTAGCCTTGTAGTATAGTTTGAAGTCAGGTAGTGTGATGCCTCCAGCTTTGTTCTTTTGGCTTAGGATTGACTTGGCGATGTGGGCTCTTTTTTGGTTCCATATGAACTTTAAAGTAGTTTTTTCCAATTCTGTGAAGAAAGTCATTTGTAGCTTGATGGGGATGGCATTGGATCTATAAATTACCTTGGGCAGTATGGCCATTTTCACGATATTGATTCTTCCTACCCATGAGCATGGAATGTTCTTCCATTTCTTTGTATCCTCTTTTATTTCCTTGAGCAGTGGTTTGTAGTTCTCCTTGAAGAGGTCCTTCACGTCCCTTGTAAGTTGGATTCCTAGGTATTTTATTCTCTTTGAAGCAATTGTGAATGGTTAGCTGTATTCCAAGCAAAAAACAAACAACCTTGTTAAAAAGTAGACAAAGGACATGAACTGACACTTTTCGAGAGAAGATATACATGTGGCCAACAAGCATATTAAAAAAATGCTGAACACCACTAATCATTAGAGAAATGCAAATCAAAACCACAGTGAGATACCATCTCACACCAGTTGGAATGACTATTATTAAAAGGTCAAAAAATAAAAGATGCTGGCAGGGTCACAGAAAAAAGGGAATGCTTTATACTCTGCTGAGGAAGTGTAAATTAGTTCAGCCATTGTGGAAAGCAGTGTGGAAATTCCTCAGAGAATTTAAAACAGAATTACTATTTGACCCAGTAATCTTATTTTTGAATAAATACCCAAAATAATATAAATGTTTCTGTCATAAAGACACATGCATATGTTCATTGCAGCACTATTCACAATAGCAAAGACATGGAATCAACCTAAATGCCCATCAACAGTAGATTGGATAAAGAAAATGTGATAAATATACACCATGGAATACTATGCAGCCATAAAAAAGAACAAGATCATGTCTTTTGTGGGAACATGATGGATGGAGCTGGAGACTATTATCCTTAGCAAACTAACACAGGGACTGAAAACCAAATACCACATATTCTCACTTATAAGTGGGAGCTAAATGATGAGAACTTATGAACACAAAGAAGGAAACAATAGACACTGATGTCTACTTGAAGGGGGAGGGTGGGAAGTGGGAGAGGAGCAGAAAAGATAACTATTGTGTACTTGGCTTAGTACTTGAGTAATGAAATAATATGCAAAAGAAACCCCTATGACATGTGTTTATTTATATAACCTTCATTATGTACCCCTAAACCTAAAAGAAAAGTTTGTTTTTTTTTTTTAAAAAAAAAGAAAAGAAAATGTGATACATATAAACCATGGAGCACTATGCAGCCATTAAGAAGAATGAGATCATGTCCTTTGCATTAACATGGATGGAGCTGGAGGTCATTATCCAAAGCAAACTAATGTAGGAACAGAAAACCAAATAACGCACGAAGTATTCTCACTTATAAGTGGGAGCTAAACAATGAGAATACATGAACACAAAGAGTGGAACAGTAGACACTGGGGCCCACTTGAGGGTGGGATTAGGGAGAGGATCAGAAAAAATACCTATCAGGGGCCATGCTTATTACCCAGGTGATAAAATAATCTGTATACCAAACCTTCATAAAATGCAGTTTACCTATACAACAAACCTGACCATGTACCCCTGAACCTAAAATAAAAGTGAACAGTGAAAAATACGAAACAGAAAGATTCCTGAATGTCTTCTGATGGATTGTTAGGCCTGGTCTCTAAAAGATCCTTTCAGGGTTATCTGATTCTATAGGAAACTTAAGCCCTTCATTGTTTTTGATTATTTTACAACTCTGTTTAGTTAGAAGCTAACTTGTAAGGGGCTGATTGTAATGTAAATGATTACTGTTTGTATAAGTCAAATGAGCTTTTGTTCTGTTAAAATGCAGTGGATTCTCACCCTATAGAATTGGCCAGTTTCCTATTCATTAGCAAACTCATGTCAGCATTCCCAATTATCTGTAGATGTGTCTGTCCTTTGTAGAGTCTCCTTGAAGCAGTTTTTTTTTTTATTTACAGGTTTTCTCATTAATTAATGACTTAAATAAAATATCTGTCATGTTCATTTTATATTTGTATGAGCCATTATTTTACCTTTTAAAAACTATTTGTTAACAAACCAAATTGCAGTCACTCATGATATTTTAAGGATCACAAGCTGTTGCGGTCTTTTTAAAAAAGTGTATTTTGTTATTGCAAAATACCATTTAACTTCCAAGTAGAGGTCAGGGGTAGCCCTGGAAACAAAGGGCTGGTTATGTCACTTCCGTATTTGTGTACTGGGAAGAGGTCTCACAAAGAGCTATGCTATGCTATCTTTGTCTAAAAAGGATCATGGCCATGACTTTGAGCCAAGGTAAGCAAGAGGAATCAGACCGGTATGATCTTCTAGGAGGCAAGCATTGATTCTAGTTCTAGTAGACTAAGCTAGAACGAAATGATATGTTTTTTTTAAACATTTTTTGAGATATAATTCACATATCATACAATTCACTCATTGAACATGTATAGTCAATAGTATTTAGTAGGCCGGGCGCGGTGGCTCACGCCTGTAATCCCAGCACTTTGGGAGGCCGAGGCGGGCAGATCACGAGGTCAGGAGATCGAGACCACCCTGGCTAACCCAGTGAAACCCCGTCTCTACTAAAAATACAAAAAATTAGCCGGGCATGGTGGCGGGCGCCTGTAGTCCCAGCTACTCGGGAGGCTGGGGCAGGAGAATGGCCTGAACCCGGGAGGCAGAGCTTGCAGTGAGCCGAGATCATGCCACTGCACTCCAGCCTGGGCGACAGAGCAAGACTCTGTCTCAAAAAAAAAAAAAAAAAAAAATTGGATTTAGTGTATTAAAATATGTGTACAGTCATCACCAGACAAATTTAGAAAGTTCATCTTTTCAAAAAGAAACCATGTATCCTTTAGCTGTCACCCTCACATCCCCCCCATGCCTTTTTGCTCTAGCCCTAAGCAACTACTTCTCTATTTCCTATCTCTAGATATTCTAGTCTTTCATATGAATTGAATCATGTAATATAGGGATTTTTGTGACTGACTTCTTTCACTTAGCATAACATTTTAAGGTTCATCAATGTAGAAATTTGTCAGTATTTCATTCACTTACATGGCTGCATAATATTCCACCATATGGTTATACCACATTTTATCTATTTGTCAATTAATGGGCATTTGAATTGTTTCCACCTTTTGCCTATTGCAAGTAATGCTGCTATAGATACTCATGTACAAATTTCTGTGTAGACATGTCTTCATTTTTGAGGGGTATATACCTAGGAGTAGAGTTTCTGGGCATTATTGTATCTTTAATTGCTGAAGAACTTCCAGACTGTTTTCCAAAGGGACTACACCATTTTCTATTCCTGCCAACAGTGTATGAGAGTTCCAATTTTGCCATGTCCTTGCCAACACTTATTATTTTTATCTCACTTTTTGATTCTAGCCAATCTGGCATGTGTGAAGTGATATCTCATTGTGGTTTTGATTTGCATTTCCCTGATGAATAATGATGTGGAATGTATTTTCAAGTACTTCTTGGCCATTTGTATACCTTTCATGCAGATTCTTTAGCCATTTCTTAATTGAGCTATTTGTCTTTTAATCATTGAGTTGTTAGAGTTCTTTATGTATTCCAGATACAAGTCCCTTATCAGATATATGATCTGAAAATATTTTCTTCCATTTTGTGGGCTCTTTTTGCTTTCTTAATGGTGTTCTTTAAAGCAAAAAGAAAAACTACTGTTGACAAAGTCTTATTTTTTTCACTTGTTACTTATGCTTTTTGCATCATATCTAAGAATTGGTTGTCAAATCCAATGTCATGAAAACTTACATTTTCTTTTAAGAATGTACAGTTTTGTGCTTACATTTAGGTTCTGGATCTGTGTTGAATTAATTTTTATATTTAAGTAATTTTGTGTAAGTTATAGCTAGGATTCTAATAGAGATTGTGTTGATTCTGTAGAGTATTTTGGAGAGTATAACCATCTTAACAATGTTGTCTTCTAATCCATGAACATGGAATGCTTTTCATTTATTTAGATCTCATTTAATTTCTTTTCATGTTCTTTTTAAATAGTACAAGTTGTATACTTCTTTTGTTACATTATTTAGTATTGTTTTTATGCTGTAGTGAATGGAATTCATTTTATTTTGGGTTTAATTCCAAGTGTATAGAAATACAATTGATTTCTGCAATTTATCTTGTATCCTGCAACCTTGCTGAACTTATTCCTTAAGACTAATGGATTTTTAGCAGATTTCTTAGGAGTTTCTATATACAAGATCATGATTTCTGCAAATAGAAGTACTTTTACTTCTTTTCAAATCTGGATGCATTTTCTTCCTTTTTCTTGCCAAATTGTCCTCGCTAGAACCTCAGGTACAATATTGAATAAAAGTGTTGAGAGTGTACATCTTTGTTATGTTCCTGATCTTAGGAAGAAAGCATCTAGTTTTCTGTTCTTAAGAATGATGTTAACTGTGGGCTTTTCATAGATGTCCTTTATTAGATTAAGGGGGTTCTTTGCTATTTCCAGTTGTTGAGTGGTTATATCATGAAAGTGTGTTGGATTTTGTATCTTTCTGCATCTGTTGAAATGAACATTTGATTTTAAAACTTCTATTGATATGTTTTACATTAATTGAATTTCAGATATTAAATCAAACTTGCATCCCTGGAATAAATCCCACTTGGTCATAATGTATCATTACTGTTATATGTTGCTGGATTTGGTTTCTGACTATGTTGTTGAGGATGTTTGCATCCATATTCCTAACAGGTATTGTTCTGTGGCTTTCTCTTCATGTGATGTCTTTGTCTGGTTTTAGTATCAGGATAATACTGAGATTTGCTCTTCAAGTTGAGGTATTCAAGAGAGAAACTGGGGAAGTCAGCAAGGCAGCAGGAACAACCCAATTAAAGTAGAGTTGGCAGGCAAGATACAGAATGTGGGGTACGTGACATAGAGGGAATTTTACAGTGTAGAAAATTTTTTATGTTTGACAGTATATTTGAAGATAGATAAATAGATAGAGAGATAACAGACAGACTTAGAATGGGTGTTGTTTGATGATAGGTAGATGAAAAAAATTGACAATATTTGTTAAAATTTTCATGATGTAAGTTTTCAGATTTATCAGTTCCCTATTGCTGCTGTAACAAATTACCACAAACTTAGTGGCCTAAAACAACACAAAGTCATGATTTTACAGTTTGGAGGACAGTCAAAAATGAGTCTCATGAGACTAAAATACAAGCATTGGCAGAGCTTCATTCCTCCTGCAAGCTGCAAGAGGGAAGTTTTTTCTAACCCTTTCCAGCTTCTAAAGGCCACCCACACTTCTTGGCTCCTAACCCTTTCCTCCATCCTCAAGACTGGCAGCATAGCAGCTTCAAATCTCTCTCCCTCTTTTTCTGACCTCTCTTTCTGGTGTCACTTTTTTTTTTTTTTCTGACTCTGAGTCTTCTGCCTTCTTCTTTTAAGGAACTTGTGACTACACTAGGACCACCTGGATAGCCAAGGATAATCCCGTCCCAAGACTAATCAGATTAATCAGACTTAATCACATCTGTAAAGTTCCTCTTGCCATGTAAGTAGCATATTGGCAGGTTCCGGGGATTACAATTGAGGACTTTTTAGTGGTCCATTATTCAGCCTACTATATCAGATAGTAATCCAGTGATTTTCTAAAATAATACTTCTTGAATACAATTATATGCCATTGAATCTGTACAATTGAATCGATGTATAAAAACGGTATATAATTGTATTCTATTTGAAAAACTTAGTGTTGTCATTCATCTTGCCTCAGGTAACTTGCAGTTAAGAATCAAGACATAAACAAAACAAATTTTGCAAGTAGGATTTATTTGATGCCCTCAACAGGGAATGAGGTCTACCTTTTCCATTCAATGTAGTTACTGTTCTCCAAAATTGTAGTAAGTTTTGCCACGTGTGTATTTTGATGCTTCAGAACCAGGAAGGAAGTCAGCAGGTTTACTTAGGCTAGAGCTCACTCTTCACTCTGTGGCAGGTTTTATCCAGTCTCTTCTTAGACATATGTTTCCCAGCCTTTTTGCATGTCTTTTCTGTTTTTAGCCTTTTTAAGTTGTTCTTATACGAGAGACTGATACTTTATACCAATAACAGGCAGCAATCTGATGTGGAAATAAAATTCCCGAGACTCTAAAAACATGTGGCTGTAAAGGCAACAAGAAAGAGTCAAAACTTTCTCCCTCCTGTTTTTGTTGCCTTTCTGGCCGCATGTTATCAGAGTCTCAGGACTCTAAAGGTCCTTATTATCAATGACTTCTCTGAGCACACATACACCATTAAACTGCTGGTGGACTACTTACATGGCTATCACTCTTACTCCTCCCCCTTCCACACCCGCATATACCTACACTCTGATATAATACAAGTTTAGGTTTTTTATTACGTATGAGATTTGGTCAGTTGGGGATTATAGACCACAAAACTGCCACCTTTGATGAGTTCCGAGTATTAGCATTGAGGAATGATTGCACCAGCTGGCAATCGTGGGAAGCTCTCGGACCTAGCTTTTATGAAGAAGGCAAAGTGTGGGGAGGGGGTTGATTAGCAGGAGATATTATTTGTCTATAGAGAAAAATACACGGAAAAACAAGATTACTTTTTAGATTATGTCATTCTGAAGACTGTATAGTATTCTACTTGTAAGCAAATACTACATTTTTCAGGCATATAAGACTAATGACACACAGCCAACTACAAACTGGGATTTAATAATATATTTCATTAACTCAGCTCCAGTTCCATTTTCTATGTTGTAGGATTTGAACCAGACACAAATGATTTCTCTTAAGTCCTTGCCCTTTTGTGATTCTGCTGAGAGCACAAGGAACCCACAATAATTTACCATATGCCATAGTTCATCCTGTTTTGTTTTTTAAAAAACTCGCAACAACCTGACACATTTGTTGTGGTTGATTCTGGGCATTTAAATATGAAAACAATCAATGTGCATTTGTAGAGAATATGACAAGTGGGAATTTGTGTGCAGGCCAATTTTTCACTGACCTGCATTCAAGAACATTATTATAACCCAAGCTTGCCTCCCAAGTTGTTTAAATGAGTTGATTTCCCAGTATTTGCGTGGGCACGTTGAGTGATGAGAATGACTTCAGTGTAAGCCCGACTCCCTTTCTATTTCCCCTCCTCTGGGTTTCAGTTTTGTGCTGATTCAGATGTGAGCTCTGTGCATTCAACCATCCAGTTAATACACTGAGACAAGAAAGCAATAACTTTTGGTGATTACATGAGTTGTAGAGAAAGAATCAAGGGTGCAGGTGAATAAACTTTTGCTCTGGGAATGGCACACTGGATATAATTTTCTGCTGGTTCCAAATAACAATACTTTAAATCTTGAATAAGTCTTTCATGTATCTCCTACCTGTTGTATCTCTATACTCATTCTCATTCTGGTATAATATCAACCTTTTTTAAATGTGAAGTATTATCATCCCCATTTTATAGATGAGAAAACAAGATGAGACACAAGATGCCAGATGAATTGTCTAAGTTCATATTTTCTAACCTAGTCCTCTATATACATAAAATGGATTCATCATTAGTTATTTACATAACCATTTTTAAAATCGTTGGATGTGGTAGTAGTGAAATAGCCTATTTCCAAGTCATTTTTCTAAATGACAATGAAATTTTTCTGAAATTGGGCCGGCTCAAAGACAAACAAGATAGCAAACATCTTAGCAGTTAAAATCAGGTTTCAGGCACCATCCAAGAGATTCCTTTCCACTCCATGAACCACAAGTGCACAAGCTAGTAGATTTGTAGTGTGTAATTTAAGTGTAACTTAGGCTTACTGTGATATCTGATTTCTAGGGTAATTATAAATTGTTAGCATTCATCGTGGTTCTCCAAGAATTTGTGGTAAGGATTCGAGGGAAGAAAAAAGATATATTTAGCATCCACAAAGGGGAATAAATGGTTAAAACAGTGTTTTTGAGTGTCTAAAGATTAAAGGGTGAAAAAGAACAATGTTAATAGAGCTAGGAAGACAAGGCTGCAGGAGGTTTACACTGCATGCAGGGCTTTTTCAGCAGTGAGCCACCACTTTGTCCTCTAGATTGTTTGGAGATCAAACTGTAAAAAAGCTAAAAATATTTGGAGAACACTAGGTTTAAATTAAAAGGAGGGGAGATCAAACTGGAGAAATGCCCATTATGGAGACCAAAATAGAAGTATCTGCATCAGAGACCTTTTACATATACCCATGTATCCCAAATAGTAGTGAAGTATTTGCATAGCTATATGCATATATAGCTATACTTCAAGGAAAATCAAGGCATAGGTTACATGGAGAGCAGGTAAATTCCCAAGCTAAAGGGGTGCGTCAGGGAATTATACAGTATTTTCTTTCCATTCCAGAGAAAAGAGTAGGATTGAACTAGCAAGAGAGGGTAAAGATCCTCTGGCTTTGAGAATATTATAAGAGCCAAAAACAAGAACAAATCCATGCCTTTTTAATTTTTTTTGTTTTTTGACTTCTAGCTTTAGGGTTCATGGCAGGTTTGCTCTCTAGATAAATTACATGTTGGGGGGTTTGCTATACATATTATTTTGTCATCCAGGTAGTAAGTATGGTACCCGATAGGCAGTTTTTCAATCCTCACCCTCCTCCCACCCGCCTCCCACCCGCCTCCCACCCTCTGCCCTCAAGTAGGCCCGATGTCTCTGGTTCCCTTCTTTGTGTCCGTGTGTACTCAGTGTTAGCTCCCACTCAAATCAGTGCTTTAAACATCTTGACAAAAAAAAATCTCTGGAGATTATTGCATAATATATAACTTACCTTCTCTGTATGTAATTTATACCTTGACTGTTCCTTAAAATGTAGCAGAAACAAAGTATGTATCTGTTTACTTCAATTCATAATGAGGAGGGAAGATGACAATAGGGTTCAAAGTCTGACTCTGTAACTAATGAATTAAATGGTACTACAAGTAACATGGATTCTTCATATATACAAAGAGGACTGATTGTATATATGATGATAGATGGTATCCAAGGTTTCTTTTGGTTTGAAAACCATGGTCGCTGAAGCCACAGAGAAGCGCGTGAGTCCAGATCCTAAATGTCAGGAGCTTGATATTCTAAGGAGGCATCCCTCTCCTCCTTACATTCCTGTGTGGCAGCAATGAACGGTCCCCATGAGAAGCTGTAATAGGATGAGACTCAGGGGACTTTTGCTTGGAAGCTGTGTTGGGATGACATCGCGTTGTGCATACCCGTCTCTTGTCGGTTTTATGAGATGTAGTTCACTGTATGACAGTGGCTTTGAACATTGTGGAAGAAGACGTCCTATGGCATCACTACAGTTTATCATCTCCTGCTGAAGGTTCTCACTCTTTAGAAGTTCACAGCCAAGCGAGTACTGGGAAATTATTATTATTCCTCATTTACACTGAGACAGAGTTGAAGCTCTGGCCGCAGTCAATAAATCACTTTGATGATGATTCATTAGCCGTGTTGAGATCCCCCGGCCGCTCCAGCGCCAGCGTCACACTTGGGCTGTCTTCTCATCTTAATTGCAAGGTTTCACTTCTGGAGAAGCACAGCAGCCTTTGCCACTCACCTATTTTCTGGACACATTTAATTTCAAATTAACAAGTTTTCCCTCGCAACTATCTATCTCTAAATCCGGTTTTTCGTGTGTGTGTGTGTGTGTGTGTGTGTGTCTTAATGTGCTTAGGAAAAAGGGAAAAACGTGTTTAGGAAAAAAGTGTGTGTGTGTGTGTCTTCATGTGCTTAGGAAAAAAGAATGCTTTCAGACTCTCTTTTCTTAAACAACTACAGATGATAACTAATTTTTATCTTAACCTTTAAGAAATTAGTTATGTGCAGTGTACAAGTGGAAAGTCTGCCAGGAGAGAGAAACAAATTGTGGACAATTGAAATCTGACATACAATTAAGAAAAATGTAAATTGAAACTTGTGGTGTTTTCACTAACTTGTATCCCACCAAATGCTGATTTTCTAGAGATAACAGTGAAGAGATGCCATTTCCTGCTGCCATGGTACATGCCAACTACCATATAAATTTAATAAATGAGGCTCATTCCCTATAGGTGGGTGCAGTACCAAAGGGAGGAGAAGTCTGGCTTGTGCTTGTAGGACAAAGTGAATGAGGACAGAGCTAGCTCTGGCAGCCTTCTCCTCCTCATCCCCTGCTGCTGCAATGGTGATATAAATATGCGCTCTGTTCTCCCCTATCCTTACTATGTAGCTCTCTTTCTTTAAAATGAGTAACTTTGAACTAAACTATCTCAAAATCTTTTTCATCTCTAGCATTAGTCTTTCTTCTTTATTCTCAGTAATAGAATTGTACTATTTTATCCTCTCCTCCTGAGAGCCTATTAAAAGCATTTGAGGTCCAACACATATTCCATTTTCCCCATAATACATGACCTCACCCCCTGGTATTCTCAGAATGTGTTCTCCCTTTAACGTCTCCCCCTGCACAAATGTTACTCATCTACAAGGGCCATTTCAGATCACATCCTTCATGAAGCTTTTATAACTAAATGCAATTTCTCTTTCCTTTGAATTCCTAAAGTATACCATGTAACTCTTCCATATAAATAGCATCATTATTTGTGTATATTTCTTATTCCCTTGACTAGAATGGATTTGCCTCAAGAATTTGGTGCTTGTCTTCTGTGTCCCCTCCTAGTCATCCAGAATAGTACCTTTGCATATTTTATGTAATTAACCACCTTTTTAAAATCAGCAAGTGCATTTTACCCACACGAGTTCTGTAATGGGACACGGAACTAATTGTGCTATGGTAAAAAATGTTCAAGCAAGAGTTCTTTATTATAACTTTTAAAGCAATTAGAAGAATGAAGGATAAGTTCCATTTTAAGGGTAAAAATACTTGCAAACCCTGCCAGAAGTTGATATGGTTTAAAGTAATACGATCCAAAAATGTGCCTATTACAAAAGAGGGTTTTTGAGTCTGAGTGAGTGTATGTGTGTGTGTCTCTGTGTGTGTCCAGACAGGGGCTTACCTAGGGAGTGGCAGTGGAGGAATTTTTGGAAATTATTGCCTTTCGGGGGATTTGGAGTTTTAAATGCATCCTCTGCTCCCTAGGATGTTTTTTTCTGACTCATTTCTTTACTGCTCTGAGCGTGAGTCAAGGTCTAAAGCATTTCATTTAGATTCATTCTCCTTTTAGATGCTGAAAATTGTACAGAACTCTTATTTGAGAGCAGACATCATTGTAAAAACAAAGGCAAATGAAATTGGTTCTTGCATTATTGTGTCCTCATTCATGAAACTTGTAATATTTGCTTTGCAAAAAGAAAGAAAACAGAAAAATCTTAGTTCACCTTACTCTACTGTTTCCAACAGGCATTCGTAATGGTGTTACACATATGTAAAAGGTGGGTTTATGTTTGTTCCAGTTATTTTGTATGTTTTATCTACATAACTAGGTTGTATACTCTTTTAGTTTATAGGCCCTTCATGTTTTGCTCATCGTAGTTAGTAAATCCTTAATATTAGATGCTTAATTGGCATTGATTAATAATAGGATTTCTTATCAGGGTTGCTGCTTTTAAATATTCAGATCTTACACATTTCTCTGTCATTGTTAACTAGAAGAAGTAACTAAAGGGGTTACTTAGCCCTGGGAAACTGTCATATTTACAGATTAGTAAAAAAAAAAAAAAAAAATAGCAGATCCTATATAAAAAACAAAAGGCAAAGAGTGAACGGTGAGCAGGCCAGGAAGAAGTTAGCCAAGAATTAAGCTATCATTGAAAGAGGGATTAATAAGTTGGATCTTATGTAAAAGAGATTAAAATTGTTGGATTTTTACTAAAGAAATGCATTGGTCACTCTTAAAAATGCAGAGGAGTAATAGCATAGTAGGAACAGAAGCCAGATTTCTATTCATTAAGGAGGTATTAAAAACATACTGAAAGCACAATGGCAGGAAATTAAACTTTTAAAAAGAAGTTTATCAGTGATATGAGAAGATATATACATGTGAAGGCTTCATTATCAAGAAGGCCTTTATGTCCAAGATGAAAGGAGTCTACTTATGTTGAAAGATCAAAAGGACCAGGAAACTCCAGAGATCCAGGGAGAGATGGAAGAAACGGGGAAAGGATGGGTGAAGTGTGGAAGTGGTATTCCTCAAGATGGAAGATGGAATTCAGACTGGGGATGGGAGCCCTTCGAGAAAAGTGTGTTTAGCTCCACCTTTGAAAGTAGAGACAACGAAATGAGAGATGATGAGTTAGGTATGAAGGTGAAGACACTCAGAGATGACAGAACTGATAGGTGGCAAGAGTCTTTACCAAGACAGAGACCACAGCATCGGGGATAAGGCACTGGGTTAAGGGTAGGATTTAGAAAGTTTAAAATACTTATCAAGGAGAGTGGGTTACATTTTGAACCACAACATGGACTAAACTATGTTGAACATAAAGTATTTTTCAGTTCTGAATTTCCCTCTAGCAGAATTGTAGTAGGAAATAGTGGGCAGAGTGGACTGGAGGCCCTGACTGTGGGCAAGCCTGCCCTTGGGCAGCGGTTCTCAAGTGCCACAATATGTCTCAATCACTTGTCAATTAGGCCCCAAGTACTCTGTAACTAAGTGTAAGTACTCATGATTTTGACTGAGTTTTTAAAAACTCATTAAAGCAGATTAAAATTTACTCCTAAAAATCATGCCTCTCACTGTCAATTTAGTGTACTTCCTTGAACTGAAAAGAAACCTGTGGAGTTAGAATCAGCGTTATGGAAATTGTATGTGCTTTCCCCCTCATCTGAAGGTGACTCATGGATTCAGCTGCTGTTACAGATTTACCATTAATTGTTATGGCAGTCACAAATTATTTAGAGCTTCATGGTTCAAGTTTTATAGTTAGTTGGGTTTTCTGTGTAATTTTTCGGATGAATTAATTTTTTTCTCTGAGACAAGGTCTCGCTCTCTCACCCAGGCTGGAGTGTGGTAGCACGATTATGGCTCACTGCAACATCTGCCTCCTAGGCTCAAGCAATCCTCCCACCTCAGCTCCCCAAGTAACTGGAACTAGAGGCATGTGCCACTATGCCCAGATAATTTTTTGTAGATATGTGATCTTGCTATGTGGCCCAAGCTGGTCTCAAAGTCCTAGCTTCAAACAATCCACCTGCCTTGGTCTCCCAAAGTATTGGGATTACAGGCATGAGTCAGTGCCCTGGCCAAAAGAATGAATTTTTAATAAAGAAGGTATTGGGCAAAAATACAAAAAATTAGGCATGGTGGTGTGCACCTGTAGTTCCAGCTACTCGGGAGGCTGAAGTGGGAGGGTTGCCTGAGTCCAGGAGTTCGAGGCTGCAGTGAGCCATGATCGTGCCCCTGCACACCAGCCTGGACGACAGAGTGAGACTCTATCTCTTTAAAAAGAAAACAAGAACGTATTGGCCGGGCGTGGTGGTTCACACCTGTAATCCCAGCACTTTCGGAGGCCGAGGCAGGTGGATCATGAGGTCGGGAGATCGAGACCATCCTGGCTAACACGGTGAAACCCCGTCTCTACTAAAAATACCAAAAATTAGCCAGGCATGGTGGCAGGCCCCTGTAGTCCCAGCTACTCGGGAGGCTGAGGCAGGAGAATGGTGTGAATCTGGGAGACGGAGCTTGCAGTGAGCCTAGATCGAGCCACTGCACTCCAGCCTGGGCGACAGAGTGAGACTCTGTCTCGAAAAAAAAAATAGAAAAAGAAAATTAAAAAAAAAAAAAGAAAAAGGGTATTGAATGGAAGAAGAAAATGAGAGTAGCGCATCAACAAATTTCTTGTACTTGTATCTAAGCAATCTAAAAATACAATAGGGGATAGAGGGGAGGTCACTTTGCCATGTCAGTCAGTATTTTCAAAAAAAAGACAAGTTTTTAAACTAGAAGTCATCAAATATGTTTTGCGTACGCCATTTCTCAATAAAAAATGTCCCTTTGCTTGGTCTGGTCCTGGGTCCTTTTCTTCTTTTTATCTGTAAATTCTCCCTAAATGATCTTACCATGACCCATGGCTTTAAATACATCTAAATGCCATTGTTTCTCAAATACATAGTTCCCTTCCTGCCCTCTCTGATTATTCCATTTGTACCAAGATTCCTGGGATGTAAGCTAACTAGAGCATAGAAACTTCATCTGCTTTGTTAACAACTTATCTCTAGTGCCCTCAAGAGCACTGAGTTGTTCAGTAAATCTTTGTTGAATGAATGCCTAAAAACCTTGTCTAACCCGGTGACCATAAACGACAACCTGATTTTTGCCTCACCTGTTCAGTTTTCCCCATGTCAGTAAACCACCATCTACCCAACAGCTCAAACCCAAATCCTTAAACTCATTCTTCCCTTTTCTCCATCTCCTAGTCCCATCCTAGTCTAGGTGATCTCTACCATGGAATCCTGCAGTGGTCTCCTTCCTTACTGATCACTTTGTCTAATCATTCTTTGCAAAACAACCAGAGCAATCTTTTTGAAGCCAAAATAAAACTTACTTATGTCACTCCCCAGTTTGGCACCCTCTAATGGCTTTCCTTCACATTTAGCATAAAAGCCACACTCTTGCCTGCATCTCATGACCTGGTTTGTTCTCTCTTCCCCAGCCTAGGTGCCAGTTTCCCTTCACTCACTTAACTCTAGTCTCAGTGACCTTTCAGTTTCTGCCTTAGGCCTTTGTACCTGCTTTTCCTTCTGCCTGGAATACCATTTTTCCTGTCTTTCAGTGGATGTCCCACATTGTATTTTTTGAGTCTTAGCTTAGATGTTACTTCTTTAAGGAGGTTGTTTCTAATAACCAGATCTGCATTAGCATGACCAACCCACCAACAAAGCTTCTCCAGCACATCACCCTGTTTTGTTTTCTTTATTGCAATCATCACTGTCTGAAATTATTGAATGAGATTATTGAGTGTCTTTAAAAGCAGAAGTTGGGTCTCAGTCAGTCATTTCTATACCTGCCAAAACACAATCACATGCCTTAGACACAAATGGATCGTTATAAAGTTTGGAAGGACGACGGAGCGGGCTTTAAATATTGGTTCTGCTACTTGCTAGGTATGTGACCTTGTGTTTCACCTCTCTAAGTTATATTTTCTCATCTGTAAAACAAATAATGATAGAGAAAATAATAACTCTTCATAGGAATGTTGAAAGGACTAAATGAGATAGAGCATGTCCAGTGCTTGGCACACAGTGTAAGTAGTGGATGTTGTTACGGTGATGATTTTTATGGATACCCAAAATGTCAATCCCAATAGAATCCAAGAGTAGCCCATCTTAAGTGACTGAGAGTCTAATATTGGTGACATTCTATAATATTGACTGTCATAGAGCCAATAAATAAATATTGTACCAAAAACTTAGCTGTGAATTTAGGCCTATATTCTTAATTAAGAAAAAGGTAACAGTGGAAAATCACTTCTGAGTCTTATAAATAGGAAATTGGATTTCCTAATGGGTAATTTAAAATACTTTGGGAGCATAAATACACCTGGAGCACTCAAGCTATAAGTTGGTGACTCAGAAAACAAGGGCACAGAATCTTGAAATAAGCAACAGCAAATGAGCACTTAAGCACTTAAAGAGCAAATTGCAGAAAATAAATTAATTCATTTAAATATGCATGAATCTCCTGAGTGGGGAATATGCTGAAATGGTGCTGAATGATTTCTTTTGTTACGTGTGTTCAGAAGTATTAATAATGCCTCACTTTGTGCTTTATACCTTTGAGGAGAACAAATCCCACAATCTTTTGCCTTTATAAATTGTTTTTAAAGTAATGGATTCTAAAACAGGAAATTCTAATCAAAGTATACACTGGTCACATTGATTTGGAAAAGTAGATAGGAAGTTTATCAGAAGATAGATGGATCCCTGAGAGAATGAAAAGTAGTTCTGATTACATCATTTAAAAAAAAAAAGTGGGGGTGGCCTTTGGGGAGGCTGATATAATTTTGCAGAAACTTCTTAAAAGTTAGAAACTTGCTGACCTTTTGCCTAAAATACATGCTAACATTTAACCAACCTCTCGGATACTGTGTGGCACAGCAATGTAAGTTCTAAGAATCAATATACTCAATTGTAGACCATAGTGTATGTTCAGGATATTTATCAGAATTACTAACTCAGTTATTTCAGCTCTCATCAGATCTCTTAATTTTCATTCTGGCCAGCACAGACACTAAAAATCTTGGTATTTTATGTCCTTGCATACTTAAAAACCAACTTTATGCTTACATAATTGAAGAAATAAAGAAAAAGGACCAGGGGAGGAGGCAGACATAATAGAAGCAGAAACAAACTCTCAATAAAAGGACTATAAGATGCAAAGCTATGCTCTCTTTGATCTTTTTAAGGAGAAGGATTTAAGGAAATTCCGATTTGCCCTGCACATGCTGATGGCTAGGGAGCTTCCTTCCTTGGCCACATTTCGTCTTTGATGCCAAGGCAGTGAAGGGGAGCTTGGCAGCAGAGCAAGAGCTGGAACCGAAGAGACCTCAACTGTGGAGTAGATGGAGCTGAGAAAAGGATTTGGCAGCCCTGCCTGAGAACAGAAATAATCAAAAGAATTGCCAAGAACCATAAAACAAAAAGGGTAGGGATATGAGCTACACTGACTTGGTTTTCTGAACATGGAAAAATACTAAATCTATTCGCAGTCTGTTATTATGCTCATGTATTTCTATGAGTTTGTTATTACAGTAATTTCTATTTTGCCTTAGGTCTATGAATAGGATCAAGACAGATAAGTTTTGTTGTTGTTTGTTAAGTCTGGAAAAACACATGCTTGCTCACACAGGATTTAAATATGTGTAACTTATGTATAAATGCATATATCCCCATAGTTGAATATTTCCATTGATGCCAAAAGTTCATTATTTTTTTCTTTTGGGATGCAGTGATATGTCACAATTAAATAATCTTAGAAATCTTTTGGAGCACTGTAGAAAGAAACAGGAGCACGTTCTGGGAACGTGGTGCAGCATTTGCAGAGTATGTCCTGATGGGTAAGGGATATGTACATCACTGGCATAGCAAGTAGAGGTGGTGGAAAGGTGAGAGGCATGCTAGAAGTATTGGCGGGATCAGCTCATGTAGGACCCTGCATACCGTAACACGATGTTTGGATTTACTCTTTAGGTAATGGGGAAAGATTTTAAGCCGGGGTGTGGGGAAATGCTCACCTTTGCGTTTAACAAAGATGCCTCTGGAATCAGGTACAAGTTGTATTACAGAAAGATACAGTAAATAGATTTTTTGTTCCTTTTTAAAATCAGACCATATAGTAAACTAGAACCTTATCTCAGTTACCTGAATAAACACTCAAAAAAAGCATTTCTTACTCATTCTAAAAAGAAAAATCTATTGAGCACAATTTTTAAAACTTTTGGCTACATTAAATGTATTATCATCTTTTTCAATATGTATCATTTACCTTTGAAATTCCAAATTCACCTTCTGTGTCTGCTTACATGGAAGGGAGTATAAGGATGTTCTGTCTTCAGGGTTATGATTTGTGGAATTACTTGGTTGTTCCCAACAAACAAAATTGCAAACGTCTCTTCTCCTTGTGGGATGTGGTAAGACTTCATTTCTGTAATATATTCTGTGCTGTTGTTCTGACCAAACCTGATGACCCAACGATCTTTTGTTTAAGGTGAAGTGATGTATTTTAAAGTCCAGATGTACCACAAATGAAGTTCTTTAGACATTAGAAAAATGTCACAATTACATACTCACCAACTACTCACCCACCTGACTGCATTTTACACTGCCTGTTACTGTTGCTAGAAGGATTATGCTTACAGGTAGAATTCACAGAGCACCTACGTGAAATGAGTTAGTATGTACTTATGTAGGTACTAACTGTTCAATGATGCTTCTTTAAGAAGATATATCCTGTAATAAACTGAAAAGCAGGATCTTCAAGAACTTTCAGTATGAAATATTTTCCATCCACTGTTATGCTTCTAGTGATTAACTTGCCTTATTAATAGCTCTGTGAGATGTTTTTCTAATCAGTGCACACGAGCTGTCATCAAAACTAGAATTCCTAATTCTGAGCCAAAACAGTTGGAGACCAACCAAATCAGGACCTTTAATAAGGCTTATAAGGAAAAACCATCAATCATTCATTCCCTCTCCCTGGCTTTGCATACATTATTGAAAAATTTTATCAAAGTTTTTATACTAAAAAGCCTTTTATGACATTTGAATGTTATACATATTAGCATGTAGTATTATCTAATCAAAATTTGATTTGCAAGGGTGAATCAGCTAATGTATTCATAATTTTAATCCTGTTAACAACTCTGAAATTGGCTGATAATTACCTTAGGATTAGAGACTCTAATTTGTACATTGGTAATGTGTTTCCAGTCACCAGCTAATGTAATAACAATAATAAATTATACTTCTATCTTCATTGAGAGTGTGATGGACAGCTGAATTAGGATATTTCCACTGGAACTGAATATCAAACTTTTCCCCTAAATATTAAAGCCTTGTAAAGTTTCTGAACATTCAAGGCCACGTTTAGCGCTGTGCTAGTCAAGGCTTATCATGTTCCCAGTGGTTTTAATTCAGTTAAAATCTGTGCCTTAGTCTTATCAGCATCACTATCACTGTCAGCAGAGTTTCCTCAGTGCAGTGCCAAACAAAACTGCCTCATAAACCACATGAAAGCCAAAAACTTGGCCATGTAGCTTTACCTGCATTTATAGCAGGCATCCATCTAATTCACATTGTCAGAGAGGCCTCATGTAGAAAATTCCGTTGCCCCAAAATATTTCTAATGATGTGTTTTAAATCTATGCAATAAGAGTAAATTAATGATGTTAAGCCAAAGGATTTTAAACTCCTTCTTAAACTGCAGAAGGCTTTGCTTACCAAACTTTACTTAGAATCTTAAAGCATAAAGATAGATAAGCAACTGTTCCGTCTGAAGTATAATACAAATGCTATCACATAGGGTGTTTTATCACGTAAGATTTTTAAAATCACTGAAATAAGTTCATAACATTGTACATGAATTTCACACTTTATTTATGGACTATTTTTTCCTGCAAAAAATAATAGCTCATAAAAATGAAGTGAATACTGAGTGCTTCCTTTTGTGTCAGCAACTCTTCCAACTGCTTTCTGTGAATTTGTCTCCTGTAATCTAATAGTGTCAAGTACTATTTTACAGGTGGGGAAACAGAAGCTTAGAAATATTAGCTTTGTTGCCCAGGATCACAAAGCCTATAAGCAATGGAGTTGGGATTTATTTTTTCCTCTGGCCATCTGCTGCCAAAGCCCATGTGCTTACCACTCATACACTCCTACTTACTGTAGAGTTAGGATCTTTGACCAGCATCTCAGAATTCACAAGTCTGCTATGGAGAGATTCTTCTTTTCAGACATGCTTGAAGAGAATTTTGCAGAGCATTAGTTGCCTGATGACTTTCTAATAAGCCCAAGGGCCAGGGGTTTTTTTTGTTTGTTTGTTTGTTTTTTCTTATTACCTTCTTTGATACCTCCTCACGAATTGCTGAAGCAAATGCAGTTAGAGCTGGATTCTCAACCCTGGCTGTGCACCGGGATCACCTGGGAGTCTATAGAAAGTACTGCTGCCTTGGTGCCACATGTTGAGGGTCAAGGTAATTGGTCTCAGGTGTAGCCTAGATGCTGGGTTTTTGTTTTGTTTTGTTTGTTGAAAAGCTCCCTAGGTGTTTCCTGTGCAGCCAAGGTTGAGAGGGCTGCTCTGAAAGCTGAGCTGCTGTGCTCATGCATTGGCCTACATAAGGTGTGCAGCTACATAGGTGCAACTGGCAGAGTAAGGTGGGCCACAAAAATGAAATCATTCTGTTTTCGTGTAACAGGATCTCTTAGTAATCCTGAGCGTTTAATATCTTCATATCACTCCACAGAACCCAGTAATTCCCTAAGAATTCACAAATGGATTCTTGAACAACAGTCTAGGTGGTCCCGTTCATCGTATATATGTTTTATGACCCCTGGCCTTATAACATGTTTGTGATTTGAGAGGCAATACCGTCTCAAAGTCTGGAAAAGCACTGGAGCATAGAACATGGGACTGAAAATGGACAAGTTCTGTTGAAAGGAAACATTTGTTTATGTCAATTAACTGCAGTGGTAAAAGAAACCTATTCTTTACATGGAGCTCTTAATATTTCTTTAGTAACCCACACTACAGCTTTTAGCCGGAGGACATGTCATATGTAACCCCTTCCTTATGACTGTGACAGAGCAAAATGGCTAGTGTCCAGGAAGGGAGCCACAGCCCTAGCAAAATATAAATAAATAAAGACCATAATAACTTACATGCCCATCACTAAATTATTATTAGCCAAGGAGTGGCAAGTAGATGAGCTGTTTTCTGTGATTGCATGTGCATGCAATTATGTTTCTGTCTAGAGTAATTAACTATTCACTTGTTTTCTTGGAAACAAAATAGATTATATACCATCACATGATTTTCACTGCAGAAAACAAATAGCTGTTTAGTGGTACAACATTCCCCACCCCACCCTCAAAAAATCCGTAAGTTCCTCCTCCCCCAATCTAATTTTGGTGTCTCGTGACTTTTAAAAATCATGATTATTTAGTTCTAAGTTCACTATGCTGTCATATTAAGGGTATTCCTTTTTTAAATTACAAATTAGAATTTATGTTTTGGCTTCCTGCTTCCTTTTTTTTCTTTCTACATCCAGATTACATTTGTAATTATTTTCTGCATAACTTCCTATGTCCTGTAGGTAAGTTTTCTTTTTTCTGAGAATTGTGTTACAACATGGATTAACAGAATCCTTGGAAGCATGAAGACAAATAATTGCCTACAAAAGACACGAATTGAGACAAATAATAATTGATATGCTTGAGGTCTAAGTTAATTTGTACCAGTAGCCTATAGGATTGTTTTTAGCTGGAGGGCAGAGAGCAGAATCCTCTTGGACAGCTCCCCCCCTTGGTAACCGCCAACTGTGAATGCACAGAACAATGAGTGCTGAATCAGGGCCTCACTAAAAAGTTGTCATTTTGATTTTTTCTCAATTAAAATACATCATGTGTGATATTAGAGTTACTGAAATTATTATGCCAAATGATGCATTGACCTTGTAGTAAATTTTGTGACTTCTTTAAGGCAAACCACTCAGCCGTGCACTGAAACCTGAGCTATAGAAAAAGAAGAGTAATGGCATTGCATTGACAGTCTGTTGGTTTTCTGATCCATGCTGTTGCCCCCCAGGACTCTAAGAGCCCTGGGTCTTTGTCAGATTCCTTTCAGTACCTCAATTCCTCGATAATTGAAAAATAAAATAATTGTGGTGAGCTGAGGAACTGTGGGTCAGGACTGATGTATTACATCCTTTCTTTCTCTGTGTGCCCAGATTGCCACCTGGCTTTCTCATCATTCTAGCACCCTCAGACTGCGTCTGGATCTGAAGCATCTGTCTCTGTATTATTCCACACTCTTGGTAAAAGTCACTAAGGTTCAGTTGGCCATATGAGTGGGAAATATGAGTGACTGCTTGAAGCAACACACGCTAAGGAAGGGAGAGAAAGAGAACACCTCATCTTCTCCTGTCAGTCTCTTAAAGTAACTGACTCAGACAAAAGGCAAGAGAGAGTAGCCATGGCAGTAGCTATTGCCTTGGCCTGGGCGACCCAGTGTTCATCAGCTGCAAGAGCTCAGTACAGCCTGCATGGCACAGTTTCACACAGAGCAGAAACAGCCAAGAGGGTGAGGACTGTAGGAGGACTGGGTTTTCTCAGCTATCTAAGATTTTTTTTTTTTTTTTCTGAGATGGAGTCTCAGTCTGTCACCCAGCTTGGAGTGACGTGGAGCCATCTCAACTCACTGCAACCTCTGCCTCCCAGGCTTAAGCGATCCTCTCACCTCAGCCTCCTGAGTAGCTGGGACCACAAGCATGAGCCACTATGCCTAGCTAATTGTTTTGTATTTTTGGTAGAGATGGGATTTCACCATGTTGCCCAGGCAGGTCTGGAACTCCTGATCTCAAGTGGTCCATCCACCTTGGCCTCCCAAAGTGCTGGGATTACAGGCATGAGCCACCGTGCCTGGCTAGAATTTTTTTTTTTTAATTGAGAAACTTCAACTTGACACTCGACTTGCCATGATAATAAACTGCTTAGAATTGCCGTCCCAACTATATATGTTTCAGGATGTACCTGTAAAGAAAAGCCAGTCTGATGAATATGCGATTGAATGTCTGATCAACCATGACTTGTTTTCTGGGCTAGAACTTGTTTTTTGCCAGAAAAAAAAAAAATAAGTGTAATTCAAGTGTATGGGAAAAGATACTAGTCCAATTCCTATGGCATAGTTTGAATTGTTTTGTTCCTTCTTCTATAGTTGCATTACGTTCGCCATTAGTGACCCCTGCAGAAAGGTTAATCAATCCATCAGTCAATACAAGATAAAATAGAAGTCTGGGTTTCAGGACCCAAAGCCTGACTTTTCTCTTTCTTAGATACTTCAGCTGACTTCCAGCAGCTCTTGCTCTGGCTCAAGATGAGAGGCTCACCCTCCTTGGCATTAGAGTCCAACTGTGGTGCAGTACCTCTGACTTTATCCCTTCATCCTTTACCTTCAGCGGACATTAATCTGCCTCCCTGCAGAATATTACTTAACTTCCTGGGGTAGGAAGTGAAACTCAAATGCCATAAAAAGCATGCCTTTGGTTTAGTCAGACCTAGAGCCCACAGGAATGATTTATAATGTATAGGTTTATCAATGAAACATTTTTCCACTTTAGGGAACAGACATTATTCTATTCCTGGCAATAAACTAAAATAGATGCTACAAGATAAACAGAATGATTTCACCAGTTCAGCCTTTGTGGGACCTAATACATTATAAGAAAAATTTCAAATAAATTACAAATTGGAGTTGTGTCCTGCAATTGTATAAGACGGTTGCCATTGCAAAGTGATTTCTGCTTTTAGAATGAATGTGGTTTTCCTGCAGTTCAATGTGACACTTATCTGAGCCCGACAGTGATAGCAAGACTTATGAGCCAAGCCCACTGTTGGACCTGCAGTGCCATCTACAGAATAGATTGGATAATGTGGATTCTGTTTCTCTTCTGCACTTCAGATAATGTAGCCACAAGGGAAATAAGATGTGTATGTGTTTAGAATTAGCTGTGTACATACAGTAAGGCTTTGTTGCTACATAGAAAAATGGTTGCATATTTGCAAAATGCTGTTGCTGTACTTAAGGCTCTATTACCTAGACTCCTAAGGCAAAGGAGTGTTGTGTTTCCTATTAAATTGATGAACTGGATAGCCCATTTGTTTCAAAAATTTGTTTGATAATCTGTGTAAGATGACTTTCTGGTTACCTTGAATAGATCGTATTGGAATGAATATTAGTTTCATTATTTATGTATTTATTATCTCTACTGCTCATATCTGTCTCCAACTGCCAGAACATAATCACCATGAGGGAAAGATTTTTATCTATTTTGTTCACTGATTTATTCCAAGTATTTAGAACAATGCCTGGCACAAAAGCAGGTCTTCAAATATTTGTTATTTGACTGAATAAATATAACTGTACTTTGCTAGTAAGTAGAACAAATGTGGAAAGATAGTCAGTTGAATTTTGGTTTGTATTTTTAAAATGGGCACACCTATACCTCTTCTTCCTATATTACTGTTGTACTGAAAATTACGTGAAATAATGGATGGAAAAGTGCTATAAACTATAGGTACTATAAAATTTAGGTATTTTCCCAAGAATCTTTTTTTTTCTTTTGGTAGAGCTCCAGAAATTTAGAAAATGTAAAACATCACCCCCATTTCCCCCCATAATTTCCTGAAGTACTTTTAAAATGTATATATCTGAGCGCCACATCACATAGGTTGGGGCCTGCCAGTGTTCATGTTTATTAAGAATCTCAGATGATCCTGAAGCATGCTATTATAATATTTGAGAACTTATATCATTAAAAAGGGGTTGAAATTGAATTGAATTCAAAATGGAAGTTACACCTTTAATATTATCCTCACCCATTATTCCTGATAGGAAGTTATTTCTGACTGGATATATTTCTTTGTCTTAAGGGAAATACATAATATTTTAATTGCTGTATATTATTTAGCTTATGGTATAGAGTATTACCTGACTTAAAAAAATAGAATAAAAGGATCTAGACGTATGTAGTAAATTAAGATCATTTTAGTATATCAAATTTATTTTAGAGAATTTGCATATATTTCCCAAGGTAGGGTACAAATACTATATGAAGCAATATAAAAAGGAAGCAAAAGAAAACCAGCCTAAGTTTGTATAAGACAGACTTTAATTTTATTTAAGAAATTCCACTTGTTAATTTTGGTGCTAAAATGCTGTAGAGGATATTAATGTGCTTTGACATATTATAAAAATAGCTTTTTTGCACGGAGGTTATTTCTCTATTGTCTTTCTTAAGGCTTTTCTGAGAAATAAATGGGGAAACACCGTATCTTTCCCCAGATTTGCTAATTAACCATGTAAGAATTAAAACATTCTTTGTGTTATAATAGTTCTATAGATAGATATATGCTTTCATAGCACAAAAGTATCTCTTAGGCAAGTTAAATGCATTTTTACTTATTTTATATTTGGTTTTGTCTTGAGAACAGTGTCTGTAGGCTGAGTCATCATCTATAGCATTTGCTTCACAATATGAATGAATGGAATATATATTTACTCTAAAACAAAGAGGAATATTTTGGATAGTGGATAAAGGTGAAATTTAGAGTCAGATAAGCCTTAGATGCAAATTCTGACCCTACCACTGGGCGTCTTCCTCTAACTCACCTTCTAAGTATATTCATTATATTCATATATTCACACACACACACACACACACACACACACACACAGACATTTATTTAAGTGGTGTCCATGTACCAGGTACCACTGTGCTAACGTGCCTGTGATAAATCAAATTCAAGAATTCAAGGGCTCCTATGACATTCTGGGAGGGAAGTGATAATATACCAAGTATAACAAAAGTGTAACTATCAAGATAGACAGTATGATAAGTGCTATAGAGTAAATTAGCAAATTCAAAACACATAGAATAATGGAGGAAGGTCCCATTAATAATGTTTCTGTGAAAGATCCCTTTGAAGAGGTAAGATCTACAGAATGAGAAAGAACCCACCGCAAGAAGAGCTGAGGAAAGGGAATCTGGGCAGAGGGGGAACAAATGTAAAATGCAAAGGCCTTGGCGCTTCTGAAGACCAGTAAAGAGACCTAGGACAGGGAATAGTGGCTGAATTTGGTGTGGATATGAGAGAAAAAGGTAGGCAGGAGGGAAAACTGGTAGGCCATCGCAGGAGGTGTGTGTTTTATTCGAAGAGCATTAGGGAATCATCTAAGGGTTTTAACCAGGGAGTGACGCCAGAGTAAACTATCCAAAACATCTTGTTACTCTCCTCCCTAAATAGCTGATGGATGCTCATTGCCTACCCAGAAGACGAAGCTCAAGCCCATTTACTAGGTCATCAAGTCCTTTAGGACATGGTCTGTTGTTAAATACTCATTCCTCACTATTTTGTGCCTTGCCCTTTTCAGTCCAGCAACAGCAAACTGCCTTCAGACTCCAGCACCTCCCAAATTGTTCCCACCTTCCTGCTGATATTTCTGCTCCTCTACCTGCCAATATGCTCTCGCTAAGGCCAGCTCCTCGCTTTTTCAAAGAGCCTTTCTCCCTTGTACTCCTACCCCGACCATTACAATCCAGAACTCACAGTACCACATGCATATTTAATGTCCTCATCTGTTTATGAGTTTCCCTGGGGACATGCGGAGAAAACTGCCAAGGAGTGAAGATGCTTTCAGTAAATGTTGCATGAAGATTTTGGGTAAACGTAGCTGTGCGGATTAATAAGTTTGATCAAATGCCAAGGTAGAATAGTGGCACAGTCTTGAGTAGACAGTAGGTGCTAACTAGATCATCATTCACATTCATTCTCCTTCCTTTCCCCTTGTCTGTCTGGCAAGCTTTTATTCCTCTTATCATGTGCAAGTACTTTACAATGGACACTCTGCCACTAGGCCTTGCAAAAAGGGGTCAAATCCTGGATCTGTCTCTAGAGGGCTTAGAGTCTAGCAGAGGAGCGGGAGCAGATTCATAAAAGAACAAGCAGATATACAAATGCACAGGACGAAGTGATAAATGAGATTATGAACAGGAAGAGCTAAAGTCTTAGCCTTAAATGAAAGTCTCACCTCATTTGTTTCTTAGAAAAGAAGGCTGGAGAAAAATTTTGCATTATTAAGCCTTCATTACTTTTCCAAAATATCCTGCGGCATGCTTACTAATGTATTATGAAATTCTTATGAATAAATAACTCTAATGTCGCATCTCAAAATATGTGAACAAGGGGTATTTTTTCAAGTTCTTTTCTGCATATTTCATTTTGCATGTTACCTCTAAGAAATGCTGTATAAACAGTTGGATATATTTATAGAATTGATGTACCATAAATCCCATTACTCCTTTAGATAATCATGCATAACTGCTGATGAGTGTATTAACCCATTTTTACTATATAAAACATCTTTAAATGGCTTCTAGTTTTATAACATACCCATGGTCAAAGCATTTTAAAGTCTGTAAAGATAATGTTCATAAAAACTAATTTGAGGCTGGGTGCGGTGGCTCATGCCTGTAATCCCAGCACTTTGGAAAGCCAAGACGGGCGGATCATGAGGTCAGGAGATCAAGACCATCTTGGCTAACACGGTGAAACCCCATCTCTACTAAAAATACAAAAAAATTAGCCGAGCATGGTGGCGGGCGCCTGTAGTCCCAGCTACTCAGGAGACTGAGGCAGGAGAGTGGCGTGAACCTGGGAGGTGGAGCTTGCAGTGAGCCGAGATCGCACCACCTCACTCCAGTCTGGGCGACAGAGCGAAGACTGTCTCAAAAAAAAAAAAAAAAAAAAAAAAAAAAAAACTAAAATACACAACAGTAAATTGATTCAAGTTAGATCTTACACATAGGCATTTGAGCTCCATTTTAATTGGCTTTAACATTACTTGTTCATTATTTAGTTTTGCAACAGTCTAAAAACATCCAATTGCTGAACATTGAAGGCATGAGAGATCATCTTTCCCTGTCAAATAAAATTGCAAGTTCTAAGAAACATCAATATAAATATTACTCATCCCTGTAAGCCTAGCAAGCACAGTGCTCATGCATCCTGTTTGATCTGAAGAGCATCATAGTCACTTGGAAGACATAAGATCTACATAGATGAAGAAGACAGTATGTAGCAAAATACAGTTATGTATGTATTTCAGAAAATAGGTAGCAAGAAGTATAAGTATAGGAGAAATCACGGTCATGCTCTGGGAAGGCCTTTGAGTTGAGCCTTAGCAATTGTCTAAGATAAATAGGCGAAAAAGTGAAAGAGGCAAGTGAGAGAGATGGAAAACGAACATTCCAGGCAGGAGGGAGAATATAGATCTACATGCGGAAGCAGGAATGAGCATCCTGGCAACTGAGCAACCCACCTTCTCCTTCCACTTAAAATATCCTGGAACCTAATTATCATATTATTACAGGCTAAAGATAGGCCTGTCATACACCCCAGTGAAGGCAATTTTTATGCTGCTTCATATATAACAGGACTGAGGAGTACAGAGGTTTCAGCACCCGTTGTAGGGAAAGAACAGATCTGAGTGTGGGCTGAGAAAGGGGAGGAGATAGTGAACCGAAAATAGTACTTTGTCTCGACCAAAGTTTTCAAGTTCCTTGAGGGTATTTTCAACTAAGATGCAAACAGCAACTGATTCTTTTACCATAAAAACAAAAGAAATTATGTTAAATCCATCTGAGGTAACTCGACAGTTAATTTTTTTTTTGCTCCCCTTTTCTCCCTCCCATGCCATCCTTCAATTTAATGTGTTAAGATTTTAAAATGGCAAGCATGAAGTGTAACAAAACATGAAGTTTCTTACAAAGTTTTTTAGCTATATTTATACATCCAATAGCAAGGCCAGCCTATGTGACATAGGCATCATTTAACTAGAGAAATTCTTATTTTCCTAGGTCTTTGTACCTTATTACAGTGAATTAATACAATTTAAGTCTTGCTAGAATTGTATCCTTTAACAACAAAATAATGTTGCTATCACCTAGGTGTTATATTATTTAAATATATCTTTTCAAAATAAATTGTGTTATACATAAATATTCAGGTAAAGGTTTACCATTTTAGCTGGATGTGGTGGCTCATGCCTATAATCCCAACACTTTGTGAGGCCAGGAGTTCAAGACCAACCTGGGCAACATAGCAAGACCCCATCTGTTTTAAAAAATGTAGCTGAATGTGGTGATGTGTGCCTGTAGTCCTAGCTACTCGAGAGACTGAGGTGCCGGTGTAGCTTGAGCCCACGAGTTTGAGGATACAATGAGCTATGATTGCACCACTGCACGTCAGAATGAGACCCTGTCTCTAGAAAATAAAAAATGATAAAAGAAAGCTTTGACTTATTTGAGCACGTGAGAAAGGGGAAGAGGAAGAAACCTTTATTAAATGCAGATTTAAATGCCTTGTGCAGTCTTAGGCATTATTTACTCATCATAAAAACCCTATAAAATAGCTATTAGCATTTTCAAATTAGAGATTGGAAAACAAACGTTTAGACGGTTCAAGTCCTTTAAACTAGGCCATATAGAGTAGAAAGTATATAAGCATGTGAATGATACAACAAGAAGTAAACAGAAACCAATTCAGTATATGTCTGGCCAATGAGGTATGATTCTGAGTCCACACACACATACACACACACATGCACACATGTGTGCACGATTATGAAAAGAGGCAGGAGACATTTCGGAATACAGGAAAAAAGGAAGGTCATTTAGTTTCCTGTCAGTGACCATCTTTAGAGCTTTAGTATTTGTGATGACACCCAAAAGGTGTCATGGATAAAGTGAACATGTAGAAATGTCAAAGCTAAGTGTAATTTTGAAAAGAACCTGATGTAAAAACTGCCGAGATAAAGCCCGGTTGAAAAAAAAAAAAGAAAGAAAAAACAGCAATAGGAAGATGATGATTGGGGAGATACATGAGCAAGAGCAGAGTGGAAGATGAATGGAAATATAAGGCAGCTTTGCATAATTATGCACTTCATGTGGTTATATACATAAAAAGAGACCATGCTTAAAACCACAGTCCCAGGAATGAGCACCCCAAAGGATTTGTGCCTTTTCTAGTCTGAAGAAATTTGGCATATGATGGCCCATATATTCTGGTTGCCATGCGCTATTCTACCCTCCTTTACCCCTCTATAGGCATGTGATATGCGGGGGAGAGAACATGTATTACTCATTAAATGAAACATGAACGGGCGAGACATATATCTTTGATAGTGTTAGAGAATTTGTAGGCAATTATATTATAATCACTCTCAATGTTTCTGTGTTTCTGATTTTGGACTGTTCATGGGTGGTAGCTACTGCAGGCTGTCATTAAATGGATGCAAATGGTAATTGTAACTGATGAATGATTGATGATGGCTTTATTCTGTACTCCTGGAAACAGCCTCTGGCCTACCAGAAAAGTAACCTCTAACCAGAGAGCAATTAATGTAAACTATAGGCTCTAGCTTGTTTTCTCGGGGTGGCTGGGTAGGGTTGGGGGATATGGCATGTCTTTGGAACATTGAGGCTGTCTTTTCTGGCCTGTGCCTTTCCCCAAGTCTTTTTACTTTCTGTCTCAGAGAATTGCTAGTTAGAGTGAGAGGGCTAGGAAAAGAATCTAGGATTTCAGCATGGTAATTCAGTCAAATATGGCTGGTTTCTCAAATAAAAGTACCTGAACTGGAAAGCTAGGCAGCCTAGGGGTGGATAGGGAGCCTACACCTCTGGGTTGAAGAATCATTTGACCTACATTACAAAAAAACAAATACTTCAGTAGTACTGCATTTCCTAAAGTTTTACAACTGCTTATATAGATTATCTAATGCTCTTTAGATAACGTGATGTCTCAGCATCCTTCTAAAGTTGTGTGTGTGTCGGGGGAAGGGCAGACATATCTTGGTCACGTTTATTGACTACATTTGACTTCCTGAAGAACAGACATGAACAACATATATATGGGGGTGGTAATTTTCTTCTCTGCATCCAGAAAACTTAGTCCTATCTAGTTGGCCCATCTTTTTGAACTTTAGTCATACCTTGTAGATTCCAGTTGAAGTGAGGTTGTTAAGACAAACATAAACATGATGAAAAATTACTTAGAATTTAAGAATGCCAAGAAATTGATGTATTAAATGAGGTTACTGGAGATCTATTTATGAAATGGGAGCGTTCCCTGACCCCCTCACAGGACTTGTGACAGGGGCGTGGCTCATTTGCTTGGCCCACACCCCCTTACAGGACATGGGGCATGCAGATGGGCCGGTGCAGGAGCTGGGCCAAGTGCTTCTGGGCTCTGGCCCCACAGTAGCATCTGGAGGTGTGTTACAATTAGTGCTCTTTTAGCAGTTGCTATCCATGGATGGCTAAGTGTTAAACCAGCTCAGTGGAGAGTTAGGGTGACATCCTTTTACACCCTGCCCTCTTGGTACCCGGGTCCTTGTCTGGCATCCAGGAAGAATCAGGTCATATGGACTTGAAGGATAGTGAACGTGGGGATTTTACTGAGTGATGGAGGTGGCTCTCAGCAGAATGGATGGGGAGCTGGAAAGGGGATGGAGTGGGAAGATGATCTTCCCCTGGAGCTTGGCCATCCCACAGCCAATCTCCTCTCTGACTGTCCCCAGCCAAACACCTCCTGATGTTCAAATGCTCCTTCTCTTTTCTCCTTCTCTGCTGTACCTTTCTGCTGCTGTTCTGTTCCTCTGCTTGTGGAGCTTAGGGTTTATATGAGCACAGGATAGGGGTGTGGCAGGCCAGAGTGGTCTTGGAAAAGGCAACATTTGAGCATGAAAACAGGAATGCCTATTCCCACTTAGGGCCACCAGGTTTCCAGGCTTGAGGTGGGGGCCTTTGCCGGGGAAGCACCCTCTTCTACCCAGAATTTCCTTGCCTCCTGTCCATATCACTATTTACTGTGTTATCTGCTAGTTCATAGTGATAACCCTAGACTAGAGAAGGAGAGAAATAGGAGTTTGGAGGGGCAGCCGTGAGAGAGCAGAAATCGGCCTGGAATCAGAGGCTCTCAGTTCTAGTCACATCTGCTTCATAGTTGAGTTATATGGCCTTGAAGAAACCTATATTTCCTGATTTACTAATATGAGAGTCTTTTCCCCTGCACTCCCGTGGCCTCCTTTGTTCCACAAAGAGATTGGCAGAATTTGCATTAAGTCAATTGAAATAGAATACCAAAATGGAGAAAGAAGTCAAAACCATGGTGAAAAATCCGACCACAAATATGTAGGACAAAAATCAAATAATCTTTATGATGCAGGGTTGTTGCTAAGTTCAAAAAAGATAATATATTGAAAGAAGTTTATACTTTAAAGGTATTGACTGGGTGGTATTTCAGATAGATACAGATTCAGCAACAAAATCTTGGAGCTGAATAAGACTCTTACTATTTACAAGGTTTGGTTCGGTTTATATTGTTTCATAAATAAAAGTATTAACTAATGCCTTCTTGTCAAAATAGGATTTTGATTTTAGTAAAAATTCAAATATTCATTAATAGACAAGGAGGAAATGGACTATATGTGCCCAAAGGGTCATAGAAAGAAGACAGAATTAAAAATAAGATTTTAAACAATATATGTCTTAAATTCTTCATGTCTCATAAAAGCCTCATAATTTGCTTCATATTGGATCTGATTCTATCCCTCAAACTATGGAGTCTAAATCTGATCTTTCTAGCACACGCCACATGTTTGAAGTCAATTAACGTGCCTTGGTTGTGAACATGTATTTAAGGTAAATATCCCTAATTTCTTTAATGACTCTTCATATAATATTTTCTCCAGATACCTTCAACACACTCTCCTGTGGACATGTGGCAGTAGTCAAAGTCTCTCTTAAAATGTGTTGCCAAGAACTGATAATGGTGCTCTAAAACTGGATTGATGAGTACATAGATCAATAGGTTGTTACTATCCTTTTTTGAACCTTACGGTTATTCTTCCATATCACTTAAGAATAGCTTTTTTAATAGTCACATCACACCACTATCAACTCATACTGAGCTTACAGTCAACTAAAACTCTTGTGTTTCTTTCATATGAGATACTGTAGGTCAGGCCTCTGAGATACTGTAAGTCAGACACCCTAACCTTGTGTTACTATTTTAAATGTAATTGCAAGACCTTATTACTGTCCCTATTTCATTTTATCTTGATAGTTTCCTAGAGCCAGGGAAATTTTTTTTAAGTTTGTTTTGACGTGATTTTTATGTTAGCTGGCACATGCTCATTAAAGAAAATTTAGAATGTTAAAAAATTAAATATGATGTATCTTCAAAATTAAAATTTAATATCAGTAATTATATCATTCAAATATAACTAATAACAGCAGTTTTTATATATTCTCATTCTTCCTATGTGTATAGTTATGCTATATATACAGCTTTTAATGCTGTTTTAAAACAGACTTAGAAGCATATCATATGCTGCTATATAGTCCTCATGGTTATATATTTATTACCTACACAATATTCAATGCAATGTAAATTTGTGTTTGTTTCCTTTGAACAGTGAGCGTGCTTTTACTATTATAAATAACGCTGTAATAGACATCATCATGCAAGAAGTTTTATCTGTGTTTAAGATTTGTCCTCTTAGGATAAATGCTCAGAAAAGAAATTACTGAGCCAAAGAAAATGAATTCTAAAAATGTCATTTCTACCACTTAATTAGTAGTAAGTGTGGAGACAGACAATGCATAGACAATATGCTTAGCCTCTAAAACACTCTTTACTTCTATTTTCATTACACATGTAATTACTTCTTCAATATGCGCCTTCATTGAGAGCGTATCCATTAGGATTCAGTCCAATTGAAAGAACAAAGGCCCAGGATCACAATGGTTTAAACACAGGAAGGGTTTCTTTCTCCTGTGAAAGCCCATTCAGGTCAGTCTAGGGATGATCTCGTGGTTCCACTTCACACAGCTGTCAGGGACATGCTTCTTCTGCCTTGCTGCTCCAGCGTTCCTGGAGCATTCCTGGGTGGGACCTTCATGCTCATGGTCAGAGATGGAAGCTAGAGTTCCATCCCATCAACATTCCAGGGGGCAGTGTAGATATAAAGAAGCAAAAGCTTCAGCTGTCTCTTTAAGGAAAATTCCTTTAATTGCTACACAAATTCTGCATATATCTTTTTAGCCGAAACTTTCTCGGATTTACCTAGCTTCAAAGGAGGCTGAGAAGTATTATCTCTATTCTCAGGAACTATATATCTGGCTAAAAATCAGTGGTTCTCTTCTTCTGGATGAAGAGAAAAATGGATATTGGGGGATTACAAGCCGTTTTTGCCATGGAGAATAGATGGTGTTTCTTTCTGTTTTTAACCTCAAAACCTCAGGACCTAAAGACCTAGGTCAAAAACACAAAATGTGTAAGATTTCTGAATATTTTTTGAATTGAATTTGCAGTTCTTTTAGGTGCATTTTCCCACCAGTCACAACTTTCATTATGCCACTTGAGCCATTTATTTCTAAATCCATCCTGTAACTTAAATTCTGATGGAATTCAGAGAAGATACAACTCAGCACCAGACAACTGTTTTTAGCCAGTATTGCTGCAGCCCAAATCTATAAACTGTGGGGTTTGTATTCTGTTCCATATGAGATCTACCACCACAGAGGAAGTTTGTTTAGAAAGCATTGTGAATTAAAAATGTATACAGAGTTATTGTGTATATGTGTATGTAGCACAAAAGTAGAAAAGTGATGTTCTCCAAAACATGGAAGCTAGGGAGAGCCCCACTGAATTGAATTAGAGTCATCATTTTCAGTAGGTTTTATACAAACAAAAGATAAATAAGAAATTGGGAGGCCAGGTGTGGTGACTCACTCCTGCAATCCCAGCACTTTGGGAGGCCAAGGTGGGAGGATTGCTTGAGTTCAGGAGTTCGAGACCAGCCTGGGCAACATAGCAAGATCCCATCTCTAAAAAAAATTACAAAATCAAAAAACTAACTGGGTGTTGTGGCACGTGCCTGTAGTCCCAGCTACTCAGGAGACTGAGGTAGGGGGATCCCTTGAGCCTGAGAGGTTGAGGCTGTAGTGAGCTGTGATTGCACCACTGCACTTACCCTGAGTGGCAGAGCAAGACCTTGTCTCAAGAAAGAAGAAGAAAAAGAAACAATTGGGCCATTTGACTTAAAGAGCCTAAGAATCTAAGTGGGTATTTAAAATTACCCGTCCATTATTCAAAGGCATGAATGTTTGTCAGATGTGTGTTCACACTTTTTAAAAAGATTATTTGCTTTCTACCCCCTTTAAATTTAAATACGAAGAAAAGACCAGGGGCAGATTTCTCATCCCTGGAATAAAAATGTCAGTTTTGTCAGAATGTGAAAACTTTGACAAATGAGACTGTAGCTTGCTCAGCGGTTTCAACACATGTACAAGGGTGCTTGGTACCAGAGTGCTCCTCACCTGTTCAGTCATCTGCAGTGAGTGACCTGACACAAAGTTTGTAAATTTAACTTGGGAAGAGTGATAAAGAATACAGAAACCTGAAGTATATAAATGAATTGGAAACCAAATTATATTTTTTGACACTTACAAAGAAAAGATACTCATTTGCCTGGATTTGAATGTATTTAGTTTCTGTCAAATATATATGTATATCATACTAGAGAACCATATTGCTCAATTTCTTTCCAATTTTTCTTTCAAAGCTGTAAGAGCAAAATTCACAACCCTAATAAGGTTTTAGAAATAAAGAACATTTTCTATCTTCCACCTGTTACTGTTACAACCATTTAAGAAGTGGAGTGGAAAAAAAAAAGAAAAAAGAAAAAAAAATAAAAAATAAATAAAAATAAATAAAAAGTGGAGTGAATAATAAATCTAAACATTTCTATATTTTGCTATTTGCTACATTTCTATTTCCCCCAACTACCATCCTTTTCATTTATTTTTGTTTTTAACTTCAGCTTATTATCATGATTACTTCATACCAGAGTATACAAAGCTTGACTGATACGATTTCAGAAAACAATGTCATTAGTTTGATATATTGTGAAAAAAAATACCTTATAGTATTGAAAACTATACTGACTAATACTCAAAGAACATGACCTTTCAAAATTAGTTTTCCTCTTTACCAAAAGAAGGAGAGAGGAGAAGAGGTATTCCTTTCCCTAAGCCATAGGCGCTCTTGAGATTTTTTGAATTTTTTCAAATACCAGACACCATGCATTTTCATACTTAGAGTACCTGTTCTGGTAATCTGATAAGCATTCATTCAGCGTAGCTTCCTATCAGTCGAGTGTTTGGTTTTTATCTAGCTGTGATTGTTTTTTTTTTCCATTTGTATCCAGAAATACAACACTTAGTAGATTATCTTCTAAGCATACATGGCTGTTTTAAAAAATATAATCCTTTTTTCTACAAAACAAACCTATCCACATTTCTCCACCACATCTCACGTTTTTCGGGGTTCTCAAGGCAAAACTCTTTTTACTGTGGGTAGAACAGATAGACCAACTGACCCTTGGAGTTGCTTTTTAAATGTTTTTTAAGTTTCTACTTGAGCCTAGCATAGGAAGAAAAATGCAGTGACTGCAGCCTTATTCTTTCAAAAGTTGTTGTAAAGAATTCAGAAATATGTCTATCAAAGGATATTTGGGAAGACTAACTTTTAAAGTAAGTGAAGCATAACTTACAAGGATGCAGAGATAACAAGAGGCTTAAGTGAAATGAGGAAAGAGAGAACGTCTTACATTGGATGCGGTTCTTTCTCAGGCCTGTGAATTGTCTGTATTTCTTTGAATTTTAAACTTGTTTGAATTATTCCTTTATTGCTGTTCTCAGCCATTACATTGATCTCGGAGAAGCAAGCAGGGCAGTTAAACTCTCGTTCCAAAGTAGAACTGCCTGTGGATTGATTGGTAGTAAAGGCAAGGTGACTGAAAAGGGACTGTGCTTTCTTTCTTATTGACTAGAAGTGTGTCTGTCCGATTAGTCTGTGCCAAGTACAGAAATAGCAGGTGCACATTGTTGAAGGATGTAGCAACTGAGGTTTTGTGCTTCCAGGGAGGCCAGGAAAATTCCTGCCCCAAATTTATCACCACTGGATTGTCGATTATTTTTCAGCTCTATTGCTGATGATTCACTCTTTTTGACATTTCAAGTCAGCTAACAAATATATTTTAAATCCAATCTTTATGCATGGCCCTGGGAATTTTAAAGGATTCAAAAATTAATAAATATGGAGCTCTCCAGGAAGTTTGAATCTAGATGATGGACAGACACTTTCGTGTATAAGAATGTATGTTGTGTGATTTCTTCAAACCAAACATAAGAACAGGTTCTTATTAGAATTAGAAGATTCTAATTTAGAAGAATTAGAATAAGAATTAGAAAGGTTCTAACTTAGATTTAGAAAGGTTAAATATACTAGAAGTACTAACAAGAACAAAGCTGCTGTTGATTTTTATTGTACAAAGCTAGATTCAAGATAAACTATGTCAACAGAGATATAAATAAGAAATTTGTAGTAAATATTAAAGGTCATAATGAGGGTATAAGTATGTATACCCAAATTCTATTGCACAAAAACCCATATAGCATAAATTAAAGGAAGGTTAAAAAAAGAAACTGACAAACACAATGGTGATTATAGGCTTTAATTAACCTCTGTCAACCCCCCGCCCAAGACAGATTAAGAAAGTAAGCAACCTTGGCTGAGCATGGTAGCTCACACCTGTAATCCCAGCACTTTGGGAGGCCGAAGCAGGCAGATTACGAGGTCAGGAGATCGAGACCATCCTGGCTAACATGGTGAAACCCCATCTCTACTAAAAATACAAAAAAATTAGCCAGGCGTGGTGGCGGACGCCTGTAGTCCCAGCTACTCGGGAGGCTGAGGCAGGAGAATGGCATTAATCCGGGAGGCAGAGGTTGCAGTGAGCCGTGATAGTGCCACTGCACTCCAGCCTGGGTGACAGAGCAAGACTCCGTCTCAAAAAAAAAAAAAAAATAAGTAAGTAACCAAAAGATGTGAAAGGAAGAAAAGTAAGTAAACAAAAAGATATGAAAGATGTGAATTATTAGTAAGGATTACATAATATGGATAAATATATATATACATATATATGTTTATACATATATGTATATGTGAAATATACATAAATACAACATATATATGCATATGATTAAAACCTGTATAACAGAAACCATTTTTAAACTTGCTTAGAAATTTACAAAATGGACTACTAAGTGACAAAAACATTGTTTTAGCCCTGAAATATAAATACATTCTACAGTCTGACCCAATGCAATAAAATACAAAATATAATCATTAACAAATTCATAACTAACATATCCTCAAAATTAAAAAATGTACCTTTAAGCAACTTTTAAATCAAAAGGCATATTTGCACATTTTAAGAATTGAAAAATAATCCCCGCACACCTCAGGATACAGTATATGTAGCTTTTAATACTTATATTTTTAAAAGAAAAAGGATCAGTTTTTAAGTCAAGAAGGCATAAATGGAATAATACAGTGAATATAAGGAAGTCAAATGAAAGACACAAAGATGATCAAAGGAGAAATTGTAAATCACAAAATTGTTAAGCAGTCAAAAAACATTTGTTAAAAAGAGACACTACTGGACAGTGAGCCATCAAGAAACAAAAAAAAGGAGAAATCACAAGCAAGTAAAATTAGAAATGAAAAAGAGCGAACATTTACATTACAGATTAAGCGAATGATAATTTGCAAGTGTCTAACAAATGCACTTCAATCTCTAAGTATTTCAGCAGGAATACTGCACTACGGAGTAGACTCAGACTTATGGGTTTGATTCAGAGTAACTTAATGAGAGCAGAATTAGGAAAAGATCTACGACTTTGCTGAGATTCCAAAATATTACAAAAAGGAATATAAAATACTATATTCATAAGTAGCTGATTCAATTAAAATATTTTTCTACCCTTCCCTCTTGAAATGGCTGTGTCATTTTTAAGAAGAAAGTTGCTTATTGAGAAACACTTTTTCATTAGGAAAATGAATTCAAAAATCATATAAAATTGCATATGTTGTGATTAAACTGTGTAAAATAATCACTTATGTGCATAAAGGCAGAAAGTGGGAAAACATAATAAGATGAGAGGCAATTTTTAAATTTTCCAGCCTTTCCAGAATACTGTTTATGTAATAATAAAAATGCAGAACAGGCCAGGCACGATGGATCGTGCCTGTAATCCCTGCACTTTGGGAGGCTGAGGCGGGTGGATCACCTGAGGTCAGATCGAGACCAGCCTGACCAACGTGGTGAAATCCCGTCTCTACTACAAATACAAAAATTAGCCGGCCATGGTGGTGCATACCTGTAATCCCAGCTACTCAGGAGGCTGAGGCAGGAGAATCACTTGAACCCGGGAGGTGGAGGTTGCAGTGAGCCGAGATGGCACCACTGCACTCCAGCCTGGGCAATGACAGAGTGACACTGCATCTCAAAAAAATAAAAAAAGGCAGAAAAAAAATAAGGTGTCTTCTGCATATGAACCTAAGCTGTTCTATAGTTGTTCTCCTGGTAAAGGGACAAGTACAGTCTACCTATCATTATCAAATTGTAAATGTCAAATTGTATCCAATTATTTCTTCATTAAGCCACCTAAAATGAACCATTCTCTCAGCTGAATGTATTCTTTTTGGTTGTTATTCTTTAAATACCAAGCATTACGACAGTTCTTAGAGAAATCTTCAGTACAAACTCAGTTTGTACATTCTATGGGAAGTCAAACACCTTTCTTAGTAAATTAACAGACTCTACCTAGTGAAGTACTTCCAGCATCATTTATTGAATTCACTTAAGTAAAAGGGACCAAGAGAGCACATTAGCTACTCTACTAGAGATGACAAATCTTAGAAATGATTCTGACTTTGGACCTTCAAGGGGATTACTTGGGGTGGCTGTCAGACTGTTGAGTCACTCAGACACAGAGAGACTTCCTACCATGTTCCTAAGACTGTCTCAGCCATTGCATAAATACAATGATTTATTTTGGAGCTAGTAACTGAATTGCTAATTTTAAAATGTCTTAGGAATTTGTTGAAGTTTGCAGCGGTACTATGTATCAAAAGATGCTATGGAAAATCTCCATTGCTGCCTGTACTGTGTTTTTGTGAGCTAAACTTATCTATTTTATGATAGAAAAGGAGGAAGTATTGTCTTAAGTTTTGCCTCTGTTTAGTGTCACTAAAACTTTTGATCTTAATGCTTAGATGATTTTGGAGAGAGTTCTTCCAGAATTTTTTGCAAGTCATTAAAAATTATATATCATGTCAAGAATTAGATGAATTGATGACAACTAGGGTGAAATATGACCTACTTTATGTATATATAAATATTTCAAACACTGTATTCATGTGGAAAAGCATAGATTATTTTGTTTCTTTAAAATTATTTTTACTTAGGAGGGGAGTCAACAGCTTAAGGTAATACTGCTTTAACTTTAGTAATTACCACAAAGTCTCTAGATTACAATAAAATATTATACAGCACATTGCCTAAAGAAACACATACTATTCTATTACTTTCTCACTCCCTTTAAATAAAATCTTCAGAAATTCTACTGAGGATCCCAAGCCACTTATAGAACCATGTCTTTGATAAAGAGCTGCTTGAAAACTAAATACATTTTAAAATAAAAATTTATCAATTTGTATAAAAATTACATTGTTGAGGTAATGAAACAGTACAGACACATAAAACATACAAAATGGAGGTCCTATCACAATCTAACCACATAGGTTACCACTTCTAACATTTGACATTTTTCTTCCTAGAACTTTTCCTATGTCTATATATGTATATTTTTAACCAAAAAGTAATAATGAACATAATCTTCCACACTTGCTTTTTCCACTTAAGAACATATTTTCTGTCTTTTAAATATACAGTCTTATCTTACAAATGAGATCTAACTAATTCATTTAATATGTGCATAGAATTATGTTGTATAGAGCTACGGTGACTTATTTAACTAGTTCCAATATGATTTCTATATGGATTATCTAGGTTTTTTATTACAGTGTTGCAATCAAAATCCTTGCACTTGTACTTGTATTTAATATAAATAGTCAAGAGGACCCAATGTCCAGATGTAGGACAGCTGGATCATGGGGTGGAGGTGAAGATATATATATATCCTCAAACTTAGTTTTTTTGGTCAATCTAGTGTAGAAAATTTCCTTGCAATTTAATTGTTAATATAATTACTTAATTGTTATAGGCTTTGTAAATTTGTGTTTTTCAATTGACCACTCTTTGTCTTTGCTCATTTTTCAGTAGGCTCATTCATCTTCCCATTTATTGAACAAATTCTTTTCTATCATTTATTGAACTGTATGTATTGTAAATGAATTTGTACTTTGTCTTCTGACATGGTAAACACGTGCTTATTTATTTTACCTTCTAGAAACTTTGAATTCTTTTGATAATTTCTTGAAATGCCAAGTTTAGAAAAATAATATAGTTCTCATTTATATTTCTATCATTCAGAGTTAGCAATTTCTTGTTTTTGTTTCTAGTCCTTTTATTTAACTTAAATAAATGAAACATGTAATACATTGATACCAAAGCCAGATAAGGACACTTCAAGAAAAGAAAACTACAGGCCAATATCACCAATGAACATAGATACAAAAATCCTCCATGAAAAAACATAGCAAACTGATTTCACCAGCACATTAAAAGGATTATTCACCATGATCAAGTGGGATCTATCCCTGGGATGCAAAGATAATTCAAGCTAAGTAAATCAGTAATTATGATATGCCACATTAACAGAATGAAGGACAAAAACCATGTAATCCTGTCAATAGATGCAGAAAAGGTATTTCACAAAATTTGACATCCTTTCATTATAAAAACTCTCAACAAATTAGGTATAGAAAGTATGTACCTCAACACAATAAAGGCCATATATGAAAAACCCACAACTAACATCATACTCAGTGGTGAAAAGCTAAAAGCTTCCTCTAAGATCAGGAACAATACAAGGTTGCCCACTCTTAACACTTCTGTTCAGCATAGTACTGGAAGTCCTAGCCAGTGTAGTTAGGCAAGAGAATGAAATAAATGACATCCAAATCAGAAGAGAAGAAATTAAATTGTCTCTGAAATTAAATTGATCTCATTATAAGACCATGTCATCTGTATAGACAATTTAATGTTTTATGTTTTTTATAAATAGAAAACATAAAAACTCCTCCAAAAAACTGTTAAAATAAATGAATTCAGTAAAGTTGCAGGATACAAAATCAACATATGAAAATCAGTAGCATTTCTGCACCCTAATAACAAAGTGTTTGAAAAAGAAATCAAGGAAACAATCCCATTTACAATAGCTACAAAAAAATAATAAAATATTTAGGAACAAATTTAACCAAGGAGGAAAGATCTATACACTGAAAAATATAAGACACTGATTAAAGAAATTGGATACAACACAAATAAATGGAAAGATATTCATGTTAACGTATTGGAAGAATTAATATTGCTAAAAGGTCCATCCCACCCAAAGCAATCTACAGAAACAATGCAGTCCCTATCGAAATGCAATGACTTTTTTTTCCCACAGAAATAGAAAAAACATTCCTAAAATTCATATGGAACCACAAAAGACCCTGAATAACCAAAATAATGTTGAGCAAAAAGAACAAAGCTAGAGGCATCACAATTACTGATTTGAAAACATTTACTACAAAGCTCTAGTAATTTAAACGGCACAGTACAGGCATAAAAACAGTATTGCATTTTCATCTTGCTAATATTTGCATATTAAATAACTTTATCAAACTGTGTTGTTTTCCATAGTTTCTAGTTGATTATCATAGGTTCTGTAGGTTTGTCATCTGTACCTCCTCTCTGATTAACATGTTATCCAAATCAGTAGTTCTCATCTGAGGCAATTTTGCTTCCCATGGGACCTTTGGCAAATATCTCAAGGCATTTTTTGATGTCACTACTTCAGATCCTACTGGCATCTCTGGGTGGATGTTGGGAGGCTGCTAAACAACCTGCAGTTCACAGGACAGCCTCCCCACAATGAAAAAATTATCCATCCCCAGTGTCTCTGATAGCATAGTTGAAAAACCATGGTTCAAATATTTTGCCCATTTTTATTGGATTGTTGATGAGTTGTAAGAGTTCTTTATATACTCTGGATACAAGTGCCTTTTAAAATATGTTTTGCAAATATTTTTCCCAGGCTACCTTTTCATTTTCTTAATAGTTTCCTTTAAAGAGCAAAAGGTTTCAATTTTGATCAAATTTAATTTGCTGACTTTCTTCTTTCATAATTCATGCTTTTTGTGTGTTATTTCAGAAATCTTTGTCTAACACAAGGTCTCTAAAACATCATCTTGTATATTCCTTTTTTATGTATTTTTACTTTTTTTTTTTTTTTTTTTAAGAGATGGGTTCTCACTGTGTTGCCCAAGCTGGTCTCAAACTTCTGGACTCAAGCAATCCTCTTGCCTCAGCCTCTCAAAGTGCTGAGATTACAGGCTTGAGCCACTGTGGCCAGCCCTTTTTTTCTTATGTTTCTTCTGGAAATGTTATAGTTTTTGCTCTTACATGTAGATCCATGATACATCTTGAATTTATTTTTATAAATGATGAGTTAAGGTTTGAAGTCCATGTTTTTGCATGTGGATATATTATAGTTGCAACAGCATTTGTTGAAATTTTTTCCCTTGCCTACCGAATTGCCTTGAAATTTTTGTTAAAATTGTTCATATATGTGTATGTGTATTTCTAGACTTTCTGTGCCATTGTTGTATGACTATTCATATCCTAATACCACGGCGTCTTGGTTACTGTAGCTTTATAATAAGTCTTGACATCAGATAGTGTAAATCCTCTAGTTTTGATCTTTTTCACAATATTGAATCTTCTGGCCCATGAACACAATATTGTTCCATTTCCCTGGGACTTAATTTCTTTCAGCGATGTTTTATAATTCTTAGTTTATAGCTCCTGCACATCTTTTGTCAAATTTATCACCAGTTACTTCGTATTTATTAAAGTTATCTTAAATAACCAGGTTTTACAGGCTTTGTTATTAATGCTGTATTAGCTCACATCAAAAAAAGTAATTGAAGAGCATTTTCTCTGTCTTTGTACTCTGTTTGTTGAAGATTTAGAGGAATTAACAAATGGAGCTTTTGTACTCAAAATGCTTTCCTCCTTACTTCTTAATCAAAGGCTACCCATTTATTTGAAAGGCAACTTTTATCTCTCTTTCTACATCCAACTTTTCTATACAGTGCCAGTGTAGTAAATTTTGTAGCAATTATTCTTTCTATAATTCATTTGGAAAGCATGCTAACTCCTACCATTCTTTATATATTTATATTGAATTACTTATTGAATGCAGTTAAACTTACTATGAAGTTAAGCTTGTGTCACCTTCTATATAAATTTCATACCTCTTGAGGATTTTCTTTAGAGCCCCTAACAGGATGCCTTATGCAGAGGGTAAGGAACTGGGTCTAATGCTTGGATGTTCAAAGACTGGTTTCCATCAGAAACCTTAAAATACAATTATTCTTCTGAGGTAGGGAAATTGATTTTTAGCATAAATATTGCTTGTAATACTCCTGGCTAGTTTAAAGATTATCTGGCAATTTACTGATAATTATTGAATCACTATTTCTCTAAGACACATGTCTGGCAGTAATTTCTTTTGGAGACATGTTAGAAGGAAATAGTGAAATAATATCAGAATGAAAAATCAGGGCAAGACAGACTGTTAACATTCTCTTTCAACAGAATAAATACAAAGTAGACCGAAATGTATTATTATTATTATTTTCGAGACGTAGTCTCGCTCTGTCGCCCAGGCTGGAGTGCAGTGGCGCAATCCCGGCTCACTGCAAGCTCCGTCTCCCGGGTTCACGCCATTCTCCAGCCTCAGCCTCCCAGGTAGCTGGGACTACAGGCGCCCATCATCGCGCCCGGCTAATTTTTTTTTTTTTTTTTTTTTTAAGTAGAGACTGGGTTTCACCGTGTTAGCCAGGATGGTCTCAATCTCCTGACCTCGTGATCGGCCCACCTCGGCCTCCCAAAGTGCTGGGATTACAGGCATGAGCCACCACGCCCGGCCTGGAAATGTATTATTATGCTTTAAACTTGTACCAGGTGCAATGAAACACAGAAAAAATGCACATTATTCACTTCACATAGATAATGTATATAACCTAAAATTGACCAACGTATTTAAAGTTTTGGTGTGTGTGATACTGGAATGTATATTGCTCCTGACAGAGGAATAAACCGGGACCCTACTGAAAAACAGTAGAAGACTGATAAAAGACTTTGACTTCGAGAAAGTATCTTGACAAAGAAAGCCTATACCTTTTTTTAACACTTGGATAATAAAGCAGTTTTGTTTTTTTGTTTTGTTTTGTTTTGTTTTGTTTTGTTTGAGACAGAGTTTCACTCTGCTACCCAGGCTGGAGTACGGTGGTGTGATCTTGGCTCACTGAAACCTCCACTTCCTGAGTTCAAGCAATTCTGGTGCCTCTGTCTTCCAAGTAGCTGGGATTACAGGCAGGTGCCACCACGCCTAATTTTTTGTATTTTTAGTAGAGACAGGGTTTTGCCATGTTGGCCAGGCTGGTCTCGAACTCCTGGTTTCAAGTGATCCACCTGCCTGTCTCCTAAAGTTCTGGGATTACAGGTGTGACTTACTGTGCCCTGCCTAATAGAGCATTTTTAACTAAGGGCCAGAAAAATGAACATGATAGGTTAGCTGGCTAGACAGACACCCAGAAAAGCAGCTTCCTTGGGGAGCTGTTCAGGGTTGACACAGGCCCCCACCAGCAGAGATGTGCCTCGTCAGGGGTTGGGATGCAGGTGGGCACAGGTCTGTATCCAGACACAGGTGCCCAGAGGGATCAGAAGCCACATAGGTAAGATGCATGCCTTCGTATTACACATCTCTAAACTGAGGAAATCCATTTAAAAGGAAGATTGAAGGCACATTTTAAGCAGAAAAAGAAAGCAGAAAGGTAGGATGTGTTATCTCTGTAAGGGGCTTCCCGTCATTTTAGCACCTGCTAATGAAGGATCTTTTCCTACCGGTTGCACTGGACTCTCCTGCCAGCAACAAGCAAAGGCAGCACCTGACAGGGAGTTTGCTGGTGGCCTAAAATGTGGGACTCCAGGCCTGAGGATTAGTCTGGCCACTGATGTAAAAATGTTAGTCAATGTCACAACTGTACAAAAAGACTAGAGGGTTTCTATAGAAGTTAGTTCCACACTGGAGAAACTAATTTGGCCAGAGAACTTAAGTCGTTGATATTCGTAATAAACAGAAAAAAAAAAAAAAAAGGATAGTACTTCGTAGCTGAAAATAATTGATACATTTATCAGAACTCTAAAAATCCATGAGGTAGCCTTTAGATAAACAGAGTATATATTATTAGAGATGGTACAAAGTATAATATTAGAGGTGGTACTAAGTATATTATTAGAGATGGTACTAAAAGACTTGATTATAGCTTTTATTCTTATAAAAGTTTTCTCTACTTTTTGTACATGGTATTATATATTACATTTTTTAAATGCCTAAATAGTGATTTTTTTTCAAATAGAACTACTTAAAAATTTGCTGGTGACATTATAGTAATGATCTATATATTTACCTATCCTTGTTTTTCTTCTCAAGAAAGAACAAGCTCTTGTGGTCCTATCCTGATGAAGAATTACCCTCAGCCTGATGGCTGTTGTCTGAGGTTGAGTACGAGGAAAACTAAACAACCACTCTCAACTCCTTGGTCATAAGCACTTAATCAACCTAGCATGAGTTGCCAATATTGGAATCCTACCTTTTGTGTGTTACTAGTACCTTTCTAGAGGATTACCTACCTGTGCTGGTCTTTGGGGACACATTGGAGCATATTTTCAGATAGTAGTTTTAAAAATCACTTTTAGGTTTCATTCCTTCATCACAAAACAAAACTTTAGAGCCCGTCTTCTTACAAGGAGTTTAGGTTATTTTTCCTCAAGGGCATTTATGCATCAACACTTTATTTTAGTTGATATTTTTCTGGCTATTTTCACATGCTTATAAACCTGTATTTTAATTTACTCTCATCCGTTTACCAATTTGTGTAGTATTATCTACGCAGTTGTGGCTGTTTTCCAGATCTATGGGCCTGTTTTTCAGATTATTTGTAAAATAAAGAAACATTAATCCCTGTAGACCAACTATTTACTCCTTTTGTTCAGAGTTGATTGATTCTCTCTTTTTTTTGGAAGGCTCAAACCAATTTCCTGTTAAAAACCAAAATCTTTATCCCAACCATCCTTTACCCTGATCCCCAACTACCACTCTATTCCATGCTGAAGCAAAATTCTTCAGCCAACCAGAAAATAACAAAACAAAAAATACTTCTTTGTAGAACCTTAACAAAGGACTTTTAAAAATCAACACCTGCCCCATACACACATACACATACACAGCGTGCCCACCTACACATCCACGCACATGGGTTTAACGAATTCTCTCATTACATATCCTTTTCCAACCCCTCAAATAACTCAAGAATTTTACTCAGGTATTTCCATTTTGAGTCTGATTTATGAACTCTCCATTGTCTGGCCACGTGCCAGCCATATTCCACAATTCATAATCTGTCACCAGAAGTAATGGCCCATTTCCAAAGGTGAAGCATGACAGTACTGTCTGCATGCATCAGATAAACAGATTGTGTGGCCGCTCCGTGTTCTGTCTGAAGTCCTAGGCTGAAGAGCACATTAACCTTTCAGCACAGCCCCATTTTCACTGTGGTGGTTCTTTTCTTTTATGCTCTTCATTTTTCTTCATAAGAGCCAGGCCTGATGAATAACACAACATCCAATCACTAGTGAGCAGATTGCTCAAAACCCGTAGAAGGTGAGTGGGTGATGGTACCCAGTAAATTTTAAAACATCTCAACCTTCCAACCTTGTTGTATGAAATGACTTCAGAAAGTCATTGGAATTAAGAAGAAGATTGTTTTTATTTTTTGGTTCCTCATTGGTATAAGCTTTTTCCTATGACACTTGATGGTGGGGAATCTATTGGCAACCTCCTCCTTTTCTTCACGTCTAACACAAGACTACAGATGGACCTCTGTCGTCTAGGACTTACCCAGCAGAAGGATTCAGGAAGAAAACCTAACTTAGATAGGCCTTAAGTACAAGGTCTCATTTTGTTTCACTTTCGTGAACCTGCATCTGTGTATACTGCTGGGATATTTATGCAGAGATACAAGATTTCCCTTTCAAGATTGGGACAGTTGTACCGCAGGGGCATTCAGTAAATTTGGCCTGGTGTAGGTCAGTCCAGCCACCTAAGCAGGATCACAGACAAGTAGATGATCCTGAATAGATTCATGATAGGAGTGGGCACACCAAAATCATCAGGAACCAAATGTGGCTCAGATAATTAATGTTCCCATCAGTATAGGAACTATGGTCATTTTAAAAGTTGATCTAACCTCATCAGAGTTAATCATCTGCATCTGTGTGTGTGCATGTGGGTGCACCCATGTGTGTGCCTCCACGTGCACGTGTGTGTGTGCATGTGGGTGCACCCATGTGTGTGCCTCTACATGCACGTGTGTGTGTGCATGTGGGTGCACCCATGTGTGTACCTCCACGTGCACGTGTGTGTGTGCATGTGGGTGCACCCATGTGTGTGCCTCCACGTGCACGTGTGTGTGTGCATGTGGGTGCACCCATGTGTGTGCCTCTACCTGCACGTGTGTGCATGTGGGTGCACCCATGTGTGTGCCTCCACGTGCACGTGTGTGTGTGCATGTGGGTGCACCCATGTGTGTGCCTCCACGTGCACGTGTGTGTGTGCATGTGGGTGCACCCATGTGTGTGCCTCCACGTGCACGTGTGTGTGTGCATGTGGGTGCACCCATGTGTGTGCCTCCACGTGCACGTGTGTGTGTGCATGTGGGTGCACCCATGTGTGTGCCTCCACGTGCACGTGTGTGTGTGCATGTGGGTGCACCCATGTGTGTGCCTCCACGTGCACGTGTGTGTGTGCATGTGGGTGCACCCATGTGTGTGCCTCCACGTGCACGTGTGTGTGTGCATGTGGGTGCACCCATGTGTGTGCCTCTACGTGCACGTGTGTGTGTGCATGTGGGTGCACCCATGTGTGTGCCTCTACGTGCACGTGTGTGAGTTCATGTGGCCTATGTGTTCAAACTGCTTCAGAGTGAAAGTTTCCAAGTTTTAAGAAGAAACTGACTGAATTAAAAATAAAGAGAGCAGGGGCATAAAATTCATTCCAGGAACGTGGTAACCACAGAAACAGAAGTGAGGTGCTCTGAAAGCTGAAAGGGATATCAGTCATTGGAGATGGGGAGTAGGGAGGGATGTTTCTTGGTTTGTTTCTTAATAAAGACCCCTGGATTGTTCAAGAAGGGAAAAGGAGATAGTGAGGGAAAAAGAGAGACTAATGGTGCTAGAAATGGAGGGGCTGATTTTTGAAAGAATGGCCGAGATCAGCAGGTCTCCCACTGGAATGTGTCTTGTTAAAATGCAGATTCTCCTCTCTAGAGCTGTGGTGAGGACTGAGATCCTGCCTTTCTAACAAGCTCCCCAGGGATGCTGCTGCTGCTGGCTCACAGATTGCACTCTGAGGAGTAAGGGCATAGAATAAATGGGCAATGAGGAGCCATGGAACGTAAGAAAAGGGATTAACTCTAGATGAGAAACAACAAACGTTTTCCTCCAATATCTAAAAGAAAGATTAAAAAACAGAAGTTTGGGCAAGATGGTGAAGGACAGAAAATCAATATGGTTTTATCTTCCAGTCCCAGTGTTCAATATGGAAGGAGAAAAAACTTAGAGTGGGAAATTACTATCTACAAAACACCACAGCCCAAAACAATCTCCTGAGGTGTCTTTTTTCTGTTCTTTTTTCCCCCTTTGGTATAGGTATCATTTACTTTGGAAATCTATAATGCTTCTGTTGTAATTTAACTTACCACATCTTTATATATTGTCTTTTTAACTCTTCTACAGTTATCTCAAAAAGAAAGTTTTAGTATAATATCTTATAAGTAGTAGAAGTCATTAATAATTTTTTGATTGATTTAGCCAGGAATCCTGAGTTCTGGCTTCTGGCTCCCAATCAATAGTAAATCATGTAGACTTTATCTGCCTCCGTTTCCTTACCTGTCACATAATACTCTTTCCTCTCCACCTTCTACACTGCTAGGAGAGAGAAATTAGGTCTTAATTATAATGCTACTTTGAAAAATCTACTCAAATTTATAGTGGTCTTCATTGTAGTCATATTTTATCTCAACAACTGACTTTTACATTTTATCAAAGACTTTATATTTTCTGTAAAATACTACACAGTAAATCTTCCGGCCTCACTAGAAAAAAATATTTGCTTACAATCTACTTTCTGAATACCAAGGACTGCTGATCCGTAGAGGGGAGAATGGAGAGAGGGCCCTGCCAGCTGCTGATTTAGCTGTCTCCATAGGCTCGCTATTGCTCAAGTACTTTTTCCATCACAAAGAATTGGAATTCTATTTACCAGTACAACTTTTCTGAACATTTTCTAGAGGTAATATGCAAAAACTGCTGATGACACAGAGAGTAAAAATAAAACTCCCTGTGATCAAATGTGTCTCCATTAATCTGCATCTGCTTCATCAAATACAGATTGTGTGTGCACACGCACACGTGCGCATGTGTATGTGTCTTGGTAAATGGGTAAGGAGTTAAGGAGTCCCAATATCATCTATACTCTTCTCATAACAAGAATGAAAAGAAGGGTCTACACTACCTTGGCTAACTGGCACCTCCCATGTGCTCAGCACCAAGCTAAAGGTTGTGAAATACTCTAAAAACATGTAATACATAATGTCTGCACTCAAGGTACTTAGAATCTATTTGGGACACCAAGTAAACATATCTAAAACTAGTCATGATTGGTTAAGCACCTACCATACGTAAGACAGTGTGATAAACACACTCAGGTGCCAAATAGCAAGATATAGCCATAAACGCAATTAAGGACTCCCAAACTTTAAGGCCTCCACGTATCCTGAGTGAATCAGAGATTACTCCTTATTAGGCAGGGCAAGTAGTGTTGGTCATTTAGTTCATGTAAATGATACACTCACAAATTTTTTAAAAAGACAATTCTCAAGGAATCAAGAAAACATATGTGAACAGCAGAGAAAATCAAATACGAAACATGGAGTCATCATAGTTCCAGTAAAAACTCCTCTGCTTTATATTTCTGACTTTTTTATATAAATAGGCTAAAATCCATGCTAATATATATGCAGAAAAGAAATGAGGCCTTGCTCATTACCTGCATATCCTTACATCCCTTTCAAAAACCTGAACATGTACTCTAGCATAGCATTCTGATCTTTATTTTCCTGGGGGAAAGAAGGCTTGTGACTTTGCGACACTTAGCTGGTTCTGTATCCCTCTGTATTCTGCGTATATTTGACTTTTCTTTGGTTAAGAGGTAGAAGGTGCTTCTTAGGTTTTAAAGGTAACTTTAGAATGACCCGATGAAGAAGTTAAATGTCTCTTTATGAAATAGAAACATGAATCCTCTTTTATAAAACAAACATAAAAAGATGATAAATATATTAATCAGATTTTATCTCCATAGATCCTTGGACCTATTAGCACAATATAATCACAAGTTGTATGCTTATCACAGCCGGTATTGTTTGATCTTTTTTATTTTTTGACAGAGAAGCAGAAGGCCTTAATCTCTACATTACTTTTAGTAAAGATAAAATTAAAATGATGTATTGTTATTTTGTAATTTCCTTATAAGCACATATTGGAGGATTAAAATATTACAATAGAATTATCTGTAAGCAAATATGTTTTCAAATAAGGCTGAGTGAACCCTTCATTGAATTAAAAGACTTTAATGGGGCCAGGCGCAGTGGCTCATGCCTGTAATCCCAGCACTTTGGGAGGCCGAGGCAGGTAGATCACGAGGTCAGGAGTTCGAGACCAGCCTGACCAACATGCTGAAATCCCGTCTCTACTAAAAATACAAAACTTGGCCAGGCATGGTGGTACCTGCCTGTCATCCAAGCTACTCAGGAGGCTGAGGCAGGAGAATCACTTGAACCTGGGAGGCAGAGGTTGCAGTGAGCCAAGATCGCACCACTGCACTCCAGCCTGGTGACAGAGCGAGACTCTGTCAAAAAAAAAAAAAAAAAAAAAGACTTTAATGGTTATGTTCAAACTTGAATTCCTCATTTTAATTAACCATTAGATGGTTAAATGTTTACCATTTTAAATAACCCTCCTCAACTTATTTCATTTATACTGAAATAAGTCATAGTACTGAAACAAATTATTTATAATAAAAATACAAAAAGTGCATAATATTCAATTTGCCAAAAATTAAAGAATTTAAAGCAACAGATATTTGTAATTTTCCCATTTTGGTCACTGAACATTCCTACATAAGGTAATACTTCACTCTCTGTATCTTAAATAAGCATTTGAGGGATTTAAGAATATTTCCTAACTACAAGGGCTTTCTTATTGTCAGGAGCCATTACTGAGGGCCATTACTCTTTGCTTTGATCTCTTCATCCCATTATAGAACAAATTTATTGTGTGCCTATTATGTTCAGCACTGAGAATGCAAAGATAAATAAGATTTAGCCCCTGCCTGCAGGTGCTCACACTCTATTCAGTAAAGCTCAAATTTGGAACAGAGGGAGGAATAAGGATATAATGGATGTATGAAGACATTCACATAACATTTTCTGCAGATATTTTTGACACATTTTCCTGTGTGTGATTGCCTGAGAGCTTTCTCAGCTATATAAATGATACCTACCATGAGTTCCTATTGTGAATAGATTTCATATCCCTCATTTATGTGTCAATGAAATAATTTTTCTGTCTCTATGGATTTGACTATTCTGAACATATCATACAAATGGAATATGTGGCCTTTTGTGTCTGGCTGTTGCCACTTAGCATAAAATTTTCAAGGTTCACCTATGCATTCCTTTTTCTGGCTGTATAATATTCCATTGTATAGACATACTACACTTTGTCTATTCATGTATCAATTTATGGACATTGGTGGTGTTTTCACTCTTTGGCTATTACGAATAATTCTGCTAGGAACATTTGTGTACAGGTTTTTGCATGAGCATGTTTTCAGTGCTCTTAGGTGTATACCTAGGAGTGGAATTGCGGGGTCATATGGAAATTCTATATTTAACTTTTCAAGGAATTGCCAAATTGTTCTCCACAGGGGCTGTGTCATTTTACATTCCCACTAGTTATGTATTATAGTTCCATTTTCTCTACATCCTCACCATTTTCCTTTTTTTTAAATAGCCATCATAATGAGTGTGAATTAGTATCTCATAGTGGTTTTGATTTGCACTTCCCTAATGATTAATGATGTTGAGCGTCTTTTCACGTGCTTATTGGTCAATTGTTTTGAGGTTTTTTGGAAAAATACCTACCCATATTCTTTGCCCTTTTTAAAAGTAGGTTATTTGCCTTTTGTATTGTTGGCTTCCAAGAGTTCTTTGTATGTTCTAGATACTAGACCTTTATCAGACATATGATTTCAAAATTTTTTAATGTGGACTGTCTTTTCACATATTTGATATTGTCCTTTGATGCACAGAAGTTTTTACTTGTGATAAAGTCAAATTTATTTATTTTTTTATTTAGTTACTTGTGATTTTCTATTCTTTTATAACACATTTTTATTGAAGTAAGATGCTGTTTATATTTTAAATTCTTCTTTGCTATAATATTGTATTTAATTACAAAAATTATTTATCAGTCTCAATTTACTTCTGATCCATTTGGAGTGCCAAATAACAGCCAAAGCAATTGTAGTTATAAATTAAAGGACACAATTCAGCAAGGAAAAATAAATTAAAAGAAAACAAAAGCATATTATTCTTTTACTTTTGCCATTAAACAACAAAAACATTTCTGATAATTTGTCAAATATTTGTCAAATTGTCTCCCAGTTATCTGTAATGTAGATAGCCTTCCTGGTAACCTGTCTTAAAAATAAATGATGTATTCGTTTCCTGTGGCTGCTACAACAAATTACCACAAACTTAGTGGCTTAAAACAACACAAATTTCTCCTCCTACAGTTCTGTAGTTCAGAAGTCTGAAATGGGTCTTGCTGGGCTAAAACAAGATGTCAGCAGACCTTTGATCCTTTCTGGAGGCTCTAGGGGACAATCTGTTTCCCAGCGTTTTCCAGCCTCTAGGCCACCCACATTTCTTGGCTTTTGGTTCTTCTCCTCTATCTTGGAAGCCAGCAATGTTGGGCCAAGTATTTGTCATATTACATCACTCTCACTTCCTCTTCTGCCTCCCTCTTTGACTTTTAAGGACCCTTCTGATTACATTGGGCCCACCTGGATAGTCCAGGATACTCTCCCTATTTTAAGGTCAGCTGATTAGGAAACTTAATTTCATCTGCAACCTTAATTCCCCATGTGCCATGTAACATATATATTCACGGGTTCCAGGGATTAGAAGGTAGACATCTTTGGGCAGCTCTTATTCTGTGTACCACAGGTGACTTTACTGGTGTCCTGTTGTACTGAAGCTAGGGACTGCAGTACATCTGTTGACAAATGATGAATTTGAAAGTACTCAAAAAGAGAGAGAGACTATAGGTAACTTTGTTCTTGCCTTTACAACCCTTTTTGGATAGGAGCACAGACCATAAAGGCAGGGAAATTAGCAGATATGCATGTTATTGATTCCTGATTATAATGGCTAAACTAGACGTTTCTGTTTTTCCAATACTAGAAGAAAGCAGCTTAGAAATTTGGCATTATGGATAGCAGTCTTAAAACTCCTTTTCTTAAAATGGAGCTTACGGACAGGGGCTTTCTGTAAAGGCAGCATGTACAGTAGAGTGAGCAGAGGCTTTGGAGTTAAGGGGACCAGGGAACAGGTTTCAGCTCATCCACCGTATTAGAAAAGTCCAATATTGAGATACAGAATTCAACCACATCCCCCCAAAATTAGATTTTCATGAATAGGTACAAAACTTTATGTAGTAGCATATCTCGAATATCTCTAACACACAGATTGAAACTTTTTTAAAATGAGAAAAATTAGTGCTTAAAATGTCTAAAGTAGTTTAAAGACATTTAGTTATGCTGTTTACTAAATGGTAATGGCTTTAGGAACACATGTTAGATGCATGAATTTAAAAATCAATTTGTTCATGTGATGCTGGAAATAAAAGGATTCTCCCTATCCAGTGCTGTTAGAAGCCACCACTAAGACGATGACAGTGAATTCTGTTAGGCCTTTTCCTTGATTAAAAGGAAAGTGAGACAGCAGACAGGCTGACTTGTTTACTGCTAAGCTTCCTATCCTGGCTCTCCTGCCCACATTTTCTTTTCTAAGTCATCTATTGCCACATGTAGACAGAAGGGGGAAAAGACTCTAATCTAAAAATGAATAGAGTAGCATGTCAGTGCTCCCGGTGATGTACATAAAAACCTGAATTTTTCTGTTTCTATGTGCATCAGGCTGTCTCTTGCCCTAGGTTGTCTGGATTGTAAAAACTAAGATTATTATTAAAGAGGGCAGCAAGCCATTTAGGAAGTGCCCTGTCTCCCTGTGACAAAAGCTTTGCAGCTAAGCACAGTAATTTATGTTGATAAATTGCAGCTGTCAGAGTGTTCACAGTGCTTCATGGGATATGTTTCTAACTTTGCATTTCTTGTTCATGCATTCCAATATATGGACTTCTCTTTAAAAAATAAAATACCAGAGCAAGTCTTCGGAAGTATTCCCTAAATTGTCACGACCTAGTTTGGATAAGATTAAACTAAGGTAAAAATGATAATAAGATAATAAGAATGATTATTATGAGTGTATTTTTTTTTTCTTTTCAAAGTCTGTAAGGATCTTAAGGTGGAAAGAAATGTTAGAGAAACTGGCCATTATTTGAAAGACTTAAGTTTCCAAGGAAAGAAAACAAAATGTCAGTAAAGTGGAAAAATTGGTTCCAAAGCACAGGGAAATACATACATATTAACAAAACAGGCCAGGCACAGTGGCTCACGCCTGTAATCCCAGCACTTTGGGAGGCCAAGACAGTTGGATCACTTGAGCTCAGGAGTTCAAGACCAGCCTGGACAACATGGCAAAACTCCATCTCTACAAAAATTAGCTGGGTGTGGTGGTGCACACCTATAGTCCCAGCTACCCCGGAGGCTGAGGTGGGAGGATCACTTGAGCCCAGCAGTGAGCCGAGACTGTGCCACTGGACTGTAGCCTGGGCAACAGGCCAAAACTCTGTCTCAAAAAAACAAAGAAGAAAAACAAAACAAAACAAAAAATGGAAAGGCAAGGTAGTTAAAAGGTTACTGAAAAAGGCAATGGAAAGGGCACAAAAATAGAACAGATTAAGTTCTACATATGACGGTGTCATGCCTAGTGCAACAGGAAAAAAAAGTGATAGATAAAATCTACATTCAAATAAGAGCCTCCAAGCCTCAGTTCTAATCCCTGTTTTGCCACTGTATCCATTAGCTGTTGCTACAAAGATACTGTGTTTCATACTTCCTCAAAGCTCTGTGGTCCATAACAGTCATTTACTTGACTGCAGGGCAGTGCAGGTAAGATTTGGTTCATCTAAAGCTGAACTTCTGTACACAGCACCTGGTGCGTCATTGCTCTGCCTCTTAAAATAGATGTTTGGGTGTCTGACTGGCCATGCTCTTTAAGTCTCTGTTTGGACTTGGAGCTAACTTCTTCTCAAGGCAGTGGCAAACACTTAAGACAGCAAGCAGAAACATACAAAGTCCCCAAAGGCCTGGCTTCTGACCTGGCAATCTATCCTCTTTGGTCATATACCCAAATCAGTCATATGGCCGGCCCCACATCAAGAGACAGAGGAGTACACGCTGCTCACAAAGAGAACTCCTGAGAAATTGGACCTAACGTTGTACCTAAGAAAGCCTCCACGAAAGAAGGATAATATAGTTAAATTGATATTCTTATTTAAGTGAAATTCTTGAAACTCTAGGTCTTCAATAAACTTCAATAATAATGCATCAGAAATCTCAACCGAAGGAATGGATATTCTAGCTTTTACCCTCTACACTCCATTCCCTAATTTTTATACTCAAAAAGTGATCAACTTGTGGAAACCACATTACTTTTATTCTTTTCTTAAATTTGTCAGCTTTCACATATAGCTGTAGATATTTGAAAATATTTGTTGGAGACATGAGTGAATCAAGCTATCTTAGTCACAAGAGCTGAGCTCAGTGCTTTCCCAACCAAGAGCTCCCAAACTGAACCATTAACACCAGCTAGACATTTCCAAGGTATCAGTCTCACTTGAGCAGTTGACTTCATCAACCAACATAAATAGTTAAATGCTTTCAAAAAAAAAATTTAAAGTCTGGGTTTTCACTAGCAAAGGATTAGTAGTTATCATCTTAGTAGGGCAACAGCCTATTGAATGCTCGATGCAAAAAGCATTTTATTTCAATTCCTACTAGTATGCTGTATCATATTTGTTGAATATTCCCAAAATATTGTTTAATCCAACCACTCCTTATAAAAATGTTATGCAGTGACTCTCTACTGCTTAATAGTCTAGAATTCAAAGACTTCTTTATCTGGTTCTTTCTATCCTCATCAATCTTGTCTCTTGAAAGACAGTGCCACTTTACAGGATCATCAGTATTCGTGGTGACATTTGAATGCATGTTGTGGAATACTACTTTAATGGGAAAAGTTTACAAAGCTATTGGTGGAGCATCTCTTCTCCCTGTATTTCAACATCCAAGAATACACATTTTTCACAGAAAGCAGTTAGTAGTACACAGTAAATAGCAATTGCTTTAAAATGAGTAACTTTTAGTAGGTTTTAGGGAAAGACTAGAATAGCCAGAGGCAAGAAAAAAAATTGGGAAGATTACATATGTGACAGTCAGATGTATAGACAAACTTGAGTAAGTCACCGTTGCTTACGATAAACTTTGGTTCCAATCCTCAAATTCAAAAGTAGATTGAAAAAGAATGTATTACCCATAATTGCAAAAGGTGGTATTCTCATCTAGACTAAGTCATGGAGGCCGTACATGATAAAGGACTTGGTAACTGCTAATATTTATGCAAATATATTTGAAGGTGGTATGATTAATGATTCTTTATGTAAATGTCACTAACTTGTAATGTGTGTTTATTCATTAAATCTTATATTATCTAAAGAAAAAGGATTTGTATAGCAGGATAAACAATAGGTCATTTAAACTATTTGGATAAACAAATTATCTGAAAGAATTTTAGGGCACATTTACTTTCTTAAATTTATTGATAATTATTCAAATTAATTTGTTATAGCTTTCTGTAGCTCAGCTCCACATACCAAAAATTGGTATTCACTTATTTTTCTCTGTTTTTAAATCCCAAACCATGTTCTGACTAAACATTTTGTATTTTCAGTACTGAATAATTAAGAATTATTAGTAATGAGATTCAGGTCATTTGGGCTAAGATGCATTGTGGCTGTGCCTGTGCATGCAACCTGATTTGAATTATCTATTTTGACTCCTTAGATTCCTTTTTCTGAGTTGATTTGGTTGGATGGACTAACTGGACTTGTCAAGATAATCTAAATCAATTTGTGCACATATCACAAACGATCAAATTTGTTTAGCTAAAACATTTCTGTTGGTGACACGAAGATGATAGAGATTTGGTTCATGTTGCATTGGATTCACCTCTCCTTCTCCCACTGAAGTTTTTCTGGCTGCGGTCTTAAATAATGGAAAAATTAGAGAGATGAAATGGGGCTTGGAAAGTGAATAGGGTTGATTGCTTGGTTGTGGATTTGTGTTATTTTGTGATTATTTTTAATGCCTTTCTAGACAAGCCTGCAAACTTCTACAGGGTATTCAAGGGTAGTTGCTAATTTCTGGGTTTCTTTCATGAGAAGTGGTAGAAATATAAGCTGTTACCAATACTAATTTCTGAGGCCCCAGGGAATTGCCCCATCCAGGCAGTCTGGCCTAGTGCTCCCCACAACTATGGGAGCTAAATGGCCAACTCCCTTGTACGTTTGTACAGACATAAAGATCTTAGGGTTTGTGTTTCACTACCTTGTGGCAAGCACCCTGCCTAAATAGGTGGCCTTGATTTTTCTTCTCTGTTATTGCTCTAATGACTCCTAACATTGATTGAGAGGGCGATAAAATCCTCCTGCGAAGTAGAACTTGAAATGACAGTCCTCCATCAGGAGTATTGGGATAATGTCAGATAAATTACTGCCGATCCCATGCGCTGAAAAAAAAGGTAATATCTGAGTGTTTTTTTTTCTTCACCACCAAGAAATAAAAAGATCTTCAGAATTGTCATCTAGCCTAAACTTTGAGTCACAGTGTTAACTTTTGTTTTAGTTTGAGTCAAGTGCCTTTTCTTAGAGAAATTATATCATATTAGGATGACATTAGAGCAGCCATGTGGATAAAATTCTAGTCTTTTTCCCGGTTCAGTTGTAATAACGTTTGCAAGAGAAGGTGGTTGAATTTGCTGCCATCCTTAGCATCAGACTATATACAAGGATAATAACATATCACTGCTGCAATCTGAGTATCTACAGTTCAAGTGGAAAGAAAAGACATACAAATATAAATAATTCAAAGTAACATATATAAAAATAGTTTTCAAGCAGCTCAATGTTTCAGCATACTCATTGTCATTCAAACAGACTTGGGGTAGGGATGAGGGGTAACAGAGGATATACTTTTCTCTATCCTACAAAATTGGAACACACAGGAAAATAGACAGAAATATGAAATTAAATGATCATAATTTGCCCAAAATCTTCTGACCCAAAGACAACTACTGCTAGTATTTTGGTGTTTAGTCCAGTCTTTTTTCTCTATATATGTTAGATTTCTTAGAGAAGAAACTCCTATTTTTAATTTCATAACGTTTAAGTTTGTGTTCTTGGCTTTTCTTTGTTGTTTTGTTTTTAAGGAGCATAATTATTCAGCAGGTATTTACTATGCATTCCTTTGTGGCAGACATGATGTCAGGTACTGAGGGTCTAGGGGGAGGCTGCTGCTGAGGAAGCCAAGACTCCAGCAGACTGTCACCTGCTCCTGAGCCCACAGTCTACTGCAGGCCTCAGCCTATCAACAGGGAAGCTTTCTCTGCTCAGTACATTTTTTAACTCAAATATATGAGGCTTTACATTTTCCAGTTAAACATTCTCCTGTTACTTTTTAAAAATATATAACAGCTTTATTAAGACATAATTCAGAAACCATAAAATTATTTCTTTTAAAGTGTACAATACTTGAATCTTGATTCTTTGTTTAGTTTCTCTCTCCTAGTACTTTTTTTTTTTTAAGTTCCAGGGTACATGTACAGGATGTGCAGGCTTGTTACATAGGTAAATGTGTGCCATGGTGGTTTGCTGCACCTATCAACTCATCACCTAGGTAGGAAGCCCAGCATGCGTTAGCTGTTTTTCTTGATGCTCTCCCTACCCCCGACCCTCCCCAGTGTTTTTCTATTGAAGATCAGATTAACTTTACTGGTGTTCTTCCGAGACAGTGATAGGTAGTTGAATGAGGTAGTCTAAGGACAGACTCTTGCCCCATTCAAGGCCATTCCAAAGAGCCACTAACGAGTACTCTTTAGGAAAGGTATTTGATATCTCAAAATTCATATGTCTGTATAATCATTTAGCCCATACTTCACCGTGTTATTCTTGGTAATATACAAAATAGTCTCTGAAAGGCATATCATCACTCGAGAGTAATAGCTGGAAATTATTTTCAGTAATCTGAGTTGAGGAAACAGAACTTTATTTATTTTTGAGATGGAGTCTTGCTCTGTCACCCAGGCTGGAGTGCAGTGGTGCAATCTCGGCCCACTGCAACCTCCTTGGCTCACTGCAACCTCTGCCTCCCAGGTTCAAGCAATTCTCTGCCTCAGCCTCCCGAGTAGCTGGGATTACAGGCACCTGCCACCATGCCCGGCTAATTTTTTGTGTGTTTTTAGTAGAGATGGGGTTTCATAATCTTGGCCAGGATGGTCTTGAACTCCTGACCTCATGATCCACCCGCCTCAGCCTCCCAAAGTGCTGGGATTACAGATGTGAGCCACCGTGCCTGGCCGAGTAAACAGAACTTTAATATCATATCACGTATCTTGAGTTCAACTTCCAGTGTACAACACGTGAGATCATTTTCTGTGATGGAGAATGTGAGTGCCAAGTAAGTGTCCTGGAGTTGATGTCACAGCATCTTCTTCAGGCAGAAATCAACGCCTTTGCTTCCAGCATAGCTTTGAAGCCCCTTTTTGTTATTGAATTTGGCACATTTTGATACTTTGACCTTCCAGATCTTTAGCTTTCCTGTTTTTCCCATCTTTTAACATATTCACTTGAACTAAGGAAACCCTTCCATTTCTATTTTCCAATGGTGAGCCCGTCCTCAGAGTTCTGACTATGTAATAGCAATATTTCATCTGTTATAAAATGTAGAACCCTGTTGTTTGGAATTTTAACATGCTCTTTGTTGGTAATAGAGGACCTCATTGGTTGGGAGTGCTCTGAGCTAGCCTTCATGAGAATGCCAGAATATCCTCATGACCTCATTGTGACAACCAGAAATATATCACATCCATCTATGTTACCTGCATTTTATAGTTTATCTGGGTGATTTTTTTCTTTAACTTCCAAATTTGATTTTTAAGCCTCTTTTATGTAGTTTACAGGTTTCTTGCCAAATATTTTACTTGTATTGCATTTCAAGCCAGAAACCCAACTGAGTCTGCACTTAGTGAACTCTTTGTTTCCTATGTAGTCTCTTTTTGCATCTTGCATTCCAGCATAATTATCTTTTCTTAAAGGCAACATCATTAAAGTAACGCAGTGTCCATGCATCCTGTTGTATCTCTGTTCTTACACTAAGGAAAGATGTCTCCTAGTTGGTAAAAAAGTTTTTAATAGGATATGTTGGCAAACTGGCAGCTACCTTCTGGGGATTTTTTCCTATGCATTTACCAATATTTAGGCATAATGAGAAATAGATACTAATGCTTTTATTTTAGTAGAGATTTTTGAGGAGCTCAGAAAATTACATGAGTACTGTTATAGTGTAGTATAAATACAGTATCTCACTTCAATTTTCTCCCTTGGCTCAGTTCCCAAAAATTAAAGGGAGTTCCTTTCCTTATAATTTGTGTTAACAACCTATTGTTCCTCCAGCTGTCTTTAGCTCCTCTTTCCAGCATAAATTGATTCCAGTGGGAGAGAAGGCAAGATAGTAAATCAGTGCATCTATGCTTTTACTTCCCCTTTTGTTCTGTTCAACTCTATAATTATACTTCATTTTTGTAAAGCAGCAGATTTTCAAATTTAAATCTCATGAATTTCAATATTTATACATGTACGTAATAGGAAAAAGGACTTAACTGCTCTCCCTCTCAATTCACACCTACAAACTAATATTTGCTATAATAAGATAAAGGCAAATCCTTTTCTGAAAAAGGTGATAGGGATTACCAAGTAACATTGTCTATAATTTTACCTTTTCAGAAATGGATGAGTGAACATTTTTGAGAAAGAGGAAGTAAAAATATTTTTTTCTTATTCTTCCCTACAGTTAGTATGACGAGGTAAAGCCCTCTAGAGGCCTTCAGATCTAGGAAAAATGCCCCTACCTGCTTTAAAGCCCCAGCTAGGCCACAGTTACCAGCAAAAATAATTATTTGGGCATCACTGTTATGACCTCTCTGGGCACATTTAATCAGTCAGTATTTATGGAGTATATTTCATGTGCCAGGCACTGGTTTAGGTGGTAGAAAAATGATAATACTCAACATATATTGAACTCTTTTTCTTATACCAGGAAATCTGCTAAGGATTTTTCAGGATACTTTCCTATCTAATACTATTATTATTTCAGAGGGAAGAAGCAAGGATGAATCTTAGGTGGCAGAACAGATGTCTGTCCTTCAGGGGGAGATTTAACCTCTGTGAGCTCCAGTTTCCAAATATGAATCACATTAATAATACCTACTTTATCAGGTTGTTGTAATAGATGACGTAATTCAGGTAAAGCTATAAGCCAATGCAGAACTATTTTTAAAATTAGGAAATCCAGAGAAGTGAGGCTCTACTCCATATCAGTCACAGTTGTAGGCACTGAGAATACACATTGCACTGAGGGAAAATGAAGTCACTGATGATCTTAGTAGTTTTAGTGCAGTAATAGAGGTGGAACCTACACTGCAGCAGGTTATGAAATGAATGGAAATTGAAGGGTAGATAAGTAATTCCAGTGTTTGGGCTCTGAAGTGGGGAAGAGAGAGAGATTGATAACTGAAAGGGACTTGGAGTGGGAGAGAGAGTAAAATGGAACAGCCTTGAACACATCTAAGTGTTCATAGAAATAAATAAGATGATGAGAACTGTTTGAAGGAACAGGAGAGAGTGATGATAATCTGTAGATCAAAGCTGTGAGACAGTAAGGGAAGTGAGATCCAGAACCCTGGACAGAGGAGATGTCTACATTTCTATTACAACCACAAGAAGGGAGGAATTGACTGGATGAGGCTGTAGATACTGGCGTGAATGCTGAGAAGATGTGGAGCAAGTTCTTATTGGGCTTGTTTTCCCTGAGAAGATGGGGTAAAGTCATATGCTCAAAGTAGATAGGCATTAGGCATTTGGAAAGGTAGGAGGTTTTAGTGTGTAGGTTTTTAAATAGTAGCTAGCAAGAACTTAATAATTAACTAGGAAAGCAGAAAGATTGACCCAACTGTGGATCTAGATGAAGCTGAGTGCACTCTCTGTATCCTTTTTTATACGCACAGTGGTGATAAATAAAGACAAACCAAAAGAGAATAAATCAAGGCTATTTATTCAGTTTCTTGCAGAGTAACTCATTTCAGCGGAGATTCAAAGGCAGGGAAAGAAATGGGAATGCTGTGTAGTGGAGAAAGGGATGGCTTCTGATGTACCCTAATTGGAGTCTGTTGGCCCAAAGAAGCTGCAGGCAGGCTGACTGGAAGCAAGCATCCTACGCGATAGGTTAGAGGAGCATATTTGGCTTTCTCTGGTTGGTGCTAAAGTTAGCAGTGGAGCCAAAAATTAGGGAAGTTGTCAGCTTTCAGTTAAGTCATGGCCATTTGGGGCAAATTGTTGCAGAAATTATTGTTTGGTTTTCTGTGTTCTGAATCCCTGCAAGTCTGACTTATCGTGGGCTGATTTCCCAGGCTAGTTGTTGTAGATAAGGGATTGGTTTCCTGGGCACGTTTCTACAGTTTTGGGGTCAGAATTCTATTTTTTATATGATCTTGCCATTGTCCATTTGGCAAGATCATATAAAATTGTCCAGATAAAGTTTCCTACCACTTTTATTATTATTATTGAAACTTGAAATGACCTTCTGTTTAGAAACCCTTGTTCCTTTAGTTAAAAGAATATAGAATCTGAGAGACAGATGAGACTCAGGAAATAATCAGTAATGGAATGGAAGTAAGGGAATTTGTGGGAATACCATTCAAGAAATTAACATGTAATTTTAACCTGCGCAGTAAAGGAAAAATTTAAGAAACTGCATCACCTTGTTTTGAGCCTTGGTCAAGGTAAACCCAAGCTATGTGATATGGTTTGGCTCTGTGTCCCCATCCAAATCTCCTGTAAATTTGTAACCCCACGTATCAGGGGAGGGGCCTGGTGGGAGGTGATTGAATCATGGGGGCGAACTTCCCCCTTAGTGTTCTCCACATAGAGTTCTCACAAGATCTGGTTGTTTGAAAGTGTGTAGCACTTCCCCCTTTGTTCTCTCTGTTACTGCCATGTGACAAAGGTGCTTGCTTCCCGTTTGCCCTTCTGCCATGATTGTACATTTCCTGAGGCCTCCCAGCCATGTTTCCTATATATCCTGCAGAACTTTGAGTCAATTAAACCTCTTTTCTTTATAAACTACCCAGTCTCAGGTAGTTCTTTATAGCAATGTGAGAATGGACCAATATACTTGAAAGTGGAACTTCAGGCCAGATCTCTCAGACCAATGGACTAGAAGATAGAGACTTAAGAAATAAGTGACTTGCTTGGGCTTGGACTTGAACCCAGTGCTCATTCATTTTCATTGACCTGAGAAGTAACCATTACATCAATCATGTTGAAAATTTCTTTATCAAATTTGGAATTGGAAAGTTTGAGTAATGCAAAACATCGACCTAAACGCTTCATTAATTACTCCACAGAGCTGTCTAAAACCATAATAAACTTACCTGTTGTTCATTGTAGCTGTTTACAGGCTTAAGAAAGTTTAAGGAGAATGTAACCTTATAAATGTTTAACCATAAGGGATGATAAATGTTAGGATTAATGGTATGTCAGAGTGTGCATATTTTTAGGATTCTATGTTGAGATTGGAGAAATTCCCGTTACTATAAAATATTTGAGGGGCAATTTACCTGATAAGAGAAACAAGGGTGTATTACCATTGATTGATTATATAGTAAACCCTTACCTTGTCTCTCTTCACATAATGAATTTCTTTTTTCCTTACAGCCTGATAAGAAAATTTAATGGGATGCTTCCATCAGTAATAAAACCACTGAGCCATATAGAAAGTGGTTTTTGCATCTTTCCCAAAGTGTGGGAAATACCTTGATATCAGCTGGAAAGAGTCATTACTTCCACATTAAAGTTGTGCTAAAGTGAAAGCTTAACAAGCACTTAGTTTATCAGAAACACAGTAGCATTTTCCAAAGCTCCATCCATGGATGCATTGTATTCTAAGGGTGAGAGGTAATCTGAAGTTGCTCATGATCTCAAAGGGCAGGGAGACCTATGAAAAGGGAACAAGTGGGAAACAAGGATCTAGCCATTGAACCCAGTGTTCCTTTTCCCCCCAGTGCTTCTGAACACACCCATATAAGGTGCCCTAGAAGCAATATTAAATAATTCTGGAAAGCCTGGGAGTGGTGTGCTTCAATCAGCAATCACCAGTTAAGGAAATGCTGAGTTCTAGGAAAGGGGCCTCCTTTGAAGTCATTTAGAGACCCTTGACCAGGGAGCTTAGGGAGAATAAATACCAAAGGAGTTTGGGTTTTTTTATGTCTTGGCTGTCTGGGTGAATTATCTGAGATGTAGACCCAGGGCCTGGATGAAGGTTTGCAGAGCAGACATCTTTATTTGGATACACACTTATTCATTCAATAAATATTTACAGTAAGTCTGCTATGTAGTAATTGTAATCTATAATTAGGATATTTTCTTTGAGTATGCTAAATATACAGGAATAATAGAGAACAGAGCAAACCTGGTCTCTCCTGGGCTCACATGATTCTGAGTAATGAACAAACTGTAGCAATAATACTCAATATTAATACTTTTGTTTAATGTAATAACTAGGGTGCTACCTTTATGGAATTCTCTGTTTTTAATGGAATTTCTCAAATTGGCATACTGTTTTCTACTAATTGAGAACACCCCTTGCATAACTGTAACATAGCCTTCATTGTTTTTTGTTTTTTTAATCTCTAAACAAAATGTTTTATTTGGTAGAACAGAATTGCAGTTGCCCTCATTCTTTTTAATACAGTTCTTTACTAATAACACCAAGGCCCTAATTTTGCACACACACACTGAACCCTTAATTCTGCCTAGGAGCCCTGCTGGTAGTTGTTATAATGCCAAAGTCTTGAACTATGGAACTTGGCAAATCTGTTACCATAATGAATTAGTACCAAAATGATTGGGGTAGCACATTTTAGCATTCTTATTGAATGCTTGCTTATTCCAATGTTTCTTACCTTTATTAAACCCATGAATCTTTTTTTTCTTTTTTACTAAACGTAAGATCACACGTAATATCAGAATGTTCACAATAAATTTCGTACTTAGAAAGTAACACAATTATAATTTTAGGATTTTTTTTCAAACTATATATACAACTCCCTACTCTTAAGAATTACTCTTGTACATAATAAAGCATTTGAATGTCTTTGTAGATTATAGAAACTTGGCCTTTTTCATCGTATTTACAAAGTGTTAAAACATTTCCAGGGAGTAGAAAGGGACAGAGATTTCAAGCATCCTAAAATGGCAATTAAAGCACCAAGTAGAAATTTTCTGTAGTCTTTGAAAATGAGACAGGATTTTAAAATGTAATATTTTTCTTTCTCATGGTAATTATTATCATCTCTTAAGCCTCAAATGTCATAAATTAGCTATACTGGAGGAACCTAGGCCTGAAGTTAGTCTGTTACTTTTCTATTTTCTTATTATCCTCTTAACTATTTTCCAGGCTGAGTAAATTCTTTGTACACTGGATTTGTGGCTAAATCAAAACAGAAAGTAGATCCTTCTATCTTTGCATTTTAGAAATGAGTAACACATATCACATACCAGAGTGTATCTTTTGCAATTATTCACAAGCAACATGTTTGAAGGTTGAACCACATACAGTCAATTGTACTGTTAAAAATTTAATGCTTTTGCCTGCAGAATGTGCCAGTATATTAATTCAGTGGTGCCTTAAAGTTTTGCATTTGAGAGTCATGAGCTTACATCACTAAGCCTGGTAGATATCTGTCTAATAAGGTTCAATATGTTTAATATATGAGCCTCTTTTTTAAAAGAGTAAAGATAACTTTTTACTTTGATTTTATAGATTTTTTTCGTGAGATATAAAATCATTTATATAAGCAACGTCATCTCATGCTAAAACACAGCACTATTCTTGCATTGCACATTAAAAGACCCATATAAGACTACTGTTTAAAAAAGCAGTCTGAATTTGTAGCACAGTTTTTTGTTTGTTTTGTTTTGTTTGAGATGGAGTCTCATTCTGTCACCCAGGCTAGAGTGTGTGGCACAGTTTTTCAAGAATCTATTCCTCTTTGATTCAGATATTATAAATACTAGGGCAACAGCAGAAGATAAAGACTGCTTAAATGGCAAATCTAGTAAATAAAAGTCATTAGTATGTTGAAGTATATTTAAATCTTGACTCAAGAAGAGATCAGTCACTCTCCAGTGAAGTGCCTGGGAGGATACAAGGAAGAAAGTACAGCAGGCCCTATACCAGAGGCAGGGCTGTGTCCAGATGCCTGAAATCATGCCAAGAATCTGGAGGTTCCTCATCCCTGTTGCCATGTACACATATAAACATATCTCTTAGATGAGAAGGAAAGAAACAATCTGCTGAGATGATTTCTTCATCCCTCAACAGGGAAATGAAATATGGGATAGGTTGTGTATGCCTTTGGATTTCTTTGGAAGGAAAAGACCTCTATGGAATAAGGGCCAAAATAGATAGTGTCAGTCCTGTTAATGCTTAGAACAAAAATACCTACAACACCTCAGCACCAATCCACAGGCCTGCAGCATGTCCTGTAGGAGATGCCTCTTTGACTCAGAGAAGAGGAGACACACATCACTGCCACTCCATCAATGAGTGGAAAATGAGATACCCCAGCACTAACAGAATGAAGCCTCAGAGGCTCACAGCCAGTACTCATAAGTGAAGCTGCCCCAAGCCTAAGATCAGAGGCAGCTGTTACTCCAGACACATCAGATGGCCTCAAGTGCCCAAGTAGAGGCCAGTCTGTAGTTACCTCCAAGCAAAGTATAGAACAGTGAGACATCACAACTATGTCCATCATCTCTGGAGGAAGAGGTTCACCAACACTCAGCAGGCACAACACTAAAAAGGCATATTGGTAATTATTCATCACATTTCTCCGATGGCGCTGATGTTTTAGGAAGAATAAGGGGGAGGATATCTGCTTTCCTAGATTGCTTTTTGCAAAGAGTGTCATGGATTAAGAAGAAAGGTGAGAGGTCAAAATGGTAGCCATCAAGAGGGTTCCACCCAATATTGATTGGACCACAATGAGTAGGTAAGATCCTGGTCATCAACAAGGTGCCACAAGGGTCTGAATCAGAGGTTGCCCCGAAACCCCCAACAACTAGATACCACTGATGGCATCAAAGGAACAGGGAGGAGCCAGGGTTCTTTCATGCCTTCCAGGCTAGATACTTGCAAGGAATATATGGGATTGTTTATTTCTTAATTAAGAATACAGAAAAGCTATCTCAGGCCATTTCTACACATACATACTAGTTGTGATTTGACAGGCTTTTTAAAAAATTAGTTCAATTTTAGTAGACTTTCTACCAAATTGATTAGAGTTGTAAATTTGTCTATACATACCAAGTAAATATGACTTCCTAACCTGCAGCTTTGATATAATATAATCTTAGTTTGTACAAACTTCATAACTCAGCTTTTGAGGAATGATTTTTTTAGTACAAAAACAAAATTGCCACTCTCCATCCCTGTCTCCAAATACTTCAAAATGAATGTTTTTTCTACATAGAAGGTTTGTAATCATCTTATCTTTGGTGTAATTGATGTCTGATATATTGATATTCTTTCAGTTGCAAATACAGCCATTTATAACAAGTGAATTTTTTTCTTCTCTAACAATATAGGTCTATTTTCCTAAATCATAAATAAAGGCTCTGTAGTTAGCCTTTCTTCTAATAATCTTGCCATATCAGCAGTGAAAGTGGATTAACTGAAATTTCACCTTTAATTTTTATCTAATGTGTTTACTACAGATACAGCAAAATGTTTTTACTAAAAGCCAAATATTGAACCATGTCTTAGCAGCTAAGCCTGTGTGACCATTTCCTCATTCCTCCTTGTCTAGACTGTTAATACTACTTAATTAAATAATGGCTGACACAACAAAAGAAACACTTCTATAGATAGTGGTTTATAAATGGAATTGGTGCATTTTCTAAATAAGAAAATGCAGTACAGAGTGTTTCAGTTAAGTACATTGTGTCCTGTGGTCTGTAGCTTACACAAAAATCAAGGATGAGAAACTTCTGAATCCATTTTGCCACCGGCTTGAAGCCTGTGACTTTAGTCAATCTACATGAATCACTAAGCTTTAGGAAAAAATAGGTAACATAGCCACATGTTCAAGCAATTCAGATATTCAGTATGTAGTTTTAATCATTTAACTTTGCTTAGCTAATCCAAAAATACTTCTGAGGAGCCAACCAATTTGTTAAAGCCCGTAATTTGACTTTGGGTTTTTAAAATTTATTATTTTTTTATATATATAGAGATGGGGTCTCACTATGTTGCCAGGCTGGCCTCAAACTCCCGGCCTCAAGTGATCCTCCCACCTCAGCCTCCAAAGTGCTAGGATTATAGACAGGAGGCACTGTGGCTGGCCCATAGTTTGATTTTGTTATAAGAGAGAATACACTGAGCTACAAGTCAACAGACTTGAATTTCAGTGCTGGGCATCCTAGGTCAATAAGGTATCTTTAATTCGTTTCCCTGTCTTGAAATAAAGTGTTTGGATATTATATCAGTGGCTCTTTAAATACATTCTCTGAAGTACTGAAGACCTAGCCAGTTCCCTAAGGCCAACTTGGTTTGGTTATGAGGTAAAGTCAAGTGAAGAGAACTTTGAGCCTAGCACTTTAAATTGGTTAAAGTAGGAGCAGCCTCACTTTTATCTGTATTAAACCACTGAACTAAATAATAGATAAGGTTTCTTGCAGATTAGACATTCTATAATAAAGGAAGTTAGACCAAGTCATATTTCTGCCCACAAGGAGCTTATAATCTAATTGGTAGAAAAAAATACTTGAACATTTAATGTGTAAGATAGTGTTACACATGTCAGCACTCCACAATGATATAGTAAAATGCTAAGTAGAAGGTTATAAATTTGAGGCTGGGATAATATGCAACTTTGCATGCAGATAGTTAATGCAAAGAAGGTTCATCAAAAAAAGAGAAGTTCAGCCTGTCATCAGGAAAAAGTCCATGGTATGAGTATTAAAAAATTGATTATTATAACGAGAACGAGAAAGAGAATATATTAATTGTGAATTAAAGTAGCTTGTTTCTAAGAATGGCTAATATTTTCAGACTTGTTAGAATATTCATATAAGAAGATGACAGCTATTCCTAAATTGAAATAATGTTATTGTATATCAGCAAGGGGAAATTAAAAATGAAAATAGGTCATGATGAAATATATTAGGAGCAAGCTTGTATATTTATAGGTTTATGGACAAAGTCTAAGACATTGCTTCATTACCTTTGCTATAACAAATCATATCTGTTAATATTAGACCATCTGAACTTAAATCAAATGATGTTTTCCCCAAAAGGCAGCGGTCAGACTCTCACTAAATGAAATTCTATTCTAAAAACAGCCATATGATTGAATGGATTCTGCTTGATGGTAAACACTCATCCCCTATTTCTGTGTTGTAAATATTTTTCCACAAGACAATGAAAAGCCACCATGACCACTGAGATTTCATTTTCGGGACTGTCACAGTTTCAGGCTGAGATATAAGAAAGAACCATCTATTATTAAAGGAGCAGAGGTCAAGTCATGCCGGTGGCCCTCGTAGGGTAAAGCAGGGGTCGGGGAGGGGCTGGTGCAGGAGGGTGGCAGGAGATCTGGAGGAGCTAGAGTGGCAGGTACTCACTGTAACAGGGAATCTCGAGTGGGCAGTGGAGCCAAAGAGGAAAGCAGGGCACCGCGTAGGGACACAGGCAGCAGGGAAGATGCCTTTGTGAGAGGAGCGGGAATTTCACCAGCAAGAGGTGGCCTGAGTGGACCAGTTGGTCTGGCTGAATTGATCAAGATTGAGCCAGAATCTTAGAGGGATTTACATGGCAAATCTTTCAGAACTTCAAGGGCTTTCTGTAAATTCAAGGATTCAGTCATCTGGTTAATTTGACTAGATCTTCCCAAGCACAAATAAATGGAAAATTGACTTCTAATAGTACCTAACCTTCACTCCGATATTTCCGGCTTTTGAACTTTACCAAAGGTAACCTCCCAGGTGCTCAGCGAAAGGAAAATTTAAGATAGTACATGAAGGAGAAGAGACTAGACAAGGTCATGCAGAAATTAAATGAAAAGGCTTTTATTTCACAAGCAGGGAATCGAAACCAGACCACCAGTAAGAAAGGGCAAAGCCTTAGCAACTGAGCTACAGCATAGGGCAGTCTTCACTGTTCTTCCCAGAAAGCATCTAGAATAGTTAATTGTGAGCTTACACAGGCTTTTAACTACTCAAGATAATTTTTAGAGCTAATTATGACATAAACCCTAAAATTCCTGTTCCCTGGAAGGAGGAGACCAAGAGAAAGTACTGCCACGTGGTAACAAGGTCAAGCTCCCAAGGACATAAAACAAGATGGAGATAAACAGTGATTTTTACCATTCAGTCAACCATTTGCACAGAAAGAGAGAAGCCAGAAGTCTGACTGGTAAGAAATTCTTACCCTTTTGCCGGCATGCCAGGCTTCTGGGTTCTCTTTGCCTGAGCGGCCTCCATGACTGAGCTTGCCACACCATCGCGCTGGGGCAAAGCCACATCAGAAAAGAAAATTATCTTTTTCTGTTCTGGCCAGAGTAAAATACATGTGACAAAAACATAGACATTAGCTGCTCTGATTAGCACCCAGTATCAAACTGGCAAGGCTCAAATTTGCACCTGGTTGGGCTCCATCATCATTAATCCAACCTCCAACCAGGAGTTTCAACCTGTGGTCTCTGGGCAAGATGGTTGCCCTGAGTAATAGAAAAGATAAGAAAGAGAAAGGAGAAAGAGAAAAGCATTGCCTGAGGCAGGGTGGGGAAGGTGAAATGATCTGGGAGGCCAGAGAAAGACCCACCCATTGCAGCGACACTGAAAAAAAAGTTCAGGCGGCTGCTTCTAGGTAGCGAAGGGATCTTTTCCAGCAGGCCCATCATCTCTCAAGTTTCCCCTTTTAGGGAGGAAAAAGCTCCCCATGTCCCACGATCCTGTACATGCCTAATCCTGTCACCCACAGTTGTCAGCAAAGAGTGCAAGGCAGATTATTCCAAAGAGAATAGCAGTTGACATGCTGTAGTGCCAAACCCATTCTTAGACAAAAGGGACTTTACTTAGAGCCCTCATTTTAAAAATGTACTTCAAATGCATTGTTGTTCATTCGGAACATTCCACTGTGTTATCTTTAGTAACATTTTGCTGTTTCTGTAAGACTTCGCTGCCTCCCAGGCCTGAAGTGTAAGCCAGAAAGAACTCAGTTTTCCAGAAACTAAGGATCCCATTTTTACCTAAAATATTGGCCTTACGCTCAGCTTCTCTTGATTAACTTAGCCAGTGATTTTTTTTTCCTACCCAAGTGTAAGAAAAATGAAACAAAGGGGTATAACACAAAAATCTGATTTTTCAAAAGCCAAATTTTATAACTCCTGCAATATTACTGCTTACTACCAGTTCCTTTCTGACCCAGTCAGATGTAAGAGGCTTCTAACTGGATCCAAGCCAGTTAATTCCCAGATCAAATCCATTCCTGTACCCAGTCCAGTTTCTGTCACAACTCCAAACCCAGTTTGGATCAGAAATTTGCTCAAAGAAACTCAGAGAGCTCAAAACACAAATCTGTGGAGCTGGGAAATCCAAGAGGGAGCTTAACCATGATCCCCAGTGGCTGTGAGAGATCAGTGGAGCTCGGAAATCCAAGAGGGAGCTTACCCATGATCCCCAGTGGCTGTGAGAGATCAGCGGAGCTCCGAAATCCAAGAAGGAGCTTACCCATGATCCCCAGCAGCTCTAAGAGATGAGTGGACACAAGTGGGTCCTGCAGGTACCTTGCATATTCACTCAGCACTGCTGGGGGATGCTAGAAGCTCCATTTTGGATCCCACTTCTGACACCATCTGATAAAAGAAAAACTTCAGCCGAATTAAATTTAAAAGAGTTCAATTGAGCAGTGAACGATTTGCAAATCCGGCAGCCCCCAGAATCACAGCAGATTCACAGAGACCCTCTTGACTGGTAAATTCTAAAAGGGCCTGGATTATGTCTCTTTAGCTTATTTGTATAAATACCACCTGCAGGTTTGAGATTGATGTTAAGTAATCATACCATGCTACTGCACATGTTCCTCTCTTTTTTCACTTTTCTATGACATTTCTGTTTGTTTGATGTACCTGTAATAATCTCTGTTGACATTTGAAGGATAGAAGCAAATGCCACTTTAAAGCTTCCTCAGTGCAGATGAAATGATGATAATAATACAACACATTTTCAACACTTTTCTGGAGAAGTCAAAGCTCTTCACAGACATTAACTCATTCATCTTCACGATAGCAGTATTAGAGGTAACTGGGGACAAGTATTATTGGCATTTTACAAATGGATGCTGAGGTCACCTGAGGGACTTTTAACAAAAGTCATAAAATATTACAGTGAAAAGATCAACTCTCTGTTTTCAGGGATGGCACTGAGGCCCAGCAGTACAAAATGACTTGCCTTGCTCTACAGCCGGGCAGCAAGAGATTAGGATGGCTGCGACTCAGTCATCTTTGGCATCTGCAGGTCATAATTCTCACCCCTGTGGGATGGTTTTGGGGCAGGCCAGTGTCCACAGGAGGCAACACCAAGACACAGGATTTGAAGGCAACAGAGCAAAATAAATCAGTTCAGAACAGCCTGTGGACAGCCTTTCTCTTTGAACAAACGTTTAAATCTGATACTGATTTTCCACACTGAAAATTTTCACAGAGTTCTACACAGTTCATTCACTTTACCACTAATAATTAATGCAAAAAGGTCACATTTTGTGGATTTGGACTGTGGTTCTTATTTTATAAGCCCAGTAAGCTTTTCTTTTTTCTTAAAGCAGCTCTGATTGGCTCTTTAACTGGAACATGGGGCCTTTTATGAGTAGAACATGCTGATGACATAATACATTAGGGAATTCTCTTTAACAAATAAAAATAACGATTTTGTTTATTTTAGAAAGGGCTAAATGTTTGAAACTGATGATCTTTGTAAACATTTTCTAACTGGCATAATTAGTTTTGATTCCTCCAAGCAGCAGCATTTTCCTGGCCTAATTGTTTTTCGATCAACAGGCCGAGTCATAACACAGAAAATGTGGAGAAGGAAGAATAATTGAACATCAGAAGCCTTCTAATGCATTCCAGTCCTCATCCAAGGGCAAGGGAAATGTGACTTCTGAGAGAGAAGAAGATAAATGCAGCCAGTTTCAAATAGAATTATAATAGCCCTTCCTTGGACATTTGAGTTCAAGGAAGGATTAGTTGTCAGGAGAGGGAGGTGATGAGTGTTCACCTTGGGAAGAGTCTTAGTAGATCAGGGTTTTGAGAGATAAGGCTCAAAAAGAAAGCACAGCTGATGGCTTGTTATCAGAGACATGCATAACAATAAGTCTTGCTCTTACCATTTTCACAAGCACTAAGAAGTTCTGGTAGACACTGCAAGTTAATTTCCAGGGCCTCCTGCATCAATGAGTGGAAGTAAAGGCTGTCCTTGGTGAGCTTCAATGAGTTGACAAAGGAAGGGGCCTCACCACACACAGTCTGTGTGCTCAGCATCTCTCTCTATACTTTTCCAAGAAGCTGCAATGCAGATATATCATAGACTAGATAATTTCTTCCTAAATTTGGCACACTTTTTTTCAACTTGGATTTATTTTGATGCACGTTAAATCAATAAACATTTCTTAATGCTTTGCAATGGCATTACTTCAGCTTTCAGGGAAACCAAAGGTGAACCAAGAGGGAAACACTTCCCTTCCTAAGTTGCTAGCCTTTCTTCCCAAATTTTTTCCCCAAATTGTATTGTGGAATTTTAATGTTGAATAACTTCAAACCTACAAAAAAACTGAAGGGACAGTACAGCAAAATCTGTATACCTTTCACTGAGATTCACCAAGTGCTAACATTTTTTTTCTACATTTGCATTTATTTCTTTGTATGTGTACTAGGCCATTCTTGCATTGCTGAGGCTGGGTAATTTACAAAGAAAAGAGGTTGAATTGGGCTTATGGTTCTGCAGGCGGTACAGGAAGCATCATGTCAGCATCTGCTTCTGGGAAGGCCTCGGGAAGCTTTTACCCATGGCAGAAGGCAAGGCAGAAGCAGGCACTCACCACAGGGAAATCAGGAGCAAGAGAGAGATTGTGGGGAAGGTGCCATGCACTTTTAAATGACCAGATCTTGAGAGAACTCACTATCTCAAAGACAGCACCAAGCCACGAGGGATCCACCCTCATAACCCAAACACCTCCCACCAGGCCCTTCCTCCAGCATCAGAGATTACAATTCAACATGAGATTTGGGCAGGGACAAATCTCCAAACAATATAATATGTGAGTATGAGTGTATGTGCATTACATTCTGAACTATTTGAAAATAAGTTGAAGGCATGATAATAATAAACACCTGAAATTCCTCAGCTTGTATCTCCTAGGAACGAGGTCATTCTCTTGCATAACTACAGTGCTAATATCTACCCCCAAAATGTAACATTGATGGAATAATAGTGTACAGTCCATATGCTTACTCCCCAAGTGTCCCAGTAGTGCTCTTTATAACTTTCTAAAATCTGGAGTCTACTAAAAAAACATGCATTGTATTTAGTTGTCATATCTGTTTAGTCTGTTTTTTTTTTTTTTTTTTTTTTTGAGACGGAGTCTCGCTCTGTCGCCCAGGCTGGAGTGCAGTGGCGCGATCTCGGCTCACTGCAAGCTCCGCCTCCCGGGTTCACGCCATTCTCCTGCCTCAGCCTCCCGAGTAGCTGGGACTACAGGCGCCCGCTACCACGCCCGGCTAATTTTTTGTATTTTTAGTAGAGACGGGGTTTCACCGTGTTAGCCAGGATGGTCTCGATCTCCTGACCTCGTGATCCGCCCGCCTCGGCCTCCCAAAGTGCTGGGATTACAGGCGTGAGCCACCGCGCCCAGCCTAGTCTGTTTTAATCTAGAAAAGTCCCTTCACTTTTTTGGTCTTTCATGACACTGACAGCTTTTAAGAGTTCAGGCCCACTAACCTGTCATCTGCCCCCATTCTGCATTTGTCTACGGTTTCCCCATGATTCAATTCAGGTCAGGCATTTTTGGCCAAAAGTATTAATGGGTGATATTGTATTCATCCCTAGCATCATAGCAGGAGGCACATGATATCAGTATGGCCTTTTATTGGTGATGCTAAGGTTGATCATTTAGCTAAGATCGGACTCATGAGATCACTCTGCTACCTTTTTTTCCTTTGAAGTTAAAAGCAATACGTGGAGTACTGCTTTGGAACTGGGTGCTATCCTTCTTCTCCACATTTTATCCAGTAGTTTAAGCATCCATCCATTGATGGTTCTTGCCTAAACTAGTTATTACACTGGTGGCTGCAAATGGTGCCTTTCTAATTCTCTAATTCTGCCATTCCTTCCTTTAGTAGTTGGCATTCTTCTGTAAATAATAGGTTTTCTTCTCTCCACCTGCTTTTGGCAATTCATTATTCAATATATTATAATGCCTCTCTCTCTCAGGATTCTTTTCTAATGCCCCAAATTAGTTCCAGTCGTTGTGTCCTTTTCACAGGTCTACATCTGTTTTTGAGCACCCTCTTGCTTTCTGGAGCAAGATGTTTCAAGCTCACTCTGTACTTTGCCTGCTTGAGACGAGGCATCTAAACAGTCAGCTTTAAATACAAAGTGTGTTCCAGGGAAGCAATCAAGTCCTTTGTAAATAGAAAAGAGAATTTTTAATTTGTCCTGTAGCAGTTGGAGAATCAAAGAGCGGTACAGGGTAGCAAGTGACATTGAGTTTAGACTTGAAGGATAAAATATGCAGAGAAAAGTCAATTTGTTCTCGGAGGGAACACGTCAAAAATTTTCGTAGAAGCAGGAAATTCCCGATCTATTCAAGGAACAGCAAGTAGCAGAGAGTGGCTGGCAAGCAGGTAGGAAGTAGCCAGATAACAAAGGGCCTTAAGTGCCATGCCAGGATGTTTGGGCCGGGAAGAGGGAATGTGTTTGTTTTGAACATTTCATTATAGGCAATTAGGGTCCTCCAGTTATTCTTTCACAAGTGTTAGAGGAGTGGGAAGAGAAGGTAATAATTGGGAGAAAAGAGTACAATTAGAAGATTATTTGCAATTATTAGAAGAAAAATTAGAAGATTATTTGCAGGTACAATTAGAAGATTGTAAGTATCTTTTTTGTATAATGACTTCTTTTCCTCTGAGTAGATACCCAATAGTGGAATTGGAGATCATTATTCTAAGTGAAGTAACTCAGAAATGGAAAACCGAACATCATATGTTCTCACTTATAAGTGGGAGCCACACTATGAGGATACAAATGCATAAGAATGATACAGTGGACTTTGGGGACTTGAGGGTCTTGGGGGAAAGGGTGGGAGGTGAGTGAGGGATAAAAGACTTCAAATTGGGTACAGTGTACACTGTTTGGGTGTTGGGTACACCAAAATCTCACAGATCACTACTAAAGAACTTACTCATGTAACCAAACACCACCTGTTCCCCAAAAACCTATGGAAATAAATGAATAAATAAAATAAAATAAAAATAAATAACTCCCTCCCCCCTTCAAAAAAAAGGAAGATTATTTGCCACATGTCCAAGCAGGCATTTATTTATTCTATACCTTATAGAATGTAGTATATATTCTCTTGGTAATTTCACATTAGGTTTGCTTGGATTTTGGATTTTTGGTTGTCCTTTCTACAGTTCCTGCTAGATAGTTCTCAGCCTTCAAGTTGAAGGGCAGAGGACTGAGTCTGTCTTGCTGCTGAACACATGTTAAGTATTTAAGTGTTTGTTGATCCACTCACATCGTAAGTTCAAATCACTCAAAATGATTGTATATGCACACTTTGAATTTAATGTTCTCTTTATAACCTCGGACTCTGTGACCGCATAGCTACATATGAAATGAAAATTACTATCTATATAATCAAACCAAAAAATAATGTTCTTCTGAAAAAAGCAGATAATTGAATCATAAATATAGTTCCTGCTTCAACAACCTAGAACTGCACTGTTCAATCTATATAGTAACCACTAGCTACGTATGGCCACTGAATACTTAAAATGAGCCTTGTCCAAGTTAAGACATGCTGTAAATGGATTTCAGAGACTTAGTATGAAAAAGGAATGTAAAAGACCCCAAATTTTATATATTGATTATGTTAAAATGATTTTGGATATATTGGGCTAAATAAAAAAGATATTAACATTTTTCCTATTTTTACTTTTTTAAGGTGGCTATTAGAAAATTTAGATTTGTGATCACTTATTTTTATTTGGCAGTGCTGAGATAAATAAATATATTTATTTTATAGATGGTCTCAAACTTGTATTTTCTAAGATTCTAATAGAAATATAAGTACACAAAAGACATGTACTCCACAGCTTTACATTAGGACTACTTTGAGTTTTTTACTTCAAGAAAGTGAAAACACAACATATTGATTTTATTTTTGAAAATTTTCAAGAGCAACCATAAGTATAAATGCCATTTTATAAGAAACAAATTCACTAATAACCCTTCCCAGAATTCATATTTTACAGTATAAATTGGCAATTTTTAAAATATAATCTTTTGCCTCATGTGTGTACATAAAAGACCTTTTTTTAAAAAATATATTTGTCAAAAATTAAAATTGTAAAGACCTATAATAGTGAACTGATGTTACAGACAGTATAGTTTTCTTTTCCTGGTAATGAAATCTGAGTCATATTTTCTTAATGTGTTGCCATTTCTCCACATAGGCTAAGAATCCTCAGAGAGTAAATGGTGAGTGTAGACAGTGGTCCCATTATGTTTTAAATAGTTAGTGATGTCTAATATGTCTAACTTAACTCTCCGAACTTAACCTAATGTTCCAGAATGGTAGGGAGCCTTAAGATTCATCATAATGGGTTCATTAAGCATTTGTCTATATGAGATGTAAAGTATTCATTAAGTCTTAGAGTGATTTTTAGGCTCTCACTAATGCATCTCCTTAAGTCTCCATCAGGCTGCCAAAAGACAGCTCTGTACTTCAGGAGAACAGACCAGCAACAGTTCTCTTCTTTAGAGCTCTTCAAAGCATCGCCTTAACCTCCCTTACTAACTTGTTAGTGTCTGACAACTTTTATTATCATCATAGCCTGTGATTTTAGCCTCTCTGAGCTTCATTTTCCTCATCTCTAAATGGAAGATAAAACCTGGCTATGCCTTGAGTGGCTGGTGTACTGTAAGGACTCAGATCACGTCTTGAATGAATAAGGATTATGCCCATCTCAAATAGCACCTCCATTTTGCCCTCAGGATTTATTGATTTTAGAAATGTTTCCATTGCCTTTTTAAATAATGTATTTATTTTTACAAAAGAACCAGCGTCGATCTACAGATTCTTGGGAAGCCAGGCCAGCGGGCAGGCCTCTAGGGATGCCAGTAGCCCCCCACTGTCAAAGGCTTCACCTCCCTCTTGAATACACAACCCATCTTGGCTGCCAGGAAGGCACCTCTGCCCTCCTTGGCCCACCTCATGCTTCTCTCCTGTCTGCTGGGTTTGATTGTATATCTTTCCCTTTTACTAAAATGTGAGTCCTCATTTTAGTGAGGGCAGAGATACTCATCCTTAAACCCTAGTGCCTGGCACAGAATGAGGCTTTAATATCTATTAAATAAATGCATACATACATGCAGGCCAAGGAATCACCTGAAATGATGTTAAGTATTTCACAAAAGCTAGCCTGGAAAAGTTACGAGTGTACCTCATTCTACTTCTCAGCTGGCTATAAACTAATCACTTGAATTCAGGCCTTTGCTAATTGTTCAGCTCATGACATCTCTCTTTTTGTTAATTTTAAAAGAAAAACCTGATCTGTTTTATCAGCAGGATAACAGGAGAAAGCAAAGAAGATGGAAATTACTTGAATATGTATCATATGTAAGATTGGCCACATAATCCATACAACTTCCCTGTGAAGTAGATACTTTCTACATATTTACTGTTGATGACACAAGGCCAAAGAGTTTAAATAACTGAGTTTGTAAAGCTGGTGAATGGTAGAGCCAGGGTTTGAACCTAGATCTAACTTATTAACTTCATCATGATGGAGTCATGCTCTTTGATAGAGAGATGCCTTTTCTATAAAAGCACCTGATCAGAAAAGTCATGCAGGTACACAGAGAATGAATGCCTCCCACTGTTGCTTTTCAGTGCCAAAAGCATCCAAGGCCTTGCAGAGTACTCCTTCATGCTTCCAGCTCCAACCAAGGAGCCACAGTTCACTAATGTAGCTTGTGGAGGAAAGATGGGCAAGAAACCAGGGACAAATGGCCCCACTAACTGAAAAGAGTTGAATAATTGGTTTCCACCGATTTGCCAGCTCTTGCTTTGTAGTCCCCTGTTTTTCCAGCTTTAGAGAAAAGCTGGGAGGACATCACTGAAAACAATAGAACACGGAGTGCTAATTCTCGTCCTTACCTTTGGGAAATAAAACAGCCTGAGATAATGGATGAAAATTGTAAAATCTATGTTAATGTGTTTATCACACAAAATATCGTTGCTTATAAGCTTGCACATAGATCTGTAACTTTTATTTTTGCCTTTTGTTAAAAACGGGTCTTGATCTGATGACTGGTTGTCTTTGAGCAACTACGGTTGGCTGTAGTCTACTCTGCAAACAATGGGGGGAAAAATCCAAGTCAGATTTTCTATAATTCAGCCAGCTAAAGTGTTGGACAAATCCTCTAGGGTAGAAACGAAGAGGTAATTTGTTTTTCTACTATCTGTACACAGCTGTCTCTTTACTAGTTTCATGTACTTATGTCATGATTGGCCTTCAGATATTTGGGGTAGAGGAAGTTCATCATAATTCCAAATATTTTCCTTAAAATTTTTTTATTTTTCTAAGGTTTTGTCCAAAAATATGATTCTGTGACTTGAAGAAAATATATTCCAAAATAATTGTAATGACATAGTAAATTAAAATTCATGACTTTGTCTCTCAACTTATTCATCTTAGTTTTCTATCATTTTTATTGTACTTTCCATAAAGTTAGAGATAATCAAAACCAATTGTTATCTTTAATTAATTGTAACTATATAACTGGTCTTGTTGGAACTTTAAATATTATAAAATAAAATAAAAACATAATTTACAAGTATGGCTAACAGTGGCCTTGCTTAACTCAAAGAAATATTTCCTTCCAAAAAAAAATTTCATCTTCTTATGCCCAAATAAACCACTTTGATTATTTTCCCATTTGAAAATTAATTAGGCTACAACAGTGTCTTCCAAACCCAGTATGTATAATCCAGGTATTTACCCCTGAAATTCTGAAATCCATAGTCTGGCTTCAAAAATCAGAAAGGAATTTATATGCAGCTATAAACTTGAAGCACAATTTTGTACTCCTGTTCTTTGGGCCTAAGTAAAAACTAGGATTTTAATCCATTTTCTCGAATCATATAATGTGTGTGTCAAATCCAAGTCGGTTGTGCATGCATGGGTCTTCACGAGGGAGTTTCCACTTTAAAGTTGGCAGGCCTGCTGAAGCACTCTAAATTGCCTTCGCAATGAAGTGGTGTGAAGTGCTCCCTGATTGCCTCCCTCTTGGCTATTGGGAAAACCTTGAAACCGTAGGCCTGGGATAGGTCTCAGTAAGCTACTTGGTAAGCACCCAGGTTCCAGGCAAGACCACTATTCAGGAGAGGTAGAGATTTCAATTGACTTTGCTGTGAATCCCTCAAAGATCACCACCCTGATCTACCAACTATGTAACAGTGTCTAGATCGATACATATTTTTGTGTATATCACCAGTGTTCAGAAACATCATCTCACAGAAGTCCCAAGTCCCAAATGACTCAAGAGTTAAGAGCTTCCTATATTGAAGTTCGTATCAGGGCAATATTCACATGAGATTCACTCTGTATTACTGTGTAGTTTTACTTTTGTGTTTGCACTAGTAAAAACATAAAGAACTATGAAAAATAATTTGAGTTTTAATAAATAAGCTGTGTGAACTGGTAATACTGACAATAGATTATCTTGCAGTACTGTTCCTGAATTTTTAAATTGCCTTTTCAAGATTTCCTCAGAAAGATAGGAGGCTCCCTCTAGTGGGAAGTGAGCATTGTAATTGATTGATTTCCCCCAAAGCAGTGTGTATAACTTCATAGGTGTTGTTTGAAGGAAAAGGGGCCTCTTCTGACTCTGATAGTTTGGGCTCCATAACATTTGTTCATTTTTCTCTCTGAATTTTGGTAAAGAAAATAATATTGGTTACCAAGGGATGCTTATAGGACAGCTGTGAGTTTAGAGTCATGTTGATGAAGTGAATTGCTCCTGTATCAGCAAAGAGAGGTTGACGTTACCAATCTGTGCTTAGGCATTAACTTGTTAGAAAATAAAAAATATATTTATAGCTATATATTTATGAAATGTATAAATATATGAATTCTAATCTTAATTCATAAGCCTTTTACTTTGATAAGTAGTTTAAAGGATTATCTTATCATCTCTTGCCTTCACTTTATGGCTGAGCTTAAGTGACTTGCTCAAGATTACACATTTGAAAGTCGGCTTTGACCTTTGAGTTTCTATTAATTTTACAGAATGTAAGCTGTATTCACTTTGGCTTTTCTTACTTTATGAGAAAACAGTAACCAAAATCACATGCATTTTTTTAGGTAATTTTCTATCTGTCTCATATCATTTCTACTTGAAGCTAAAACTACATTCTGTAGAGTGTAATAACATATTAAATTTTAATTCTGAATTATCAAGAGAAACTAAAATTGTACCCAGGGAAGGAAGTAAGTAGCACATTACAAATACAGGTTTTGGTTTTATAATTAGTAAAGAAAAAGAAAAGATTCTAATAAAATTTAATATTGAGAATGATATATAACCCAAAATGGTCAATAACCAATTCCAGGAAGAATGTTTACAGCAAGTTATAGAACTTACCCATTTTAAAGCCATACATCATATATTTCACCTATCCCACATTTATATATATTTTTATCAAAGTGTGTACTTGCTTTTTGGTAAGTGACAAAGTTAATCTACACTGGAGGAAGAAAAAAAATAGTTACTAATTTTTTTCCCTTATTTTCTTACAGCAAATGATGTGCTTGCTTTTGGAACATTGGTCAGTACTTCCAATACCTACGACGGGTCTGGTGTTGTGACTGTGGAAACTGACCACCCACTCCTCTGGACCATGGCCATCAAAAGCTAACCTGTTGACTGGCATCCATAAGTGTGCCTCTGCCTTATCTCATTTCTCAACAGTTCATTGCTCAACAAGAACGATTCACCTGGGTTTGCAAGAATCTAAACCTCTCTAGGGGAAGCCCACTGGGTTTAAAGATGTTAGTGTTTAGATAATACAGGTAACATTATAAATGACAGATCTCAATTTTATAGTAGTGGGAAAGATACATGCTAAGAAAGCAAATAAGCTCTATTATATTCGGTTGGAACCTAATGGGAATCATTCCACTATACAATTCAGTACTGATTATTCTTCTTACATTATTAATCATTCCATTTATCCTAGAAAATTGTTTTTAATTTGAATCAGAGAAAACTGTTGAGGTTCCTCTTGGAGTCTAGAACATCCTTAAATGTCTAACAACAAGGGCTACCTCTGAGTACCTTTTAGTATTAGTTTTCTGTATATGATATATATTATCTTATACTGAAAAAAAATTCCTTTCAGATTGGGGTGTTAGAAGTGCACCAGGTCACTCTGACCTTATTACTGTCTTTGGTATTGTCTTAAATAAATCAAGAATCATTGACCTAATTGTTAAATTTAAAAATAGGTAGTTAGCAATAGGTGGAAAGAGAAATGATGTGAAAGATAAATGATGATTCGTGGAGCCCTACTCACACATTAACCCCCAAATTCAAAAGTAAGAATGCAAAAGTCTAGAGGGGGTAACAGTCTGCATCATCATCACAACCTAAATGGAGAAAGCTGTGCAGAGGAAACTTAAGCATAAAAATTGAATTCGTTTCTGACATACCTTAGACTGAAAAACTGTTGGTTCATCCAGAAGTGTATTCATATTACCAGAAAATGAGTTTGTCTATGGGGATACATGAACTTCATATACTAAGGAGCCTAACTCCAAAGCCTGCGTTCTCATCCCAGTCTGATATTCACCTAAGTTTCCGGACCCTTTTCCTTAGCTGTAAAATGGAAGCGGTTGGACTGATGGTGTCTGAGGTTCTTTCCCACACTGAAATTCTAAATATTGACACTTAGCAGTCATAGGGCTGATAATACACACAGTTACTGACTTAGCCTAAACAACCTGGTGCATCGAAATGTATTCACCTTTCTTTTGTAAAGAGACCATCTTCTATCTTCTTTCCACCTTTCTCTGTTTTATGAAACCAACTGTTGACATACAAACCATGATTGAAGGAGAACCTGTCCAACATGTTTTATGTACACAAATCCCTATGTTGCTATAAGAAAAGTGAAAGTAACTGTTTTCTTCTTGGTGCTATGACAGTGTGAGACTCAGGTTGTCTGTAGAGAATGAAAGGAGCAGTGGCCCGCGTGATTGTGGCATTTAAGGAGCAGTGGCCCATGTGACTGTGGCATTTTCGGCACTTTTCATTACTTTCTGCTTGACCGGAAGTTGAGGCTTAGCTATGTTTCCATCTTCAGTTTCTGAAGACTAGTTATATATTCCTTACTAGAAATATATTCATAATATATAAAAGAAATATATCTGTGATTTTAAAATTTTGCTACCAAAGAATGCATGTTCTGTGTGCCCTGAAAATGTTACCAGTGTTAATAAATGGATACTTATCAAAAAAGAATATAGTTTCCTGAAGCTTAGTAAATATTGGGGGACAGGGGATAAAAAAAAGCACTGAGGCTTATCTCACACCATCACCTGAGTATCAGGCTGTAGCCATTGGGGGCCCACAGAAGGGGTTCTCTTAAAACATAGGCCACCATTCCCAGTTCCTGCCAGGCTACTGAGGAGTTAGGTGCTAGTTTTAACCATATGTGTGTTGTCAGGCCCGAGGGCCTCTTCCATTCTTGTCAAGGGGAGTGCTAACCTTTCATACAGCGCTAGGTGCTGGTTTTATTACAGTCAGCCCTCTGTATCAGTGGGTTCCACATCCATACATTCAGTCAATCAATCATGGATTGAAAATATTTGTAAAGAAAAGAATGGTTGCATCTGTACTGAACACAGACAGACATTTTTCTTGTCATTATTTCCTAAACGATACAGTACAACAACTGTTTACTTAGCATTTATATTGTATTGGGGATTTTAAGTAATCTAAAGATGATGTAACATATACGGGAGGATGTACATAGGTTATATGCAAATACCACATCATTTTATATCAGGGACTTAAGTATACCATCCACAGATTTTGGTATCTGCAGGTTGGGGGTTGGAGAAGTTGTCCTGGAACCAGTCCTTGCAGATATCAGGGGATGACTATATTTCACCCCTTCCCATTCCTTAAAACTACCTAAGTATGTTTTTCTCTTTATGTGCTATCCCACCGTGGCAGTTAAGTATTCACTTATTTTTATAACAATACAAGTCTGCAGATAGTGAGATCTCAGGTACACCCAGTGAACTATCTGAGCCCCCCTGGGAAGTCCCTCTTCTCTTACTCCTGTTCAGTTCAGATCCTGACCTCCAGCTTGTAGCCATAAAAGAGACTGCAGGTTGGGCCCTGCTGGGAAAGTGACAGGTGCTCCTTGACCTTCTGACTCCAGTCACTTTCTTATTTCTATGGGTCGGATTTGTAGCATTTATAAATCTAGTTATTGTCACCCCCAAATGTCATCTGTCTACCTAAATCACTGATTAGTGAAAACATGCTATGATCTCACTTCTCTTTAGAAAGCAGGGAAAATCTGAAAATCACTGCAGCTATTGCAACCTGGTTGGAGTCACACATGACCATGACATGTAATAAGTTATATGTGTGGTTCAAGGAATTGGGACTAGGGGGGCATGGGTGAGCATCACTCAGAGCAAAGAAGCGGTGGACACAGACTGGGGCATTCATACAGGTAAATGCTCAAACTTTTGTGTCACACTTCTATGTGTGTGGAATGCATTTTGCGTTCTGCTTCCGTGTGTGGCACAGACCTTGCCTACTACTGCTGCTCAGACTTTTTCCACAGCTTTACTTGAACTGTGAAAATAAAGCAGCACATAGATCTGGCCTGATTGCGACTGATGGTATGTGCCAAGTCAGTACGCAGCAAGAAACTGTTCTTCTCTTCTCCAAGGCTCTGTGATTTTGAGAGGGGTATGGTCAGAATGGTGACTTTCAGACTATATTTACCATGGCCCACTAGAAATACATCTGGTATACCTTGTGATCCAGTCCATAGACACACACAAACACAATAAAACATGCGTGTACTCCAGTAATTTTATTGTCAATTGAAAAACATCCAGAAATATATTCTAGATTGGAAAAAGAGTGCCTAAGGGCAGAGCAAAATGCATAAAGGTACCTTTTTTAAAAAGTGTGTGTATTTATGCAAGTGTTCTGCATTGAACATTCATTTTTTTTCATAAATTTAGGACAATAGGAGTGTAATTTTAAAAAATACTTCCCATCAAATAATTAAGATATCCCATTATTAAAGTATTTTAAAAATCTGTTTCAGAATTTATATGATTTCAATAAATTATTGAAAACTGGCATATTTGAGCGAGAATGTATCTGGAGATATTTCAACTTATTTGCCTCATAATTTAACCAAGGTCACACAGAACATTTTTCTACTCCTATTCTCGGTGTTTGTTTCACTGCCTTTATCACCAAACTAATAATAGTTTTTATTCTTACATGTGTGTTAAGAAGAATGATCTACCAATGACAGCAGGTTGAATTTGATCCTATTTGGGAATAAAACAGTCAACACAACTCTCTTAGGAAATGGGCAGGGGTATTAGATTATTTAAATTGTCTTTAGAGCAGTCTATTCAACATAAAATGAATTATCCTTATACCTGCGGAGATTAAAATCGAAGCTACAAGGTCAAGCCTTTCTTGGGAGTCACATACAGATTCGAAAATTCCTGGCATGTAAAGTACAAGTTTACCCTTCCTTGCCCACAGCAGATTTCACTTATCAATCATAATTTTCTTTTCTGATGATCCCCAGCCTAAGCCTCAGAATCTATCTCAAAACAATTCTCCAGGCAGCCTTGATCAATTAGCCTCCATTGGGATGGCATCCCTGGAGGCTCAGAGCGTGCAGAAAACAGCTCTGGGTACAACCCAGGAAAGAGGTCCTGGCAACATCACTCCTCTTCACAGGTCATGGGAAGTAAATAGATCCATGGACTGTTCTCTAAGTATTTCATTCTACCACCGAAAGCAAGGACTTTGTACACAACAAATAAAAACTAATTCCATCCCTGCAGATAACTTGAAAAATGTAAGCAAGGCCCCGAGAGCGCTCACAGTTGAAAAGTAGGAAATTTCTCACAATGGACCCATAGCTGGTGCCCGAGAACCAAGAAATCTGAGATGTATACAGAGTCCAGAGGTAGAAAAGTGTTTTTAACTAATAGTCAAAGGAACTGATAAATGTAGGATGGCAAATCATACCATAACCCTTATATTTTTAAAACCTAAAGAATAGTGAATATTTAATAGCCCATTGTATTTTTGAACAATAAACATGGGAAATGATGAGAATAAAATTATGCAAGAATTGAGCAGTTTTATCTGAATGGCATAATTTTGTTAACCATTAAACAGTATGAACCTTCTACTAGAATATGAACCCCTTGAGGTCCTTGACTGTCATCTGCTGTATGTCCTATTCCTAGAGTAGGGCCTTGTCTGTAGCAAGTGAGCAGTAATATTTGTGCAGCACCACTAGTGCAGTAACCGAAGTCCCTGCTTGTATCCGTGCTGAGGGAACATACTGTACCGCTTCTCTAGTCCCTGACAACTATTGTTCTTTTCTTTCCTTGTTCCCTAACTAACCAAGATTTAAAGTAGATACAGACAGTCCCTGACTCACAATGGTGTGACTTAGGATTTTCCAACTTTACAGTAGTGTAAAAGCTAGAATTCAGTAGAAACCTTACTTCGAATTTTGACTTTTGATGTAAAATTCTTTAAAATAACTTTATTATGATAGGTTTGGGGTTAGATGATTTTGCCCAACTGTAGGATAATGTAAGTGTTCTGAGCATGTTCAAGGTAGGCTAGGCTAAGCTATGATGTTTGGTAGGTTAGCTGTACTAAGCGCATTTTTGCCTTATGATATTTTCAACTTATGATGGGTTTATTGGGATGTAACCACATCATAAGTCAAGAAGCCTCTGTATGTTAATGTTGCCCTTGAGTGGGTTCCTCAATCTGAAAGATACATATCCTAAACCTAGTCTGGTTAGATCTGGTTGTATCCGTCCTTGTTCACATATCTGAAGAAGAAAGTGATGTTCCAAGGCCAAGGCCAGGGCAAAACATTCAGCTAGTAACAAAGGAAAATCAAAAGGCCAAGCAATTTTCAGTTGCTCAAAATGGCTAGCATGTTCATGGGAACATGAAAGCCATGAGACAAGTAATCATCATAGGCTTAGAATATTAGTGTAAGCTAAAAGAGTCAAAGTCAAAGTAAATATGAAGACATTTATTTTTTTATTTTTTTAATATACGGGTTCTTCCTGTGTTGCCCCAATTGGATTCAAACTCCTGGACTCAAGGGATGCTCTTGCCTCAGTCTCCCAAGTAACTAGGATTACAGCCATGTGCCACCACGCCCAGCAAGTGAAGAGCATGTTTAATTGACCTCATTTAACAGGAAAAATAGAAGAAGTAAAAGGTTAAGAGAAAATTTTCAGTTAGAAATCTTGTAGCTGGAGTGGTTTCTCGATTTGGAAGTTCAAGACATGACCATGGCTGTCAAGAGTTGAGGTGGATTCCAGACAAGAGTACATGTGATTTTCAAATACTATGAGACCTTGGCATTCAATTCTAATATTTTACTTGTGTTTAAATTTACTTATTCTACAAATTAAACCTTTAACATGCATATGAAATTAGCCTGAGGAGTCTAAAACCATAAAAAATAAACGCTATGCTGTCTGCAACTGAATTCCCTATGCTAAATCTCATTATTTGTGATTTGGATTCAGTGCTTTTTTGTTTTGTTTTGTTTTGTTTTGAGACAGAGTCTCACTCTTGTTGCCCAGGCTGGAGTGCAGTGGCGGGATCTCGGCTCAACGCAACCTGTGCCTCCCAGATTCAAGCGATTCTCCTGCCTCAGCCTTCCGAGTAGCTGGGATTACAGGCACCTGGCACCATGCCCAGCTAATGTTTTTTTTCTTTCTCTTTTTCTTTTCTTTCTTTTTTTTTTTTTTTTTTTTGAGACAAAGTCTCAGATGCTCTTGTCCCCCAGGCTGCAGTGCAGTGGTGCGATCTCAGCTCACTGCAGCCTCCACCTCCAGGGTTCAAGAGATTCTCCTGCCTCAGCCTCCCGAGTAGCTGGGATTACAGGCACCTGGCAGCACACCCAGCTAATTTTTGTATCCTTAGTAGAGACAGGGTTTCACCATGTTGGCCAGGCTGATCTCGAACTGCTGACCTCAGGTGATCCGCCTGCCTCAGCCTCCCAAAGTGCTGGGATTATGGGCTCTTTTTTTTTTTTTTTATACAGTGGTCTCACTGTCACCCAGGCTGGAGTGCGGTGGTGCGATCTCAGCTCACTGCAACATCCATCTCCTGGGTTCAAATGATTCTCATGCCTCAGTCTCCCAAGTAGCTGGGACTACAGGCATGAGCCTCCATGCCTGGCTAATTTTTTTTTTTTTTTTTTTTTGTAGAGATGGGGTCTCTCCATGTTGCCCAGGCTGGTCCTGAACTCCTAAGTTCAAGCGATCTGCCTGCCTCAGCCTCCCGAAAAAGTTATCTTTTGTTTTGTTTTTGAGTTAGAATTCTTCTTTATTTCATAATAATTCTTTTTTGTTTGTTTTTGAGTTAGAATTCTTATTTTATAGTTATTCTTTTTTTTTTAAGTTTTGGGATACACGTGCAGAACGTGCAGGTTTGTTACATAGGTATACATGTGCCATGGTGGTTTGCTGCACCCATCAACCTGTCATCTAGGCTTTAAGCCCTGTATGCATTAGGTAATTGCCCTAATGGTCTCCCTCCCATTGCCCACCAACCCCCAGCAGGCCCTGGTGTGTGATGTTCCCCTCCCTGTGTCCATGTGTTCTCACTGTTAACTCCCACTTATGAGAGAGAACATGCAGTGTTTGGTTTTCTATTCCTATGTTAGTTTGCTGAGGATGATGGCTTCCAGCTCCATCCAGGTCCCTGAAAAGGACATGATCTCATTCCTTCCAAAAGTGTTACCTTTATATCACTTTTTTTATTAACACGTGGTTACTCAGCAACTATTTGTAGAATGCATGAGAAAGCTTTTTATGTAATATTATGACATTCTGCTCACCTCTCCCTTATAGAAATTCCCATGCTTTGTCCCACGACAACTTGCTGAATAACCCCAATAATTTTAGTATCATAGGTTAGGAAATTTTAAAAATAATCATTTTGAAGTAATGAGGCTCCCAATATTATAGCTATGGGACCAAATATATGAAGGACATAAAATAAGGGATTCTTAGAATAATATATGAGTTTTACTTTTTTGTGCTATAGAAAATACATAAGCATCCATCAATACTCTCTCCACCATATCAACGTAATTTATTTAAGAAATACCTTTCACTCTACCTTTAGTTCCATATTCATGAAAAGAATGTCCTAGGCCCCAGTGCTCCACACATTCTGCTCTTTTATTTGCATTCCTTAAAATTCAGGGAAGCCTACATGAATAATGAGATGAAGAGAAATGATGCAGAAAGTTGTTGGGATAGCTTTTAGTCAGTGAATTTATTAGGCATATTTTAAAGTTGACCTTTTAATCCAAGTTTTTATTCAATTCTATTGCAAGGAACTGAGCAGCATGGTCAGTTGGAATATTTGCATTCCAGTGGCATTGAGCAATAAGTTTCATGAGGAAGCCCTGGATTAAATCATGAAGAAGCCAATATATTATTTTCAAGGCTTGAGAGATATAGGATAGAGATTTTTTTTTTCTTTTTTTGAGACGGAGTCTTGCTCTGTTGCCCAGGCTGGAGTGCAGTGGCATGATCTTGGCTCACTGCAACCTCCGCCCCCCGTGTTCAAGTGATTCTCCTGCCTCAGCCTCCCAAGTAGCTGGGACTACAGGCACGTGCCACCATGCCTGGCTAACTTTTTGTATTTTTAGTAGAGATGGGGTTTCACCGTGTTAGCCAGGATGGTCTTGATCTCCTGACCTTGTGATCCGCCCGCCTCGGCCTCCCTGCCCTAAATTTTAAGAAGTGGCTATGCAAATCATTTTCATAATGCTCTAGATATTGCTAGTAATTATGTACCCATATAAATACATTAATAATGTTAGTCATATCGAGGCCATTGTTATTCATTCCTGTTTTGAGGAATGAAAACTTTCCACAAGTTGCTCTAAGGCTTAACCATTCCCTTGGTTAGATGTGTCATTTATAAGAGCCAAAGCTTCACAGAACTAAAATCAAGTAAATAATGTTAGCATTAAAGGGGATCGGATAAATGGATTGACTACAAAGAATTAGAGAAATCACAGAAGCCTCAAATTACTAAAGTTTCCAATTATTCATACTTTAGCATCCTTAAAAAATTCCACACACCAGAACCTTTTTGTTGACTCTGTGGGAGGCACTTTTCATCTTAACATAAAAAAGACTCTGCTAACAATTTTTCCATCCAACAACTACAGAACAGACCCATTCCCACTAGACATGGCAAGCTCCCGGCAACAGAAGTTGTTCAGTCTAAGGCTAGACAAATGCTTGTGGGGATCTGGCCTCTAAATTAATCTCCAAGTTTGTGTGTTGAGTAACTCCTTCAGGAAATTGAATATTTTATAGCTATATGAAGTTTGAGGGAAAGGACAGATGTATCTGCTTCCTGCTAAAATTGTGCTGATTAGCTAAAATCATCACAAGCAACCTTAACTTTGTACTTTTTGTAAATGCATTCTTATGGCCTCATTGAAAATTTACCAATACTGCATCTACTGGTCAGGTTTCTAAGTAGAAGATTTATGACTGAAGAGTTTGCTCTCTGTAAGACTATGGATGCAAGAATGTAGATAAAAATGAGTTTCCCTGGGTAGATGGAGTTCCACAGTCCCCGGCAGGAAACTAACCCTGGCCATTTCATTAGAAGTTAACTTTCAATAAACCACAGTCCAGTTAAATGGGATATTCCAGGTTGACATATCATTGTCCTTACATGCAAATTTTAGTACCTACTGTAAGACAGACATTAGGGTATAAGGATGCCCTCACAGAACTTACATTATGGTAAATGAATAGGAGACAAATGAGAGAAAGGAGCCAGGAGTCAAAGAGACATGGGAAGAGGAAGAAAAAGAGGCAGAAGTACATGGGAACACAGATGGGGAAGACTGCAGATAGTGCTAAAGTGGAGCATTCACTGTGGGCACAGGAGATAGGGAAAGAAGAAGAGAGTGGAAAGTTTGCTTCCCTTCTCTAAACCACTCGGAATGACAGAATTACCTTAAATTATTGTTTTGCTTTGTTTTGAGAGGAAGTTTTGCTGTTGTTTCCCAGGCTGGAGTTCAGTGGCGCGATCTCAGCTTACTGCAACCTCTACCTCCCAAGTTCAAGCAATTCTCCTGCCTCAGCCTCCTGAGGTACTTGCCACCATGCCTGGCTAACTTTTTGTATTTTTATTAGAGATGAGGTTTCACCATGTTGGCCAGGCTGGTCTTGAATTCCTGACCTCAGGTGATCTACCCACCTTGGCCTCCAAAAGTGCTGAGATTACAGGCGTGAGCCACCGTGCCTGGCCTACCTTAAATTATTAACACCGAAGTTACTATAGAAGTGGAAGATGGGATTTTATGTATCCAGTAAAAAGAATGTTTGTGAGAAATTTATAATAGACTAATACTAAGAGCATAAAGGATACAGTGCATATGTAATTTTGATTACATTTATGTAAATAATAGCCAATACTGGAAGAGAATATATTTAATTTTTAACATGGTTGACTTTGAATGATGATATTGTAGGTAAACTTTTTCATTATAAATCTATCTACATTTTTCTATATTTTGTAAAAATAGGTTACATGTATGTTTATAAATCAGAATTTTTAAAAACTGGTGTATATGATTTAAAATATTTAAAATATATGTAAGAAAAAAATAAACCTTCTCAGTAAATTATTATTCAAACATTATGAAGACATTCACAGAAACAGAGAGGCTCAACAAGGCCCATAGAGGCAGACACAATCTAATTCTCCAAGGTCCTCATGAATAGAAACGTGTAGACAGGCCACGGAAGGAGGACAGAGGAATAGGCAGAGGCTGACAGGGCACACAGAACAGCAGCCAGCACGAAGACCCTCATCGTCTGACTCATTCTGCAATTTCTCAGACATTGAGATGGCACTTATTATTCCCATGCACATGTTTTTTCTTTTTTATAAAGTTTCAGCTTTTCCTTAAATCATTTATTCATTCAACAGACAATCATTAAGCATCTGTGCAAACTCCATTTCAGTTAGAATCATGCTATTGCTTATCCCGTGGACTCAGGCTCACCAGGCGAAACCCAATCACAATCCCACCCTCTCCCTCTCCTGCACCTGAAAATTGCTGGGGGGAATAAGGAAAAAAAAACAAGGGCCCGGGCGCGGTGGCTCACACCTGTAATCCCAGCACTTTGGGAGGCCGAGGCGGGTGGATCATCTGAGGTCGGGAGTTGGAGACCAGCCTGACCAACATGGAGAAACCTCGTCTCAACTAAAAATACAAAATTAGCCGGGCGTGGTGGCACATCCCTGTAATCCGAGCTACTCGGGAGGCTGAGACAGGAGAATCACTTGAACCCAGGAGGCAGAGTTTGCAGTGAGCTGAGATCACGGCACTGCATTCCAGCCTGGGCAAAAAGAGCGAAACTCTGTCTCAAAAAAAAAAAAAAATACAAAAACAAAACATGACAACTGTGACGACTGACCTCACTTAAAATTGCATGCACACATCCAGATACACCTTTTTTAAGTGGGTCTTCAATGATGCCTGGCAATTCTACTGCATGTCCCCAATCCATTCATTCTCCCATTTTCTTTGTTTCTCTTTCATGGCTGCTCCTCTTCCTCAGACTTTCAGTACGTCTTCCCCAACTCCTCACTTCCATTTGGTGACCTAGCTTCCAACTTCTCTGAGAAAATTGTAGCAATCAAAAAAGAACTCAGACTCCATCCCATTCTCCACCCACCAGCATCTGCCCCTGCCGCCTTTCCTTCTGTTACCATAGTGAACCATCCACCGTTCCCATCAAAGCTGGCCATCCACTTGTGCACAGTTCTCCTTTCTGGTCCCTTCAGGGTCATCCTGCAATCTGCCCCTCTCTTTCCTACATCATGGGTTTTGTCCTCCTTTCCCCTGGATCATTCCAATTGGCATAAAAAGTACTATCTTAAATTGTTTTATTGGCCCTGCTTCCTTTATCAGCCACCAACTCATTTCTTTATTCTCCTTCGCAGTATACTTTTAAATGTTGTCTAAGTGCACTCTAGTTCCAATTCCCCTCCTGTTTCTCTCTTAAACCCACTCCAAGGATGCGTTGTCCTCCCCATTCCACCAAAACAACTGGGCGCTGGTGACATCCATATTGCTAAAGTCAGTGGTCAAGCCTCAGTCCTCAATGGACTTGACATAGCTCATCAATATTTAATACAATTATCACATTCTACCCTTGACTCCCAGGACACTAAACTCTCCACTCTCCTGGTGTTACATCTATCTCACTGGTCAGTCTTCTGTACCCTTCACTGGTTCCTCATCTTTTCCTCCAGCTTTTTAATGTAGGACGGCTCCTAGGTAAGGCCTCGTTCTTTTATTTTTCATTGTGTCTCACTCTTAGTGGTCACACCTAGTACATACGGTCTCCAACAACGTATGCATGGAAAGTCACATACTGAATCTTCTACTTGTCATCTCCACTCTGATATCTGATGGACTTTTCGCACTCAGCATGTCGAAGACTAAACCAGTACTCTTCTCCTAAAAGCCTGTGTCATCTCCTACCTCCCCATCTCAATTGCTGGTAATCCCATCCTTCTCGTTTTCAAGCCCAAAGCCATGGAGTCATTCTGATTTCCTCTTTCTCTTGCACTTGCTAGTTCTGCTTTCAAAATGGATTTTGACTCCTTCTTGCTGTCTCTGTCATGATCACTCTGGTTCAGGCCATGTGGTCTCTCTTGTGAATGACTGCAGTAGCCTCCCAATGGTTCCTGCTTCTACCCTGAGCTCCTTCCTGACTGTTAGCACAGTGGCCACAGCCGGTCATGCCATTTCTCTACTTAAAATCCTGCTTAGGATTAGGAAGAAAGGCAAAGTCTTTACAATGGACTGAAATGTCCTAGATAGCCTGACTGACTCCCCTCATTACTTCTCTAATCTTATTTTTTGCTCTCCCTCTGCTCACTCTGCTCAAGCTTCACAGGCCTCCTTACTCCTCAGACACAACCCTTGCAGCCTTGGCACTAGCTGTTCCCTCTGCCTAGAATGCACCTCCCCATATGTCTGTCTAGCCAGAGCCCTTGCCATTTTCATATCATTTTTCAAACCTCACTTTCTCAACAAGGCCTCCTTGGAGCTTCGTATTGAATAAAGAAATAGGCCCACTAACCCAACTCCACCCCACCGTATCCCTGGCACTTTCAATGCCCCTTACTTAGTGTTAATTTTATTTTTTCCAAAGAATTCGTCACCTAGCATCCCACATAATTTACTTATTATATTACCTCTCTTCCCCTTGCTAGAATGTAATCTCCATGAGGGCAGCGACTTTTGTTGTTTTCACAGATGTTTCCCAAGGCTCTAGAGCAACAGGGCAGGTGCATTCCTTCATTCAGCAAACGCCTGCTGAGAATTTCCCATATGCCAGGCACTGGGAGTTGAGCACAGAATAAGACCATCATGCTGTCTGTCCCCTTTAAACTTCACAGTCTGATTCTTATTGAGATTTCCTGGACACCTAACTTTTAAAATATCTATAGGAAAGTGGAAAAGCACCAAGAAGAATTGCATCAGCCACCCTCACAGCACACTAAATGCTCTCATCAAACTCTGAGACTCTGCTGACTGAAATAAACACCATAACTGTGCACTTGTGTTTTAGGGTTCAGTGGTATCTCAGACAATTAAGCGTCTGCAAACTAGGACTCCAAGGTTCCTCAATCCAGTACACAAAAATTTATTTGCCTTAATGACACTAGATATAATTAATGATGAACAAAATAAAGCAAATAAGATACTGTGTCTTTCTCACCCCGGGAGTATAGTCTCTCAATATATCTAATTCTATTGTCTCAATAATTCTTCCCCTAAATTAAAAAATTAAAAGCTTTGAATGAAAATATCCCCATTTAAAAAATTCCCCTGACATGGTAATCAAGTCTTATGCTTTAGCCAATAATTAGCTGGACTGAAATTTTTCCATGCCCATTTTTCTGCAGTTCTGGCAGCAAATTGATAACCCCAGGCAATTTTTAATTAGCACCCTTTAAAAATGGTTTGCTAAATTACTTGACTCTGAAATCACCCCACCCAAATGATTAAGTTCAAATTGCATTTCGAATCTATCACCTGTTTTGACTGTATGAACATACTATCACCCCAGGATGGTTAATTACAATGTTTATCTGTGTGCTCACACACTCATAGCACAGCGTGCAGCAAATGCCAGCTGGCACATCCTGACACTGCTGTTTCTAGTGTCCTACTGGCCTTTTGCTGTTGACATTTCTATCACCGGCAATCGTTCTGCCCCCTTAATCCTGTGGAGACAGTATTTACAGATAACGCTCCTTACATCCAAGTAAATCACTTGTTATCTTGAGAAAACCTAGGGCCTACTTTAGTGAGGTCTTGGTGGTGGCTGTGCTCAGCTGGCCTGACAGCTGTGCTAACTCAGGGGAGGCCACTCCATCCTCACACCTTTCACACCCAAATCGTATTTATGAAGCACCTATTAGTAAGTGCATTCAAATTATTTAATTTTCAAGACTAGGAATGAGGTAGTTTTTGTTTTCTTTTGTTTTGCTTTTTTGAGATGGAGTTTCGCTCTTTTGGCCCAGGATGGAGTACAATGGTGTGATTTCAGCTCATTGCAACCTCTGCCTCCAGGGTTCAAGTGATTCTCCTGCCTCAGCCTCCCAAGTAGCTGGGATTACAGGTGCGTGCCACCACGCCTGGCTAATTTTTGTATTTTAGTAGAGACAGGGTTTCACCATGTCGGCCAGGCTGGTCTCAAACTCCTGAGCCCAGGTGATTTGCATGCCTCGGCCTCCCAAAGTGCTGGGATACAGATGTGAGCCACTGAACCCAGCTGAGGTAGTTTTAACTCTGACTCATAGATGAGAACATGGAACAGCAGAAGACTTAAATAATTCAACCAAAGTTAGTGACAGAGCCAGAACAGGACTTTTGGTCACCTGACTACAAGTCAATTGCCACCACGTAGTGCCCCCATCATCTCCAGTCTCCATTCCCCCAACCATCTCCTTATCTCCCTTTCTCAAGCTCTGTCTCCCTCTAATCATGTCCCTACCATGCAGCCAGATCTTAAACCACAAACCTGCTTGCAATACTCTTTTGCTTACATAGCTTACCAATGACATGGGCTAAGGTTCAAGGTCATCCTGCAAAGCCTTGTGTCATCTGTCTGCCTTCCTCTCCCATCTGCTCATCACACTCCAGCCACGCCGACAATGGGCAGTTCTCTGAACTCTCTTTGCTCTCCCAAGTCCTTTGCACAAGCAAATCCCTCTGCCTATGACCCAGCGCCTACCACTGCACTTTCACTAGGGTTGTCACTGGTTCTTCCAGGCAGCCAGTGAGGAAGCTGAGTCCAGGCACTTCAGTGACATCTCCCTTGGCCTCTCCCAGGGGAAGGTAGGCTCCAGCATGGCTCTCACTGAACCTGGCACAGTGGAAGCTGCAGCGGCGTTGGTGCCCACACCTGACCTGACTAGGCCCATTAAACTGGGCCTTCATCATTGGAGGAAGACAAGGTGGACAGTGATGTTCCATGAGGGGACAGAAGTGATGGGACTCTTCATGGAGCCAGCAGCCAGTGGCCCAGGAAAAGGGAGCAAGGAAATCTGGGAAGGGTATAAATCTGATACAACATATTGTTATACTGGTCATTCTACAAGATAAAGATGTCTTCCTTATACCCTAGATTGTTCCACAACCCAAAGAAAGTAGATCATTTTCCTTGTTTTGTGTAGTTTTTTTTTTTTTTTCAGACATTGGTAAAAAAAAAAAAAAAAAAGAATCAACTTAAGGAAAATCTATCAGGTGCTTAGCATTGTTAAAACTTAACTTGCCTGCTTTTCCATTCTACTTCTTTACATGCTCCTTGCTTACAGGGCTATTTTCTGATAAAGAGAGATGAGGATTCCTTCCTGTTCTAATTTGTTCCATGAGATCTAAGAGTGGGTGGTTTCTAGGAGATTTCACACCCGGCTTGGAATTGGTAGGATGTATGTTAGCTCCAGCTGGCAATAAGAATCTTAATAATTCTGGCCTCAAGTTTATTCTCAAAGTCTAGGTGAAGACTGACACAACCTCAGAGCTGGAAAGAACCCTCGAAGACAATGAATCTGGTGCCTGAGTTTTACTTGATTAATGAGCAATCATATTTGCAGATAGCAGGCACATGCCCTAACACAACCACAATTATAAGTCTTTAATTCCTTTAAGGCAACTGAACTATTTTGGAATATCTTAGGCATCCAAGCCTACAGTTAGGTGACTAATGACTTGAGTCTTATTTATGCCTTTGACATTGAAATGAACATACTGCAGAATTTCCCCCACCAGGTGGCAGTCAAACCTTACTAAACTATGATTTGTATATTCCACATACATACAAGTAGTGTGTCTATTTCCACTACTTGTTGGCCAGGTAGACATCTATATTTTCAGCTCAGTTCAGTGGGCCCACCATCTGCAAACCCTATGAACAGTATCCTAATGATAAAGTACTGAAAAAATGGGGGATTGATACCAGTGGCATTATTAGGGTACCAGGGCTTAACAGCGACTCGGGTAGCTGTTGGCAGTCCAGCCTGAATTGGGTTCCTGTCTCTGATAATCTTCATTTAGCCATGGAAGTTGAGAAAATCAGATAGTGTATCCTTGACATAGTCCTAAAATACAAGGCTTTCCATTAAATCCCAGGCACCTCAGTTCAATAAATCCTATATTGCATGTTGGCTTTTGTCAACCTCTCTTCTAGACACCACTGTAAGAAGGTCATAGCTACTGGGGCAAAAATAGACTCATACTTTACATCCTTACTTGCAGGATGGTCCCTTATTGTAAGAAGGTCATAGCTATTGGGGAAAAAATTGACTCATACACAATAAGGGAGTAAAATAAAAAGAAATTATTCCTATGAACCTTTCCTCTCCCCTTCCCCAAATAAACTCCTTGAGCAAACTACAGAAATGCTAACAGCGAGAGGTCAATGTACTTAATTCTTTCAAAAATCACGATGTGTGATGGCCAGACAAATCACCCAAGGGTTCAAAATAGGGAAAGAAAGGAAGATGTTAGTTCATGGTAGCATAATATTAGCAGAGATGTTACTGTTGTTCTTAGTGGGGGAAAAATGTAAATTTTATAGGGGAATGAGGACAGAAAAAGCGGTTCTTTCCTTCACCATTTACTCCTCCTTGTAATCAAGGCTTGCCTGCCCAGTTTCCATTTGCCTGAGTCTTCTCTGAGGATCCGACATATAAGTCTGCAAGAGAGAACAGCACAGGCAAGTTTGCTGATCAACTATAGTACACTCTGTGTGTAACTGTATATGATTTGTGGGGATAGGGACGGGGGCGCACTCACTGTCACTGTCCCCACCCTTAACGAAGAGTAGAAACAGATGTCTCGAGACAGCTGAACCAAACGGATGGGAAGCAGGATCACACGGGAAGCGAGGTTTTGAAAGGTTTGCTCAACACACACGGTCTCTCTGATGTGAGGAAAAGTTGAAAATGAGAAAAGGTAAATAATTAAACCATAGCACTGTACCTCATTCTCACACTCAGATTACCATCTACCACAACATTCTCTCTCAGTGTATCTAAATATGATTGCAAGTCCTTCCCACACAATGCTTCAAGCAGACCCTTCTGGTTGATAAATCTATCAGAGTTAGCAGAAAAGTTGAAAACTATTTCCCAAATACCAGCTATAAAGATCACCCATACAGAAGACTCTTTTGATTCCAGAATTATCCAATATGGAAGCCACTACCATATGTGTCTACCAAGCACATGAAATGTGGTTAGTGTGACTTGGGAATTAAAATTGTATTTAATTTTAATTAAAAGTTTAAATAGCCACATATAGTGGCTACTGGGCTGAATAGTGCAGATCTAAAACATTTCCATCATCACAGAAAGTTCTATTGGACACCAGTCTATTCCATAGCCACATCAGAAAGCTCTAAGTATTTACAGAATTCAAAATTAGAACTTGGCTTCTGGCCAGGCACGGTGGCTCACGCCTGCAATCCCAGCACTTTGGGAGGCCAAGGTGGGCAGATCACCTGAGGTCGGGAGTTCAAAACCAGCATGGCCAATGTGGCAAAACCCTGTCTCTATTAAAAACACAAAAATTAGCTGGGCATGGTGGCGCATGCCTGTAATCCCAGCTACTCTGGAGGCTGAGGCACGAGAATCACTTGAATCCAGGAGGCAGAGGTTGCAGTGAGCCGAGATTGCACCACTGCACTCCAGCCTGGGTGACAAAGCAAGACTCCATCTCGAAAAAAAAAAAAAAAAAAAAAAAAACTTGGCTTCTTCATTTTAACATACCCTTGCAAGCAGTCTTGCAACTTTTTTATAGATTATTTTATTGGTAATAACACCTGAATCAAATTAAATGTGATCTTTAGCTCTCATGCACCAGCATGTTGAGAAACTCAAACTCAGTAATGTTTGGGGCATAAGAATCTTTAGTGCAGACTGCTGCCGAGATGCTTACTGTCTGAGCCCACATCATTCATTCACAGATAGGTGGTGTATTTCATTATTCTAAGCTTAGGCCTAGCAATCCTTCTTGATAAGCCTCAAGAGCATGGATCTCAGAGTTCATCTCCTATCCCCACCCCAAGCATTCACACATCAGACAGAATTCTATTAACCAAATAAGAAGTAATGTGTAAATGGGGCATGGATCTTTACCATTCACAGATTACAAACACACATGCACATACATACACACATGAAATAGTCATGAGGGGAGATTTGCGTATGCCACCCATGCTACCCAGAGCCCCTTGCCACTAGCCACGTTCAACCTCACAGTGTTCTTCATCATCGCCATAGCAAGCCCCTGGGCAGCATCTCCTCTGAGCTGTTTGCAGACAAAGTTCCAAAGACCTCAGAAAACAGTCTTGTTCTAAGAACTTGAGAAAAAGGATTTGGTTATAAGGGTTCTTGCTTTCACAGAATGATTCCAGGGTTTATGTGTCAGGGTGGTGAATTCACACACCATAAGGGCACTGGTGGCAAGTCCATCTGCAGGGAGAAGTCTGATGATGAGAACCTCATCCTGAGGCCTATGGGTCCTGGCATCTTGTCCATGGCAAATGCTGGACACAACACAAATGATTCCCAGTTCTTCATCTGCACTGCCAAAACTGAGTGGCTGGATGGCAGGGATGTGGTCTTTGGCAGGGTAAAAGATGGCATGAATATTGTGGAAGCCATGGAGTGCTTCTGTTCTAGGAATGGCAAGACCAGCAAGAAGATCATCACTGCTGACTGTGGACAAATCTAATAAATTTGCTTTGTGTTTTACCTTAGCTACCAGACCATTCCTTTTGTAGCTCAGGAGAGCACCCCTCTACCCTATTTGCTCTCAGCATCCTATAATCGTTGTGCTCTTGCTATAATTCTTTGGGTTCCATATTTTCCTTATTCTCTTCCACATCTAGCTGGATTGCAGGGTTAAGTTTATGATCATGAGATAAAAACTAACAACAAAAAACGAGAGAAAGAAATGGTGTCATGAACTTACCCCTTTTCTCATTGCAGATAAACTATCCTCCAGGTTTGGCCCATCAGCCTCTTCAAAGCCCTTACCTTTTTCCTCCACACCATGATTCAAAGATTTGAGGGAGTGCACTCCTCTAAATCTGCTCTAGGGACAGCAAAGACCCCACTGTCACCATCCCTGGTCTTGGGTTCAAATTTCTGCTTGTTAGGTAAAGAAAATGTTGACGTGTGGGGTGAGAGGATTGAGTTGTCCACAAAGAAATAAGAGCTTCCATTCTTTCTGATTTGTTTATAGCAATGATGCTAAAATACAGATGAACACCTTAATATAAGTTATTCTTCCAAATTGATCAGGTGTTGCTATTTTATAAGTAGCAATAGTACATAACAACACATCCATCCAGCATGTAGCATTACACTGTTAATATTAACTGCCCTGATTAACAAAAATAATTTAATCAATGCAAATGGTATGTAATCTTCCAAACTCAGCTATGACATTTTGCCACTGACCAGACAAGGTTTCAAGGAAGAGAATTTTAAAATGGCTTCTCCATTTAGAATGTTCTACTGTTTACGCAAGGCAGCCTACTCTCTTCTCCCTTGTCCAGACAGATTTGATCTGTCCAGACAATTTGAACATCAGCTCCACCACTGTGTTAGTATTTAAAGGTTATATGCTGCTCAAGACCAACTTTTCTTCTAAAAGCCCTGATGCTGCAATTTCCAAGCCGAACCGTGACTAGCTTTGCCTCCTTTCATTCATTGCCTTGTATTATGAGTATAAAGGTCCATTTCCTCACCAAGCTGTAAAGCCCTTTGAGGGCAGAGCCTAGATTATTCATTGTTATTTGCCTTTCTTCATTTCCAGTACCTGGCCTCTACATATTTCTTAAGTGTTTTCTCTCATTCATCTGGCTAACTCCACATCATGGTTTTTTTTGTTTTTTGTTTTGTTTTTTTGGCGGTGGAGGGAGAGTGGGGACTTCTTTGATGCACCCAGCCCCTTTTGCTTAAATTTGCAAGAATTGATTTTTTTGACTGCACCCTGAACCCCACCTGATGTAGGCAAGGACAACCATATGCCTTCAATGCTTAACAGAGTGCCTGAGCTACCATCAGCACCAATTCACAAGAAGGAATGCGTATTGAGTGTTATACATAGTAGGAACTCAACAAATGCCTGGTTGCTAGGATATGAGACTTCTAGTTTCAGCCTTCTTTTTTTCTTTGCTACACTAGAAGGATAAGATGCAAATAGACCCCTCAATTTCTGAGCCTTTGTCCTTGTGTTCTCAAGGAAAGAGAAACTAAATTTTTGTCGTTAATGATTCAGTGTAAGAACAAGGTTTGAGGGAAATTGTAGAATGGAGTGGGAAAGCAGACAGCAGGAAGGAGCTTCATAAAAGAAAGATCTGTCCCTGGGCTGAGGAGGTGGGGAGTGTCAGTGAGGAGAAGCAAGACCTCAGAGAAGAGGACTGTGCTGCTTCTACAGAGATAGAACCACTGAACCAGTTTACAGATTACAGTTTACAGATATCTTTTTCTTTTTCTTTTTTTTTTTGAGGGGGGGATGGAGTCTCGCTCTGTCACCCTGGCTGGAGTGCAGTGGCACAATCTCGGCTCACTGCAAGCTCCGCCTCCTGGGTTCAAGCAATTCTCCTGCCTCAGCCTCCCAAGCAACTGGGACTACAGGCACGGGCCACCACGCCCGGCTAATTTTTCTTTTGTATTTTTAGTAGAGACAGGGTTTCACCGTGTTAGCCAGGATGGTCTCGATCTCCTGACCTCATGATCCGCCTGCTTCGGCCTCCCAAAGTGCTGGGATTACAGGCGTTAGCCATCGTGCCCGGCCCAGAATATCTTGTTTTCCTAAGCAGAGAGATCTCAGACCTAAAGAGAATGTGTAGACAAGGAGAGCAGATGTCTCTGACGATCTATAAGGACAAATAACAGACAAGCAGGCAGTCTCTTCTGTATAAGGCCCAGGACCCAAAGAAACACTCAGCATGACATGCCCAATTTCTTGCCAGCCTGGAGAGATATAGCCTACAAAGTCAAAATTAGACTGACTTGGAGAACATAAAGAAAGATAGTAGCCTGTAACCTCAGCACTTTGGGAGGCCAAGGCAGATGGATCACCTGAGGTCGGGAGTTCGAGACCAGCCCGACCAACATGGAGAAACCCTGTCTCTACTAAAAGTACAAAATTAGCCGGGTGTGGTGGTGCATGCCTGTAATCCCAGCTACATAGGAGGCTGAGTCAGGAGGATCACCTGAACCCAGGAGGCAGAGGTTGCAGTGAGCTGAGATCGTACCATTGCACTCCACCCTGGGCAACAGGAGTGAAACTCCGTCTCGAAAAAAAAAAAAAAAAAAAAAAGGAAAGATAGTATTTCTCACATAATATGAATATGTGAACCTAGATTAATATGTATGTTGTTAAATAGATTGGAAGCTCTCAGGATAAGTTCCCATATTATTCAGCTGTTGGTTGTACTGCTCTGACTGACCAGGAAGAGCAAAGCTTTAGTGTACAAACGCAAGGGAGCAGTGATACTGTGTGTTCCTACAGGCTGCCCAGGACAATGCTAATCCTTGCTCAAGGTCGAGAATAGAGATCATGTAGGCTTCTTTCTTTGGTGTTTAACATTCTTGTACATCTAAGTACAAATTTACGACGTAGAATCCTCCCAGAACAAATGGTACTCTCTCACCTCTAAGCCTCCAATGATTTACTACCATCATCTTCCAACTCAGAGTTCGAAGAATCAAGGAAATTGAGGCCTACCTCTTCACCTTTTAAATTAAAATCTACAATGAAAGTTTCAAGGTGAGAGAAGACATAAAATCATATCAATATATAAAATACAAGACAAAGAAAATGTTCTAATACTCTTAATAAAATACTGGCAGTGTAGAGGAAGGCAGTCTCCTTATTCAAGCATATCCTTCTAACCTCTCGCTTACTGTAAAGACAGAAAGTAAAGCTATACTTTTAAGCCAGGCTAGTGAACAATAGAAGAACCCTGAAAATAATTTTCTATGGATAGTTCCATGGTACAAAACAATCCTTTAAACCATCATGCCTGAAAAGAAAGATCCAAAGGAGATCATAAGGGCTGGATCATAATGTGCCCATACTGTGCCCAAACGAGAGAGTGAATATTCACCGCAGGTCATACAGAACATCCCTTGAGCAGGGCCAGGTCACATGGACAAATAATTTGACTTATGGCATGACTTGTGCAAATCTGCCTTAGTGAAAACCTGTTGGGTTGCAGAAACAGAAGTCTAGTCAAAGAGTTACTGTTTACTATGATGAGGATTCAGGCCACTTTTGCATCAGTCACCTATTGCTTCTATTCAGTATCCATTCTAAATGGTCAGTACCTGTGCCTTTCTAGTTATCTTTTTTTTTTTTTTTCTTGAGACAGGTTCTCACTCTGTCACCCAGGCTGGAGTGCAGTGGCATGAACATGGCTCACTGCAGCCTCAACCTCCTGGACTCAAGTGATCTTCCCACTTCAGTCTCCCCAGTAGCTTGGACCACAGGCATGCACCATTGCACCCGGGTAATTTTCTTATTTTTTATAGAGATGGGGTCTCACCATGTTTCTCAGGCTGGTCTTGAACTCCTAGGCTCAAGTGATCCTCCCGCCTCAGCCTCCCAAAGTGCTGGGATTACAGGCATGAGCCACCAAGCCCGGCCTCCAGTTATCTCATACTGTATCAACCGAAACAGCCACACAAAACTCAATTTCTGGAAATCCAGACAAATTCCAAGGGATGCAGAAAGTAGAAGGTAGTTTCCCTGGCTCTCCCTGATGCTATCGCCACAGAATAGGTAGAGAGGCCTATGAGAAGTTCTGTACTGGTGATGGTGGGACATATACAGTATAAAGCCAATAATAAAGATGGCGTGAAAGTAGTCTTTGCAATAGAGAAGACATACTGTTTTAGGGAATAGAGTGGGAAGACTTGAGAGATACAGCAGAGAAAACATTGGCAAAAATTTGTAATAGGTGAAAACCCTGTTTCCCAAAGAGCATAGCCATTATTAGTCTGAAAATCTCCCGGGCTACCTGCTGAAAATGGCAGATTCCTCGGCTTTCCTCCAGAAGCTCAAAAATCAGCATTGCAGAGGAGGGAGAGGAAGTCTAGGAAATCTGCATTTTTAACTCATTTCTCAGGTGATTCTCAAAGAAACAGTCTGAGAAGGGGAAGAAGAATGATGTGCCTGGTCATTATCCTATGTGAGTTTAGATGCCATGGAGCACCCAAGAGGATGCCCCGAATGCATTTGGAAAAACAGGAGTAGATGGTCAGAGCTGTTGTTATAGAACCGGGATGAATCAGAATTTTCTGATAAAATGGAGGCAGGCAATGACACAGGGAGAAGTTGCTTGTCTATATATTCAATATCCAAACACTCTCCTATTTTGGAAGAACCTTTACTGTGTGGATCTTGGTGGGAGCAGGGCCCCACCCCTCACTATGGGAGCAAAGAAGTCAGTTATTCCCTCCCCCTACCCTCTAGTGACCAGGATGTAAACACACATCAAGGTGAGGTCAATTAGATGCTTCCACTCAGGACTTGGTGTGTTGAATTGGAGACTCAAAGCAGAAAGAGTTGAGAGATGTCCCAGCAACCACCACTCTAGTGTCAAGGTTCCCACGGTAATGCCCTACCCAGAATCTTACTGGAGTAGGAACTTCTCTTCTGCTAAGCCATTTTCCAAGTCTTGTTTTTCACTGCTGCTAGAATCTATGAGCTACTTATATATTTTTCCATAAATTCCCATACTGCATCAGTTTATAAGATTTGAAGAACCCTAGAGGACAAAAACAGACCCATGATAAATTCCTCTGGATATTAAAAAGAACTACAAAGATATGAGACAGAGAAAGCACATTCAAAAAACAAAGAGTCAGATAATTTCTTGAGATAAGGATTCAGGAGAGCACAATACCACAGAAATTAATAAAGAGTTCACTGAAGAAACCGATGTTCTAGGGCTGGCCATTTCCTTTTCTCTCCTCCCAGATTACATTGATAATATTTCTATTTTAAGAATTATCATACAATATTATAATTATTTCTCCCAGTAGACTGTTGGTGCCAACAGGGTAAGAACTATCACGTATTCCCTGAAAAATCCACAGGCCACTTCCAAGGGCTGTCTGCACACAGCGTGTGCTCCAGAATTATGTAAGGGAGGCAGGGAAGAAGAAAGGAAAGACTGAGCCTTGAAAAAGGAAAAACAGGTGGAATGGCAGTTCCCCTGGGTGTCCTGAGATACAAACTAAGCCAACCCTGTGGGGTTCCTCTCCCTCCGCATAAAACTTTGCCAAAGCAGTACCTGGGTTCCCACCATGACCTCTTCCTCCTTGGGAAATGTCTTTGCCCCTTTCAAAGATACTCGCCTCTCTCCTCCCCACCAGACACTTTAACATCATTTACACTAATTATGCAGTGGGATAGATTATAATTAGAACTATGAGATCCCTTTCAGACAGCAGAAAAAAGCCAGAAAGTGGAAGAAGAGCTCCTTCTTTCTAGTGAGAAGAGGCCAATAAAGCAGAAGAGTGAAGGCTCATAACTTCCATTCTTGGATTTCCAGAATGTGTTTATTGATGTTAATCTGTTCTTGTTCTTCCACTGGGTACTAGTTATATGGGCAGCAGAAAACTTGTCTTCTTAGCTCTTAGATCTGCAGACCAAGAAGAGCCAGGTCCTAATCTGATATAGTGACTATTGTATAGCACTCAGTGATCCTGGAATGGGTGCCAGATGCATTGATCAAATTGAACTTTTTGGTTGTCTATGGAAATTGAGAATAAGGAAGTGACATGGTTTGGCTGTGTCCCCACCCAAATCTCATCTCAAATTCCCACAGGTTGTAGGAGAGACCCAGTGGAAGGTAACTGAATCTTGGGAGCAGGTCTTTTCCATGCTGATCACGTGATAGTGAATAAGTCTCACGAGATCTGATGGTTTTAAAAAGGGGAGTTTCTCTGCACAAGCTCTCTCTCTCTTTGCCTGCTGCCATCCACATAAGATGTGACTTGCTTCTCTTTGCTTTCCCCCATGATTGTGAGGCCTCCTCAGCTGCATGGAACTGTAAATCCAATTAAACCTCTATCTTTGTAAATTGCCCAGTCTTGGGTAAATCTTTATCAGCAGCATGAAGACGGACTAATGTAGAAAATTGGTACCAGAGTGGAGTGTTGCTGAAAATATACCCAAAAATATGGAAGCGAATTTGGAACTGGGTAACAGGTAGAGGTTGGAACAATTTGAAGGGCTCAGAAGAAGACAGGAAAATGTGGGAAAGTTTGGAACTTCCTAGAGACTTGTTGAATGGCTTTGCCCAAAATGTTGATAGCAATAGGACAACAAAGTCCAGGCTGAGGTGGTCTCAGAAGGAGATGAGGAACTTGTTGGGAACTGGAGCAAAGGTAACTCTTGTTATGTTTTAGCAAAGAGACTGGTGGCATTTTGCCCCGGCCCTAGAGATTTGTAGAACTTTGAACTTGAGAGAGATGATTTAGGATGTCTGGTGGAAGAAATTTCTAAGCAGCAAAGCATTCAAGAGGTAACTTGGGTGCTGTTAAAAGCATTCAGTTTTATAAGGGAAGGAGAACATAAAAGTTTGGAAAATGTGCAGCCTGACAATACAATAGAAAAGAAAATCCAATTTTCTGAGGAGAAGTTAAAGCCAGCTGCAGAAATCTGCTTAAGTAACAAGGAGCCAAATGTTAATCCCCAAGACAATAGGGAAAACGTCTCCAGGGCATATCAGAGGTCTTCTGGGCAGCCCCTCCCATCACAGGCCTGGAGGCCTAGGAGGAAAAAATGGTTTCATGGGCTGGGCCCACGGTCCTTGTGCTGTGTGCAGCCTAGGGACTTGGTGCCCTACATTGCAGCTGCTCCAGCCATGGCTGAAAGGGGCCAAGGTAGAACTTGCCTGTGGCTTCAGAGGGTGCAAGCCCCAAGCCTTGGCAGTTTCCACATGGTGTTGAGCCTGCAAATACACAGAAGTCAAGAAATGGGGTTTGGGAACCTCCACCTAGATTTCAGAAGATGTATGGAAATGCCTGGATGCCCAGGCAGAAGTTTGCTGCAGGGGCGGGGCTCTCAAAGAGAACTTCTGCTAGGGCAGTACAGAAGGGAAATGTGGGGTCAGAGCGCCCAAACAGAGTCCCCACTGGGGCACCGCCTAGTGGAGCTGTGAGAAGAGGGCCACCATCCTCCAGACCCCAGAATGAATGGTAGATCCACTGACAGCGTGCACCATGGGCCCAGAAAAGCCACAGACACTCAACACCAGCCTGTGAAAGCAGCCAGGAGAGAGGCTGTACCCTGCCAAGCCACAGGGGCAGAGCTGCCAAAGACCATGAAAAGCCACCTCTTGCATCAGTGTGACCTGGATGTGAGACATGGAGTCAAAGGAGATCATTTTGGGTTTTGGACTTGCATGAGGCCTGTAGCCACTTTGTTCTGGCCAATTTCTCCCATTTGGAATGGCTGAAATTACTCAATGCCTGTACCCCCATTGTTTCTAGGGAGTAACTAACTTGCTTTTGATTTTACAGGCTCATAAGCAAAAGGATCTTACCTTGTCTCAGATAAGACTTTGGACTGTGGACTTTTGAGTTAATGCTTAAATAAGTTAAGACTTTAAGGGACTGTTGGGAAGGCATGATTGGTTTTGAAATGTGAGGACATGAGATTTGGGAGGGGCCAGGGACTAAATGATATGGTTTGGCTGTGTCTCCACCCAAATCTCATCTCAAATTCCCACCTGTTGTGGGAGGGACCCGGTGGGAGGTAATTGAATCATGGGGGCAGGCCTTTCCCATGCTGATCTCTTGATAGTGAATAAGTCTCATGAGATCTGATGGTTTTTAAAAGGGGAGTTTCCCTGCACAAGCTCTCTGCCTGCCACCATCCACGTAAGATGTAACTTGCTCCTCCTTGCCGTCCACCATGATTGTGAAACCTCCCCAGCCATGTGGAACTGTTAAGTCCATTAAACCTCTTTATTTTGTAAATTGCCCACTCTTGGGTATGTCTTTACTAGCAGTGCAAAAATGGACTAATATGGGGGGTAAATAGACATTCAGTGATCAAAAGAGCAGGCTGAGGCAAAGACAATACTGTTGTCCCAAATATTCCATTCCATTTTTCTCACACATTTCCTGGTTCCCTTCCAATTAATCATGACCATAGACTACTTCAGGCTAACAAAATATGAGCAGAAAGGAGGGGGTCAGTCTTCAATTTCCATTCTCCCAATGAGGAATATGAATAAAGATCATCTTTTGGACCCATGGATAGTAAGTTTTCAGGAAGAATGGAGAGATAGAAGAAGCTGAGGCAGTTGAAAGGCCTTCATTTCTCCTGCTGGCAGGGCTGAGGAGGAAGATGTGCTTTCCAGATGAAGGAGCTGTAAGATGGTCAGCTTGGGCCTTTGTGTACATGCAGCAGAATGCCCTGCTGACCAGTGATGGACATGTACTATGAGTGACAAATGAGTGGTGTTGTTTCAAGACTCTGGAATTTGAGGATTCATTTTTTTAAATTGCAGCATAACGTATCCTGTCCCAGTCACACTGCAGTCTTCTTTTCCCTCTTTGATAAGTTTCACACTGTACACATCTTTAATGGATGGCTCTTTTTGAACAAACAGTGTATTAGTTTGTTTTCACACTGCTGATAAAGACATACCCAAGTCTGGGTAATTTACAAAAGAAAGAGGTTTAATTGGTTACAGTTCCATGTGGTTCGGGAAGCCTCACAATCATGGTGGAAGGCAAGGAAGAGCAAGTCACATCTTACATGGATGGCAGCAGGCAAAGAGAGAATGAGCAAGACATGAAAGTGGAAACCCCTGATAAAATCATCAGCTCTCATGAGACTTATTCACTACCACGAGAACAGTATGGGAGAATCCACCCCCATGATTCAATCATCTTCCACCTGGTCCCTCCCACAGCATGTGGGAATTATGGGAATACAATTCAAGGTGAGATTTGGGTGGGGACACAGAGTCAAACTATATCAAACAATAATGAATATTACAGTCCCAATCTTGCCTAAAATGTTGCAAAACAACATTGCAGTCACTCTAAGCCACTTTGTACCATGTACTTTTGTCACTCCTTTCAAATGCACTAGAGAAAGCTTTAAACTAGATTTGGTGAGAAAATGGTGAAGAAAGTCCCTCAGATTTCAGGGCCAGATATCCAGGATTCTTATATATTCTCAAAGGATATGCTTTTTTTTTTTTTTTAATGAAATAGGGCACCCAGTTCTCCATCTTGTTTTATGGGAAGTTGAGCATTTGTTGGTTTATAATTGCACAAATTCCTTGATCTCAAATATGACTGTTTTCTCCTGTGCACAGAAAGAAGGACAGATCTCCCAGTCTTGGTCAACAAGTACCAAATATTCCACAGTGTTCTCAGTGTATCAAAGAAGGCCTTTGCCATTTGAGTAAAATTAGAATTATGCCATAGGCCATGTAGGGCCCCGTATTGGGAATAGAGGATGAAGGGAGTAATACTCACTGGTTCTGAACATCTAAGATGCTAGTTCTCTGATGTTCCCAAATCTAAAACTGTTTTGCAGATGCATTTGATGATTTGCCTTCCTCAGGGCAGTCTTATTTCCAACACCAAGCATTCAGAATCTTATAATAAACAGGAACAGTGTACTGAAGTTACAATAGAATCTAATTTTAATGAAGACTATGAATTAAGGTAATATTTTAGATCTGCAAATAGTGTGTTTTTAGGGAGAAACAAGAAATAAGTTATACATGAAAAGGGGGGTGCAAGTATAGAAGTGGAAGGGACATTGTCAGAAGGAGGCAAAGAGTGCAGGAGGGTATGCAAGGACAGTGGAGGCACGCACATATGTGGGGTACATGTAGGTGGGGGTTTGCACCACAGAAAAGCTATCAGCTATTCACTGTTTATCCCATGAGAAGCAGGTAGTGAGAGGTGACAGCGTGCTGGCAGCCCTTGCAGCCCTCACTCGCTCTCGGTGCCTCCTCGGCCTTGGCGCCCACTCTAGCCACACTTGAGGAGCTCTTCAGCCCGCCGCTGCACTGTGGGAGCCCCTTTCTGGGCTGGCCAAGGCTGGAGCTGGCTCCCTCAGCTTGCAGGGAGGTGTGGAGGGAGAGGCGTGGGCGGTGAGACCATCACCTATTGCTGAGCGGCAAGACAATCGCCTATTGCCAAGCAGTGAGTACCATTGGACCCCTTTCGCTTGCTATTCTGTCCTATTTTTCCTTAGAATTCCGGGGCTAAATACCGGGTACCTGTCGGCCAGTTAAAAGCGACTAGCGTGGCCGCCAGACTAAAGACATGGGTGTCAGGTTTTCTGGGATAGGGCTCTCTAACAACCCCCGACTCTTTGGAGTTGGGAGCGTTGGTGTGCCTCGAACCAGCTTCCACTTTTCTTGTACTTCTGGGCTGAGCCTAGGGTTGACAGAGAGGAAAGCCATGCAGCTCCGGGGTCCCGACAACAAGTTGGTTGACCCTGCGGCCATGAGTGGAACTCTCAAAGGCATGTTGCCCAAGCAAGACTCGCCCATCTCTCCTATCTATCCTGACCCTTGCCCCCTGGGTCCTAATGCCTGCCAGACAAACTTCCTCTTGCCTCTCTTCTCCAAGGTTAGTCCCGCTTCTAAAAATTGCTACCTGTCTCTGGTGCTTTTCTAGTTTCTTCTATAAAAATGATTTCTAGTATAAACTCCAGGACTTTGTTACCTTCTTTAGGCACCTGGGCTCACCAATCAGAAAGACATAATTTTTGCCCAAAGCCCCATTGTCCTGGGGACTACTTGGAATTTTAGGATCCCTCCTCAGACTAACAGGCCTAACAAAACCTATTCCTGAAGCTAGAATATGGGGAGCCTCAGAAATTGTATCCTTCCTATTCATATAAGTGAGGACAAAAGGTGTCGCTATTCCAACCCTGGAGATCCCTTCCCTCCCTAAGGGCATAGCCCTCCACTTCATTTTTGGGGCATAACATCTTTATAGGACAGGGGTAACGTCCCAATACTAACAGGAGAATGCTTAGGACTCTAGCAGGTTTTCGAGAATGTGTCGGTAAGGGCCACTAAATCCGATTTTTCTTGGTCAGTCCTCCTTGTGGTCTAGGAGGACAGGCAAGGATGCAGGTTTTTGAGAATGCATTGGTAAAGGCCACTAAATCCAACCTTCCTTGGTCCTCCATGTGGTCTGGGAGGAAAACTAGTGTTTCTGCTGCTGCGTCGGTGAGCACAACTATTCCGATCAGCAGGGTCCAGGGACTGTTGTGGGTTCTTGGGCAGGGGGAGAAACAAAACAAATCAAAACCATGGGCAGTTTTGTCTTTCAGATGGGAAACACTCAGGCATCAACAGGCTCACCCTTGAAATGCATCCTAAGCTATTGGGACCAATTTGACCCATAAACCCTGAAAAAGAGGTGGCTCATTTTTTTCTGCACTATGGCTTGGCCCCAATATTCTCTCTGATGGGGAAAAATGGCCACCTGAGGGAAGTACAAATTACAATACTATCCTGCAGCTTGACCTTCTCTGTAAGAGGGAAGGCAAATCGAGTGAAATACCTTACATCCAAGCTTTCTTTTCATTGAGGGAGAATACACAACTATGCAAAGCTTACAATTTACATCCCACAGGAGGACCTCTCAGCTTACCCCCATATCCCAGCCTCCCAATAGCTCCCCTTCCTACTAATGATAATCCTCCTCTAATCTCCCCTGCCCAGAAGGAAATAAGCAAAGAAATCTCCAAAGGACCACAAAGACCCCCAGGTTATCGGTTATGTCCCCTTCAAGCTGCAGGAGGAGGGGAATTTGGCCCAACCCGGGTACATGTCCCCTTCTCCCTCTCTGATTTAAAGCAGGTCAAGGCAGACATGGGGAAGTTTTCAGATGATCCTGATAGGTACATAGATGTCCTACAGGGTCTAGGGCAAACCTTAGACCTCGCTTGGAAAGATGTCATGCTACTGTTAGTTCAAACCCTGGCCTTTAATGAAAAGAACGCAGCTTTAGCTGCAGCCTGAGAGTTTGGAGATACCTGGTATCTTAGTCAGTAAATGATAGAATGACAGCTGAAAAAAGGGACAAATTCCCTACTGGTCAGCAAGCCATCCCCAGTATGGATCCCCACTGGGACCTTGACTCAGATCATGGGGAATGGAGTCATAAACATCTGTTGATCTGTGTTCTAGAAGGACTAAGGAGAATTAGAAAAAAGCCCATGAATTATTCAATGATGTCCACCATAACTCAGGGAAAGGAAGAAAATCCTTCCTTCCTCGAGCGGCTATGAGAGGCCTTAAGAAAATATACTCCCCTGTCACCCGAATCACTCGAGGGTCAATTGATTCTAAAAGATAAGTTTATTACCCAATCAGCTGCAGATATCAGGAGAAAGCTCCAAAAGCAAGCCCTGGGCCCTGAACAAAATCTTAGAGGCATTATTAAACCTGGCAACCTTGGTGTTCTATAATAGGGACCAAGAGGAACAGGCCCAAAAGGAAAAGCGAGATCAGAGGAAAGCCACAGCCTTAGTCATGGCCCTCAGACAAACAAACCCTGGTGGTTCAGAGAGGACAGAAAATGGGGCAGGTCAATCACCTGGTAGGGCTTGTTATCAGTGTGGTTTACTAGGACACTTTAAAAAAGATTGTCCAATGAGAAACAAGCTGCCCCCTCATCCATGTCCACAATGCCGAGGCAATCACTGGAAGGTGCACTGCCCCAGAGGATGAAGGTTCCCTGGGTCAGAAGCCCCCAACCAGATGATCCAACAACAGGACTGAGGGTGCCTGGGGCAAGCGCCAGCTCATGTCATCACCCTCACTGAGCCCTGGGTATGTTTATCTATTGAGGGCCAGGAAATTGACTTCCTCCTGGACACTGGCATGACCTTCTCAGTGTTAATCTCCTGTCCTGGATGACTATCCTCAAGGTCCGTTACCATCCGAGGAATTCTGAGACAGCCTGTAACCAGGTATTTCTCCCACCTCCTCAGTTGTAATTGGGAGACTTTGCTCTTTTCACATGCCTTTCTTGTTATGCCTGAAAGTCCCACACCCTTATTAGGGAGGGATATATTAGCCAAGGCCGGAGCTATTATCTACATGAATATGGGGAACAAGTTACCCATTTGTTGTCCCCTACTTGAGGAGGGAATCAACCCTGAGGTCTGGGCATTGGAATGACAATTTGGAAGGGAGAAAAATGCCCGCCCAGTCCAAATCAGGTTAAAAGATCCCACCACTTTTCCTTATCAAAGGCAATATCCCTTAAGGCCTGAAGCTCATAAAGGATTACAGAATATTGTTAAACATTTGAAAGCTCAAGGCTTAGTAAGGAAATGCAGCAGTCCCTGCAACACCCCAATTCTAGGAGTACAAAAACCGAATGGTCAGTGGGGACTAGTGCAAGATCTTAGACTCATCAATGAGGCAGTAATTCCTCTATATCCAGTTGTACCCAACCCCTATACCCTGCTCTCTCAAATACCAGAGGAAGCAGAATGGTTCATGGTTCTGGACCTCAAGGATGCCTTCTTCTGTATTCCCCTGCACTCTGACTCCCAGTTTCTCTTTGCCTTTGAGGATCCCACAGACCACACGTCCCAACTTATGTGGATGGTCTTGTGCCAAGGGTTTAGGGATAGCCCTCATATGTTTGGTCAGGCACTGGCCCAAGATCTAGGCCACTTCTGAAGTCCAGGCACTCTGGTCCTTCAATATGTGGATGATTTACTCTTGGCTACCAGTTCAGAAGCCTCGTCCCAGCAGGCTACTGTAGATCTCTTGAACTTTCTAGCTAATCAAGGGTACAAGGTGTCTAGGTCGAAGGCCCAGCTTTGCCTACAGCAGGTCAAATATCTAGGCCTAATCTTTTCCAGAGGGACCAGGGCCCTCAGCAAGGAATGAATACAGCCTATACTGGCTTATCCTCACCCTAAGACATTAAAACAGTTGCGGGGGTTCCTTGGAATTACTGCCTTTTGCCGACTATGGATCCCTGGATACAGTGAGATAGCCAGGCCCCTCTATACTTTAATCAAGGAAACCCAGAGGGCAAATACTCATCTAGTAGAATGGGAACCAGAGGCAGAAACAGCCTTCAAAACCTTAAAGCAGGCCCTAGTACAAGCTCCAGCTTTAAGCCCTCCCACAGGACAAAACTTCTCTTTCTACATCACAGAGATTGCTGGGATAGCCCTTGGAGTCCTTACACTGACTTGTGGGACAACCCCACAACCAGTGGCATACCTAAGTAAGGAAACTGATGTAGTAGCAAAAGGCTGGCCTCACTGTTTAAGGGTAGTTGCAGCAGTGGCCGTCTTAATGTCAGAGGCTATCAAAATAATACAAGGAAAGGATCTCACTGTCTGGACTACTCATGATGTAAATGGCATACTAGGTGCCAAAGGAAGTTTATGGCTATCAGATAACTGCCTACTTAGATACCAGGCGCTACTCCTTGAGGGACCGGTGCTTCAAATATGCATGTGCATGGCCCTCAACCCTGCCACTTTTCTCCCAGAGGATGGGAAACCAATCGAGCATGCCTGCCAACAAATTATAGTCCAGACTTATGCCACCCAAGATGATCTCTTAGAAGTCCCCTTAGCTAATCCTGACCTTAACCTATATATCAATGGAAGTTCATTTGTGGAGAATGGGATACGAAGGGCAGGTTACACCATAGTTAGTGATGTAACCATACTTGAAAGTAAGCCTCTTCCCCCAGGGACCAGTGCCCAGTTAGCAGAACTAGTGGCACCTACCCGAGCCTTAGAACTGGGAAAGGGAAAAAGAATAAATGTGTATACAGATAGCAAGTATGCTTATCTAATCCTACATGCCTATGCTGCAATATGGAAAGAGAGGGAGTTCCTAACCTCTGGGGCAACCACCATTAAATACCACAAGGAAATTATAGAGTTATTGCACCCAATGCAAAAACACAAGGAGGTGGCAGTCTTACACTGCCAAAGCCATCAAAATGGGGAAGGAGAGGGGAAAACAGCAGCAAAAGTGGCTGGCAGAAGTAGGGAAAGACCAGCAAGAAGTAAAGAAAAAAAGAGAAAGTCAGAGAAAGAAAAAAAGAGAGGAAGAAACAAAGAAGAACTTGAAGAGAGAAAGAAGTAGTAAAGAAAAAACAGTATACCCTATTCCTTTAAAAGCCAGGGTAAATTTCTGTCTACCTAGCCAAGGCATATTCTTCTTATGTGGAACATCAACCTATATCTGCCTCCCCACTAACTGGACAGGCACCTGAACCTTAGTCTTTCTAAGTCCCAACATTAACATTGCCCCAGGAAATCAGACCCTATTGGTACCTGTCAAAGCTAAAGTCCGTCAGTGCAGAGCCATACAACTAATATCCCTATTTATAGGGTTAGGAATGGCTACTGCTACAGGAACTGGAATAGCCGGTTTATCTACTTCATTATCCTACTACCATACACTCTCAAAGAATTTCTCAGACAGTTTGCAAGAAATAATGAAATCTATTCTTACTTTACAATCCCAATTAGACTCTTTGGCAGCAATGACTCTCCAAAACCGCCGAGGCCCACACCTCCTCACTGCTGAGAAAGGAGGACTCTGCACCTTCTTAGGGGAAGAGTGTTGTTTTTACACTAACCAGTCAGGGATAGTACGAGATGCCACCTGGCATTTACAGGAAAGGGCTTCTGATATCAGACAATGCCTTTCAAACTCTTATACCAACCTCTGGAGTTGGGCAACATGGCTTCTCCCATTTCTAGGTCCCATGGCAGCCATCTTGCTGTTACTCGCCTTTGGGCCCTGTATTTTTAACCTTCTTGTCAAATTTGTTTCCTCTAGGATCGAAGCCATCAAGCTACAGATGGTCTTACAAATGGAACCCCAAATGAGTTCAACTAACAACTTCTACCAAGGACCCCTGGACCGATCCACTGGCACTTCCACTGGCCTAGAGAGTTCCCCTCTGGAGGACACTACAACTGCAGGGCCCCTTCTTTGCCCCTATCCAGCAGGAAGTAGCTAGAGCGGTCATCGGCCAAATTCCCAACAGCAGTTGGGGTGTCCTGTTTAGAGGGGGGATTGAGAGGTGACAGCCTGCTGGCAGCCCTCACAGCCCTCGCTCGCTCTCAGTGCCTCCTCAGCCTTGGTGCCCACTCTGGCCGTGCTTGAGGAGCCCTTCAGCCTGCCACTGCACTGTGGGAGCCTCTTTCTGGGCTGGACAAGGCCGGAGCCAGCTCCCTCAGCTTGCAGGGAGGTATGGAGGGAGAGATGCAGGCGGGAACCAGGGCTGCGCATGGCGCTTGCGGGCCAGCATGAGTTCCAGGTGGGCGTGGGCTCGGCGGGCCCCACACTCGGGCAGTGAGGGGCTTAGCACCTGGGCCAGCAGATGCTGTGCTCAACTTCTCGCTGGGCCTTAGCTGCCTCCCCGTGGGGCAGGGCTCGGGACCTGCAGCCTGCCATGCCTGAGCCCCCCACCCCGCCGTGGGCTCCTGCACAGCCCAAGCCTCCCCGACAAGCACCACCCCCTACTCCACGGTGCCCAGTCCCATCAACCACCCAAGGGCTGAGGAGTGCGGGCACACAGCGCGGGACTGGCAGGCAGCTCCACCTGCGGCCCTGGTGCGGGATCCACTGCGTGAAGCCAGCTGGGCTCCTGAGTCTGGTGGGGACTTGGAGAATCTTTATGTCTAGCTAAGGGATTGTAAATACACCAATCAGCACTCTGTATCTAGCTCAAGGTTTGTAAATGCACCAATCAGCACTCTGTGTCTAGCTCAGGGTTTGTGAATGCACCAATCAGCACTCTGTATCTAGTTAGTCTGGTGGGGACTTGGAGAATCTTTATGCCTAGCTAAGGGATTTTGAATGCACCAATCGGCACTCTGTATCTAGCTCAAGGTTTGTAAATGCACCAATCAGCACTCTGTGTCTAGCGCAGGGTTTGTAAATACACCAATTGACACTCTGTATCTAGCTAATCTAGTGGGGATGTGGAGAACTTTTGTGTCTAGCTCAGGGATTGTAAGCGCACCAATCAGCACCTTGTCAAAACGGACTAATCAGCTCTCTGTAAAACAGACCAATTGGCTCTCTGCAAAATGGACCAATCAGCAGGATGTGGGTGGGGCCAGATAAGAGAATAAAAGCAGGCTGGCAGAGCCAGCAGTGGCAACCTGCTCGAGTCCCCTTCCACACTGCAGAAGCTTTGTTCTTTCGCTCTTTGCAATAAATCTTGCTACTGCTCACTCTTTGGGTCCACACTGCCTTTATGAGCTGTAACACTCACCGCGAAGGTCTACAGCTTCACTCCTGAAGCCATCGAGACCACGAACCCACCAGAAGGAAGAAACTCCGAACACATCCGAACCTTAGAAGGAACAAACTCCGGACACGCCGCCTTTAAGAACTGTAACACTCACTGCGAGGGTCCGCGGCTTCAATTTTGAAGTCAGTGAGACCAAGAACCCACCGATTCCGGACACAGTAGGACACTGTGGGAGTTGCTTACATACATCATCTCATTTAATCTTCCCATTAGCTGATAAGACTGATATTTTGTTTTATATGAAAAAAACAGATTAAGATGAATATGTTCAGAAATGCAATGCAAAACTAAGTCTTCCTTACTGCAAAGCCCAAATTCTTTTCTTCAGCATTTGATAAATTATATTTTTTAGAGTCTTATATATATCAAATATCATTAATTTTCGCCCACCAATATACAGTTCATGTTGTGCCCTTCTCCAAGCTAAATCAGGTATGCCCCCTGCCCAAATTCAACGTGGGATAAATTACATGATCACATCTATAAAAGGACAATTTTACACTTATAGCTACATGTGCATAGAAGAAGTCAAAACTGAGTGTTGGGTTCATCAAAACTGTTTCCAATCAGATGAAGTCACTGAACAGCCATGAACTTTCAGCAAGCCAACATCTCAAGCTGATAAAGGACTCAGAATTGTGAGTAATCTGGTATGTCAGAACCTCAGTGTACCAAAGTACAGATTACTTTCTAAAATGGGACATGATTAAGCCAAACATGTATGGACAAGAACTCATTTTTTTCCATTCAGAGAGGGAGTTTTCAATCACTACTTAGTATAACCACCTTGAAGCCCTTTTCTAGTGAATAAAGCCTTTTGTTCCTCACCCTGACCCCCTCCCATTAAGTATTCAGTGAATTTTGTTGACAGTGTATACTCCTTTGTCTGGCAGGCAAGTAAACAAACTCAGAAGAGAGAGAGAGAGTAAGAGTAAGAGTGTGTGAGTGTGTGAGTGTGTGTGTGTGTGTGTGTGTTTAACATTCTGGTGGACTTTGTTTTATTCAGAGACATATCTGATTACTCTTCTCCATCTTGAATAAGGAGGTGGGCTTCTAAAATGTTTGCTCTTTCCTAAATTGTTAGCCTTCAAGAACAGTTAAGAATCTTGAATCCTTAATATACATTATCCTGAGACACATGCCCCAGGCAGTTCAGGGCATACCTGAGACATAGCTGTCTAAGATACTGGCTTTGGTCAGGCCAGAAGTAGCTGATTCCAGCTCTTTCAGTTGAAGCTGATGCTTTGGAAGTGATTATATTCCCTTTATGGAACTTCCAAGGAACAACTCTTCCTGCACTTACCTCTCCCAGACATAAGTCACAGAACTCCACCATCTGTGAGAGAAAAATCCCAGCTATTGGCTATGAATTGTTTTAATGCTGAGATAAAGGCTTAGAAGGGAACCAGCACCTGCCCAGCATCCTCTGTGATTAACATAACACAGAACACCTGCTAGACCATGGTGGCTATTCCAGTCCAAGTTTTATTTTATTTTTTTAATCATTCCCACATGCCTCCAAATAAGCAAGCCAATACTATTTTCAGAAAGCAAGATTATGCACTATGACAGGGCATTCATTCAGAAGTAGACATTTGCCAAGAACCTAAGTCAGGCACTAAGCTAGGCTGAGAGATGAAAATGTGAATAAGATGTCGAGGTTACTGCCCTTGAGGAGATGAAGACATCTCCATCAGGTGTGTAAGTCAAATAAAGACACTCTATAATAGTGTTATAAGAACATAATAAAATCATATCCTGTAGCAACTAACACTCAGGTCTGGTAAAATTTAACAGAAGAACTGGTAATTGAGTTGGGTCTTGAGGAACAAGCGGGATTTGGAAAGATGGAAGATACAGGGGAATAAAGTCATCCTAGACAAAGACAAGAGCATGTGCAATGCACTAAGACATGAAAAAGTATGGATATGGTCAAGAGGTGGCATGCCGTCTTGAGTTACTAGAAGTGGGTGAGGTGTGGGTAGGAGATTGTCATGAAGTCTGCTTGTAATGTACTAAGTATGCTAAACTAATGAGTTCGAACTTTATCCTGTACACAGTGGAGAACTAGTCAATATGTACAGTTTGTGGGCACTTCATCTTCCAGCCAAAATGGGCAAACAGAAACCAGATTTACCCTACCATCCCAAACAATTAGAACACTTTACAAAATATGTAAAACAATGGTTTTCAGATATTGCACAACAGCCAGTACGAGACAATCATTCTTGAGAAAAAGGAAACAAGATGAGCCCACAATTACTGTGGCTTATTGTCTAGAGGAAAGTTCCAGATTTCAGGCCAGAGGGTGGTCTAGCTGAGTTGAGGATACAGAATTGAGAATTTGGGAAGACGAAGGTGGGTACTGGGAAGGAGAGCACCACCCAGAGAGGAGCTGAAGGAGAGAAGGATGGAGAAAGAGAACCCTCAGCTGGGTACTAATTACTACATGTGTGTGAGGAAACTACCCTAGCGAGGAAAGAACCAATGAAAAAGAAAAGGTAAAATAACCAGTGAAGTTCACACAGGGCCAGGAATAGTTTGGATTTCTACCAGCCAGAGTGGAAGGACATTGTAATTCATGGGGCATTGGGTGGAGTATTTAGAAGATATTGCTTTGGCAGGGAAAATTAGCCTTAGTTGGAATCCCTCTCTATCTTAAAAAACTTAAAAGTAAGTCTTGAAAAGGTGATAGTACTTCCAAGTAACAGGATACAGAACAAGCACACAAGCACACACACACACTTACATATACACACACCCTCTCACACAGTAAATCCGGTAAGGTAAAATTCACAATGTTACAATGTCTAGCATCTAATAAAACACTTCCAGCTACGCAAAGCAGCAGAAAAAAATGAGCCATAATCTAGACAAAAGTATTGATAGAAATAGATATAAAAATAGTAGACAAGGGCGTTAAAGCAGTTACATAATTTTATTTCATCTATTCAGGAAGATAAAGGAGAATATTTGCATGTTTAGACATTGAAGATATAAAACACCCAAATCAAATGTCTAGGGATGAAAAAAATTAATGTCTGAGATGACAAACTGGATATAATAACTACAGACACTGAAGAAGAAAAAAATACAAAACTTGAAGATATAGCAATAGAAACTCTCCAAAATGAAACACAGAGACAAAAAAACAGTTGCCTTAGGGAACCATAAGGCAACTTCAAAAGGCTAATATCTGTAAAATTGGTGGCCCCAAAGAAAGGGAGAGAGAGAAGGATGGAAAAAAATATTTGAAGAAATAATCAATGAAAAAAATCTCCTAATTTGATGGAAACTATAAACTCACAAATTCAAGAAGCTAAATGAATCCCAAACACAAGACACATACAGAAAACTACACTAAGGCACATCATAAACTATTTAAAATTAGTGATAAAGAGAAAATATTAAAATCAGCTAAAGACAAAAAGTCACCTGTGCAGAGAAACAAAGATAAGAATTGTGATAGCAGCTTTTTCTTTAGTGACATTATATAAGGTAGAAGAAAATGGACCAACATCTTCATAGTAGTATTCAAGAAACAACAAAACATATCAGCATAGAATTCTATACCCAGCTTTCAGAAATGAAGACAAAATAAACACCATTCACAAATATAAAAGCTGAAAGAAATTGTCACCAGATTTTTACTACAGGAAATCTTGAAGACATTGCTTTAACATGGAAAATGATATCCTTTGGATATATCCAAAGGATAGAGCACTGGAAATGATAAATATGTAAGTAAATACAGAATACTCTTTTTCCTTATTTTGAAAATATTTTTTAAAGATAACTGACCATTGAAATAAAAAATAACAATGTGTTGTGGGGTTTATAACACATAGAAGAAAACTGTATAATGATAGCACAAAGGCTGAGAGGGGAGACACAGAAGTCTAATGTTGTCTGTAATCCCAGCACTTTGGGAGGCCAAGGCGGGCAGATCACCTAAGGTCAGGAGTTCAAGACCAGCCTGGCCAACATAGTGAAATATTGTCTCTACTGAAAATACAAAAATTAGCCAGGTGTGGTGGTACACACCTGTAATCCCAGCTACTCGGGAGGCTGAGCTGGGAGAATCACTTGAACCCAGGAGGCGGAGGTTGCAGTGAGCTGAGATGGCGCAACTGCACTTCAGCCTGGGCGACAGAGCGAGACTCTGCCTCAAAAAAAAAAAAAAAAAAAGAAGAAGAAGTCTAATGTTGTAAGGTTCTTATATTTCAATGAAGTGATTTAATGTCACTTTAAGGCACATTCTGATAAATTAAACATATATCTTTTAAGTCCCAATGCAATCACTAAAAAAAAAATCAATGAATTTTATAAATCAATAATATACTCAATAAGCCAACAAATGAGATAAAATTAAGTCATAAAAATATTCAATGACTCAAAAATAAGGAGAAAACAGGAAATAAGAAGAGGTGTGACAAATAGAAAAAGAGCACTAAGATCATAAATTTAAACTCAACTATATCAATAATTTTTTTTTTTTTTGAGACAGAATCTTGCTCTGTCGCCAGGCTGGAGTGCAGTGGAGCGATCTCAGCTTACTGCAACCTCCACTTCCTGGGTTCAAGCAATTCTTCTGACTCTGCCTCCTGAGTAGCTGGAACTACAGACTCATACCACCACGCCCAGCTAATTTTTGTATTTTTAGTAGAGACGGGGTTTCACCATGTTGGCCAGGATGGTCTTGATCTCTTGACCTTGTGATCCACCCACTTCGGCCTCCCAAAGTACTGGAATTACAGGCTCAACAACTTTTATATGTGGTCTAAATGCCCTAATCAAAAGGCAGAGATTGTCAGACTGAATTTTAAAAAGCAAGATTCAACTATATGTTGCCTACAAAGCCATTTTTTGTTGTCTGTGCCCATCTTTGAAGACTGTAACAGCCTTAATGGGCTGTAGCTCTGACTATTGCTTTTCTTCTCAGCCTCTGAAAAGCAATGGCCTCTGGTGACTATGGACTTTACCAAAGTGTAATGCAAGTCTCATTATATTCTCTAGAATGGACATTAAAATGCCACATTTTATCCCTAGTTTCTGGATTCTTCAGTTCTCAAAATGGCCAATCCATATTTTCAGGAAGCATTGTAACTTAATCTGCTTACCAAATACCTGTAATGTATCAAATTGTGAATTTCCCAAAACTGCCATTTGTGCCATAAATCTGATAATTTTCTCTTTTTTCCAACTAAAAGGTCCACATTATTAGTTCATTTATTCATTCAACAAACAGTTAACACTTAGAGCCCAGCCACTGTGCTAGATATGTCCTACACACAGGTATACATTGTTGAAACAAACTGGGATAGTTTCTGTACCCATGAAACTTAAAATATAGTAAAAGAGATAGATTGTAAACAAATAAACATATAATTATATGTTGTGTTAGGAGTTGTAATGGAAACAGAAAGTATCAGGAGGCAGATGTTAAGCAGATAATGTGGCTGAAGGACTTGACATTGAGGGATACCATTTAAACTCAATCCTGACTATGAACTAATCACAAGAACAAAGAGAATAGTTTGGCCAAGCACAGGAACAGCATATGTGAACACCTTGAAATGGGAAAATTTGATCTATTTCAAGTGCTTGAAGGATCAGAAGAGTCACCTGAGATGAAGCTGGGGTGGTAAACCGGAGCCGGATCACACAGGACCACAGCAAGAAGTTTTAATTTTCCTGTAAGTACACTGGAAAATCACTGAAGCATACAAATAGGAGAAAAACATATATGGCTTAATTTACCTTTTTTTTTTTTTCTTTTTTTTTTGAAACAGAATCTTGCTCTGTAGCCAGAGTGCAGTGGCGCCATCTCGGCTCACTGCAAGCTCAGCCTCCCAGGTTCAAGTGATTCTCCTGCCTCAGCCTCCTGAGTAGCTGAGACAACAGGCGTGCACCACCATGCCCAGCTAATTTTTTTGTATTTTTAGTGGAGACAGGGTTTCACCATGTTGGCCAGGATGGTCTCCGTCTCTTGACCGCATGATCCTCCTGCCTTGGCCTCCCAAATTGCTGAGATTACCGGCGTGAGCCACCGCACCCGGCCTTAATTTACATTTTAAGACTTTCACATGCAAATCTCTGGAAAATGGGTGACAGTGGGCTGGGAGTAAAAAGAGGGCAACAGGAATAATCTGGCAGTTTCTATAGATGCTGTGTGTGAGAGAGAAATCAAGGGTGATTCCAGCTGGGTGGAGGATACAAAGATCGGGAGGACAGGAGGAGTGACAAGTTTGCGGGTGGGAATCAGGAATTCAGTTTGAAAATCAGGTTAAGTTTGAGAGATGTGTTTCCCTTGCTCAGGAGCCCACATCAACCGAGAAGCTGAAGAACTGGACCTTGGAGCAGGATCTCTAAGAGCTCAGATCATAAACTAGGTCTCCTGACTCAAGAATGCATATCCAGTGATATCTAGTACATCTCTAGTTCCAAATATGGCTTTTCCCTCTCTGTTGCTCTGCTCTCCTTTTCCTTAGGACTGCTCTGAATGAGAGCCTGACTGAGCTCCAGGTTGCCCACTCACAACCTGCACTGCCTTGCACCACCTTAATAACATGTGCAGCATACAGCAATGCAGCTTGTAAAACAGAAACGATCAGAATCCCTTTGCAAAACAAAGGCTGGATCTCATAGCCTATCCAGTTTGATTGCTTCCTTCCAAGCAACGGAATGACAGGTTTTGCAGGCCTAATTATTTGTCAGGTAATCAATCTAGTCTGCTATCATTGTTTAATCTCTATGCCTCACTAAACGCAAGCCTAATATTTCACCATTCTCTCCTCCGTGCAAAGGAAGCTGCTCCCAGCTTCTAACCCACACTACTGATCTTGCCCTCAATTGACATCAAGCAAAGGAGATATTTAAAGACAAGCTCGAGTATCTTCAATTTTACAGATCTAGAATTGTCACCATAAAGTTAGTGAGCTTAAAGTGTGTTGCCCCAAAAGGATAGAGGAACCTGCTGGCCATGACATGGCTCTCCTTTTGACACTAACATCACCAGACCTGGAGGGTACCTGGGACACCAGAGACAAGGATGGCTTCAAAGCCCAGGAGGGTGAGCTCATGTCCTGGAAGCAACAGCAAAATTGTGAGCACCACACTCTGAACAGAAGACAGAGTTGTCTTCCCATACACTGAGGACTCTTGGTAGAGCATCCCCTCTTGGGAGCCAGTGACCCTAGACTCAAACATTGGAAAAATCTATCAAGCCACCAGCAGAACTGGTACAGACCCAAGATACCAAAGGAGGAAAAAATACCTTGTTCAGGGACATTTCTTGCCTCTCACTAAAGCTGCCCTGCTGGCTGTCAGGTTTACGACCTTAGAATCCCGGACCCCTTCTTGAAGTTACGCTTAGCTATCCACTTGCCAGCCAGGCAGCCTGTCTATTCCTGTGAAATAAACAGCCTCATGGCTTCTCATGGGTTTGGGACTATTAAAAAAATCTAGAGGGAGATGAATAACCAAGTGGAAGAGGTTTTTATTTTTTAAAAGCCATTAAGGGAAAAATATGCAAGCTGTATTTCAAATTTGCCTTTTTAATTTTTTAAAACGTATAATATTTAAGTTCAAAAGATTGCTCCAACAGTTGAAAAATAGTTAAATAACAGTACTGCCACTCAATAAATTCTGAAGACTTTGAAACAATACAGAACTGTGCTTTTCATAGTACATTTTAAGGGAGACATGCTTGAAATTATATATGGAGTGTAATTACAATCATGAAAATCATATACAAAACAGCAATAATGGAAAAAATGCTGTGAGGAAATGTGCCAAATTGTTAATAACCGATACTGTTGTTTGATGAGAAATAGCATCTTCTTCATTTTTCAGTTGTTCGGTATTTACCCTTTTTTCTAATAAATTTGCATTCCTATTATGAGACATGTTATTGTTTTACTTTTAGAACAAATTAGATATAAATTCTCCTGCTTGCTCACCCACACCCCTGTTAAAGGTGTAGATATCATTTAAATCTATATTTTAAAGTTACTATTAAGCAAAAGTTAATAATGCTACTATACCAAAACATTATTTCTGTGAATTATATTTAACCAAGTCCAGGAGAACCAAACTTGTGGTCAGAACACTAGGATCAACTTTTTTCCTGCTTTTTGAGATAATTGTAGATTCACATGCAGTTGTAAGAAATAATACAGGGATTCCATATACGCTTTCCCCGTTTTACATCTTCTGTCACGCCAGTACAATACCACACCAGGAAATTGACTTTGATACAGTCTGTGACCTTACTCAGATTTCACCAGTTTTCATGCACTGGTGTGTATTTAGTTCTGTGCAGTTTTATCTTGTGTGTAGACTTGTGGAACCACCACTATAGCCAAGATTCAGAACGGTTCCATCACTGCTACTACGCTTTTGAACTCACAGCCACTTCCCTCCCCTGCTCCCTAACTCCTGGCAATGGTCAACTTTTTGTCACTGAACAATGATCCATCCCCCATGCGGGATTCACTATGCCAGTACAGTGATGGATACAATCAAATAAACAGTGTAGCCTAGTGTTTAGGAGTGCAGGCAGGAACCAGACTAACTGGGTTCAAATCTGAGGTGGCCACTGTCACCTTCGGAGAAGTATTAAACTCTTTATGCTACATTTTCTTCAATAAGATGGGGATAATCATATGATAGAACTTCATAGGTTGTTAGAATTCAATGAGTTGATACTTAGAAAGCAAGAAGAAAGCACCGGGCCTGAATAGATGCATGTTACCATCTAAGAACTCCCAATCCAGTGGAGAATACACAAAACGCTAATCAGTTCAGCCTGTATGCAGTGATGTAATATACATGTAAACACAGTACAAGGGGAGGACCTAGGAGGGGGCAGTTAATTCTGGCTGTGGAAGGCTGAGCCAGGCTTCCCCAGAAAGGGAATATTTGGGTTGGGTTTTGGAGGATGAGTAAGACTTTGCCAGGAAAAAAAAAAAAAAAAAGTTTCATGCTGATATACAGCTTGATCAGTGACCCTGAGAAGGCATGGCGATTTCTAAAGGGTAAAAGCTTGGAACAAAAACCTGGAAGAGTGGGGGAGACTTTGGGGCAGGGCAGGGGAGTGGTGGTGGCCAAAGAGGAAGCCTGAGTGAAGGTTGGGGCCGGGTTTTGAGGGGTCCTTGAATGCCATGCTATAATTAGCACAGCGATTGCAATCCTGGAGAAGACTAGAATAGAATAGAAAGAAGAAAGTGCATCCCAGACTCAGGCACATCAGGAGAATTAGAATGGATGTGAAAGTACATTCTAAATTACAAAACACCAGCAGTGGCGATTAATCGTAAACAATAGCAGCAGCAGCAGAATGTTTAAAACACAGTCACCATTCTTGTTAAACGCAGATTATCCTGAGTGTCTGGGGCAAGGGCATTAGAAGTTACAACGCTAATTCACGCCAGAACTTGTCCTGGCCCTGCCCGGCAGTTTCCACTCTAGCCAGGTGTTCCTAATTCCCTTCACAGGCAACCTGAAACCATCCTTTTCTGGGATTTCAAAGGAAGCCCCTGGGCAGATACTTTGGCAGTTGCCAGTGTCTCTCCCAGTCTCTGGGACCATTCACTTTTTCCCTGTCATCGGTCCCCAGTATTTATCCAATCATCTGGCCATTTGCCCGGGCTCTGGCAGTGCCGGTCCCTGAGCACGTGCCTGGCTCAGGCTTCCCTTCGCTCTCTCTGCTTTGGACAGGTCATCTCTTCCTGGTGGTTTTCCGGGGGCCCTGACCTCCCATACCTTGCTGTGACTACGATCTCCCTGGCTGTGACTACAATCTCCCTGCAGATTTCTGCCTGTCTTTCACAACTTATTCTTGCCTTTCTGGTCCTAGGTGTTCCAATGACCTGATGCTGCCTACACTGGGGTGTGGCCCATAGAACAAGAACACATTACCTTGTGGTTTTGCTTCAAAAAATGTTCTCAATCAGCCGCCTTCTTCTGGTTATTTTTCTCATTATAGAGAGAGAGGGAGAAGGATCAAGAACACTTATTTCACTTACTCTTCATAGACTGAAAAAAATTAACTACTTTTTTTTTAGTATCAGACACCTTTCTTTTTGTTCTGGCATTCTCATATCTGTGAGGGGAAAAAAAGATTTTGGAAGAAATGACTCTTGCTAAGTGCATGGTGGTAATGGTGTAAAGTCTAGCTCTGAAAACTAAGAAACCAAAAAAAAAAAATTAAAAATTAAAAAAAAATACCTCCCTGTCCTCTAAACAAAGTTGAGTTAGGCTATGAACTAGTCAGCTGATCACAAAGATGAAATGCAACCAAACAGGACTTAGGAAGAAACAGCCCCAAGTTCCCCTAAAACAATACCTTGTTGTCCTCTATATAATTGAGCCGTCTCTTTGCTCTAGCCAGTATTTTAACTTCCATAGCAAACCTCCTTCACTTGAAGTTGATCCATGGAAGATATGACTTAACAAGATATATCAAAAACACAACACCTTCCCAACAAAACTCACCAGACATTTTCCCATGCAATGTACATCTTAGATAAAATTCACTTGCAGCCAATAAAATTCTTCATGTAAATAAACAAAACATCCAACTATATTATTTGTGGGGGAAAAAAACCTCATTTCTATGTTTGGAAAAATGCCAATTTTTTTTTTTTTCTTTTTTGAGACGGAGTCTCACTCTGTCACCCAGGTTGGAGTGCAGTGGCATGATCTTGGCTTATTCCAACCTCCACCTCCTGGATTCCAGCAATTCTCCTGCCTCAGCCTCCCAAGTAGCTGGGATTACAGGCGTGTGCCACCACACCCAGCTAAATTTTGTATTTTTAGTAGAGACAGGGTTTCACCATGTTGGCCAGGCTGGTCTCAAACTCCTGACCTCAGGTGATCTGCCCACCTTGGCCTCCCAACGTGCTGGGATTACAGGCATGAGCCACTGTGCCCCGCTGGAAAAATGCCAATATTTTAAATTCTCTAAGTCCCTATGCAAATCTATTGTAGACTCAGACCCTGTATCTTTCAGTTTGTGGAAGGGTGCCATACAGCCTATGGGCAATTTGGATCTTTGCTTTCTGACCTTCACCCTGGCAGAGGGGAGCCAGCTAGAGAGAGGAAATACAACATAAACAATGGCAGAGAAGGATGACTTATTTTCAGTTTAATGTGACAGGATAATCTGTTAAGAAATTAATTGCACCCACTTCTCACTGCAGCAGACACCTCAGTAAAGGGCAAAAGGTCATTTCCTTTCCCCACACAGGCCCCTACCATCCCTTGCCCCTACTCCTATCCCCAGGATAGTTTTTAACTGACTTAGTTTTTGCAAAGTCTAAAAGTGTCTCAAACTCTGAAACGCACAAAAATTACCTGAGGGGATTCAAATGGATGTTTCTGGGTACCTCCTTGGACCAACCAATTAAGATTTCTGGGGATTGGAACCCCCATTTTAAACAAATTCCCTAAGAAATTCTGATCCAGGGGGTTTTAAGAACATTCTTTGAGAAACATTAGGCCAAAAAAGACATACACACACCACCACTGAAATACCCAGGTGGGCAACACAGGGGAGCTGAGGATCCAGGGGAAAGACCCAGATGTCAGAGCTTGCCGTTCATCCTGGCAGTCAGGGGTCACTGTCAGGTTTTAAGCGGGACTGTGATGTGGTAAACTCCACAGCTCATAGCCCACGTGTCGCCTTCTCCAAGAAGCTTCCATCCTAGTCCAGAAGGGGTTCCTGCTCCTCCGTACTCCATAGTAGCCTTTCATACTTCTAACTCACCACTGACCACACTACCCTGACATGATCATTTGATGATCTCCCCTCCACCAGTAAGCTTCTGTGAGCAAGGACGTGCCTGGGTTCCATTTACCATGTCGCCACCAAATGGTCCTGATTTTTCACCATCAAATGATCCTGGAAGCAATGTCAGTGCCCCACAACTGCTTGCTCACTTGTCCTGGAATGCTTCATTTCTAGCACAGAAACTGGGCCCCATCTATCTGAACGCCTCATAAAACAGAAGCTATCCGCCTTATGGAAGGCATCAGAATGAAACAGCAGATGCCTGAAGTCTTGATCATATTCGAAGTTAGTTTACATTTTTGTGTTTCAGAAAGAACTAAAGGTCTCACAATCCTCCAAAGTCCACATGTGTAGGCCAAGCCCCTCAAGGCAATTAAAGGAATAGGAAAATGTACCCACAGCTGATTTCAGCATGAAAGCACGTGGTGTCCAGAGTCTTTTAAATCCTTAAAGCAAAACACCTGGATTCTGTTCCAGGCCGCCCCGCTCCCCACCCAGCTCCAAGCACCTGTTTCTATCTGACCAGCCCTCCGACTTTCTACCCCTCCCCGCTCAGAAGAGGCAAGAATTTTTAAATTCTGATTTTGTTTGTATAAAGATAGTAAGAAACATTCCGTGAACCAGGAATCATAAGGCTGCACCCCTGTGAGATCTCCCCCAAGAAAGTCCCTTCCATTCTCAGAGAATAAAATCGAAACACCAAATGGATGGAAACACAGTAACCACACCGTCCCTGGCAGGGCCGCCCCTGGCTGTACCTGAATTTCCTGTGTGTGGACTGTACCGGATCTACGGAGTCTGTGGCTCTTTCAGCTCCTTCTTCATCATCCGGTGCAGCCTTTGTGCTCTGGAGACCCTCAAATCAGTACGGGGGGCGAGCGCTGTGGCTCACGCCTGTAATTCCAGCAGTTTGGGAAGCCCAGGCGGGCAGATAACTTGAAGTCAGGAGTTCTAGCCCAGCCTAGCCAACGTGGTGAAACCCCGTCTCTACTAAAAATACAAAAGATTAGCTGGGCGTGGTGGCGGGCGCCTGTAGTCCCAGCTACTCGCGAGGCTGAGGCAGGAGAATCGCTTGAACCCGGGAGGCAGAGGTTGCAGTGAGCCGAGATCCCCCACTGCACTCCAGCCTGGGCGACAGAGCAAGACTCCGTCTCAAAAACAAAAACAAACAAAATCAGGAAGGGGACTTTGAAGCTCCTTAATACTGAGGCTTGGAGGGGCCCTAGCATGGGAGTTGGGCAACCCAGCGCTTCCCCTTTGAGGAGTGGCTCTAGAAATCGCCTTCCACAGTCCACAGGGAAGGGCTTTAGCCACGATCCAGGACTGAGTCCTCCATAGGGTGTGGGTGAGCCCCACGGCTGGGCCCAGCCCCCCGAAGACCACCGGGTAGCCTCGCTCCCGCCTCCCACCCCAGCCTCGCCCTCCAGCCCCGCCACGGGAGGGGCCGCCTGAAGGAGACCCGCACCTGGGCCTGGGCTCCTGGCTGGGGGGAGCGGAGCAGGCGGCGCCCAGGCCCGGGTCCTCCCCGCCCTCGCAGCTGCCCCAGCCGAGCCTCCCGGGCCGGCCTCGCCCTGGGGGTGGGGGTGGGGGTGAGGGGGCGCAGCCTCGGGCTACGGCTCCCCCGGCCCGGCCCGTGCGGGCTGCACACCTGCCCGCCCGGCGAGGCTTCATTAGGCCGCGCCTGTGCATCACGGGCCGGCCGCGGCGGCGGGAGTCCAGGCCATGGAACCCACAGAGAATCCCTGCCAGGGACCGCTGGGTGAGTGTGGAGACCCCGTCGTGCGAGGGGGTCAGGCTTTGGGGGTTCGGGGAGGGGGGGAGGCCTGTGATCACCAGGTCAGCGTTAGCCGACCTAAGAGCTTCAGTAGGCCGAGGGCCGGGTGGAGTCGGGTGGGGTAGGGTGGGAGGAGGCCGACCTCACTGCCCCCTGTGCTTTGGGATTGCAACCCCCCTCCCCGCTCCCCCGCGCCCCCTGCCCGCCTCCAGTCTCCCAGCGCGCAGGGGAGAGAACCCTGGGAGCCCCAGGACCCTTCTAGTCTTAGGTCTGACACCCGTCCCCTTCTTACTAGCGCACATCACTCCCATAGGACACGTGCTTACGGAGCACCCACAGTGCTGGGTACCAGGCTTTTTGCTACAGTACAAGCTCTCCTAAAATGCTGTAAAACAAATTTGTCCCTGCTTCCCCACACCACCAGCCAGCTTTGTCCCTTCACTCCATAGAGGCCTGCTCACCCTCTTCACCAGCCCAGACCCTCTCATGCAAGTCGGGTCCAGCCTGTGTCCTAGGAAAGGACTTGGAACAGCACCCTTGACCATGACCTTTTTCCTTGACACTCTGTTACAAAGTCATTCCTAGGGTCAGGCGCAGTGGCTCAAGTCTGTAATCCCAGCACGTTGGGAGGGCGAGGCTGGTGGACCACCTGAGGTCAGGAGTTGGAGACCAGCCTGGCCAACATGGCAAAACCCCATCTCTACTAAAAATACAAAAATTAGCTGGGTGTGGTGGCACACACCTGTAATCCCAGCTACTTGGGAGGCAGAGGCACGAGAATCGCTTGAACCCAGGGGGCCAAGGTTGCAGTGAGCCAGAATTGCACCACGTCACTGCAGCCTGGGCGACGGAGCGAGACTCCATCTCAAAAAAAAAAAAAAAAAAAAAATGTTATTCCTTAAGACCTATCTCATGCAATTTTCATTAAAGTAACAGTAGCTCTTAGTCGTTACTTAGCATTCATTACAAATGTTCCAATTTAGTTGGAAATGATAAAGCAGCTCCCTGAGCTGAGGGTTCTTGGAGTTATGAGTCAGTTGGGAGGTGAAAGTGGGGGGATCATTTGATGGCCCCAGGAAGGACTCCATGTGGTGATTAAGTACACAGAGTACGTGCTCAGGGTGCTGTGTGATCTTGGACATATTACTCTGCTGTCTCATCCTCATTTCTTCATCTGTTAGAAGGGAATATTAGCAGTGCCGTTCTTGCAGAGATTAAATATGCACTGTGCTAATCTTTGAAAGGTGCTTAGCGCCATGCCTGGAACATGATAAGCTCCCAATGCATCAGTCAGCTCACAGAAAGGAAGGCAAGCTTTAGGGATGAGTGGTAGGGTTTTTAGTTCTAGCTGGGTCCCAGTTTCCTTACTCGAAAGAGAGGTTTACCAGAGAGTGAGATCCTGCTTTGCAGGGAGGGGGAGGAAGTGGATGTGCTGGATGGTAGTGGGGTGGGGGGTGCGGGCGGGGGGGCATGTATGGAGCTGAGGAGAGTTGGCAGAGACAGAGTTCCATGGTTCTCCCTGTTATCTCTTTTGATGCTCTTGCCTCGGCTGCTGGAGACAATCGAATCCTTTCTTGTCCCTTCTCCAAGCAATAATGCCTGTTGTGCAGCAGAAACAGCATCCCGCCTTGGGAGAAGCAGAATCTCTGTCAATCTGTTTCTCTTTGTCTTCCTGGTCCATCCGCAGCCCCAACATGATCCCTTAGAGATACCTGAACAGTCCCTCAAACTCATACCCTTGGTGTCTGGGAAAAGGGAACTCACAAGGGGTGAGTACCCCCAAATTAGGAGATACCATGAGCTAACGCCGTCTCAGAATTGCATAAATTTGTCTGCATTTTTCAAAGAAGTTGGGTTATCTGATTTAATCCTCACAATAGTCAAGCTAGGAAGGTAAGTGTGGAATTATTACCCCATTTGATAGGTAGACAAATTAAAGCTTAAGATCAAACCGTTTGCAAAGCAGGAAGCAGCACTTCCTCTTGGTCCAGTTCTTCCTTCTCCCTGGTGCTAAGGTCAGTGGATGTTGGCTCCCCACAGGCCAGAAAGCTGGAGAGAAGCCCCTGGCTGCAGGACCCGGGGAGGAGGAACTGCTCCGGGGCTCAGCCCCTCATGCTCAGGACACTCAGAGTGAGGAACTGCCACCCTCCTGCACCATCTCAGGAGAGAAGAAGCCGCCAGCAGTCTCTGGAGAAGCCACCGGGGCTGATGCTGGGAGACTGTGCCCGCCCCCCCGCTCCAGGGCTCCCCACAAAGACAGAACTCTAGCCCGCTCCAGGCCCCAGACTCAGGGGGAAGATTGTTCCCTCCCAGTGGGAGAGGTGAAGATAGGAAAGAGGTCCTATTCTCCAGCCCCCGGGAAGCAGAAAAAGCCTAATGCCATGGGTCTGGCCCCAACATCATCTCCGGGTGCCCCTAACTCAGCCCGTGCCACACACAACCCAGTGCCCTGTGGGTCAGGCCGGGGGCCCTGCCACCTGGCCAATCTCCTCAGTACATTGGCGCAGAGCAACCAAAACAGAGACCACAAGCAGGGGCCCCCGGAAGTGACCTGCCAAATTAGGAAAAAGACACGAACCCTATACCGCTCAGGTAAGTCCCTAAAGAGAGGAAACCGAAGAGATCTGGGGTCATCCTGGGGAAAGGTGGGGCTGTGTGAAGAATCTACCCCCAGGAGACCTGAGGGATGGGGTTAGTTTGTATGTCACTTCGTCCCGGATTCTCTCTTGGGCCGCGGTAGTGCAACTATCTCTGACCCTCAGAGGGAAGGTTGGGTTATCACATCAGAAAATGAGGCTGGAGCCAGGCACAGTGGCTCATGCCTGTAATCCCAGCACTTTGGGAGGCCGAGGCAGGTGGATTACCTGAAGTCAGGAGTTTGAGACCAGCCTGGCCATCATGGTGAAACCCCGCCTCTACTGAAAATACAAACATTAGCCAGACATGCTGGCCTGTGCCTGTAATCCCAGCTATTTGGTAGGTCGAAGCAGGGGAATTGCTTGAACCTGGGAGGCAGAGGTTGCAATGAGCTGAGATTGCGCCACTGCACTCCAGCCTGGGCAACAGAGTGAGACTCCGTCTAAAAAAGAAAAAAAGAAAATGATGTTGGGACCAGGGTAGAAGAGTAAAGAAAGTAAACATACTGCTCTCTGCTGTAGCACCCAAGAGCGAGAAGGCCCAGCCCAATAGGAAAAAGGCTTTGGGAAAGTGTTGGGTTAGGGGCAGTGGCCCCATCTGTTGGAGATACTTGGTGAGCACCTCTCTTTCTCTTCACCTACCTGTCACTGGCATTTGTCCTCCTCACACAAGTTTCTTCTTCTTTCAGATCAGCTGGAGGAGCTAGAGAAGATATTCCAAGAAGACCACTATCCTGACAGTGATAAACGCCGAGAGATTGCCCAGACGGTGGGGGTGACCCCCCAGCGCATCATGGTAAAGGGGGCCGGCTCACTGGTGGCAGGGTGGAGTGGCGGAGGGCCCACCATTGAAACACTCGAATTGCAGAGTGAGCGCTCAGCGGTAGCCTGGGTAGGAGCTGAATTGAGGCCTCAGACGTGGCTGTGTCCCTGACTGTTTCCAGAGTGCCACAGCCTGAGAGCATTAGGAGAGGAAGGCACTGCAGAGACTTTTGATAAAACCAGCCTGACGGAGGGCTCAGAAGCAGAGTGCTGGAGTGACCTTCCAAAGTCCTGTAGCTCCTTGTGCAACAGCCAGGACCTAAGCCTCAGTCTCTGCCCCTCTTCTCCAGTTCTTCAAGCACCTTTCCCCCCATAGGTGTGGTTCCAGAATCGCCGGGCCAAGTGGCGAAAAATGGAGAAACTGAATGGGAAAGAAAGCAAGGACAATCCTGCAGCCCCTGGCCCTGCCAGCAGTCAATGCAGGTCAGAATTCCTCCTCTTTCTGTATCATCCCTGTGGGTAGAAGTGGGGTCCAAGCTGGGATCCTGAGGGTCTAGAAGGAGACCATTGGAAGGCTAGGCATGAGTCCTAGGGTTGCCAGCTAAGATTTAGAGGGATTTTGGCTGCCATGGGATCGGGAAGTTGCCAATGCCCTGTAGGAGGCAGAGTTTGGGAATTGGTGTCTCTCCTGGCAATGAGGCACCTGTGCAAATCCAGAGACCACCAAAGCTACAATCTTCATTCTTCCTGCCTCCAGCTCTGCAGCTGAGATCCTACCTGCTGTGCCCATGGAGCCAAAGCCTGACCCTTTCCCTCAGGAGTCCCCTCTGGATACCTTTCCAGGTGAGTTCCCACCTTCAGAGCTGGGGGAAAATGACAACTAAAGATAGTGAAGACAGGCCTTGTTTGATGGAGGTGGGAGTGACTGGAGTCCTCCAGTGTTTCAGCCAGCAGGGCCTATTCAGGGGGACCTGGGCATGGCTTGTGTCTACCATTCAGCGATGCCAAACCTGCCTCCCATTTCCTTACCGTTATAGCACCTCTTTGCCTTCTGTTCCTAGAGCCCCCCATGCTGCTGACTTCTGACCAGACTTTGGCCCCCACCCAACCCAGTGAGGGTGCTCAGAGGGTGGTGACCCCCCCACTCTTCAGCCCCCCACCTGTGCGAAGGGCCGATCTTCCTTTCCCCCTTGGCCCTGTCCACACCCCCCAACTGATGCCACTGCTGATGGATGTTGCTGGCAGTGACAGCAGCCACAAGGACGGCCCCTGTGGGTCCTGGGGGACAAGGTAAGGAACCTACGGGGGTAGGTCACTCTAGTTATCTGGGTGGGGGTAGGGGGGTGTAGATGGAGAGAAGATAGACACAGAGAGGAGAGGGTTAACTGAGAGGAGCACAGAGTGGTACAGGAGATGGGGATGAAAGGGATAAGGGGATCTGGGGAATGACCTGGGGGATCACAGCAATAGAGCAGAAACAAGGGTAAGATGCTAGGAGCGGGAGTGGGGAGAAGAGGCAGCTGCAGCAGCCTTGCAAGGCTGGGCTTACCATGGAGATGAGGAGGAGGCGAGAGGTAGGGACTCCGCTACTGTGGTAGGAACAGGGAGCTCCCCCACCCCTGCACCTCACCAGCTGTTCCTCTGTCCTTGCAGCATCACCCTGCCACCCCCCTGTTCATATTTGGAGGAGCTGGAGCCCCAGGATTACCAACAGAGCAACCAGCCAGGACCCCTCCAGTTCTCCCAGGCTCCACAGCCCCCGCTTTTCCAGTCCCCTCAGCCCAAGTTGCCCTACCTCCCCACTTTCCCCTTCTCCATGCCCAGTTCACTGACGCTTCCACCGCCCGAAGACTCTCTCTTTATGTTTCCCTGTGGCCCCAGCGGGGGCACATCGCAGGGCTATTGCCCAGGTGCCTCCTCAGGACAGATCCTGATGCAACCACCTGCTGGGAATATAGGTGAGTTGAGGCTGGGAGAGAAGGTCCCCTTGAGATTGAGGAAGGTGGGAGGGGACAAAGAGCCAAGTTATCTGGAGGGTAGACTGAGGCAGGTCATGGGTGGTGAATGAATCCTTCTGTTTGCCCCTAGTTCTATTAAGCTCTTCTCCCTCGAATTCTGCAGAGGCTGCAGAGCACAGTGAGAGTTAGCAGAGAACTCTGGAGTTTGGCATCAGGAAAACAGGCTTGAAGTCCAGCTCAGCCAGTTACTAGCTCTCCTGAGTCTCAGTTTCTGGGACTCTGAAATGGGACTCACAGTTCTATGTCAGGGAGGGACTTGGTGAGGATTAGATACAATAGGAGTGAAAATATTTGGCCTAGAGTAGATGGCAGCTAATATTCTGCTGGGCCACTTGGACCTCTGAAATCCCAGAAACATCTGTCATATTAAGACTAGATTCTAGCAGAAGGGGAGGAAAGATCAGGTGGTTCCTGGTCTCCTTGTTGCATGTACGAAACAGCATTGGCCTGATCCATGGTTCACTTTGTGTCAATGTTACTAAACCACAGGACCTTGAGTGCTGGAGCCTGTGTGGTCCTAAGGACAGACCCCGAGGCTAGAGTTTGACCCAGACTTACACTGAGGTCCTAAGCTGCGTCTATGTGTGTTGGGGCACGGGGGGATCTGTTGTAGAACACTGTTAATGATAGTTGATACTCTCCATCCTGTCTGGTAATTCCTACACCCTCCGACCCCACAGGTACAGCCTCCTGGAGTGACCCCTGTTTGCCAGAGCTGCCCTTCCCTGGTCCGTTCTGCCCACAAGCTCTGGGGCATCCCCCAGGAGGGGATGGCTACTTTCCTGATCTATTTCCAACTCCCTGCCCCCAGGCTCTGGGCAGGCAGCCTTCGTCAGCTCTCTCATGGATGCCTGAAGGGGCCAGACCAGGGACTGGGCCCTTACTCAGCAAGGCAAAAGAGGAACCACCAGCTGCTTCCCTGGATCAGCCCTCAGCACTGGAGGAGGCCAGAGGGGATGACAAGAATAGCCATGTCCCCTAGTTGGGGGGTCAAAGAGTGAAAAGAGGCTGCTTGGGTGGGATAGGATTGGGCTCGCTGAGAGGACAGGGGTTGGGGGTTTGGGAAAGAGTGTGGACTCTGTAGACTGAGGGGAGAGTTAGACGTTTCCCCTGTGTAGGCTCGTCTTGTTGATATGAGAAGGAAGAAAGAGGGCTGGCGCTTCCCTTTTCTTCACACTCTGTGTGGGGGTCCTGAAGGAAGCAGGTGGCCTGTGTTACTTCTGAATGTTGTATCAGGTGTTTTTGTTTGTTTCCTATCCTTGCTTGACAAATGAGCTGGAGTGTCCACCGTAAGCAGTAAACTAGTCCGTCCTGCGGTTTTCTCTGTGGTTATGTGTCTCCATTATGTGTCTCCACACTCACACTAATGAAGAGCTCCATTTTCGTCCTTTTATTCCACTTGGCTGAGCAGTCATTGGATGCCATTCTCAAGTGGGCACCACCAGGCATGACCACATGGAGGGCCTCTTCCCTGGGCTCATCTCTCCCACTAAAGAAGGAACTGGGCATCTTGGGCTTTTCCTTCGGTCCTGACATTTAACCATATTCTATTCCCAAACCCATGACTGACTCTGAGCAAATCTGAGTCTGGGCCTTTCTCTGGAAGTTGGGCCCCATAGGGACAGGATCACAAGAGAAGCCTGAGAATATCTGAAGTCACTTCTCTAGTATTGTGAACTAGGACTTATTTTCCCACAGCTCTTGTTTTTGTGTATGGGGGGCGGGGCTGGGGAGCACTCCGAGGATAGCAAGTAGACAGTTCTCTCCCGCACAGGAGGATGTGACAGCATCCCCAGACTATAATGGCCCAGACCTCACTGGGCCAGGACGAAGGGTCCAGAATGTTCTCTGTCTCTCCCACCCTAGCTTGCAGAGGCACCAAAAGACACTTTGCTAAGCACCTTGAGAGATCACCCCCTAAAATGATCACCAACCATTTCATGCTTAACTCTCACCCATAGACTGCAATTTTACCTCCTCCATTTGTTTATGGTTACCGTTTGAGGTTGGGTGCTAATCTCGGGAGGTTTGGTTATAGGTTGAGATGTAGGAAGAGGAGGGAACAAGAGAGAACTTAACCAAAGATGGAGAATGCTCCCTAGATGTCTGCACAAGGGGTCAGGAGCTCAGGAAAGAATGGACACTGACTGAGGATGTACCACCCTCCTGTTCCATTGCACAGAGTGATTCTGCATCCACATTGAACTTGAATAGCTTCCTTCCGTCCTCTGGTGGTGAGCCAAATTAGGCAAATGACAAATTAGGCAATGAAGGAAGAAACATCAATTAGACCTTATTGGTTCTATGCTTGAGATCCTGCTTTAGTATGTTAAGGGCTAAAGGGAGCATGAGAAGGAGGGTAAACAACCAATTTGTATAAAAAGAGAAGTGGGTGGTGCCTGGGAGAAGGGCGAGATGGGACTGAAAAGGACCAGAAAGATGAATGAAGGGTGAAGACAGTAGTATAAGAAGCAGCAAAACATTGACTGGGTGATGAAAGAGAAAGATAACCACAGAAGAAAAATCTATCCTAAAATACATCTAAACAGAAAAGAAAAGGTAAGGCACAGATCTGGAGATTGGAGGAAAGGGACCTGAGGGGTACTAAAGTAGGAAAGAACAGGTCAGGAAGGGAACAAAGGAAAGAGGCTAGGGGGCAGGAGAGACAGGAGATGGCACAGGAGTCAGAAAGTGGAATGGAAAACGAGCAGAGAAAGGCCGGGCGCGGTGGCTCACGCCTGTAATCCCAGCACTTTGGGAGGCCGAGGCAGGTGGATCACGAGGTCAGGAGATCGAGACCATCCTGGCTAACATGGTGAAACCCCGTCTCTACTAAAAATCCAAAAAAAAAAAAAAAAAAAAAAATTAGCCAGGTGTGGTGGCGGGTGCCTGTAGTCCCAGCTACTCAGGAGGCTGAGGCAGGAGAATGGGGTGAACCTGGGAGGTGGAGCTTGGCTTGCAGTGAGCCGAGATCCCGCCACTGCACTTCAGCCTGGGAGACAGAGCGAGACTCCATCTCAAAAAAAAAAAAAAAAAAAAGCTGAAGGGACAGGAAGATGAATATGAAAAGGGGGAGAGTCAGTAAATAGTTATAAAGATCAATGTCCTCCTAATAGATAAAGAAGAGGAGTGTTTAGGGATTAGAGAGGTGTGATTAAAACAATAGATAAGTGCAAGCCAATGAGAAAATGTCTCTGAAAGAATGCAGAAATCCACCAGAGGGGCAGAAGTCAGGAGAAAACCAGAAGGTCGACTTGGCGGATATGTGATGGAGATTGTAATAGCCAGGTTTCAGTACCCTTAATTTAGGGATTAGGATATGTATTTGTTAAATTGTGAAATGTTTTATGATGCATAACAACTGAGTTTTTAAAAGTATATATTTACATATCTCATTTTGTTTTCACATTCTGTCTCATGAGGCTCATGAAATGAACAGCCTAAAGACAGACATAGGGCAAAATAGATGGAAGACTGTAACTGCTCTTTCTATTAATCACCAGAGCATTCTGTTGCTTTCAAAGCCCTACATGGTGGCTGGATATTTTCTCCTCCAGATCTTAATTGGTTCATGCTCCCGCTATTCAATGATTAGCAGCACCTTTGTATGGAGCAAATACAGCATCTAACACCAAGAATCGAACGGAAATCAACTTTGACATCTGTCCTTACATGCAACTCTTAGATAAAAAGTGTTGATTTAATAGTATACTAAAAATAAAATGAATTGAGAATTAAAAACAAACACTAAACAAAGAGAAAATCGTGAAAACTTCTTAGAAGCATGGAAACTTAGGGGTGAAAGAAAAAATCCAAGCTCCTGACTTGCAGGAATCTCTTCTACCCACCATTGATGGGGCATCATTCAGTATTGTTTTCCCAGTGGAGGGCCCGAGGCTTGGGGCTAACTCCCTTTCACAAGAACCTGCAGAATTTTTGAAGAGCTTTATTATAAAATTCTTCTACTAGAAATAAACCAATATCTTGTTTGATTGATCTGGGTTTTGTTTTCCAAGTACTACAAAAAATAAATCACAAATCTAAGGACTGTATATCATTCCTATTATAAAAGCTTTGCCTTCTACAGGTGATGGTGGGAGCTCTGTCTGCTAGCCCTCATGGGGCTCGGGCTCCAGGCTCTTTGCCACCCCGTATGCCTCTTTTCAAATAAATGTGAGTTTGCCCATGTTCCTTTTAGGAGTGGTGTCAGAAATGAAGCCTACTTTGAATGTGGTCTGGTCAACATTTTGGTACAGCTGTCATCTCCATTAAATAGGATACCCTACAAATGGTGTCTCTATTAAAACACATTAGCATTTTTGTGCAGCTGGTTCATATTCTTGGTCCAAAACTATGACCTCTAGGTCATTTAAATAGAAGCTGTTTTAAAGGCAGTTCACCCTCCTCATTTTGCACTTGGAGAATTAACATTTCTAATCTAAACATACAGAGATTTATATGGCCTGTTCAGTTTCATTTTGTTAATTTTAGCCCAATATTGAGCTTAAGATGCTCTGGAGTTCTTATATAATATTAGCCATTTTTTTGCAGTTTTGTTCTGCCTGCAGATCTGATCAATATGTTTTACACATTTTATAATCAAATCATTAATAAATTAGTAAACAGAATATAGGTCAGCACAGGACATTTTGGTACTCCTCTTTGAAAATACTCCATTAATGGGTACTTCTTTTTTTGTATAGAGGGTTAAACTAGCTACAAATCTTCCTTAACTGTATTATCATCCCATACCATCCTTTACTATCTCCCTCAAGGATTTAGGAATAAAACTCCTCTATGATTCAATAAAATCAAAAACATATTCTCTGTATAGCACTCTGATAATATAACATTCTTGTAAACCTAAATATATAACAAATGAGACAGATTAGTTTAGAACACCTGTTGTCTTTTCTGGCTAATTTTTACCTAAGTGTTCATAAGCCACTTTTCAAGAATCTCATAGAATTCCATAAGATTTTACATTAAATTTATTGTCCTTTAGTTTCAACAAATCATGTCATTGGAAATTAGGATATTTGCCTCTAGTAAGTCTTAGAAACCCTCTCTTGTCCTATACTAGAAAACATATAGGATGATTTAAAAGTTATAAGGCTCCAATTTGGGTTTTTAAGTCCATCTTAGTATTATTTTTTTTTTTTGTCCAACTCTTTTTTTTTTTTTTTGAGACAGAGTCTCACCCTGTTGCCCAGGCTGAAGTGCAATTGCATGATCTCGGCTCACTGCAACCTCTGCCTCCCGGGTTCAGGCGATTCTCCTGCCTCAGACTCCCGAGTAGCTGGGATTACAGGCACGTGCCACCACGCCCAGCTACTTTTTGTATTTTTAGTAGAGATGGGGTTACACCATGTTGGCCAGGCTGGTCTCAATCTCTTGACCTCGTGATCCACCTGCCTCGGCCTCCCAAAGTGCTGGGATTACAGGCATGAGCCACTGCGCCCGGCCCAACTCTTTTAATTTCTAGAATATTTTCATTTCTTTGGGAAGATAGTCTGAAATAAAACTCAAGTGCATCTGCTGTGTTTGTATTGTATGTTGACATTATGATGTCTGCCCGCAGGAGTACATTTCTCTTTTCTCTCTCCTTCCTGTCCCAAGTTTGGCTTTATTATTATCATTGCTAGTGTTACTGTTCGTATTGGTCTTCAGCATGCTTGCAGAGCGGAGTTTCTTCCAGGCTTCTCACTTTGAGATACCGTCTTTGGAATTCCAGTGTGTGCTTTCTTTTAACTTTTGCATTTTTTCAACCTTTTCAAGATCTGAGCTTGCCTGTGTAGCCAGCCACACTGTCACCTTTTGGATGACTTCCTTTGTCGCTGGTTGTAACGATGAGTGATTATATCTTTACAATTTTGTTTCTGATAGTTCCACATCACTTTGAGCCATCCTCAGGTGGAAGAATCTTGCGCTTCTTACAGGAAGCTCTAGCTTTTGCTCTGGTTTTGCGTGGAGAGGGAGCAAAGTTTCTGCATGCTGGAATGGAACAATGGTCCAGGCACTCTGCTTAGAACACGAGGTAAACGCATTTCAGCCTTGCTCCTATTCCATCTGCTTCCTACCCTCCCTTCCCCCCACCCATGTCCTCCTCGTTTAACAGTGCAACCTCAGGACTTTGCAGTTGGCCAGAGCGGAATCCTTCCTGGCAAACTCCGGAAAAAAAACCAAAAAACAAAAAACAAAAAATCTGTCCAGTCCTCCAATTTTAGCTTTCACTACTAATATCTTTCCACTAGATGGCAATCTACCACCAGTTTCACTGTGGCCCTAAACTACTCTGGTTGTTTACAGCAAGAAGAGTCCACGCGAATCTTCCTCAATTCTTTCTCCAAAATGCCCCAGAGCCCCATCCTGTCAATAATATCGGGCTCAAAGTTGTTGAAGTCATTTGGGTTATAGCTTGGTTTTCCAGATAAAAAAAAGGATGTGCAGTTAACTTCGAATTTCAGAAAAACAACAAATAATTTTGTAGCATAAGCCTGTTCCCTGCACACTATTTGGATATCTTGCATTTTTAATTTTTTTTTTTTTTTTTTTTTTTGCTAAACCTGGCAAATCCTAGTTGTAGCACTTTGCTAAGGACATCTACATCCATGTTAGTTTTGCAGTTCAAACAGATAATCCTGAAGTTGGCCTCCATGTTTTACCCAACTTTCTTACTGTTCAGACGCCTAGGCAGCCCTGGGTTCACTGCTGGCATTTTAGTAACTCCTCACCCCACCCCTCACCATTAGGACTCTCATAGAGGCTCTGCAACTGTCCAAAAAAATCATTTCCTTTCATGTTCTAAAACTGTTTGATCCCCATTCTATTTTTTGTTCCTGTAGGCTGAATATTTTTTTAATTTTGAGACAGAGTCTCACTCTGTTACCCAGGCTGGAGTGTAGTGGTATGATCATGGCTTACTGCAGCCTTGACCTCCTGAACTCAAGCAACCCTGTCGCCTCAGCCTCCCGAGCAGCTAGGACTACAGGCAAGCACCACCACGCCCGGCTAAATTTTTGATATTTTGTAGAGTTGGGGTCTCACTATGTTACCCAGACTGAGCTCAAGTGATCCTCCTGCCTTGGCTTCCCAAAGTTCTGGGATTACAGGCCTGAGCCACTTCACCTGGCCCTGAATCTTTTATATTAGTTATTCAGATAATTTTATGAGATAGCCCATTAGAATTAATTTTAAATGTCTATTTAAATATTATTTGCGGAAATGGAACACAAAACAGAAACAGGCTACAAAAGACAATTAGGCTTTTGTTGGCCCCACTCCAAGTAAATGGTCTTTATTAGTCAACAGCAAATCTGCTTCCCTGGAAATGATGCACCTTCTTCATTCACCCCCAAGTGCTGATATTCGAGTCCAGAGGGCCAGTCCGGGAGATTCAGCGTTCTTGTGTTTGTAGTTTAGTTCATACTGTTCTTTCATAAATATCCTTTCATTTGAGTTTATAACAAAGCCCTGAGATATAGGGCAGACATCCATTCCATCAGGTGACGGGGGTTTACAGGCACAGACAGTACTGGGTCAGCACAAAGATAAACAAAATCTCGTCTCAGCTTTCAGGGAACTGCCACTCTCTCTGGGGAGTCTGACAATCACATGACCAGTTACAATACAGGGGGCCAATGCTGTGAGGTGCCAGCCTGGGAACAAAGAGTGGCAGGAACTCAAATGGAGGAAAAGCCACGTAAGAAAGCTCTAGAGTCTAAGGCATTAAAGCTAGCTCGTGAAGGAACAGTGGAATCTGGATAAGCAGAGGAAGGAAGGAAGGATATTTCAGGCAGAAAGTATAGCCAGTATAAGACCACTGAGATTGGTAAGAGGATGAGAGAGATGCTCAGAGTGGTAGGGTTTGAGTGGAGGGGCTGGGGTGGCAGATGAGGCTGGCAGGGAGATTGGGAAAGGCCTCACACGATGCTGAGTGTTTGCATGTATTCTTTGGGCAAACAGTGGCACTGGCAGTTTTAACTCATGGGCATGACTCGCCCACATTTGTGTTTTAGAAAGTTGAACAGGCCGGGCACGGTGGCTCATGCCTGTAATCCCAGCACTTTGGGAGGCTGAGGTGGGAGGATCACGAGGTCAAGAGATTGAGATGATCCTGGCCAACATGGTGAAACCCCGTCTCTACCAAAAATACAAAAAATAGCTGGGCATGGTGGTGTGTGCCTGTAGTCCCAGCTACTCAGGAGGCTGAGGCAGGAGAATTGCTTGAACCCAGGAGGTGGAGGTTGCAGTGAGCCGAGATTGCTCCACTGCACTCCAGCCTAGTGACAGAGCGAGACTCTGTCTCAAAAAAAAAAAAAAAAAAAAAAAAGAAAGTTGAACAGAGAATGAGATTGATAGAAGGAAAGAGGAGATGCAGGGACATAATCCAAGGCTGCTGAGACAGCCTCACTGAGAGATGTGTAGAGTAGGGCAGGGTGAAGAGAGAAGAGCGAACAGACTTGAGGAATATTTTGAGATGGAGTTTCACTTTTGTTGCCCAGGCTGGAGTGCAATGGCACTATCTTGGTTCACTGCAAACTCCGCCTCCCAGGTTCAAGCGATTCTCCTGCCTCAGCCTCCGAAGTAGCTGGGATTACAGGTATGCGCCACCACACCTGGCTAATTTTGTATTTTTAGTACAGACAGGGTTTCACCATGTTGGTCAGGATGGTCTCGACCTCCTGACCTCAGATGATCCACCCACCTCAGCCTCCCGAAGTGCCGGGATTATAGGTGTGAGCCACTGTGCCCAGCTTTGACGAATATTTAAGTCAGAATCAATATAATGTGGTAGATAATTAACTGAAAGAAAATAAGACTTTGGTAACTAAGAAATGCTATAATTGAGAAAAAATAATGGAGATTGTATTATGCCATTTTTGCATTGCTAGGCTGGGTAAATAAAAGAAGTTTAACTGGCTCACGGTTCTGCAGGCTGTACAGGAACCATGGTGGCGGCATTTGCCTGGTGAGGGTCTCAGAAAGTGCAGGGTCATGGCGAAGGCAAAGGGAGAGCAGGAACAAGCAAGGGAAGAGGAGGAGGGTGCCACACTCCTTTAAACAACCAGATGACCATATATGGCATGAAATCAAAGCGAGAACTCAGTCATGATTGCAAGGCAGCACCAAGCTATTCATGAGGGATCCTCCCCCATGACCCAAACACCTTCTACCAGGCCCCACCTCCAACATTGGGAATTACATTTCAACGTAAGATTTGGAAGGGACAAACATCCAGACCATATCAGAGATGAAGCAAATTTAGGGAAAAGGAGAGTTCGTTTATATATGTTGAGGATAAAATTTCTGTAGTTATCTGGTTAGATAAGTGGTTATCTGGGTAGAGTAGGGTCTGTAAGTTCCCCCCATAGGGTAGAACTTACAGATCTTTGTTGTAAGAAAAATATAGAACTAGGGTCTGTAACAGAGACAAGGACTAAAAAGACCAAAGGCAGCTCTTAGGCCTATTCAGCATAGAGAACACTAGTTCAAGTCAAGAGAAAGTCACGCAGGCACAGCACGTAGCAGGAAGAAAACTGGTCTTAGGCAGGCTCACTATGTTTCCTACGGAAAGAACAACATAGTGAAGGAGCACTGGGCAGAAGAAAAAGTGGCATTGATAATGGGTCAGGGACAGCCTGAGAGTACAAGTAGAAAGAGCTCCAAGAGGTGCTGGATTGGGAAATGATCAAAAGCCCAAACAGGGCCATAGGTCCTGGGGAGGGAGGTTGAACAGGTGTGAAAATATAAATGCAATTATCCAAATTCACAGAGCAAGAAACAGGTTTAAACGATTACCTAAAAATGCCTTAACCAAGGTCAGGTGTGGTGGCTCATGCCTGTAATCCAGCACTTTAGGAGGCCGAGGTGGGAGGATGACTTGAGTCCAGGAGTTCAAGACCAGCCTGGGCAATATAGCGAGACCACCCCCCCCTCCCAACCCCCATCTCTATTTTAAAAATTATCTTACAATTATCTTTTAAGAAAATGAAATTAAAATAAATGCCTTGACCAAGTCTAGATAGAAGTCTTTTAGTTTTTTATTCTCCACTTCAGCAAGTGCAGATAGAAGAGTCTTGCTTTGGGAATGCTAATATATCTTTGAAAAAACTGAAAGAGCCTTAACAAGTAAAAGGCTATAAATGATAGCCAATTTTGTGTGCTTGTATGTTTTACAAAACCATCAGGAGCTGAAATAGCTTACTTAATCCAGAAATTGGTCCTTAGGCAAAATATTAATGATGATGCTAGCTATTTATTTGGCATTCATCATGTATCTAGCTCTCTGCTAGGTAATTTTATTTCACAACCACCGTATAAGGTATTCTTTATTTGACAACTGAAAATCTGAGACTCAGAGAGATTGAAGTTATTTGCCCAAAGTTGCAAAAGGAATACATTCTGGACATGATTTAAGCCCATTCATGAGGTGTCAACTGCAATAAGCAATGTCTAGTGATAGTTTTAGAAGGAGGTGTTAAAGAAGGTCAAAAGCTGGGATTGGGTGGGACATGTCAGAAAAGAGTGGGTATAAGCTAGATTTGAGCTAGAATCAAATCTTTCCACAGGCCCTGGGTCTGTGTTTAAATAACTTAAATACTCAGTACTGTTTAGTTTGATTTAAAAAGAAATAGACACATTATTGTGATATGTAAGAGGCAAGAGAGAATAGTCGTCAAAGGGAGCAGGAAGCTGAATGTTCCAAAACTAGAAAGGGAGTTGGGATGTGTGAGAAGAACAGGTAGTGAGGTTAGTGAACGTGTAACCTAAGGAGCAGTGTGAGAAACAGAGGGGGCTCATGGACGCTGGATGGCTAGGTTGGGCCCAGCATTATTACCTGGTAGACAACGAGAGGGGTAAATAATATAAAGTCAAATTTGAGACTGTGGAACACTCTTCCAGATAGATTGTGGGTGAAAAGACTGAGAGTAGATGGACCAGTGGGGAAGTCATTCCAGTACCCAGAGATGAGGGGACCGAGACCAAAACAGCAGTAGGGAAATAGGAAAGCAGTCAATGTGATCAATGCTGTGAAGAAATCAATGAGTTGACTGCATGAGTGAGGAGGAGAGAATATCAAACGGACTCTGGGTTTCAGAGCCCAGGCATCTGGGAGTAAGATGTGCAAAATACACAAGCCCAGGGGAGGAGTTGGTGTCAGACCCAGGGTTGTGGCATCTACACCTTACTTGCTTCTTCATTCTGTAGCCTTTACATTTTATTTGTTTCTTCATCTCATTACCCTGGCAGGTTGCCTCACATACATTCCTACTGCCACAGCTTCATTATCTAAGAATGGAATTTCCACCCACAGAGATTCTAGAGTGCTTTCTGGTACACTTTCATTCTATTGGTTTTTATGTCATTCTTTCCACATAATTCTACCCAAAGTGCCCCTTCTCAAGCTCCTGCACCCTTACCCCAACCCATATTCATCTAGCCTGCCAGGGATACAATCCTCTGTTTCTCAAAAGCCCCTTCATCTGAGCTACCAACCACAACAAGCATTTAATGTTTCCAAGCATTCCAATTTGACTATTTCATTATTTCACTTCATTGCCCCATACAAAACAGATTGTTCATTTTAGTCTGACTTTTCTATTACTTCCTATAAATTACTTAAATTGGTGAGATCAGGTATATTTTCATACCCGATAAACAAAAAATGTTCCCAGAACCATATTCAAAAGATGACTGTCAAACACTTTAAAAAAATATACATTTGGCAGGGTGCAGTGGCTCATGCCTGTAATCCCAGCACTTTGGGAGGCCAAGGTGGGAGGATCACTTGAGTTCAGGAGTTCAAGACCAGCCTGGGTGACATAGCAAGACCTCATCTCTACTAGAAATCAAAAAAATTAGTTGGGCATGGTGGCACACGCCTGTAGTCCCAGCTACTCTGGGAGGCTGAGGTGGGAGAATTACTTGAGCCCAGGAAGTCAAAACTGCAGTAAGCTGACATTATGCCACTGTACTCTAGCCTGGGCAAGAGTGACATCCTATCTCAATATATATATTCATTTCTCTTGGTTTCTTAACTGGAACACACCTTATCTTTTTCCCCTAATATTTGTTAATGCAAATATTATTTTATTTAATCCATTTTTTTGAGACAGGGTCTTGCTGTGTTGTCCAGGCTGGAATGCAGTGGCGTGATCATGGCTCACTGCAGCCTCAACCTCCTGAGCTCAAGCTATCCTCTCACTTCAGCCTCCCCAGTAGCTGGGACTACAGGTGCATACCACCACACCTGGCTAATTTTTAAATTTTTTGTAGAGATGGGGCTTTGCCATGTTGCCCAAGCTGGTCTTAAACTCCTGGGCCCAAGGGATCTGCCCACCTTAGCCTCCCAAAGTGTTGGGATTACAGAGGTGAGCCACTGAGCCCATCACAAGTATTATTTTATTTCGGGGAGGAAGCCCAGTCTTACTGCATAAATCCCATTTCTCCCAAAGATCTGTTTGTACTCTCCTCCCTTGAATCTAAGCAGCCACCTCTACACACACACACACACACACACACACACACACACACACACACAGAGGACTCTTCAGTTCTTTAAGGCCCTGCTTGTGCAAGGACAATGAACTGCTTTGAAAACACCACCTTGATTCGTGTTTTCTGGATCATGTTGCCTGACTAAGCTCAATTCCATAACCCAAACCTGCTTATTAACAATTCCACAAGTCTGACCACCACCTCCTCCTGCTCTCTCAAAAATATTCTGCCTGTGCATTTTCTGTTCACTCAACCTTTGCAGTGTATGGCAGGTCACCTTCACCCTTTGGGTGATGAGCACAAGCTCAGCAGGTCACTTGCTTACATCCTAGCAGTGGACATAGAGCTGGACAAATCTGTCCTTTATAAGCAACCGACTGTATGACCTTAGGTAAATCACTTCCCCTCTCCAGGCTCCACTGTAACCAGTGAGGGTGTTAGACACAAAGACTTTCAAGGTTCTTTCAAATCCAGCAGTGGATAATTTTCTCATTTGCACCACACGTTGATCTCAATAAGAAAGTACTTTAGAACGGGCTGGCTGAGTCCCACTGAGGGCCCATCATTTCTTTGCTTTCTGCATTTCCCTTTTCTCCCTGAGACTGTCTGCTTCTGGGATAGCCTACAGTCTGTCCTGTTGAGCTGCTATGACTCTCCCACAATATCCCACGGTCTGTTGCTCTTGCCCACCCTTTCCCCAACAGTCTGAATGTTCTCCCTGGTGCTCAGGAGCCCCTTGGTCTGAGCAAATGCAGAGCCCCCATCTCAGCACACCATGTGGACTGGCTCCCTCTCTCCTTCTGGGTTTCCATCTGCATTGTTCAGAGCTAGTTGCCTCTCTGAAATGCTCAGGTAAACTGCCAGAAAATATTCATCTGCCCCTTGGTGCTCCTGGAGAATGCTGTGAGCCAGACGCAGCCCCTCCCTAGAGCAAGTTCTACCCTCAGCCCATGACTCATTCATGGAGCAGCAGACACCAGCTACCCCCACCCCAGCAGCGCGGAAAAAGTTTGTAACGCACACCAACCCGGCTCCTTTCCTACACAGATGCCCCACTCACAGCCACCCAGAATCAACAACCTCACTCACTCACCTTCACTGCCCGAGTTTTGTCTGTGCCCTTAGCCTCGTTTTTGCGACGCTCCTTGGGAACTGCAGGGTGAATGGATGCTCTTCCAAGGAAGAAGCTAGGGAAATTTCCACTCCATGACTGTCATTTACAATGGGCGGGTTGGAAAAAATGGGTCAAAGACTATTAAGCATAGAGAATGTTTTCTAAATCTAAGCAAGAAGTGCATTTGAATCACGACTGAGTTTGGCATCTGTCTCTCTTCAGCTCATTTACTCATAACCTTCGGCCCTTCCACACACCTGACTTCAGAGTTAGAAGATTACCCTCAACTACAGGCTTGGAACTGCTGTAATCACACAGCTTCTGAGTCATGTTTACAGCCAGTGTGGCTCTGGGGTCACTGGACTGTGTTAGCGATAGAGCAGAGTTACCACCACAAAAGATATTTACGTGTAAGTCTGAAACATCAACAAGTATAAACCTGCACAAGTCTCAGTGGTGTGTCTTGAGGGGATGGGTGGGGAATAACTGTCTGTGAAGGGCCACTATATCAAAACACTGGAATTCTCATTTGACCCCATAAACAAGAGGAGTTTATGATAAGGGCAACATCACTAAATACTTAAAAAGCACACAGACTATCAAGAATAGACCAGGCCGGGCACGGTGGCTCACGCCTGTAATCCCAGCACTTTGGGAGGCCAAGGTGGGTGAATCACGAGGTCAGGAGTTCGAGACCAGCCTGGCCAAGATTGTGAAACCCCGTCTCTACTAAAAATACAAAAATTATTTTGTGGCATGCGCCTGTAATCCCAGCTACACGGGAGGCTGAGGCAGGAGAATTGCTTGAACCCAGGGGCCGGAGGTTGCAGTGAACTGAGACCGCTCCACTGCACTCCAGCTTGGGTGACAGAGCAAGACTCCATTTCAGGGAAAAAAAAAAAAAGAACAGACCAACATGAGGTCCCTCAGGGAATCAAGTTTATTTAAGGGGGTAAATATGTGTGCAAAGGAAGGGGAACCAGCAAATGTAATCAGGGTTTTAAAAGACATTTTGTTGTTGTTGTTGTTTTTTGGGGGATGGAGTCTCACACTGTTGCCCAGGCTGGAGCGCAGTGGCGTGATCTCAGCTCACTGCAAGCTCCACCTCCCGGGTTCACACCATTCTCCTGCCTCAGCCTCCCGAGTAGCTGGGACTACAGGCACCTGCCACCATGCCCGGCTAATTTTTTGTATTTTTAGTAGAGACGGGGTTTCACCTGGTTAGCCAGGATGGTCTCAATCTCCTGATCTCGTGATCTGCCCGCCTCAGCCTCCCAAAGTGCTGGGATTACAGGCGTGAGCCACTGTACCCAGCCTTAAAAGACTTTTTAACCACTTCTATCCTAAAGGCTAATTTAAAACAAAATCAGTCATAGAACTCAGATTCATTTTATCTGTCATGGATATAAAAGTTATTTGAGACAAAAAACAAAATTAGGGAAAATAAACACATATTAAACGGTGTGCCTTCCAGATACTTGCAGGCTGGTCTTATTAAAATCACTATAAATGGCCAAGACAGAGCAAGTAGTGCACAGCTAAAAGCTAAAGGTCATAGTTAACTTTAAGTAAAAGTTGGTAGTAAAAATAAACTTAAAAAAATAGCTTTCTAAGCTGTGTGCTTAGGCAAAAATGACAGAAGTCCAGTGTGGTCAAGTGCACAAATAAAATAATTGAGCACACATCTATATGATTTTAAGCTCCAAGCATATTACAATTCAGAAAAGGTTCTATGAATAGAACTATTTTTGTCTCCTGAAGACACTACTCAATGCATTGTTTTGCTTAAGAAAACAACAAAATACTGTATAATCATACATGCTTCAAATGCAGTTCTGTCCAAAAAGTCTTGGTTAATGATTGTTTTCATAATCTCTTTTAAGAAATGGCCATGTAATGGTTCCAGTAATCACTGAAGAAGTTGAGTTCAATTCTGGAAATTTGAAGACGGAGAGGACAATGAGTGAACCTATATTCAATTTTTCTAAACCTAAAGTATAGTTCAGTAATTCAACCGAAGAGACATTACTCATATCTAAATTTCTCTTTTTCTTTTTTTAACCAAGGACTTAAAAGACAGGTAAAGCCTAATGCTTTCTAATATCCCAGATTAGGTGAGTATAACCCAATTAAATGAATACATATTAAAAATCTAAAGAATAGTTTTAGTTAGAAGTCTTACAGAACTTATGTTCAAAAGGATGAGAAAGCCTTAACAACTTCAAGCAAAGCAGCAGCCATGCAACTCAAAAAAATTATTTGCATTCAGAAGCTGCTATTGTACCTCTCTGAGAAAATAATGGAGAATTTGCCTTGAAAATAATATAGGGCTGGATATGGAACTGTTTGAGCCATATGGCCAGTATTCAAATACTGGTTTGTACAAATAGTTTGGATTATAATTATTGTTATTGCAATCAATATGAATCAATTATTATTTTATATGTTAGTATATGCAAATTATAGCATATACAAATAATATATGTTATTTACTTTAAAAATCTGGCTTTTTGAAAAGAGTGAAAAACCTCAATTGAACTTCTCTAAAACCATCCTGTTTTGGATATTTTAGCAATGTCATCTTGTTTATGATAAAATAATATTAGCCCACAACATTTTTTTTTTTGACATGGAGTCTCACTCTGTTGCCCAGGCTGGAGTGCAGTGGCACAATTTTGGCTCAGTGCAGCCTCTGACTCCTGGGTTCCAGCAATTCTCCTGCCTCAGCCTCCTGGGTAGCTGGGATTACAGGCATGCACCACCATGCCCAGCTAATTTTTGTATTTTTAGTAGAGACAGGGTTTCACCATGTTGGCTAGGCTGGTCTCGAACTCCTGACCTCAGGTGATCCACCCGCCTCGGCCTCCAAAGCGCTAGGGTTACAGTCATGAGCCACCACATCCAGCCTAGCCCACATCTTAATGGTTATGGTGATGATTTTTTTCAACATAAAGTAAACTGGCCAAACACAGTGGCTCACACCTGTAATCCCAGTACTTTGGGAGGCCAAGTCAGGAGAATTGCTTAAGGCCAGGAGTTTGAGACCAGCCTGGGCAGCATAGCAAGATCCTGTCTCTACAAAAAAATTAATTAAACTTAAAACATTTAAAAAATAAAAAATTAAGCAAGCTAACATGTTAGGATACATTGAAAACAGTGTGTGTTATTAAAAGGACGACAAATATGTCACATCATTGTTAAGTGGGCCTAGGACAAATTTTATAGCATCATTCTTACCTCTGTACGAGGCTGCAATGCAATTCTACTTTTGAGCCTCCTAAATATGAAACAGAGTAGTAGAGTATCAAAGGAAGGACTATTATAGATGAAAAGATGGCATAAAAGATGACTATGGTATTGTTATATATGGATGCTAATGAGAAAAAAATTTAGTCATATTCTTCAACTGAGACAGGCAACCTGAAAGAAACTAGAGAATAACACATTTGTTAGAGTTAAGTAGGGCTTTGGACGTTACTTGGTTCAAGCCCATGTTTTACATTTCAGGGCACAGAGACACAGAAGGGTTGAACTGTGGCAGTGTGGGGCCTGCAGTTTGGGTCTTGTGACTTGGATCCCAGGCCTCTTTCCATTCTGCCTTTCACAAAGAAGAAAGCTAAAGCAGCTGAGAAGATATTTTCACAATAATTCAGGTCACAATATAAAATCATGGATGGTCCGAGTCGGATTTGCCCAATCCACCCAAACTAGTCTATACCTATACCTTATGGGTACAGCAAAGATGGGGTTTTCATCACCTATCAATTACTTCTAACTTTTTCTACAACCTTTGAAGCTGTAACAAGCAGAAAATCTGTCCAAACTCTCAGGGGTCAGAAAGCAGGAGTCAGGAACTGCCATCACCTATGCACCACCTTAGACTTTTATGACACCTAAACCCAACAGGCAGGAACTCTCGGGATTCCATGTTTTGAACCTTTTTCAGTGCTGAGGAGTTTGAGAAGAAAATACTCGGAGAAGTGCCAAGTTTATTAGAGTGAGAGAGTATCACCCTCACATTGCCACCAACAGACATAGATCTCAGAGACACACTGACCTTGCACCATAATTATGGTGAGTTTCTAGGTTAGAAGATACCTTAGAGGTCACCGGGCTGACCCTCCCATCTGATGTGTTAACCCCTCTTAAACATCTCCCTCCAGGAGACTGAGGTGAGATTCTGTTTAACATACGGCTATCACTGAAACTCTGGCCAGCTCTGAATCTGCACCCTGGAGGCGGAGAATGTTTAAGCACTATAAGGCAGTAGAAGGAAAGTTCCTTGGCTCAGGCCCCAATGGTCCCCCTTTTTTTAATGATGAAAGGTTCCCAGAGTCCAGTGCAAAGTCCCTCGAAATCCCCCCCACCAAGCACAAAGCACGAAAGGAGGCCTGGGCCGAGGGACTGGGTTAGCTGGATTTTGTCCTTGAGCTTTGAGAAGGCCTAGTTCTCCATCCACAGAAGGCCTCTCTTGCAGGGTTCTGGGGCCAGCCCTTGCCATGAGCAGCTTGTTCTTCAGCTCACGAAACTCCTCTCAGAGAAGACTTAGGCTTGCTGTTCCACCAGCTGTAGTTTGGCAGTCTTGACTCGATGAGCTTCCTTCAGGTTCTGTGCACGGACCTCTGGGTTGGAAATGAACTCCACCTGCTGCACAGGAAACCAGCCTCGCTCCCCGTCTGAGAGCCTCACGCCCTCCAGCCAGCCTGTGGGCACAGGGTGAGTGGGAAGAATTACCTGGGAAAGGCTCACGATAGCTTCTCTGGATCACCTTCCTGGAGACTTTTCTGAATCCTCAGGCTGAGTGAACTGGGGAGCCTCCAGCATAAACCCAGCCTCCAAGTGTCCTAACATGGCGGCCCTGGGTGTGGCCAAGTCTACAGCTGTCCATTCCTGAGCCTTCACCACTGTTATGGTTGCATCGTGTCCCTCCCAACATTTATGTTGATGTTCTAATCCTCTATACCTCAAAATGTGACCTTATGGGGAATGAGGTTGCCACAAATATAATTAATAAAGTTAAGATGATGTCATACTGGAGTAAGGTGGCCATTAATCCAGTATAACAGGTGTCTATATAAAGGAGGAAAACTTGGGCTGGGCGTGGTGGCTCACGCCTGTAATCCCAGCACTTTGGGAGGCCGAGGCGGGTGGACTGCTTGAGGTCAGGAGTTCAAGACCAGCCTGACCAATATGGTGAAACCCCATCTCTACTAAAAATACAAAAATTAGCCAGGTGTGGTGGCTCACGCAGCTACTTGGGAGACTGAGACAGGAGAATCACTTGAACCCAGGAGTTGGAAGTTGCAGTGAGCCAAGATTGCGCCACTGCACTCCAGCCTGGGCAACAGAGCAAGACTCTGTCTCAAAAATAATAATAATACATAAAATAAAAAAATAAAGGAGGAAAACTTGGACACAGACACAGGAAGGCAGCTAGCCACAGGAAGACAGAGGCAGAGATTGGAGGGATGCTGCCACAAGCCAAGGAACAGCTGGGGCTACCAGACTGGAAAAGGTACGGAAGGATCTTCCCTACAGGTTTCAAAAGACGCGTGGCTCTGCCCACACCTTGATTTGGGACTTCTTGCCTCCAGAACTGTGAGAGAATGCATTTCTGTTGCCATAAGCCACCCAGTCCATGGTACTTTGTCATGGCAGCTGCAGGAAGTGAACACACTCCCAGCACTGCCCTGCCTGCAGTGCCTGGCCTGCTGCTCACGCATGCTCCCGCTTACCGTCACTGCTCTGCTGAGTCACCATCACCACGTCGGCTTTCTCCAGTGCCAATTCATCATTCTCTCGGGGCTTGTAGGCTCGAAGGCACTGTACCTGGGGGGAGTCTTTGGAAGAGAAGAGTGTGAAGAGAGGTTAGGAGAGGCAGGGGATTGGAACACAGACAGGGACTTGGAGGGGGGTGGCGTGGGAGGACTTGAGATAGAGACAGACTTGGGCTGTTGAAAGTCACAGACAAAAGAGGAAATTTGAAAATGGTTAATAAAGAAATAGACATACCAGAAATGAAATGGACCAAAAATTCCACTTCTCCAGAGGAGACGGGTTGAGAAATACATGTGATCATCTCAAATACCTGAGATCCAGCTAATGACCCATCTTCCCTCTGAAACCGTCCCTGACTCTAGTCTTCAATGGGTTCTGAACTCTTTTAAGACTGCTTGTTCATGCCAAGGCATTTATCCCTTATTTAACTGCTACATGGACGTGTTTTGCCTCTCCAACTGGATTATAAAATCTGAGTCTGTGTCTTATTCTTCATTTTCTTCCCAGTACCAGATGTGGAACCAAGAAAGACTTAACTAGTGGTGTCCCAGGTTTGACCTAAGCCAGAGACTGAAAGCCCTGGAGCTTCAGTTTACTCATCTATCAGTGATCAAGATGGTTATTGATCAAGGTTGATCAGATGAATCTTGAGGACATTCAAGATTTCTCTATTTCTATGTTTTTGAGAACCAGGAGACATGTCCATAGATCTGAAGCTCAAGAAAACAAGCCTCAGAGAATGCTTCACCTATCAGTATTCCATCATATGTGGGTTTATGGCTCTTTTTTGTTACTACACTGCCTTGATTCTCTTGTAAAATAAATGGAATACTGCATTACTATTTGCTTTCTCAAGATCCTCCCCATCTGCCATTCACAAGGTCAAAATGAAGGAGGAAGAATGCTCCTGCCCTCCTCACCCACTGGGGAACTGAAGCCAGCAGATGGAGTGCACAGTGAGCAAGTTAACAGCGTTCAGTTACTACACGGCTCTCCTACTTCATTCCCAGGGTTCCTTGTAGTTGTTTGTTCTTTTCAGTCACTAAAGGTCCAGGGTTGAGGTCAGATTCTCTCTGGATTTAAATTAGGGAATCTTTGCTGGAGGACAACTGTGGGGCTGACATGAGAGGCATAAGAAGTCCAGTCTTGGTGTGAACACAGACACATACATAATGTGTGTGTGCCTGTGGCTCCCCATGGGCACCCAGAAGCCTGGGGTAGGTGACCTCAGGTCATCCTCTTAGGTGTGGTCAAGATAGATCTGGGGTGCTATCCTCCTGCACACCTCCTACCACCGTCAGGCTTTCTTCCCCTACCCCAACAAGACCTTCAAGCAGGTAAAATCTAGGCAAAATAATGTCAGCTTAGACTTAAGGGGACAAATATTTTTAAAAAGAGCAAACTATTGCCCAAGGAAGGGAATGTATGGGGAAGGGGGACTGCCATAGTGATGAGCAGTTTTAGGCGATATATTTCAGGTTTTTAAGCTCTAGAGGCCAATCTTCCACCCTGACATTTTACGGAATATCAATAAATGAAAGCCTAGAGTTCCCACCCAGCCCTTTAAACTCCTGTATCCAAAGGTGACATCTGACCCTGCTTTCTTTTCTCTCCCTCTTAGACCCTCACTCACTGTAACACTCCAGAAGGTCCAACTCCTCTCTTGGCATGGCCAAGGCTGAGATCCACCGAAGCTTTTCACTTCTGAGAAAACAAAGCAGGGTCATAGCATCAATTGTGGGGGTGTAGGAGGAGGGCCAAGGATGGGGATGGCAAAAGACTGTGGGAAGGACTTATCTAGTTCCATGACTTCTATCAAACACTATATAGGACTCTTTTTGGTTGGAAACATGACACAATCTTGAACTATATGTGAATGTGTCTTGTCACACTTTACTTTTCCTCTTCTCTTTCCAGAATTCTCCTCCTAATGGCTTCTCATATCTTCCAAGTTGGGGCGTAAAGTTCATTAGTCATAAAGTCTGGAGATTTTCTGTTTTGGAAATTGTGCTAAGCGAAGTGTTCATTTCAGTTTAGATTCCCTCCATCATTTGGCATGATTCTTGACACTCGCTTGCCTATCTCCCTTCAACTAACTATCTCAGAGATGATCATTGTTTCATAATAATAATTAGATCAGGGAGATATGTCTACTGTTTTATTTGTTGTTGTTGCACGGTGTAATCCAAGCTTAGGTTTGTAATCATCTGAAGGTTTCTGCATTCTGTTAGCCTCTGTGCCCAGTTGTGCCTAGGTAACTGGGAATGGACTATTACTGTTCCAGGCACAGTGCCCAAAGCACCAAACCAACAACATGCATCTGCACCTGATTATTTGACTTATGTGCTGTTTTGCACACAAACTCCGATACTAGTCCTTCTGTTCAATAAATGAGAACAGGTGTTATCGGTCCCACTCTGAAGTATCTTCCAAGGGACAAAACTGAAAAAGTGTCTACAACATAGGGATCCTCAAACACTTAGATACGTCAAACTTTTAAATGACTGTTCATATATCTTTTATAATAGCAATAACAGCTACAGGCTTTTACATGTTCATTATTGCAGGCACTGTGTTCCAGATTTTATAGGTACTATTAATACTCTCAAAAATGTATGTCTGTGTGAATGTATTTTATTTTATTATTATTGAAAACATGAGCAAATCAGCATTCTCAACACTATGGATTTCTGGTCAATAGAGGACTGGTTTGGAAGATGGGAGCACAGAAAGTAAAAGTCACCCAGCACTTGTCTTATTCACATCTGTGCCCACCAGCTGGGGCATAGAAGGGTTTCTGCCTCAGGCATGGAGGCATGTGCTCACAGATACCAGTATTCCAATTCCTTGCTCACTCCATACCAGTCCTTCTCCTTTCTGATACTACACAGACCTTGTCCCTCTTGAGTAAAGAGTATAAAATAGATGCTAAGCCTCGGTGGTGACTTTGTACCCTCTCCCACCCCAATCTCCTGCAAGTTATCCATTAGTTTTAGGAGTCTGAATTTCTCTATGGTGGTCCCCAGTCCAGAATGGGCTAAATGAGGCTGTGGCTGTCTTCTGGACACATTTTCTGCCTTGGTCTCACTTCTTTTCTCGGCTGCCCATCTTCCCCCACCCCCAGCTCCTCTGCCCAGCCCCATCTCACTGAGTCTCCGTGCGGAAGAGGAACTCGGCCTGGGCGCCCTGAGTGTTCTGCCGCAGAAAGAGTCGGAACAGGTTTTTGTGAGGTCCATGTAGCTTCATTTCACACTTTTCCCCCCGAATGGAGGAGAAGGGAGCATGGTCAAATACCAGGAATCGGCTACCCCTGCAAAATACAAATCTTTTCAACCTGATTCTAGAGTTTCCATACTTCACCTACCCTCATAACCTTGGGTTCGAAATCCCTACATCTACAGCCTGCAAATTCCCACAAAAACCATAAGATGGTCCTAACTTGCTCCCAAGATGGTAGCTCCAGGGTCCTCAGGGATTTGTCCTAGTCTGGCAAACCACACACCTAGTGCAGTGGATACATTACCACTTTAAAGAGGTGAAGAGATGGAATTTATATACATTTCCCAAGAACCTTAAGACCAGAGACTTAAGATCTGGAATTAGCTAAGTATCTCTAGAATAGCAGGTTGAGGCCAGTCCAAAGAAGCCACAAATAGACTCATGTGAGAATGTGATAAGCTAATTTGCTACATTTTGCTCTGTGTCTATACCATATTACATGTCCTGCTATGTGGTCTCATGATACAGTTTGATGGGATCCCCTTTTTGCTTTGGGCTTGTTTTTCTCTTCTCTAGGCTATGACCTGGGCTCTATGGGTTAAGCCATTGAGAAGGGCTCTTCTAGGAACATGACCCTTCTCTCTCCCTTTCAGACCCCCCTCTTTCCTCATCCCCTTCCCCTCTTGTGCCCTGGCCTGCCACTCCAGTCACTGACTCTCGGGGCCGAGACAGCAGCAGACAGTCATTGAAGAGGTGCAGGTGGACTGGACGCGTGTTCAGCTTCCTTCGTAGCCCTGGGGAAGCACTGAACTCCAAGGCTGTCAGCTCCCCACTTTTCACCAGCCAGCGTGACTGAGAAATGAGCGGGAATATCTACAGGGCAGAGGAAGAGAGAGAAGGCAGTGTCACAGATGGGAGAAGCATGAGGTTTGCTCCCAGTCCCACCCTCCTCCCCATGCCACTTCCATGCAAGTTCCACTTGAACAAGCATCTCTTCCACATCTGCCTTCTGGCTCATAACCCATCACTTAGATTCTCTTTCTCTCTGAACCCTCTAACTACCACTGTCCACTGGTGTGTGGCTCCCATGGTCGTATGCTCAGGTAAATAGAAGATGCCTATGGTCCAACTCAGGATAGTGAGTGTGTGGGACAGCTCTGCCCTAGAAGCCTGAACTGAAGGAGGGATGGAAGAGTCCAATCAGGGTATGTGATGGAACAAGTCAGTGAACACTATATGTGTCTTAGAGGTTAAAATAAAATATTAGAGGCAGGTCTGGTATCAATTCCATTTTTTATACCAGAGATATGTGAGCAGCTGGAATCAAACATGGGGGTGAGAAGAACTAGGTGGGGCGTCTTGGAGCTGGAATTTGGTTAAAGATGAGGGTGTGGTCTATGCTTAGTATGTGAATAAGGGATTTTCCTTCTTTTTCAGGAGTGTAAAGATAGTATGTGTTCTAAGCACGGGCGTGGTGGCTCACGCCTATAATCACAGCACTTTGGAAGGCAGAGGTGGGTGGATCACTTGAGGCTACGAGTTGGAGATCAGCTTGGCCAACATGGTGAAACCCCATCTCTACTAAAAATACTAAAATTAGCCAGACATGGTGGTGCAGACCTGGAATCCCAGCTACTCGGGAGGCCAAGGCATGAGAATCGCTTGAACCTGGGAGGTGGAGGTTGCAGTGAGCCAAGATCGCACCACTGCACTCTAGCCTGGGGTGACAGAGTGAGACTCTGTCAAAAAAAAAAAAAAGATAGTATCTGTTCTAAGTTGGAATTTGAATGTGGAATGTCTATTTTAGATTTGTATTTCAATGAGGGATGCTGGCTCTAAATTTGGATCCAATCTTATGTGGGTTTGATTAGACTAGAAAGAGATTTGATAAAGTAATAAATGAATCAAGCACCAAAACATTCTTTTATAAAGGCTCATCCTGAAAAGTTCTCTCTCATTTGCCCATTTCTCAAATGCACCCCCCTTGTCCTCAGGTAACCACTGTTCCTTTTTTTCTTGTTCTCCTTCCAGAGTTTCCTTATGCACACACAAGCAGACACCTGTATAGATTTGTATCCTCCCACTTTTATACCAAAGGTGATATAATATACACACAATTCTTTACCTTCATCTTTTCACTTAGCAGTATGTCTTGGAGACCCAAGTAGGCCTCCCAGAAATAGGACAGAATAGAAGGTGGGCAGAAATGAGGGGAGGGGCTGGGGATAATGTGAGCAAGGTGGTTCCAGGTTAGGGGGTGATCTGCAGGACATGTTAAGGGAGTTCATGGGCAGGGATGGGGTGCATGGGACCGACTCACTTTGCACTCAAACTCAATCTTCTGGCTCAGGTAGATTAGCTCCTCTGTCCGTCGCATACTCTGGACATTGTTATTGCAGTCCCGGATCAGCTAGGGGTGCAGAGAGTGAGGAAAGGGGAAGGGCACTGTGTTAGAGGCTTTGACCTTTGAGTCCCTTGCAAGCAATCTGGAAATAGGTTATGACAGCCTCAGTCATTTTTCCCAGGCTGGAATTGGGCAGGCAGTATCAAGCACAAGTCCTAGGCAACTTTGTATGACTTGGCAGAACATTCCTGAACTGAGTAAAAGTGAGACTGAATGTGGGGGTGATGGTGGAGAGGGCACAGTCCCTTGATGTGGAGTGTGCTCGGCGTGGGAGAGGTGGCCGTGGGGTGTGTATGTTTGGAAGTTTGGCGGATGCAGGGAGGTGGCTGAGCTCTCCCAACAGGGTCCCACCTCCCATGCTCCCTGGAGTCATGGGCCTAGGTGGGAAAGACCTCTCTGAGAAGAACACACAGAGGGTCAGAGTGGAGGTGGTGGCTGCCTACCTGCTCCAGGGCGTGGTGTGCCTTCGTGGCCTCTGCCTCCTCCGAGGAGCCAGGCTGTGTTCTCTTCAGAATGTTCTATTGAACAGACAGTAGGCAGGAGTGAGATGGGAGGAAGAAATGGGAAACAGGAAGAAATGATTGGGGGCTGGTGAATGGAGAAGCCCAGGGACCACATTTTAGCAGCAAATATTTCCAAGCAAGCAGGCAGTGGGCAGCAGGGAGACAGGATGTGGACACCTGGCAGAAGAATGGTTGGTCCTTTGTTGTGGGTCTTCCTGAGGGCATCCCTTTGAGTTAAGGGGAGAGGATCAAGGTAGCATCTGCCCTACCTGGAGCAGCAGTTTGAGGCGGGTGATGCGTTGGAAGGGCAGAATCAGAAAGGACTTGAGGGAAAGGCGCTGGCAGACGGGGTCGCTCTCCAGCTTCTCCAAGACCTCCCGGAAATTGCTGTTGCTATTCCTGCACGGAGAGTGAGCCTTAGGGGAGGGGGGATATGGGGAGCAATGGGGGATGCAGTGAAGGTGCGGGGAAGGGAGGTCAGTGGAGTATCTGTGGGCTGGGAAAGAGCGGTGGGAGCTGATGTACAGGGCGCTCAGATGTGATGCTGGGGTAACCAATACAGAGGGCGGAATGGGGAAAGTGTGCTCTTGGGATAGCCCTCTGGGCTGGGGACTGGTGCATGGTCACCTCAGGGCCTACATGGGGATTAAATGGGGGATGAGTCTCACATCAGGCTCTGGAAGGTGCGTTCCTGATAGGTCTGGTTGGTGACATAAGGCAGGTAGACCCGGCGGAAGTCTGGGGCGTGGTTCAGGACTACGTCACATACTTGGAAGGAGAAGATATTGTTCTCAAAGTTCTCTTCCAGGTCTGAAAGGAACCTGTACAGGATTTAAACGAGTCTCATGAGACTTCTGGACCTCAGCTAAACAGCTGACTGGCCCCTGGTGTACACTGAGCTGGTGACTTCTTCACTCCATTAGCCAATAACTTCTATTGACTCTCTGCTCTGTGCTCCTTGCTATGCACTAGAATTCGCTCCAAAACTGTCCTGAGTTTGAGCCTGATTTAACACTTTTATTCTAATATTCCATTTCTCATTCTTCTTTTGACCCTGTTCAGGTTTTCTGATCTTTAGATGGTTTTTCCACCTCATCTCCAATGCAGTGCATGACCACAGTAATCCAAAACCTCAACCCAGGAAGCATTGCTCATTTACTTATCCATTAATGGATCTATCCACCCACAGACCCTCTCCTCTTCTTGCCATTCTTCTTTCTATAACCATCGGGAATCATGGAAGAAACTGAGGCCCAATTTCTTCCCATAACTGTGAAAATGAAAGGGTTTCTAAGAGGGGAAAAAAATAATGGAACATTTAAAGCCTAACAACAGTGAGGCTGAGTGAGTGGTATTTAGGAGAAGGGGAGTCTCACGTGGCGCTGACGTCTCGCACATCCTGTAAACGAGAGAAGAGCCATTGGTGCTCCTGGTTGGAAAGTGTGGCCCGGAGTGAAGTTGAAAGTTGGAAATGATCCACAGCTATGTTTAGACTGCGCAGGTAGGAGGCCTCTGACACAATCAGCTCAAATTTGACCTAGGAGGTTGGAGATGAGGAAGATTAATTAAGGATTTTATTTACCCCCTGGAATATGCCAGCCACTGTGTAATGTTTTGGGGATAGAGCAGTGAGCAAGATCCTTTTATGGTTCACAGTCACACCAGAACCTAAGTTGATCTGCGGGGAGGGGAAGAGCATTTGAGTAGGATTTAATCTAGGGTACAGGTACAGGCCTTCAAAGGTATAAAAGAAAAATATGCTTTCAAGAAATCTAAATAACAAAAACAAGAACAAAAAATGAGTAACAAAGTGAGATGGATATGTTAATTTGCTTCACTAGGGTAATTCTGTTACTATTTATATGTAGCCCATAACATCATGTTGTATATCTTTAATATACACAATGAAATTTATATTAAAAAAGCTAAATAGACTGGGTGCAGTGGCTCACGCCTGTAATCCCAACACTTTGGGAGGCTGAGGTGGGTGCATCACTTGAGTCTGGGAGTTCAGGACCAGGCTGGGCGACGTACAGAGACCCTGTCTCTACAAAAAATACAAAAATTAGCCGGATGTGATGGCGTGCACATGTAGTCCCAGCTATTTGAGAGGCTGAGGCGGAAGGATTGCTTGTGCCTGGGAGGTGAGGTTGCAGTGATCCCAGATTGCACCACTGCACTTCAGCCTGGTGACAGAGTGAAACCCCATCTCAAAACAAACAAACAAACTAACTAAACTAAATAAATTGAGCATTTTTTGAACCAAGTGTACAGCAGTAGTGGCCAGAGATGAAGCTGCAGCAGTCGAGGAGGCCTGAAGGGTAATGTAAACAATGTAAAATTGTTTGGACTTAAGACAATGGGACAATGAAAACAGGCTTTACATAGGAGAATAACTTGACCACATTTGTTTTATATAAAGTTATTTTTTTTTATTTTTTGGAATTGAGATGGAGTCTTGCTCTGTCACCCAGGCTGGAGTGCAGTGGCACGATCTCAGCCCACTGCAACCTCCGCATCCCAGGTTCAAGCCATTTTCCTGCCTCAGCCTCCTGAGTAGCTGGGATGACAGGCATGCACCACCACGCCCAGCTAATTTTTGTATTTTTAGTAGAGACAGGGTTTCACCATACTGGCCAGGCTGTTCTCAAGCTCCTGACCTCAGTTGATCCACCCGCCTCGGCTTCCCAAAGTGCTGGGATTACAGGTGTGAGCCGCTGCGCCCAGCCTGTTTTTCATAAAGTTATTTCTAAGCAGAATGAGAAGAAAAGATGAAAAGAAGCAAAAGCCATCCATGTTAAGAAACTGTTGTAATAATTCCACATGAGAGATGAAGGTCTGAATAGCCATGGAGCTGAAGAGAAGTAGATTAATTTTATAATTATTTATGAGGTAGAATTGGAAGGGTTGGATTATTTGCTAGAAATGGGGCCTCAAAGAGAAGGAAGGTTCAAAGCTAATGTTTTGTACTCACAGCAAAAGCTTTTTGAGTCGGGCACCTGGGTGAATGATGGAGTCATTTACTGAGCCAGAGAACTTTGAAAAGGCATAGATTTAGGGGATGAAGGTGATGAGCTCAGTTTGAGGTTTGAGGACAGATGAGAAGCAGGAGACAGAAGCAGGATATCTGAGAACAAGATGGCGCGAGAAGCAGGAGACAGAAGCAGGATATCTGAGAACAAGATGGCGCAGCTGTGGTTTAATGCATGCCCAGCATGTGAGAACTTGTCTGAAGGTTCCAGCAGGGGGCGCTATGACTCATGACCGTGCCTCTAGCTGGGCTCCTCATGCTTTTCATCCAAGCATGTGGCCTCAAGAGAGATGCCTGGATAGAAAAGAGAAAGGAGACACACCCTGGTGATGACTTGGATGACCAATGACACAGCCAGATGACCCTCCCATACAACAACCCTGAACAGGGACACTGAAGGCTCATTTGCATCCTTGCTCTAACATTCACTACACGACTGACTTTGGGTGGCTCATTTAACCTCTCTGAATCTCACTTTTCGTGTCCTTTTATGTGGATATAGTGACCCCCATCTCACTGTGGAAGATGCAACAGTTGAAAGAAATGGAGCCTGTGAAAGCACTTTGTGAACCCCAGAGGTACTACTTTATAAAATGAATATGTGTGTTTAAGAGATAGAAATGTAAAGCCCTTTCTTCTCACAAACATGAGACCAGGGCTGGAATAGGAGGCCTGCTGGACTTCCCAGCATGCTGGAGTTGGTAAAAGAGAGCTAGAACTCGTGTCATCTCCCACTGTTTGGTCAACAAATATGGGGAAGATGAGTTATTTTCTAAATATCTTCTCTGTGCTTAAAAATTTGCAGCCACAACAGGGCTCTCAAGTCTGAACTTTGCAAAGTCTAAAAATGTATTCTCTCTCTGACTTGGTAAAAGCATTGTCTATCCATAAGTCCTCCTGGCCCAAATTTTACTCCTCCCTGCCTCTGAAAGGCAGAGAGTACGGCACTAATATTTATCAAACTATACATCAAATATTACTGCTAAATTAGATATGCATTATTTCATTTAAACCATTCAGCAACCCTGAAAGGTAGGCATTATTATCCTCAATTTGCAAGTGAGGAAACTGAGATTTAGTGATGTTATAAGGCTGCCTAAGCTAGCAAATGGTGAAGTCATGTTTCAAACCTAGGTCTGGCTTACTTAAAATGAAAAGTCAACATTTTTTGAGAAATTACTATGTACCAGGCATTCATGTTTCTTGATCCTTGCAGTAACTGTTTGTATCTCAGTTTTACAAATGTCATTTGGCCAAAGGTAAATTGGAAATATTAAAGTGGGCTCTGGGGCTGGGCTCAGTGGCTCATGCCTGTAATTCCAGCACTTTGGGAGGCCGAGGCGGGAGTATTGCTTCAGCCCAGGAGCTCGAGACAACTGGGCAACATAGTGAGACACCATCTTTTCAAAAAATTAAAAAATTAGCTAGGCATAGTGGCACATACCTGTAGTCCTAGCTACTTGGGAGGCTGAGGCGGGAGGATTGCTCGAGCCCAGGAGGTTGAGGCTGCAGTGAACAATGATTGTACCACTGTACTCCAGCCTGAGTGACAGAGCAAGACCCTGTCTCTAATAAATTAATAATTTAAAAAAAAAGTGGTTTTCATATCCAGGTCATTTCTTCCAGAACCTAATTTCTTAAACATTATTCTATTCCATTGTTCCATACTGTCTTTCTGGGAAGAAAGGTTTTACCCCATATTTCAGACAAATTAATAAGAGGCGCTCTCCATGTAAAACTTACTAATGGTAATAGCTTAGAATCAGACAAACAGCCTCTAGTTCAGTCTTGCTGTTGGGAGTAACAATCAAGCAGGGACTGATGATCACTCTAAGGCCCCTGTTAGATTGATGGACCACAGGACAGCTGCAAAGGGCCCTCTTCAAGGGACCCAACAAAGAGCCCCGGAATGTGCCTTGGCTAAAGAGGAAAACTGTAGTGTAGCCTGAAACCCTGGTTGAACAGGGAAGCTTTCCTCTACCCTGAAACAGCAGTGATGATGGGATTAACTCCACATTCCTCCACACAAATTCAGAGGCAATGGCCACCATGTATAGCCCAGACCAACATCAGGTAGGAGCAAGTGGCCTATGGCATGAGGAGGTGAGGATGAAAGGGGAGGTGGTGAAATCCAGAAAACAATTCAACTTCTTCAGAATGGACATGACCCACAGCTGTGGCATGTACACGCGCCTGTGTGGTGGGGACAGCCGACTCTTGGTGGCAGTGGTGAGCAGGAGAGAAGGATGCTAGCAAACAAGACCTTGTCATCTTTTCTGTAGCCCCCTCCCCACCGTGGCCTGCCCAGTACCTCTTGCAGCTTTTGGTCTTCATGGGTCATGGAGAGCAGCACGGTGCTGTTGCGCACCACGGGGATTTCCTGCCAGAGGGAGCCGCTGGAGGCCATGGAGAGCCGCTGCAGGTACGACTCGGAGGAGACCAGGGCCTTCCGAGGCTGCCGCGGAGAGCTAGGCCCGGGTGTCTCGGACAGGCTCTCCAGCCGCTGCTGGCTCTGGATCTCCTTATTCAGGACAACATCACTATACTCCTGGTAAAGCAGCTGGGCTGCAGGGCAAAGAAGCATGGGAAGGAAGAGAAGCAGGAAGAAGGGACGGTGAGCGGAGGCAGGGAAACAGATCTTCTGCAATGCCTTCTCGCTAGGGACATCCCCACCCCACTGCTGACATCCACAAGCCCCTCTCCAGTGCTGGGCAGAATGCCCACCTGGGTCTATAGTTCCACTTCAAGGTACTCACAGGAGTTGATGAGTTTGGAGCAGCGTCTTGAAAAGCCTCCCATCACCTCCTTTGGTTTTTTCTCCCTGTGGAGTAAAGAAGGGCTCTGGGGTACCTACTGGCCATTAGACACAGAGCACCCCAGGTGACTGTGGGGGACAAAGTCTCTAGCCTCTGGGATGTGTGCTGGGATGTCAAGACCAAATCCCCCGGAGAGGCACAGAGTTGCAACTTGACCCACTTGGGCTAACATGGAGCTTTTGTGGGGTTTAGTTCACAGCCATAGGGCTTGGGAAGATGGATGACTCGTAGGCTCGGCTGACCGAATGAGGTAGATAAAGACAATCTCCCTAAGCTGGCATCCCGGCATCTCTCTCTTCTCCTCCTTACACCAAGAAGAAACAGGAATGAGCCATTCGGGGTCTCAGAACCCTTATCAACTGAAATCCTCACTAGGGGACTCTCAGTATCCCAAGTGAAGAGAGTACAGTGTGGCTGTTAGGGGAGAGGGTGACTTACCGAAAAACAACAGTGTCTGAGGGTCCCGGATGTTTCTCCACGGCTGGACCTCTTGAATCTAAAAGTGGAAATGGGGAAGATAACTGAGATTTCAGAGGGATAGAGAGAGCCAAAGAAGATCTAGAGCAGGAGATGCAGGGGTCCAGAAGGGAAAATGGGCTTTATTGGGAAACTGGGAGGGAAGAAAGTGGCAAAGCAGAGAGCGTGAAAGAGATCAGTACCAGTGACGTCCCGAGCCACGGGTCAGGATGGGACTGGGACAAGTACAGAAGGCCTTTTCTACTCCCCAGGAGGAGAGCAAGCAGGGACTGTAACTGAAGAGTAGAAGGGAGTCCAAAATAACCTTGGGACATCCAAAGAAGGTGCTGGTTGAGGGAGAGACAGGGAGATAGAGGGGAAGAAGAAGGAAGAGCATCCCAAGGAGCTTGGAGGGCACTTCGGGGCTCTCTCTGTGTTGAGGTTAGGCACACATGTGAGCGAAGCCAGCAGAGAGAATGTTAGGAACCCTAGGGACAGAAGATGGGATGAGGTGGGAAGAGCTGGGAAAAGCTTGGTCTGATGTGTCACTGTGGTCCCGGTTCTTGCTCACCTGAAGAGCCCTCAGGCAAGATGGAAGGTCTGCGCAGGCCCTGCCGGCTCCAGCCCTTGTGCTTGTTGGCCCCCTCACTAGGAGCCACAGCCTGTCCACTGCTGTCCCCTGGTGGCCTCCCTGAGTCCCGCCTGTGGGGCCAGCTGGACGCCTTCTCCAGGTGCAGATGGCTGGGTTTTTCTGGCTGCCTTGCTTGGCCCACAGGTGACCTCCCTGGGCCACTGGCTCCTTGCTGAGGGGTTGTCCTTCTCAAAGGTTCTCTCGCAGGGGCCTCAGGGTGTTCTGAGACCCCTGCTTCATCCTTAGAGGTGGGTCCCTGGAGCTCCGGAGTCCAGGGAGTGGTAGGGGAAGAGGGGCATAGGAAGTTTGTCATGTTGCTGAAAGCCATGCCAGGGGACACTTCGCTCTTACTCCTGCTGGTGGAAGTGAAAGACTCTGTTGATCTAGCTGTGGCCGGGGGCCAGGAGGTGCGTCCAGCAGAGGCAGGGAGGGGGACTGTCCAGTCTTGACAAGCAGGTCTTGTTTTGGCATGACCCCCTGAGTTCATATGTCCTCCCCGAGTGCTCCTGCTCCTCCCCCTGGACTTTGGGGGCAATGGGGGTGGTTCGGTGGGAGGGTCTATGATGGGTAGTGGGGGTAGAGGCCTGTAGATCCTTGAGCTACCAGGAGCAGAAATGGGAGGAAGGTGGGGCTGCGGCAAATCAGGGGTAGGGGGTAGCGGCTTGTTGTATCTCCACCTGGGGGTGGCCTGAGCATGGTGGGAGCTGTCTGGGGTAGATGGCAGAGGTCGGTGCTGCCTGGCCACAGCGGGGTCAGAGGCTTGGGGAAGTGGGCCTTTATGGGGGGCATGCAGCCCTGAACCTAGGGCCAATGGAGGAGGGTGGCTATGCTGCTTCAGCGTGGGAACCACTACACGAGCATGGCCATCTGTCTCCACCACGGAGGGATGGGTGTCCCTCCTCTGTGGGGGAGGAGGGGGCAGAGGTTCGTGGATCCTCACATCCTCCATGGAGACAAAGGATGGGGAAGAACCGTAGGCGGGAGACTCTGTGGCAAAGGCTGGATTATGTGGGGAGACCCAGGGCTGGATGCTGGGAGGACTGCTGGGTCTCTCTAGATTTGAGATGGATTCTTGAGAGTCCTGCTTCAGCGTGGATAAGGCAGTAGGGGATGCTGAAACGGTGCTGTAGTCCCTACCACTCCTTCTGTCCCTTCTTGGGGTCACAGAGCTGTAGATGGCAGGTTTGGGGGGCCTCTGGGGCAGCTCTGAGTGGGAGTAGGAAAGCAACATTCCCACCAGGTCTGGAGTCTGCTCTGTCCTGTGAGAACCAGGGAAGGAGTCACTCCGTAAGTGCTGGACGGTGCCTGTGGAGTTGGCTGGGGGCCTCGGAGGGCTGGTCCCGGTGGAGGGGAAGCAATAGAGGGCAGCCGGGCACATCTCAGAAGTCCCACAGGGAGATGGGTCATCCATTGAGAGAGGGGCACTGGCAGTTTCTGGAGCACGTGCAGCACAAGAGGTTTCCCTCCTGGGAAAGGCAACTGGGGGCCTGGCAGATACCGAGGCAGGTGTGATGGGGTAGGCTTCAGCAGGACTGGGAGGAGCTGAATCTGGTGTCCTTGGAGGAGTCACAGATGCACTGGCAAAGACCACCTCAGTCCCTTGGCTGGACACTGTTCCCTTCCTCAGCCTGGATCCCTCTTGCTGGCTGTTTTGATCTATTTCCTTGTCAGGTGACTCCTCAGTCAAAAAGGAGCCCAGTAGAGAAATGGGCTGGTGAGAGCACCTGATGGGCTCTAGCGAGGGAGACAGAGCTGCGGGGGACAGTTCCTCAGCCCTGGACTCTGTCTGAGTCCCGGGAATCTGAGTCACGAGATATGAGGCACCTGGAAACAGGTCACAGTGAGGAGAGTCCTCAGGGGCTATCAGAGCGGGCATTGAAGGCCCATGATGCTCATTCTCCTCTTCCCTGCTCCTCGCTCTTCCCACTGCCCCCAGCCTGCCCCCATCCCAACTCTCTGGCTCTTTCGCCTCCTGCCCGCTGACTGGCACCCCTTTCTCCTTTATACCATGATCTTCTTGCTTTCCAGTTACTTCCTCTGATTTTCCCAAAAAGATTTGACTCTTTTCGTCCTGAGAGTCCGCCCTGTTCTCTTCTGGCACCTGCAGCTCCCTCTTCCTCTCTTCTCCCTGTTCTGGACCTCCCTGACCCTGAGCCTTCCTCTCCATATCCTCCTGCTCCCACTCACCGTCATTCAGACCCTCTGGCTCCCCAGTGAGCCCCATTCTTTCTCCTTGTCTCCCAAGCATCACATCTTGTACCTGTTCCTGTTTTTGCTTCTGTTCTCCTTTTTCATCATTAACCTGCTCTATCATCTGTTCCTCCCCTAATAGCCCATCGGCACAAACATCCTCCCTCAGAGTTCCTTCCCCCCGAAATCCTGCTTCCTGCTGTCCCTGCTCCTCCAGAACTTGGACCTCCTGGGGATGCAAGAGCCCTTGACTTTCCTGCAGCTCCTCAGATGGCAGCTCTTCCCCCTGCCTGATAGTCCCACTTTCAGCGCCTTCATTCTGGTTGGTCTCTGCAGGATGCTCTTCGCAGGGAGAATAATATCTGGTCTGACCAGAGTTATCTGAAGAGGTTTCCTCTTCTTCTTCTGCCTGTCCAGATCCCAATGTCAAAGAAGTAAGTCCTGGCCAAAATTCCACCTCCTCTTCTTCGCCTCCCAGGTCACTGGAAAATGGGGCCATGTCTAGATGCTCACTCTGAATGGGGCAGGCCCAGAGCTCTGGGGGAGCTAGAGTCCTTGCTTGTCGGCCTGCTAGGCTCTGGGGTACTGCCTCCCAGTGTTCCGGAGTGTCACAGGCCTCAGCCACAAGGCTTTCCTGATTGGGCTCCACATCTGCAGAACCTTCCTTGGGAAAAGAGGGCATCGTCTCAATCGCATAGTCACACACATCCCTTAACTCACTCTGCTGAGTTGCTGAGAGTCTGTGTTCCTCTCTCCACTTATAGGATGGGTCCTCATCTTCTTGAGCTTCAAGCCCCAAGGCAGAGACCTGGCTGCTCCTCATGGGAGCCTCAGGGATAATGCTGAATTCCTCTATGGCAGAGATGGGAGGAGAGGCTCCACGCTGGGCCTCCTCAGCCTCCATCAGGGCTGAATCCTAAGGAGGAATCAAAGACAAATGTTTCTAACAACTCTGCTTTTACCTATCAGAGGAAGAGACCATAAAAAAGAAGAGTGATGCATTTATTTGGTTCCATTTAGGGTCATTCTTTGAGACAACAGGTTCTCAACAAAATAAGCAATAGCCTCTAAAAAACTTGTCATTGATGTATTTATTTCATAAATATTTTCCTAGCGACCCTGTTAAGTGTGGGGCATTCAGTAGTGAATGAGATAAAGATCTTGTCGTCATGGAGACTGTGGTCTTGTGAGGGAAACAGGTCATAATGAACAATTAAATTATAGCAGAGGACCATTGTCAGAGAGTGCCCAGAAGCTCCCAGTTGTCAGTTCTCTCTAGACTCCATTATGTCATCTTCTGTCTCTCCCTGTCTACTCTTCGGACACTAGGAGTGACTCATCCTCATATAACCCCCAGACACAGCAAGGGACACACCTCAGATCTATTAGGCCAGAGAAGCAGTGTCAGGAGAGGGTCTTCCTCTTAAGCTGTGGACATCAGTTAAAATAGGCCAGGCTATGATAGCCAATGTGTGAGGTGCTATGGTTTCATCTTCTTTACAGAGGGTTTGGAGTTTACTCATCTTTCTGTTTTCCATAGTGTCTACTACAGCATTGTAACTAACAGTTTTGTTTCCAATTCTAGAGGCAGCTGTTGTAAAGTGGGATGATAACAGCCTTATTGGATTAGTGTTGAACTAGACACATTACCACCTTGAAGGAAGACCACAGAAGGGTGCTTTCTGCATCACCTTACTCTCCCCTTGGCCTCAGTATCCATATGAACTCTTCTCATTAATTCTTTTGACCTTCCTGTCTTTTGATTTCGACCTTCCTGCCTTTCTTCTCACTTCCAGCAGAACACCTCATCTCCTATTTTGCAAAGAAAATAGAAACTGATGGAACTGGGTTTCTCTCACCTCAATTTCTTGTGATCCAAAGCAACCTGTATTTCCACTCTTTCTATCTTCCGCCCTCAGTCAGGAAAAGACGTATCCCTCCTTTCCATGCTCTGTCATTTCTTGCCTGCTTCCCCAGGAACACTGTGCACTCATACCTTCAACATCCCTGCTGAACAACCCCTGGGGTATGGAAGCATTCCCACATTCTTCTCATCTTTCAAATGACTAGAAGGAGTTGCTCTTATCTGCTGTCTTCATACTCTCACATCCCACCTGCCTCCAACTGAGCTTTGATAGCGGCATTCTGCCAATATTCCCTACAATCGACATGTTGTTAATTCCAAAGAAGACCTTATGGATCTTCATTTTGGGTGGTTCTTGTCAGTATTTGACAGTACTGAGGTTAGAAATACTCTCTTGTTACTTGTGGTATTACATTTTCCTGGTTTTACCCCTTCAGTTTCCTCCAGTCTTTTTTTTTTTTTCTTTTTTTTTTTTTTTTTTTTGAGATGGAGTCTTGCTCTGTCACCCAGGCTGGAGTGCCGTGGTGCAATCTTGGGTCATTGCAACCTCCACCTCCGGGTTCAAGAGATTCTCCTGCCTCAGCCTCCCGAGTAGCTGGGACTATAGGTGTGTGCCACCACACCCAGCTAATTTTTGTACTTTTAGTAGAGACGGGGTTTCACCATTTTGGCCAGGATGGTCTCAATCTCCTGACCTCGTTATCCACCCGCCTCGGCCTCCCGAAGTGTTGTGATTATAGGCGTAAGCCACTGCACCTGGCCTCCCCTGATCTTTTAACTAGGTTAAATTGTACCCCTCTTTGTAGCACTTACCAACTATAATTCACTTTACTTTTCCTTTGTAGCATTTATACAATTATAATTATATAATGATGTGTGTATTTTGAGTTACCCTCTATTGCAACCAATAGATAGTAAAATTTATGAGATTAAGAACTATGACTTGCTGAATTATCCATACTTAGCCTAACAGTGGCCTATACTCAGTGTTTAATAAATATTTTTCACATAAAGAATAAAATTCAGGTCAGAATAAAATGTGATCCTTTTACTTCAATGGAATATGCCCACCTTTTCCCAAAATCATGATTAACAGTTTACACAGAACTTTAAACATTTAGAGCTCTATACACAACAAATTAATTTTTCTTATTTTTCATTCTGAAACACTAAGGTTTTCCTGCATACATGTCATTAAAAATAATGAAATGCTTCTTTAAATATGTATGTGCCATACATCTAAGAGTCATCGTATAAGATGGGTACCATTATTCTGCCCATTTTACAGATGAAAAACTGAGTTTCCCAATGCACTTTATATATATAATCCTGACACTCTGGGAGGCTGAGGCAGGTTGATTGCTTGAATCTAGGAGTTTGAGACCAGCCTGGACAACCTGGTGAAACCCTGTCTCCACAAAAAATACAAAAATTAGTGGAGCATGGTGGCACGTGCCTGTAGTTCCAGCTACTTGGGGGCTGAGATGGGAGGATCCCTTGAGCCCAGGAGGCAGAGGCTGCAGTGAGCCAAGATCACATCACTGCACTCCAGCCTAGGTGACAGAGTGAGACTCTGTCTCTAAATAAATTAATTAATTAATTAAAATAAAATAAAATTCTTGTTTCCCTCCTGGCCCAGATTCCCCATATCTAATCAATCACCATGTGCTATTGACCTCGTCTGCTAAATATCCCTTAAGACTGTCCACTTCTATCCCATCCCTCTCCACTGGTGCATGCTGCTACCGTCTCGCCCGGGCCACTGCACCCGGCCACAGCTTGGGCACTGGCCTCCACCCATTTCACGTTATTCCAGTCCTTTCTCCATACAGCACCTAAGTGAGCTTCAAAAGCACCAGTTCTAGCTTAGATTCTTCAGCAGCCTCTGAATGCTCTTGAGATGAAATCTAAATCTTCAGCATGGGTTATACTCCCTGCACAACCTGGCTCTGCCTTCTTCTCTAGCAGCCTATTCACCTGTCACCATCTGTCCCTGCCCCCATCCCCCCCCTCTCCCACTGGCTTTCAGTGTCTTTAGCTCACTTCTCTCTGTGTCTCTCACCTGTAGGCCTTTGTAGACACTGCTCCTCTGCCTGGAATCCTCTTTTGCAACAGAGAATCCTTTGCTTCTCCTCAAACACACCTTGCACTTGTCATGTCATATTTAATGTCTATTTTCCAGGCTAGATTATGAGCACCATGAAGGGACAAACACTGCCATATAACCCCCTCTGCCTGAAGCCTAGTTGGCCCTCAACAAAGATGTATTGTATGAATGAATGACGGAAGAATATAGAGTTAGAAGAGTATGGATCAGTGTTTGGTTGTGCCTCTCTGGTATCTTTGCTGGTTTTAAGACAATTGTAGAAACCATTAAATTTATTTGAACATCCATTTTCTTATCTTTAAAAAGGAGATAAAAGGATTCCTTCACAGTTCTAGTAAAGATTAAATAAGGTAACATAAAAATGTACACTGCTATCTTTAAGGGTCATAGAAATGGTGGCTGTGGTAAATACTGTTGACCTGAGAGACAGAGAATAAGTGTAAGAGAGAAACACAGGATTCATAAAGCCGGAAGGACCTTCAGAGACACACAGAAACTGCTCAATTTACAGATGAAGAAACTAAAGGTCAAAGACCCTAGACCCTTGCTCAAATCTCCTAAGCAAATGGTATGGGCAAACCTGAAGCAAAGTCGCTTGACTTAAGTCTCCTGTAAGCACTTAGAGGTCCTACTGAAAGAAAGCTGGCAGGCCATCAGTCCAGAGAAGACCCCAGAATTCTATGGACCCAATGCTGCACCTGACCGTGCACCTTTCTTGTCTGGTCCAGGCTTAAACTGAAAACTCACCTGCTCAGAATACTGTCCTGCTTAGCCACTGTGTGTGTACACACACACACACACACACACACACACACACACACACACACTGAGCCATCCTTACAAACTCTTGCAATAGAGCCTGACATAACCAAACAGGCAGGTCCCTAGCACACTGCAGAGTAGTATGTGACAAGATTCTGGCCATCCCAGAGACAGAGATACCATCTATATGGGGCAAAGAGATATGTCTGACATAATTGTACACAGGCAGAAGGACTTTTATGTCCTTTTCCAGTTAACTGACACCATATGCGATTGGCTCCCTATGTCTAGCCCTTAAGTACAAAATACTATAATCCCTATGGGTGATTCTGTGATGTGGCCCTGTTCTCTCAACCACACATCGAATAATATACTTGCTTACTTTAAGACACTTTCTGAAACTTGGCCTAAGGAGACCATGGGACTAAACCTGTAGTCTCTCCTCACTTACATCTGCATGGTTCAGGCCCTCTCCTCCATATACACCATCACGTCTTCAAAACAAGTAGCCTCTAAATAAAAGTGTGTTTCTGCCATATCTAGGGTATATCTATAAATACCATGTGCTACCTGGACATTTTCTGTTCCAATCTAGTGGCACAGTGCATGCCTGCCTCTGCAAGCCCATTGACACCGTTTCTAACTGTCTTTTTTCATTTGGAAATATCAGTGGTCACCTGCTCAGCCACCAGTTACCGCAAAGGGAGAACATACCCCACGTTCCCTATACTTGATCCTATCTCAGTGATCCCGTTGCAATCAGGCATGACAAAGCTAAAATGTGACAAAGTGAAAGGAAATCTGTAAATCATGGTCTTACTCACGTAAAGGCATCAGGAGAGAGTTTTTTGCAATGCTCATTACGTTAGAGTGCAAACATCCTCATCTCCTTCTCCACTGAGGGTGAATAATCACTGTTTATCTGTGTACAGGCAAAGCCAGGGCATGGGATTATGGGGATACGGCCTTGCTTCAGACCACAGACATTCTGCATCCACATAACCTCACCCACGTGTGACTTCTTGAGAGGCAAAGCTTCAAGTCATCCCTTTAACATAATGTGTGACAGAGCTCACTATCTTCCCTAGAGCCCCCCCCAACACCTTAGCTCTTGTCTATTTCTAGTCACTAGAAACAACACTGTATTTCAAGGATACAACCCCTCCCCAATCAAACTGCCAAATCTTTGAACTGAGACTCAGTGCCATATATATATTTTTGAGGACCATGCTTCCTGGATTTTCTAGCAAGGTTGATTTCAAATATTCTGACTTACAAATCACTAAAATAATATTGAGGTTAAAATAAGATCACCACATAGATATATAACTTTATTCACTGTTTGACATCACTGCCCTCAATACTACAAAGATATCAAAACAGGGGTAGCTTTCTGGACCACTGACTACTACAATGTGTGTTCTATCCATTGCGGGAAAGTCCCATCATGCCAGTGAAAGCTGTAATACACATTTATCTATTCTCTAATGTCTGAAAATGTCACACCAACTGCCTTATAGACCAGATAGTTTATATAAGAACATTATTAGTGTCAATGCTGACTTACACTCTACAATCTCATCTGTGGTCCTGGTGGCATCCACACAGATAACATTAGTGTGAGTGACGTGTTTGTGTATTAACACAGACCTTGAGGGTGACTTTGTTCCAGTCTACCTTGCAGGCACTATAAGTGATCGGCTCCTGCTTACTCCACAGACACTGTGAGTGACCCAGCCCCTGTCTACACTAGAGCTGTTGGTCACCTGTTTGTCTACACCACTGACACTTGAGTAATGCTGCTCCCGTTGAACCCAAGACCCTACGAGTGACTCCATTCCTGTCCATACCACATAGCGACTGACCTCTCCAGACACCACAAATGACGTATTCCTGTCTATCCCACAGACACCACGTGTAACGTGGCCACGGAACCTCAGACAGACCGCGTTAAGGGCACTGATACACTCTCAGGACCTCTAATATATGAACACTCTTCTCTCTATTGAGAATCACTATATTCTGTTGATGAGAGGGATTCCTTTGCACTCCTCCTGATTTCTCTCTCCTCCCCACTAGGACCATGACATACATTCCTCCTGCATATCAGTCTCACCCAGAACTGACACGCCCTCATCCCATCTTCCCAGCTCCCCAGGACTCCTTCACTAGCCATGGCTTCACTTTTAGGCCCACAGATTGGTTAACAAATGACACCTATTTTGCTAAGGCCTATGCCAGGAACTTCTTCATGCTCCAAATGTGGATAAAACAAGACGTCTGAGACAGAGGCCACATCAAGAGCTTTTTAGCTGGAGCTGGGACCTCTGGATTAGGCCCAAGATGCAAGGCCAGACAGTGGAGTGCAGTAGGGGAGCAAGCTAGGGAGGAAGCTCGAAAGGAAAACCACCCTCTCTCATCTGTTTGACACACCCTTCTCTCTCAACCAGACAAGAGTCCTGGCCAGAGTTCACTTCTAGGTAGACAGGAGGGCAAATCTGTCTTTGGAACCCAAGATCCAGGAAGGGAAGAAAGGGACTGAGATCTGGAAATGACGTAGTATCACAACTGGCTCTCCTCCGGTAGTCTTGCCGGAAGGCAACTGCAAAAGATGCTCAGGGGTTCTAGAGCTCTGCGTCCGCATTCTAGCACCCCAACGCCTACCTCAGCCCCCAACTCTAAATAACTTCTTTCCACCTTGCTAAGAATGCAACGTTGTGATTCACATCAAGCTTTAGGAGGCTCCCCATATGTAGGGAACTGGGGTGAGGGGCAGGGCAGGATTCACTGTTCCAGGTTACGGAGCTTTGGTTAACACGGAGAGAAGCTACACATAGACTCACACAGTATGCAAATACCTATGGAGATACATAAGGAAAGGCCCCGGCCTGGTTAAGGAAAAGGAGCCGATAAAACCTCTCCAGGTAAGGAACAGCCTAGAAAGGGAATCTCAGTTATTCCTTCTGATATGGCTTAGCTTTCCCCAGGGCGCCTACTTTGAAGAAAGAGCCCTGATTATTGGCCCGGGGAACGTCTGGGGGCAGGGTGCCCATTTCCTAGGCGGGACCCGACCGGAAGCAAACTTGTAGGCAACAACATTTCCTCTAGTTCCTCTCCTCTTCCCCACCAGGGTCCTCAGCCACACACCCCGAGCCCTGCCTGCGGGCCCAGCCCCCCCATTTCCGGAGCCTGCGCCCCGGACCCAGCGGGGGCTGATCCCTGGGAAAGGCCTGGCTTCCTCTTCCTTCCTGTCCCTGCCCCACCTCCGCCGGGCTCCACAGCCGCCGGGAGCCCAGGGCCGAGACGGGAGGAGGGCACCCACCTGGTCGGTGTCACATGCTGCTTCGGCCCCAGCGTCCCCTCCAGGTCCCGGCGCCGGCCGCAGTCCCCAGAGCCGTCCCCAGCGCAGGCCCGGCCGCCCCACCCGCGGCCCGCCCCTGGCCGCCCGACGGGAGGGAGGGATCGGGTTCTCCTAGGAAGTTTCAGGTGAGGAAACAGGGACACACCTTCCCGGAGGAGGGGCAGGGCCCCTCCGCGCGCGAGCCCCATTGGTGTGAAAGAAGCTCCCGCGTCAGAGCTGGGAAGTGCCGGGCCGGCGGGGAGGGGAGCCCGGGCGCACGGGCCAGGCCGCGGGCTGTCCCAGGGAGCCCCGAGGGCGCGGTGCGCGGGCGCAGGTCGGGCGCAGGCGGGGTGACCCGGGGAAGGGGCGCGCACAGAGACAGAGGGAGCCAGCCGGGCCCCACGGTGTCCTCGGACGCCTCCGAAATCTCCCTGCGTGTTTGTTTCTTCGGAGCTTCACCGGAGCCTGACTCTGGAACCGGCCTGTCTGCCTGCTGCAGTCTGTATGTGTTTGTCTTTTGCCTTGGCCGTGCCTCTGGAAGTCTGACATCCGTGGTTGTACATGTGTCTTTATCTTCAGGCCTCATTGGTTTTTGGTTTGTTCGTTGTTGTTGTTGTTGTTGTTGTTGTTGTTGTTGTTTTTTCTGAGACGGAGTCTCGCCCTGTTGCCCAGGCTGGAGTGCAATGGCGCGATCTCGGCTCACTGCAACCTCCGTCTCCGGGTTCAAGAGATTCTCCTGCCTCAGCCTCCCGAGTAGCTGGGATTACAGGTCCGCGCCACCATGCCCGGCTAATTTTTGTATTTTTTAGTAGAGGCCGGGTTTCGCCATGTTGGCCAGGCTGGTCTGGAAACTCCTGACCTCAGGTGATGCACCCGCCTCGGCCTCCCAAAGTGCTGGGATTACAGGCGTGAGCCACCGCGCCCGGCCAAGGCCTCAGTGTTGATTTCTCTTCCGTGATGTCTCCTCCTATAGAATAAAGAGTGTCTCCTCCATCTCCTCCTCCGCCCCCTTCTTCGTTTCTCTCTCTCTCTCCCTCCCTCCTCCCCCCTCCCTGTCCCTCTCCCTGCCTCTTCCTCTCCCCTCTTCCTTCTCCTACTTAGGGCCTAGAAGTGTGCCTCTCTGAAAGGACATGCCCGTGTCCTTCTGTATTCCCGAGTTTATTTTAGAATGAGTGCGTATCTCAGGGTGTATGTTCCTTCTAGGGCCTGTGTGTGTGTGTGTGTGTGTGTGTGTGTGTGTGTGTGTGTATTTAAATCTCTAAGCCCATGTTTGTGTGTTTTCTTATGCCTGTATTTTTTTTTTTATTCTTTCAGGGAAACGTTGTGTTCTGTTAGTCTTGGAGGCCAAGGCTGAGTGGGTTTATCTCTGTGCCCCTCCAGTGACTTCAAAGAATGCCAAAAGTCTCTCGAGTGTGCCTGTGTGCACACACAGACACACACAAAGTAGGAATCCTTTACCTGGGGGACAGAGATTTCTGTTATTTTTGGTTGAATCTGACCACTCCCCAAAGCCATTCACTACTCCAGGGGTTTCCATGGTGACATAAGTCAAGTGAAATATTAATGGACTCCTTGCGTATTTTGCTCTTAGGAATGCCATGGTCTACAGCCCAAACAGCTTGGCTAGACCATTTCCAGATCACTGTGCCCATTGGCTGTTGCCAATGATCCTGGTTGAACGTGTTCACTAGTTATTTTGAGGTGGCTGTAGAATAGAATGTAATTAAGGAAGTATAGCCTCTTCTGTAATAGAGTCCTGAACAGCTTTATGTTAAAAAAGTGTGCTACTTCTGCCATGTTACTCTGAAGGATTAAGTCTTAAACAGTTCAGCAGTTTTCAGCCTACTCTAAGCTGCCATGGAGTGTATGGGAAACTATAGGAAAAATTGGGATTAAGACTCAAAAATCTGGATTAAGAAGGGCAGGCCTTGCATGTGTCCTAGGCTCAGCAAAAGGGTAAGAACTGGGAGTACAGAAAGGCAAAAAGTTCAAACTGGGACTGGCTCTACTTCTAGGCTGGAATACAAAACTCATTCCCAGGTATGAGAGGGTCCTTGATTTATACCGAGTGAGCAAAGTGAGTAAACTTCTGATCTAGGGCAGAAGCTGTTGACCTCTGGGTCGGGTGCGGTGACTCACAACTGTAATCCCAGCACATTGGGAGGCCTTGGCCGGTGGATCACCTGAGTTCAGGAATTTGAGGCCAGCCTGGCCAAACATGGCGAAACCCCTTCTCTACTGAAAATACAAAAATTAGCTGGGCTTGGTGGTGGGCACGTATTCCCAGCTACTTGGGAGGCTGAGGCAGGAGAATTGCTTGAACCCAGGAGGCAGAGGCTGCAGTGAGCTGAGATTGCACCACTGCACTCCAGCCTGGGTGACAGAGTGAGACTCTGTCTAAAAAATACAAAAAAAAAAAAAATTGTTGACCTCTGGCATATTTCATGCTGCCTACTGGGGGTGGGCAATGGGGTCAGAGGTACCAGAACTGCCTCCTGAACCAGCCTGGCTATTCTTTCTGCTTCCCTCCAGCTTCAGTTGGTTCTCCTTGATTACAGCGCTCTCTCTCTCTCTCTCTCTCTCTCTCTCTTTTCTCATCAACTTGACCTCCTCTTGTTCTGCCAGCTCTGACTTGTCAGCATATTTTTTTTTGAAGTCACAACCCTGGATTCTTGTGCGCTTGTCCAGAGAGTTAGCACACAAGGCTTTTCCTGACTTTTCAACTAGTAGGAAAGTTACAACCGACCATTTAGGGAGTTTGCTCTTCCCATCAAGACTGTTCCTGTCTGCAGGGTGTATTTGCATGTGGAGGTCACTCTAGCTCTCCCAGGTATTCTTCCTTTCACTTTGCAGACTATGGTTCTCAGCATTTTATTATTTTTTTTCTTTTTCATTTCTTACTGCGTGGTCTTGGTGACTGGGTTTCTTAATCAAGCCTGTCATCCCATCCTGAGATTTTGATATTTTATTTGGGCCTATATTTCCTCTATAAAGGCCTAGAGAGGAGAGAGAATGATGCCATGGAAAGAGAATGAGATTTAGATTCAGACAGGGGTAAATTTGAATCCTGCATTCCATTTACTTAATGTGAAATCTTGGGCATATTCACCTTCCTGTGCTTTCTCTGAATCTTCCTACGTTTCATTTCCCTAATGTCTTAATTGGGGATAATAATATGTAATGATACCTACGTCACTGGATTGTTGTGGTGATTCAATACTGTAATATATAGAAATCACCTTAGTATAAGTACCTGATGTGTAAAGGTGGCCAAGATGGGTTAGTTTCCTTTCCTAGCAGTGCCTGTCAGTGATGCATGTGGAATGAATATATTTATAAGAACAAAGTGATAGGGGCTGGGAACAGTAAATAGATTCAAAATAAAGCTATTTTAAAATGAAAGCCCTATTAGACGAGGCTGAATAAAAATAGCTTCTAGAACTTGGGACTACTTTAATTGACAATAATGCCTTTAAGATCAAGTTATGGGGCTTGGGGAGAGGCAGGGAACAATCTTGTATAGTTCTAGGTATCAGGACTAAAGGAATGACAATGACCTTTTTTGAAGCAGGAACTCATCAGCATTATCCCTAGGGCTGTCATTGTCCTGACTAGATACTGTCATGGTGCCACCATCCCACATGACTGGCTGCATTGTTCCCACGTGGTGAACTCTCTCTGACTCTCAGCTGGTCCAGTGCTAGTTCTTGGAACACTCCTAAGGCCTTTCTGCCTCTGCTTTTTGCCTGATCCTGTGACCCAACATTGAACCTTTCGAACTGATTTTGAACTCAGTTCTTCTTTTTTTTGAGATGGAGTCTCGCTCTGTCGCCAGGCTGGAGTGCAATGGCGTGATCTCGGCTCATGGCTACCTCTGCCTCCTGGGTTCAAGCGTTTCTCCTGCCTCAGCCTCCTGAGTAGCTGGGATGACAGGCATGTGCTGCCACACCCGGCTAATTTTTGTATGTTTAGTAGAGATGGGGTTTCACCATATTGGTCAGGCTGGTCTCGAACTCCTGACCTCATGATCTGCCTGCCTCGGCCTCCCAAAGTGCTGGGATTATAGGCATGAGCCACCGTTCCTGGCCCCAGTTCTTCTGTTAATGGGGCTGACCGTGGTCTCTCCATTCATCTCTGTTGAAGCCAGGCTGGCTTGACCACTGTGGTTCTTAGCTATCTTCTTCTATTCTGTTTTTTTGTTTTATTTTATTTTATTTTATTTTTCAGAGATGGAGTCTTGCTCTGTCCAGCCCAGGCTGGAGTGCAGTGGCACGATCTAGGCTCACTGCAACCTCTGCCTCCTAGGTTCAAGTGATTCTCTTGCCTCAGCCTCCCCAGTAGCTGGGATTACAGGTGCGCACCACCAAGCCTGGCTAATTTTGTGTTTTTAGTAGAGATGGGGTTTCACTATGTTGGCCAGGCTCATCTCAAACTATTGACCCCAAGTGATTGGGATTACAGGCGTGAGCCACTGCGCCCAGCCTATCCTCTTCTATTCTGATGAGCATGGTTTTATTTTCTATCCTTGGCTTCCCCTTATTTATTTTCTCAACCTTTACACATTGATTGGCATAGGCCTAAATTTAATGCCATTCAAGGCATACATACTAATTGCCTCATTCATTTTTTCTTCTATTCATTTACTCAGTATGCATTCTTAGAAACCAGATATACAAAGACAAGATCTCTGCTTTCAAGAAGCTCTCAATCTGATTGAGGAGAGAAACAGGTAGCAAATAATGGCAGCAGAGCATGGTAAGTGTTATGTTGAGATGGACACAAAGTACAATGGAAGCATAAAGGAGAGAGTAGGTGGCACTCCTTGGGGAATCAGAGAAGCCTGAATGGATAAGGTGGATTATATATATTTTTTTCTTTTTGAGATAGGGTCTCACTGTGTCACCTAGGCTGGAGTGTAGTGGCGCAATCATGGCTCACTGTAGCCTCAAACTCCTGGGTTTAGGTGATCCTCCCACCTCAGCCTCCTGGGGCTGGAACTAGAGATGTGTACCACCATGCACACCTGGCTAATTTTTGGTATATTTTTGTAAAGACAGAGTTTTGTCATGTTACCCAGGCTGGTCTCGAACTCCTTGACTCAAGCAATTCACTCACCTTGGCCTCCCAAAGTGCTGGGATTACAGGTGTGAGCCAACGTGCCCGGCGAAGGTGAGATTTGAGTTGACTTGTCTTTTAAAAATATTCTGTTACTGGCCGGCATGGTGGCTCATGCCTTTAATCCCAGCATTTTGGGAGGCCGAGGCGGGGGATCACGAGGCCAGGAGATTGAGACCATCCTGGCTAACATGGTGAAACCCCGTCTCTACTAAAAATACAAAAAAAATTAGCCGGGCTTGGGAGACTGAGGCAGGAGAATGGCGTGAACCTGGGAGGCAGAGCTTGCAGTGAGCCGAGATCGCACCACTGCACTCCAGCCTGGGCGACAGAGCGAGAATCTGTCTCAAAAAAAAAAAAAAAAAAATTCTGTTAACCTGGTATAGAGGAGGATATAGGAAAAGCATACCAATAGCAGAAGTGAAATATGCAAAAATACAAGCCTGAGCACCCTCTGTTCAGGGATGTGCAAATAGTGTGGGTTTAACATGAGATGTGGTGAAGAAATGGCAGAGAATGAAGTTGGAAGGGTAGTCGGGCAGCCAAATCATGAAAGGCCTTGTAGGCCATTCCTGCTACTGAGTTTGGACTTCATCCTTCTGGGGATAGGCCTCCTTGGAAGGGTTTCAAGCAAGGTCATGATGAGATCAGATTCTAAGGTTAGATTTAGAAAAAAAAGCTCTGGGGGCAGTTGAGAGAATGGACTGGTGTGGATAGTGAAGTGGAGGGGCAAGGAAGGCAATCAGCTGTTGTAGCAATTAGATGGATATTGTAGTCATGGAGGTAAGAAAAGAAGACACCTTGAACGAATGCAGGGGCAATGGGAAAATAAGACAGGGAATGGATTTTAGTATTGTGCTGACTGTTTTTTTTTTTTTTATTTATTTATTTTATTTATTTTTTTTTTTGAGACGGAGTCTCACTCTGTCACCCAGGCTGGAGTGCAGTGGCGGGATCTCGGCTCACTGCAAGCTCCGCCTCCCGGGTTCACGCCATTCTCCTGCCTCAGCCTCCCAAGTAGCTGGGACTACAGGCGCCCACCACTACGCCCGGCTAATTTTTTTGTATTTTTAGTAGAGACGGGGTTTCACCGTTTTAGCCGGGATGGTCTCGATCTCCTGACCTCGTGATCCGCCCGCCTCGGCCTCCCAAAGTGCTGGGATTACAGGCGTGAGCCACCGCGCCCGGCCGTGCTGACTGTTTTTTGAAGATAAAATGATCAAGTCAGATTTGAAGAATTGACTGTTGGAGGTGAATAAAATGATGTCCTCTCTGAGTACTTCTCTGTTTGTGAGAGGACTCCTTGAGGAGTTCTGCTCTTGATTTTGCAGGGGCTGCCTCTAGAGCTCTGTGTTTTATTTGCAGAAAGAAGCTCAACTATTAATACTTTGCTGCTTGCTTTGAACTTGCATTTCACAGCCTGGCCCTTTTTTTTCTCAATGTTGCTACTTTGCTTTCAAGATGTAGAGGCCTATTGGCCAGATAGACACATCAAAGAGCCTTGCCTAGGAGTTTAGTCACAGCTGTCATCATTTGTGTCCAGGAGCCATGGGCTTCAGCTTGCCTGGTTTGATCGGCACTACCTGTTTTTCTTTTTTTTAATCAGTAGTGGTAAGAGTGGTAAGATGGGTGGTTCTGGGAAGGGTTACTGAGGAAATGGTCTGTTTTGCTTGTAAAAAGAATGTTTCTATTAACTCAGACATTTAGAAACTCACTTATTCTCAGAGATATTAAGTCATGGGTGTAGGAAAAGGATGGGAGTTTAAGAAGTGAAAGAGACCACCTCGACCTGAATGAATGAATGAATTGTGAATTTTTAATAATTCACAGTTGTGTTCACTTGTGAATTATTAATAATGTATATAACAACTAAGTGTGCGGAGGGTCTCAACGTATAGTTTGTGGATGTGCGGGTGATCCAGCTGTGACATCTGCCACACCATAGATCAAAGTGTAGTTTGTGGTACACCTGCATTGGAGTCTCCAATTCGCTTTGTGAGTCATTCTTTTTTTTTGAGATGGAGTCTTACTCTGTTGCCCAGGCTGGAGTGCAGTGGCATGATCTTGGCTCACTACAACCTCCGCCTCCCAGGTTCAGGCAGTTCTCTGCCTCAGCCTCCTAAGTAGCTGGGGTTGCAGGCGCCCGCCACTACGCCTGGCTAATGTTTTTGTATTTTTAGTAGAGATGGGGTTTCACCATACTGGCCAGGCTGGTCTTGAACTCCTGACCTCGTGAACCACACACCTCAGCCTCCCACGGGTCATTCTTAAGCACAGTAAAGCTTAGGACTCAGGGTGTTCCAGCTTGTATAGAAGGAAGAAGTACAGTGGACTGCAATGCCTGCTTTAAGGATATTAGGGAAACAAGAAAAGAAACTTTTGTGCCAGGCCACTGGGTATAAAGTTTTATGACCCGAGGATGGAAGGAAATTAGAAACAGGGATTGTAAGGCCAACAGGGAGAAAAGCAGAGCAAGTATTCAACAATTTCGTTAGACAGTACATGTAATCAGTTGTAGTTTAACACTGGACATGCATGTGTGATGTAATTTTTGAAGTTATGAAAGTGTAAGCAATCTTTTGTTCCGAGTTTACCCCTGGATGCTGTGGGCAATGAGGGATGAGCCTGGTGCAATGAAGAAGTAAATTGCTGCACAGCATGGTGCCTCAGGCCTGGAGCTCTTCACATCCTTTAGAGCTGGATTAAGAGATGCTGTGTTAGCTCCAGCAAAGGTCACTAGGAGTCTTTGGGTTAAATTTTTTTTTTTTTAATCCACAAATTCTTGTAGTTCACTGAACTTCTTTAAGAGGAGGAAAGCCCAACTTGGGGTCGATAAATGGTATAGTAAATATTTGTTCAAGTTCTGAAATGGACTATCATTTTAAAGAGTTGATTAGCAAAGTTGAAAATACCTGATATTCTCTATGGTTTGTATCTGTGGGAGATGTTTGGTGGAATGGTCAGGAGGAAGAGATGGAAAGAGTGCCATTGCCTTAAAAAAAAAGAACAGCCCTGGCCGGGTGTGGTGGCTCACGCCTGTAATCCCAGCACTTCGGGAGGCCAAGGTGGGCAGATCACCTGAGGTCAGGAGTTCAAGACCAGCCTGGCCAACATGGCAAAACCCTGTCTCTACTAAAAAAAATACAAAAATTAGCCAGGCTCAGTGGCTTGCACCTGTAATCCCAGCTACTCGGGAGACTGAGACAGGAGAATCGCTTGAACCCAGGAGGTGGAGATTGCAATGAGCCGAGATTGCACCACTGCACTCCAGCCTGGGCAACAAAGCAAGACTCCATCTCAAAAAAAAAAAAAAAAAAAAAAAAGAATAGCCTCTTACCAGCTCTGCTGGGTTCTAAAAGATGAATAGGTTGCCTACCCTGATGTCAAGGAGCTCACAGTGTAATGGATGTGACAGATGAACAACAGTGTTGAAGTGCAGTGCACTTTATGCTAGAGGTGCCATGGGAGTTTGGAGGAGGAAAAGATTATCTTGTCGGTGAGTTTATAAACCAATGCCAAAGTGATGATGCCTCTGTGTGATGCTTGTAGGTCAGCAGTTACACCATCACTCTTCCTAAGTCTCTAGACTAGAGGCTCATATTTTTCGAATCTCCTGTACAAAGACATTTTTAACTTGAGTGCATATATCATAGAAAAATATGTATACTTCCAAATCTCATTCAGTTGAACATTTCCAAAACGTCTGGTACATAATGTCTGAGAATGCCCAGGTCCTCCTGGAGGCTGGGTATAGCTATGGTGAGGTGTTGCAGTCATGAAGAGGGAGTGGGTCCTTGCCTGCCTGCCCTACAGTGAGCAATCCCTAGAAGCGCTGTTATTCAGGTTGTCTTGCTTTTTGTCTTTTGAAATGTTTGGATTTGGGATGTTTTGGAAATTTCCCCATCCAAAATTTTTGGAAGATAGGGATGGGGATGGGAATGATCCCTGTTCCTTATTTTTTATTTTTATTTTTTTGATACAGGGTCTCGCTTTGTTGCCTAGACTGGAGTGCAGTGGTGCTATCATGGCTTACTGCAGTCTCCACCTCCCAGGCTCAAGCAATCCTCCCACCTCAGCCTCCCGAGTAGCTGGGACTACAGGTGCACACCACCATGCCTGGCTAATTTTTGTATTGTTTTGTAGAGATGGGGGTCCCACTTTGTTGCCCAGGCTGGTCTCAAACTCCTGGGCTCAAATGATCCACCTGCCTCAACCTCCCAAAGTGCTGGCGAGATTACAGGCGTGAGCCACTGCACTCAGCCAATTCCTGTTCTTTTGAAATGGAGTCTCGCTCTGTGGCCCAGGCTGGAGTGCAGTGGCATGATCTAGGCTCACTGCAAGCTCCACCTCCCGGGTTCATGCCATTCTCCTGCCTCAGCCTCCTGAGTAGCTGGGACTACAGGCGCCCGCCACCACGCCCGGCTAATTTTTTGTATTTTTAGTAGAGGCAGGGTTTCACCGTGTTGGCCAGGATAGTCTTGATCTCCTGACCTCATGATCCTCCCGCCTCAGCCTCCCAAAGTGCTGGGATTACAGGCGTGAGCCACCGCGCCCAGCCCAATTCCTGTTCTTAAAGAGACTATAACCAGTAAAGTTCATTTAGTGGAGTTCTGGCTCTACTGTATTTGTTACCAGAAAGAGGTTCTGGTCCCAACCCCAAGGGAGTGTTCACGGGCCTTGCACAAGAACGAATTTGGGGCAAGCCCGTAAAGGGAAAGCAAGTTTATTAAGAAAGCAAAGGAATAAAAGAATGGGCTGTTCGACTGAGTATACTTACAGTTATTTCTTCATTATATGCTAAACAATGGGTGGATTACTCATGAGTGTTCCAAGAAAGGTACAGGCAGTTCCCAGAACTGAGGGTTCCTCTCCACTTTAGACCCTATAGGGTCTAAAGTTCAGACACTGCCTGGCATTTTTAAGTTGTCATGGCACTGGTGGGAGTGTCTTTTCGCATGCTAATGAATTATGAGTAGCATATAATGAGCAGTAAGGATGACCAGAGAGGTCACTTTCATCACTGTTTTGGATTTGGTGGGTTTTGGCTGGTGTCTTTACTGTATCCTGTTTTATCAGCAAGGTCCTTGTGACTTGTATCTTGTGCCGACCCCTATCTCATCCTGTGACTAAGAACGCCTAACCTCCTGGGAATGTAGCCCCATAGGTCTCAGCTTTGTTTTATCAAGTCCCTATTTATGATGGAGTCACTGTGGTTTGAACACTTCTGACACAGTGGCTCCCAAACCTGGCAAATCAGCAAAATTTCCTTAAAATCCATCTGTCTATCAATCAATCTATCTATCTATCTATCTATCTATCTATCTATCTATCTATCTATCTATGAGACAGAGTCTTGCTATGTCGCTTAGGCTGGAGTGCAGTGGCGTGATCATAGCTCACTGCAGCCTTGAACTCCTGGGCTCAAGCCATCCTCTCACCTCAGCCTCCCTGGTAGCTGGGACTACAGGTACACACCACCATGTACAGCTAATTTTTAATTTGTTTGTAGAGATGGGGTCTCAGTACTCTCTATTTTCCCAGACTGATTTTGAACCCCTGGCCTCAAGGGATCCTCCTCCCTTGGCTTCCCTGGGTGCAGAGGTTACAGGCATGAGCCACTGGGCCTGACTGTTGTTTGTTTTTAAGATGATTATGATTAGGATGAGAAGCCAGGTTTAGGAATCCTGATAGAAAAGCAGTGGTTCTTTAGCAGAGGCTTCCATCATAATCATCTGATCAGCATTCTGAATTTGCCATTGCCCTAAACCCACGGAGTTTTAATTCTGTAGGTTTGGGGTCAAACAGAACTATTTGAAAATAGCTCCTTGCTGATTTGGATGCCTAATAATAGTGGAAACTCTCTGACCCACAGCAGTGATTTTTAAACATCTTTCATTCTACCTCCTGTCAATAAAAAAATTTTGAGCAGGCATTTCCCCAGTATATGCATGTTTTATTTATTTATGAATTATATATGTGTACTTCTGTATGATATGCAAACACAGATGTTTTAAAATAATGAGGTACAAATAAATGTCATTGAAAGCTCTAATATTTTTATCTCGTTCCCCCAGTGGATACACTGAGGATCCCATTGTGTAGAACATTGAGAGAAAGAACAGGGCCAGTGGTTCCATAATTGACCCCAACTCTTATTTAGCTGCTACTATCACGGGTAGCTGTCTGAAACAGAATCACTGGTTCCCACCCCAACCAAAGCACTCCTACTCCATTCCTTAATTTATGCAGTCATTCAACACATGTATAGGTTTAGCAGACCTAATCCCCAAATCTCAAATCCAAAATGCTCCAAATTGTGAAATATGATACTCAAAGGAAGTGTTCATTGGAACATTTGACATTTGGGATTTTTGGACTTGGGACGCTCAACTGGCTAAGTACCTGCAAATATTCCCAAATCCAAAGAAATCCAAAATCCAAAACACTTCTGGTCCCAAGCATTTCAGATAAGGGATACTCAACCCATATTGTGCAAAGCGTTGAATGAGGGGCTAGGGATATAGTTGTGCACATGGTCTTTGATCTCAAGGACCTAGGTTATGCCCGCATAAACATTAAACAAATGATTACTTAATAATAAATTACTATAATTTTGATGGATGCTAAAAAGTGTGAACTCAAAAGTACCTGAGACAAGTCTCAAAGAAAGTTTAGAAAGTTTATTTTGCCAGAGTTAAGGATATACCCATGACAGGGTTTCAGGAGGTTCCGATGACGTGCCCGAGGTGGTCAGGGTACAGCTTGCTTTTATACATTTTTGGGGAGACATAATACATCAATCAATACATGTAAGATTTACATTGGTTCAATCTGGAAGGGTGGGACAATTTGAGGGCGGGGGTAGGAGGGCTTGCAGGTCATAGGTAGATTTATAAATTTTCTGATTTGTAACTGGTCAAAATAATTATTATCAATAGGAATGTCTGGGATATGTTAAGGGGTTGTGGAGACCAAGGTTTTATCATGTAGATGAAGCTTCCAAGTGGCAGGTTTCAGAGAGAATAGATGGTAAATGTTTCTTTTTTTTTTTTTTTTTGCCAGGTCATTCAACATTTATTCAACCAAAAATACTAAGTCAGCTCTATACAAACTAATGGAAGGATACAGCTATGCAAATATAGAACACTAAAGTGTTACATGACAGATGTATGAGGTAGGTATTATTTTCATGCGCGTCCGTGTGAAGAGACCACCAAACAGGCTTTGTGTGAGCAACATGGCTGTTTATTTCACCTGGGTGCAGGCGGGCTGAGTCCGAAAAGAGAGTCAGTGAAGGGAGATAAGGGTGGGACCGTTTTATAGGATTTGGGTAGGTAAAGGAAAATTACAGTCAAAGGGGGTTTGTTCTCTGGTGGGTAGGAGTGGGGGTCGCAAGGTGCTCAGTGGGCAGGAGTGGGGGTCGCAAGGTGCTCAGTGGGGGTGCTTTTGAGCCAGGATGAGCCAGGAAAAGGACTTTCACAAGGTAATGTCATCAGTTAAGGCAAGGACCGGCCATTTACACTTCTTTTGTGGTGGAATGTCATCAGTTAAGGTGGGGCAGGGCATATTCACTTCTTTTGTGATTCTTCAGTTACTTCAGGCCATCTGGGCCTATACCTGCAAGTCACAGGGGATGTGATGGCTTGGCTTGGGCTCAGAGGCCTGACATTCCTGCCTTCTTATATTAATAAGAAAAATGAAACAAAATAGTGTTGAAGTGTTGGGGTGGCAAAAATTTTTGGGGGGTGATATGGAGAGAGAATGGGCGATGTTTCTCAGGGCTGCTTCAAGCGGGATTAGGGGCGGCGTGGGAACCTAGATTGGGAGAGATTAAGATTTTAGTTTCCTGACTCTGGACATGTTGAGTAAAGCTAATTTGCCAGTCCTGGGTGGGGGCAAATCCTCGAGCTTGCTGTGTAGGGAAGGAAGGGGGCCTGAATAATCCCTGAGGAATAGTAGAATAGCAGATGGAACACTGAGAAATTATTTCCTTGAGGATAGATTTCCACGATGGAAAGGAAATGAGAGGTTCTGAAAGGCGGGCTAGTGGCTTGTACTATAGCATAGCCTGCCTTTGCTGGTGTGTGGCGATTAGGCCTGGTGGAACTGCCATCAATAAATCAAGCGTGATCAGGGTGAGGAACAGGAAAGATATGGCAAATGTTTCTTATCAGGCCTTAGGTCTGTGTTGATGTTAGTGCCGGTCGGCTCTTCCTGAATTCCAAAAAAGAGGAGGGCATAATGAGGCATGTCTGACCCCCACTTCCATCACAGCCTGAAACAGTTTTTCAGCTTAACTTTGGAATGCCTTTGGCCTAGAGGAGGTGTCCTTTCAGATGGTTGGGAGGTCTCAGAATTTTGTTTTTGATTTCTGAAAGTATATATATATAAAACCTGAGAATGACCTCTTCTGGAGGGTTTGAGAAATCTGTAATTTGGAGGCAGGAGTGTCATTGAAGGAAAGCTAGAAAATTTCAGATCTGGAGGACAGAGGTGGAAATCCCATAGCAGAAGATGAAACTGAAGATGTGAGCAGAGACCAGGGATCACGTGGGCCTAGTAGACCATGTTAAGGAATTTGATCTTTATTTTGAGGGCAAGGTAATCCATTGAAGGATCTAAGGGAGAGTGACAGGGCCAGATTTTCATCTCAAAAAGATCACTTAAAGGTGCAGCAAGTTGTATCAATTCTTTCCCTTCTTTCTCTTTTTGAGATAGGGTCTCATTCTGTCACCCAGGCTGGAGTGCAGTGATGTGATCATGGCTCACTTCTGCCTCAACCTCCTGGGCTAAAGCCATCCTTCTACCTTGGTCTCCCCAATAGCTGGGACTACAGGCATGCACCACCACACCTGGCTCATTTTTAATTTTTTTTGTAGACATGGGGTCTCACTATGTTGCACAGGCTGCTGTCAAACTCCAGGGCTCAAGTGATCCTCCCACCTCAGCCTCCCAAGGTGCTGGGATTGTAGGTATGAGCCACTGCACCCAGCCTATTCTCTCCTTTCTTATCTTTTGCTTGTATTTAGAAACCTTTGCTTTTACAGTTGCCCTCAGATTACACTCCCTTTTTCCCTACTTTCTATGAACTCTTACAAGTCCTCCAAGATCCATCTCTGTTGTTACCTTCTTGGTGAAGCCTTTTCTTATTCTCTCCTCCAAACATCCACACTTTTTAGAGCTAATGTATTTTATGTATGTATTTTTTAATTTATATGGTATACGTGCTGCTGAAGCGAGCACTAGAGCTAATCTCTATAAAGGCACTTTGTAGGTTTTATTGCAGTACCTATTTTGGTAAATTGGGGGAGGACAGTTGCAGAAAATAGAATTCCTTGAAATCTTCATGGCACGGTATCATTTGGTTTCTTTGGTTTGTTCAAGCTCCTGCCTTAGTTTACTTATTCCTTTCTTATTATAACGAATTCTGCACTGTTTGTATGTGTTTTTAATTTACATAAATGCTGTCTTTTATCGACTTTACACTTTTTACTTTTTAAAATTAGGACGAGTTTTAAACATCTACTCATTTTCCTTTGTGTATCTGTAGTCTTTTGCTTCTAACCAGTGCTTTTGTTCCACAGTCTGAATTCATCATATTTTACCTATTCTCACTTTCAGTGGTGGCCACCCAAATCCTTTCACCTTCCCTGTATCACAAACGATGCTGTAATGAGCAGCCTTGTATACATCCTTTACGGACCTGTGTGAGAATTTCTGTGGGATGTGAACATCCAAGATCAGAATTCTGGGGTTGGAAAGCGATGGTGTGCTTATTTAGCCAGATCCTGGCTGTTGCTCCCTCGAATGGCTGCACTGACTGTGTGTTCATCACAGTGCAAGAGTCTTTGTAGCCCCATGTCCCCAACAACACTGGGCATGTTTTGATCAGTTGAGTAGCTTCAAAGCGGTATTACACTGCTGTTTAATTTTCATTTCTCTGGTTACTAGTGGGTTGAGGATCTCAGTAAATTTGTTGTCATGTGATTATTCACATTGCCTATCATGCCTTTGTCTACTTTTCTGTTGAGTTACTCTCATTTTCCTGTTGCCTTGCAAAACTTTCTTGTATCCTTGCAAAACTTTCTTGTTGCCTTGCAAAAGCCTAGGTGGAAGGATGGCTTGAGCCAAGGAGGTTGAGGCTGCTGTGAGCCAGGATCATGTCACTGTACTCCAGCCTGGGTGACAGAATGAGACCCTATCTCAAAAAGAAAAAGAAAAAGAAGAGAAAGAGTAGATACAGTTTGCTGCACCCTTAGGTGATCTTTTTGAGTTGCAAATCTGGCCCTGTCACTTGTATAATCTTAATGTTAGTTATCTGTAAGTTTTAGATATTGAAAACATTGTCTCCTAGTAATCTGAACAGAAATGTGTAACAATTTTGCCACACATTAATTCTTCTATATTATCTTAACAGCTTTATTTTCCATCCTGAGTCTATTTTTTAGTCTAATGATATTGAGTAGATACTTAATTATGTCAGTCTATTATGTCAGTTTTTAAACTCCAATGTTCATCTTTTCTTGATTTATGCTACCAACTTTATTATGTATTACATTCTTATAAGTAGATGAGTCTGTTTCTGACGCTTGCTCTCTGTTCTGTTCTACTTGTCCATTTAAATGTTCTTGCTCGAAATTGTTTCTATGACAGTGGCTTTGTAGTACATCCATGGATTTGGTTGGGACACTCCCTCCCCTACTTCTACTTTTCTCCTCTTTCTCAACGTTTATTTAGTTATTTGTGGACCTTTATTTTTCCATGTAGATTATAGAGGTTTTCAGAGATCCTCAGAAAACCCAACTGAAATCTTACTTGAGGTTAATTTGGGGGAGAATTGAGATTTTATGATAATAAACCACCCTTCCCAAAAGTATAGACTGTCTCCCCAATTATTCTTCTCATCTTATATGTTCTTTAGACTAATTTAGACTAATATGCCTTCTCATATTCTGCAGAGAGAAAGGTCTAGTGTCTCTTCCTCTAGTTATAAGGGCACTAATCCCATCAAGGGGGATCTACCCTCCTGACCTCATCTAAGCACAATTATTTTCCAAATGCCCCACCTCCCAATACCATTGCATTGAGGTTAGAGCTTCCTATGTGAATGGGAGGGTGGAGGAAAGAACACAAACATTCAGTTTATTACATATCTTATAAAATATTATGAATCTGGTTAAAGTATTTTCAAAGAAATGTTTTAACTATGGAGACCAGATGAGTGAACAATGAACCTTGCCATAAATATGACAGCAGAGAAAAAATGACTATCCTTGATATGGTTTGGCTATGTCCCCACCCAAATCTCAACTTGAATTGTGTCTCCCAGAATTCCCACATGTTATGGGAGGGACCCACGGGGAGGTAATTGAATCTGAAATGCTCTTCCTATCTTTCTATGCTTATTTATCAGTCCTCTGCTAATTCTTTTCAATGATTGATTCAATGATGAATTCCCATGCTATTCTCATGATAGTGAATTAAGTCTCACGAGATCTGATGGGTTTATCAGGGGTTTGCACCTTTACTTCTCTCTCGTTTTCTCTTGCCACTGCCATGTAAGAAGTGCCTTTTGCCTCCCACCATGATTCTGAGGCCTCCCCAGCCATGTGCAACTGTAAGTCCAGTTAAACCTCTTTTTCTTCCCAGTCTTGGATATGTCTTTATCAGCAGTATGAAAACTGACTAATACAGTAAATTGGTACCAGTGGAGTGGGGTGCTGCTGAAAAGATACCTGAAAATGTGGAAGCGACTTTGGAACTGGGTAACAGGCAGAGGTTGAAACAGTTTGGAAGGCTCAGAAGAAGACAAGAAAATGTGGGAAAGTTTGGAACTTCCTAAAGACTTGTTGAATGGCTTTGACAAAAATGCTGATATTGCTATGGACAATAAGGTCCAGGCTGAGGGGGTCTCAGATGGAGATGAGGAACTTGTAGGGAACTGGAGCAAAGATGACTGTTGTTATGTTTTAGCAAAGAGACTGGTGGCATTTTGCCCCTACCACAGAGATTTGTGGAACTTTGATCTTGAGAGAGATGATTTAGGGTATCTGGCTGAAGAAATTTCTAAGCAGCAAAGCATTCAAGAGGTGATTTGGGTGCTGTTAAAAGCATTTCATTTTAAAAGGGAAACAGCATAAAAATTTGGAAAATTTGCAGCCAGTTGATGCAGCAGAAGAGAGAAACCTGTTTTTTGAGGAGAAATTCAAGCTGGCTGCAGAAATTTGCATAAGTTACAGGGAGCTGAATGTTAATCTCCAAGACAATGGGGAAAATGTCTCCAGGGCATGTCACAGGTCTTCATGGCAGCCCCTCCCATCACAGACCCTGAAGACTAGGAGGAAAAAATGGTTTTGTGGGCCAGGCCCAGGGTCCCCATGCTGTGTGCAGCCTAGGGACTTGGTGCCCTGCATCCCAGCTGCTCCAGCCATTGCTAAAAGGGCCGAGGTACAGCTCTGCCCATGGTTTCAGAGGGTGCAAGCCCCAAACCTTGGCAGCTTCCATGTGGTGTTGAGCCTGCAGGTGCATGGAAGTCAAGAATTGAGGTTTGGGAACCTCCATCTAGATTTCAGAAGATGTATGGAATCACCTGGATGCTCAGGCAAAAGTTTGCTCCAGGGGCAGAGCCTTCATGGAGAACCTCTGCTAGGGCAGTGTGAAGGGAAATGTGGGGTTGGAGCCCCCACACAGAATCCCTACTGGGGCACCACCTAGTGGAGCTGTGCGAAGAAGGCCACCGTCCTTCAGACCCCAGAATGGTAGATCCACCGACAGCTTGTACCGTGCACCTGGAAAAGCCACAGACCCTAAACGCCAGCCCGTGAAAGCAGCCAGGAGTGGGGACTATACCCTGTGAAGCCACAGGGGCAGAGCTGCCCAAGACTAAGGGAACCTACCTCTTGCATCATTGTGACCTGGATGTGAGACATGGAGTCAGAGGAGATCATTTTGGAACGTTATAATTTGACTGCCTCGCTGGATTTTGGACTTGCATGGGGCTTGTAACGCCTTTGTTGTGGGCAGTTTCTCCCATTTGGAATGGCTGTATTTACCCATTACCTGTATCCCCATTGTATGTAGGAAGTAACTAGCTTGCTTTTGATTTTACAGGATCATGGGTAGAAGGGACTTGCCTTGTTTCAGATGAGACTTTGGACTACGGACTTTTGGATTAATGCTGAGATGAGTTAAGACTTTGGGGGACTGTTTGGAAGGCATGATTGGTTTTGAAATGTGAGAACATGAGATTTGGAGGGGCCAGGGGCAGAATGATATGGTTTGGCTGTGCCCCCACCCAAATCTCAACTTGAATTGTTATCTCCCAGAATTCCCAGGTGTTGTGGGAGGGACCCAGGGGGAGGTAATTGAATCATGGGGGCCGGTCTTTCCCATGCTATTTTTGTGATAGTGAATAAGTCTCAGGAGATCTGATGGGTTTATCAGGAGTTTCTGCTTTTGTTTCTCTCTCATTGTCTCTTGCCGCTGCCATATAAGAAGTACCTTTTGCCTCCCACTGTGATTCTGAGGCCTCCCCAGCCATGTGCAACTGTAAGTCCAAGTAAACCTCTTTTTCTCCTCAGTTTTGGGTATGTCTTTATCAGCAGCGTGAAAATGGACTAATACAATCACCCTCTTCTTTGTTCTCCTTTCTATTTCATCTCTAATTTTTTTTGGCATTTGGAGGGTGCTATACATTGCAAAAGTTGGGGACTCACTAATTCCACTGCTCACTGTATATCAAGGTAATCTGTCAGGGGTTTGGTTTTATATAAGAAACAAATGAGTCCCCAGAACATACAAGTTAAGATTATTCAATCAAGGGAGGCAGTCATTACCCTTTAACCTCTGAAAGAAAACTGCAAGTAGGCATCAAACTAACCCTGAGATGGGAGAGAGTAGAAGTTCCCACACCCAGTGAATTGTAGGACATTAGGTAATTATTGGTGGGAAGTAAATTTGAGTGGGGAACTGAATTTCAACTGACTTTTATCCTTGAAGATGGTGCTTCTATTTTCTCAAATTAGAAGGTTATGAAAATTGCATCTGAACAACAAGTTGTATTAGCATAAGTTCTAGAAGAAACTGAGAAAGCAAGGCTAGTCTGAGGAAAATTTATACCGCTCACATTTCCCTTCTGAATTGGAGAATAGAATTGAATAGCAAAATTGTAACCTACCTTTCAAAGATGCATTTTATAGTGAAGTATATTTTGTGAACTTTTATATCTTCTATTCTTATTTTTCTATTGCCCTATTTTAAAATCTATCTTGAATTTATTAAATGTATATGTCTCTGTTTATATATTTATGAGTAATATGGTAGTCTTTTTGGTATCAGATGAGAACCCAACACACACAAATACATACTGACACATACAAAGATGTTTATACTGCCTCTTACATCTGTCGGAAGAGAGAGGGTTCCAAGAATTCCTGTGATGAGGGCTTAAAGCCAAATATTTTTGTTATCATTTTATACATATATATTTTATTTTTTTTCTATTTGGGAGAAGCTAGAAAACACACATTACTTTTTTTTGTATCTTTTCTGTTTTAGACTAAAATCTGCTGCTATTCAAAGAATAAATTGTATCTTTGTGTATTCTGATAGACATAATAAGTAAGTTGTGTAAGTTATAAGTATGTATAAGTAAGTTGTATCTTTGTGTACTCTTCTTCTGATAGACATAATAATATAAGACAAACCCAATAACAGCATGCTGTTTATTTTGAACACAGAAATGTCTTTAGTTCAGCCTAACTCTGTCCTTCCTTTTTGCTGATAGAAAGTCTTCGGCCTCATCCCTCGTCTCACGTCCTTGATGCCTATTTCTTGAGGTGTTCCATCCACTGTCAAAGTCCCCAGTCAGTGATTGTTCTTAGGTATGAGTATTCTTTTCCATCCTAATCCATGTTATCCCACTTATCTTCCAAAAGGCATCCTCTACTCCTAGAGCAGCACAACAGGTTTCCTTCTCTACTCTTGATGGTGAGCCCAGAGTACCCTGTTGTCTCTGTGGCCCTAGGCTTCCACTTACCCTGCCCTTACCTCTGTGGCAGTGGAGAGGATATGGTAGCAAAAGAGAGCAGGAGTGATCCACCATGTCCAGTCATCCTAGGGGATTGGTTCCAAGGACCCTTCCCACCCCCTGCAGATACCAAAATCCCCAGATGCTCAAGTCTCTGACATAAAATGGCTTAGTCTTTGCCTATAACCTATGCACATCCTCCTGTACACTTTAAGACATCTCTAGATTAATAGCTAGTACAATGTAAATCCTATGAAAATAGTCGTTATACTGTGTTGTTTAGGGAACGATAACAAGAAAAAAAGTCTGTACATTTTCAGTACAGACACAACCATCCATTTTTTTTCCTGAATTTTTTGATCCATTGTTGGTTGAAGCTACGATGTGGAGCCTGTGGATAAGGAGGGCTGACTGTACAGCTATGTCACATTTTTGACTGCCAAGGCACAGAGGCACAGAATAAAATAGAGAAAAATGGAGACAAGAATAAAGATGAGACCAGTGTAGTGGCTCACGCCTGTAATCTCAGCACTTTGGGAGGTGGAGGCGGAAGGACTGCTTGAGCCCGGGAGTTCAAGACCAGCTTGGGAAACATAGTGGGACCCTATCTCTATTTAAAATTTTTTTTTTCTTTTTGAGACAGAGTCTCGCTCTGTCACCCAGGCTGGAGTGCAGTGGTGTGATCTCAGCACACTGCAACCTCCACCTCCCAGGTTCAAGCGATTCTCCTGTCGCAGCCTCCCGAGTAGCTGGGACTATAGATGCCCACCACCACTCCCGGCTAATTTTTGTGTTTTTAGTAGAGGTGGGGTTTCACCATGTTGGCCAGGCTGATCGCAAACTCCTGATCTCAAATGTTCCACCCACCTTGGCCTCCCAAAGTGCTGGGATTACAGGTATGAGCCATCACGCCTGGACAGAAAAAATTTTTTTAAAGAATAAAGATGAATAGGAAGGGAGGTGCCATTCACTTCAGCAGAGACATCCTTCTATTTCCCTTGTGATGCAAATATTCCCACCTCTATGACTCTGTCAGGAGAGGGATACTGAAGATGTTAAAGTCATTAAAACAAGATATTAAAAAAAATCAGAACAGTTTAATCCTGTCCTGGTAGAGATGATCAAACAACTCCAAAGAGGTGATGACTTAACATATTTCTAGGTCCAAGTAGTGGCCAACCGGGGCCAGCATCCTCCCAGTCACCCAGGCTGCCAACCAAGGTGGCTGAATACTTGCTTGAGATTGCCAGCATTTGTGATATCATCACTGTGCATAATTTCAAGGTAGGATCCTCATTGCTGTGGGCTATAAAATGGACTCTGCCCACCACACCCCCCCGCCAACACTTGGCACACTTAGATGGAAATGGAAAAATGGTATTCTAAAACATTCTGTTGCATTATTATTTGTACCCCTAGGCAGGTGTGATTCATGTGGGACAGAGTGGCAAGGAAAGGCTCTATTGAAGGGGCGAGCCTTGAGCTGCCCCTGGGTGGAAGTGTGGGTGGCCATGGGAGCTGCATTTCCATGGTGGTGGGAGCTCTGGGCCACTCCTCAATCCCATGTCTGACACACACACACACACACACACACACACACACACACAAACAAACACACACACACCCACTCCTGATAGTAGGAAGAGCAGTATTTTGGACAAAGAGGAGGCTGAAGGCTGCATGACGCCTTGAGACATCAACTCAGGTATGTGTGGAGGTGGCGGAAAGTATTATTACCTGGAACAATCTTCACCCTTTAGGCCTAAATCAACCTCCACCTCCACCGGGACGTTTTTGCACAATGTGTTTCTTTGACAGACTCACCAGAGCGTATGCACATTTGGTTCTCCATTAGAAACATATTTTGTATTTCTAGTTCCTAAAGGAAATGTGAGTTTTGTACTTAGCAGAAGCTATAGCACCATCTTGTGGAAATAAATGCATTGGATCACAAGCTTGCTCTGAAAATTTTAGTCATCTTAAAAAAAAAAGTAAATCTTGATATGACTTCATAGCTCTAAATCACTCCTGGAATGCACCATCTATTAGTAGCAAAAGACTTCTCATATATTGTAATTGTATGAGGGTGGAGTTAGCATTCTCCACCAGCTGCAGCTTTCTTTCTGTTTTGCTTTCGAGGTAGGGTCTTACTCTGTCCCCCAGGCTGGAGTGCAGTGGTGTGATCATAGCTCAATACAGTCTCGAAGTCCCAGGCTCAAGCAATTCTCCTGCATCAGTCTCCCGAGTAGCATAGTGTGCCACTATACCCAGCTAATTTTTTGTAGAGATGGGGTCTCTCTATGCTGCCCAGGCTGGCACTGGCAACTTTCTTCTTTTTAGAATAATTACCGTACTTAGGATCCAATATTCTTCCCATCTCACTTGTTTTAGAATGTGTGTCCTCAGGTTTGGATTTTAATCATGTCCCAAGGGATCTTGCCTTCTAAATAAAGGAACACTCACTGGGTACCAATGTTCTTTTCTGTCTCCTCTGGTGAATCAGACACTTCTCTTCTTAATAGAGTTCATTGATAAAGGGCTTGGGAAAAGGAGGTCCCTTCATTATTGAGAATCTAAAGCATTGGATTGGGAGCCCACAGAAGAACTGGAACAGAGGCTGAGGCAGGAGGATCACTTGAGCCCAGGAGTTCGAGGTTGTAATGAACTGTAATCGCACCACTACACTCCAGCCTGGGTGACGGAGTGAGACCCCATCTCAAAAAAAAAAAAAAGTCCCTGGAAAAGGTTTTATTTAGAATCACGAAATCATTGAATCATTTAATAAATAATGAGTCTTTTTAATGTAAGTAGTATACCCTCCAGTGGAGGGGAAAAAATGCCCAATGTTCTCAACCTTTCTTATCCCTAGTTTGATCTGCATCAAACGTGGAATTGATGTAAAGCTTTGGGGCTTCACCAGGCTTCCCTCTGAACAGTCTCAGGCTTGATTAGAATTTAAGGCTGGTGTGAATTTTGCAAATTTTAAAGATCTATGTTTATCTTCAAGACATATTTTGAAAAAATTACACATTGACATCCTTCAAAAAAGCTAAAAGCACAGAAGTAAATGTCTGCCTCCACATGTTTCCCAGCTATCCAATTATCTTCTCTCAAGGCACCAATATTACAAGTTGTTTGTGAAATGCTTCCAAAAATATTTTGCACTTACAGGAAATATATTACATCAATGATAGTCCACAAAATATTTCAAAACTTGCATTTTTCATTTAAAAATATAGGTTGAAGATTGTTCTATATTAGCACATAGTTTCCTTATTTATTTTTCAGCTGTACAAGATTTTATTGAATGGGTGTAGTCTCCTGCTGAGGTTTTTCCCAGTAGTTTGGCAGTACAAACAATGCTGCAGTGAATAACCTTTACATCTGTTGCATAGCACACATGCTAGTCTACCTGTGGGCTATATTCCTGGAAGTAGAATTGCTGTGTCAAATGGTGCATTTGTAATTGTGGGAGACTTTGGCAAACTTTTCTCCATGGAGGTCATTTATACCAAATTACAGCAATGTATGACACTCCATGCCTCACTAACTGTATGTTTTTAAAACTTTTTTTTTTTCTGAGACAGGGTCTCACTCTGTTGCCCAGGCTGGAGTGCAATGGCGTGATTACAGCTCACTGCAGCTTCGACTTCCCAGGCTCAAGTAATCCTGCCACCTCAGCCTCCCACAGGAATGCACCACTATGCATGGCTGATTTTTTACTTTTTGTAGACAGAGTCTCCCTATGTTGCCCAAGGTAGTCTTGAACTCCTGGGCTCAAGTGATCCTCCCACCTCAGCCTCCCAAAGTGCTGATATTACAGGCATGAGCCACCACACCCAGCCTTTAAAACTTTTTGACTTTGCTAATGTAATAGGTGAAATATTATATTTCAGTGGTTACTGTTGTCATTTTTGCAGTGTTCCTTTTATGAATTTGGTTATAGGAACTCAAATTTTTCATGAGGCCTGGTCACCTAGTCAGTTATCTTTCTCCAGAGCTATTTTGGCAAATACATTGATTTTTTTAAAATTAAGTTTTATGAATAGATATAAATGACTCAGATTTCAATCAGCTTTCAAAAATATTTTTTTTGTATTCTCCCTTTCCTACTTGTCCCCAGTAGTGGATTTACCATGAAGCTAGCAAAGCTTAAGCTTAGAACCCCTTCCAAGAGTCCCTTCCAAAGCTCTGAACTAATTTTGTATTCATACATTCACATTCTGTTTCTTAAAGAAGCTGCCCCAAATTGTATAAGCTTCAGGCCTAGATATGCCGCTGCTTGTCACCGTCTTCCCTGTTTTCAACCTCTCTCTTCCTAGTTTCTTCTGTATTCCTCTAGAATGACTTTATGCATATGTAAGCACATCTAGTTAGAGTTTATCCACCCCCTTCCTTTTTTCTTGCTTTTCTGAATGGGTCTTGGAGATTTTTCAATGTAAGATCTAGAGACCATCCATATTGTTTACTGTTGGTTGATAATTTTATGGTATTCCGTTGTATGAAGATACTGGTCTTTACTTAATCAGTCCTGTATTGGTGGAACTTAGTGGACATTTGTTTTGTTTGTTTTTTGCATTAAGAAAAGCTCCTGGCAGGTTTCAGAGACTTAAATGACAGCTAAAAATCTGGTGGGATTACAGGTTTCAGAAGTGACAAGGTTTAAAATAGATGAAATTGTTGGGGGAGCCCTAGCCTCCCTTCCTGCACACCCTCTTCAGGTATCTAGGACTCGAAGTCTTATCAAAACAGGACACTTATTACCTGCTAGTCACAACCTATCTATATGAACATATACATCGGCGTGGGAAGTTTGTCTGTGATTGTGAAACAAGATTGTCTTGCTAAAGACATTCTGAATATGTGAAGGCAGGAGGGAGAGATAATTGTAAGGCTTTGAGTGCCTCTAAAATCCTACTGGATAGTTGTTGGCTTCAAAAAAAGGCAGATAGCTTCTGAGGTCATAGTATTCCATCAGTGGCATTGCTACAGCCTGCTAACTGACTTTCATTGCCCACACGCTAACATTTTGTTCTGCTGTATCTGATGGGGAAGGGTTGAGCCACGCAGGCATGGAGTGCTAGATGTCTTCTGCATGCCAGAAGAGTTCATTACTTAGTATTTTAACCCTTCATTTACCTGATTTTATTTATTTATTTATTTTTGAGACGGAATCTCCCTCTGCCACCCAGGCTGGAGTGCAATGGTGCAATCTCGGCTCACTGCAACCTCTGCCTCCCGGGTTCAAGTGATAATTCTGCCTCAGCCTCCCGAGTAGCTGGTTTTACAGGCATGCGCCATGACGCCCGGCTAATTTTTGTATTTTTAGTAGAGATGGGGTTTCACCATGTTGGCAAGGCTGGTCTCGAAGTCCTGCCCTCAAGTGATCCACCCACCTTGGCCTCCCGAAGTGCTGGGATTGCAGGCATGAGCCACTGCACCTGGCCTTTCATCCACCTTAGTCATCACTTCCTTTCTTCTCTTCCAGTTCAATGCAAACACCATGGGAAACACATTTGGGATAGCTGGAAATTCAGCCTGTTTATTCTCTCTACCCCCTTAAAGCATGGAATGGCTGATCTCCTATCACAACCCACTTTTTGAGAAGAAAGGATCATACACCTGTCTGATTTGGTTACCTCAAATCCAGTCCTATTGCCCAGTATTACCTTTTGTTCATATGTCCTTGTTTGGCTCTTTCCTAGAACTGCCTTCCCTGGGACTAAATTGTAGTGGGTTTTAGTTTAAGATACCACATTAAATTTTTTAAAACACTTTTAATATTTGTGGGTACATAGTAGGTGTATATCCTTTACCTCTTTTATAAGGGATCAGGTAAATAATACATAGAGAAAGTAAGGAAGGAGAAAACAAAGGTGAGAGAAGAGAATAGATGGATCTCAATGCTTCATGATTAAGAATAACTTTTAGTACTTCTTTTCAGCTTACAAAGTGCTGTGTATATTACCTTTTGTGAAGCTCACATTTCCTTGAAATAAATGGGGTGGTGTCTTATCACCATTTTACAGACAGGGAAGGAAAATAAGGATAAGGCTGATCATGGCGCACCTGAATCCAGGTTTATAGGATTTCCCAACATCTTGAGACTTGATGGTTCAGGGTTGACTTTGTCTGGGTCCCTCAGAAGGTAATCAGGGCAGTAGCAGTTTCAGAATGTTTGTACTGAAATGGGGGCTAGGGGATTTGTCTTGAAGCTCTATTTGGATTGTATTTCAGATAAAATTGAAAAAAAATCTACTGTCTGATAAAATTGAAAAAAATTCAGGTAAAATTGAAATATTCAGATAAAATTGAAAAAAAATTCTATGGAGGTGCTGATGATGGAGATCTGTGGAGGAGTCCCAAGTCTCTTGGTCCCTCTACTTCTTTTGAGTTTTACTATTGTCCTGAAGAGGCAGAGAGCTAGAAACTCAGAACCTCTGATTCCCTGTGGCACAGGCTGCTAGATGTTTATCAGAATTGTTCCTCTTATGCCTGGGTATACAGACCACATTTCTCAGAATCACTTGCATTTTTTATTGCCATGGTGACCAAATTTTAGCCAATGGGATGTGAGCAGAAATAAAGAGTCCACTTTTGGGCCAGGTCACTGAAACTTTCATGCTTTGTCTCCCTCCAACACACATGACAATAATGGGAACCATGTGGAAATGAGGGCAGATCCATGAGGTGTAAGGACCCTGGGTCCCTGAATCACCGATTGATGGCGTGATGTCTGCTGGTCAGGAAAACCTCCTCTGAACAAGGAATGAACATTGGTTTACTGTAAAATTTTCAAATAATGCAATATTCTTTCCCATGGTTCAGTCTACATTTTGAGAGGTCTCTTCTTTAAGTCTTTAATGTGTATTATTTTAAACATTTTCCCATGCTTTAGTATATGTCTCTATATATATTCTCACACATACACATATCTATAGGTTTTTAAGTGAATGAGAAAGCACAGTATCAATATACTTTGTTTCCTCACTTCACATTTTGTGAAAATTTTGCTTATGGTAATATTAGTTTATATGTTAACTGTACATTAATATCTAATTAGATGTTAATATACTAGTAAAACTTATTTATATTAAGAGTTGCATATTTCATTGTATATATTTGCAATGTTTTATTTAATAACCTCACTATTGATATTAGGTTATTTATCAATTTACAAGTATTGCTTCTGCTTAAAATATATGTACATGTATATATTTATGCATATGGGAATATTTCTGTAGGATATGTTCTTAGAATTGAAATTGCTGCATCAAAAGGTATGCACATTTTATTTTTTGAGGCCGGGCACAGTGGCTCATGCCTGTAATCCCAGCACTTTGGGAGACTGAGGAGGGAGGATCACTTGAGCCCAGGAATTCAATACCAGCCTAAGCAATATAGACCCCATCTCTACCAACCAACAACAACAAAATTAGCCAGGCATGGTGGCTTGCACCTGTAGTTCCAGCTACTCTGGAGGCTGAGGTCGGAGGCTGTTTTCAGCTCAGGAGTCCGAGGCTGCAGTGAGCTGTGATTGCGTCACTGTACTCCAGCCTGGGCAACAGAGTGAAACCCTGTCTCTGAAAAATCAAAACAAAACTAACAATTTAGTTTTTGAAGAGACATGACCAAATTTCCCCGAAATCTATTAAGACTGTGGGGAAGTATCCACTTGCCTACATGCTTAGCGATGCTAGAAAGTATCCATCTTTTAATTTTTGTCCATCTAATGGGTGAAAAATGGTATCTTGTGCTTTAAAATTTATTACTTACTAGAGGAACTATACATCTTTCATTACATTTATTATTCTCTGTCACTTGTTCTACTGTAAATAGTTTATCTGTCTCTACTTGTATCTATGTGTTTTTTTCCAATAAAAAACTGGTTTGTGTATTACTATTTTGCTTGTTATATATATTGGGGACTACGTTAGCTATATTTTAATCATTTTCTTAAAGCTGATTTTCTTTTCTTTGTGTGTGGTAAAGATGGTGGACTTTTTAAACGTTTTATTTTTTTCTGCCGGCTGCAGTGGCTCATGCCTATAATCCCAGCACTTTGGGAGGCTGAGGCGGGTGGATCACCTGAGGTCAGGCATTCAACACCAGCCTGGACAACATGGTGAAACCCTGTCTCTATTAAAAATGCAAAAAATTAGGCAGGCATGGTGGTGGCCGCCTGTAATTCCAGCTACTCAGGAGCCTGAGGCAGGAGAAGCCCTTGAATCGGGAGGTGGATGTTGCAGTGAGCTGAGATTGTGCCATTGCACTCCAGCCTGGGCGACAAGAGCAAAACTCCATCTCAAAAATAAATAAATAAATAAATAAAATTAAGTAAAATAAGTGTTTTATTTTTTAATTGACAAAATTGTATAGATTTACCATGTAGAAAATGATATTTTGAAATGTATGTACATTGTGGAATGACTAAATTGGGCAAATTACCATATGAATTATCTAACACCCTTGTCATTTTTATGGTGAGAACACTTAAAATCTACTCTGTCAACATTTTTCACAATACAATCTATTGTTATTAGCTATCATCACCAAGTTGTACAATAGATCTCAAGGCTGATTTTCTTGATCCTTACTTAACTGTTCACAGAAAAAGATTCTGTAAGTCCAGGATAGAGGGAGGCCATATGACCCAGTGGTTATGGAGTCAGGCTCACCTGGATTAGAGTCCAAGTTATGTCAGATACTTGCTGTGTGACCATAGAAAAGTTTCTTACTATCTCTGAACCTCTATCTCTTCTTTTGTAATAATAATAATAAAGGTACTAGAATTGTTATGAAGTTGAGACATGATAATGATGCATGTACCTTAGCACAATGCCTGACATTTCATAAGCTCTCAGCAAATACTAGCTCTTAAAAGTATATCTACAATGTGGGTAATATGGGTACAAAACTAGATATTTATGTTTTAGTCTAGTTCCTAGAACCATTCCCAATCAAAGTTATTCCTAGTAATATTCTTTCCTTAAGGTGGGCATTTCGTGTTACCTTTTAGCCAGTCTTATGAAATTTCTATTTCCCAGAGCACTAAAATAGTCAACTAATTAATTACTTCAGTATGTACTATTTTTTTTCCTTTTTTGAAACAGAGTCTCCCTCTGTCACCCAGGCTGGAGTGCAGTGGCATGATCCTGGCTCACTGCAACCTCTGCCTTGCAGGATCAAGCGATTCTTGTGCCCCAGCCTCCCAAGTAGCTGGAATTACAGGCGCATGCCACCATGCCTGGCTGGTTTTTGTATTTTTAGTAGAGAAAAGGTTCATCATGTTCGCCAGGCTGGTCTCAAACTCCTGGCCTCAAGTGATCCTCCTGCCTCGGCCTCCCAAAGTGCTAGGATTACAGGCATGAGCCATCGTGCCTGGCCAGTATGTATTTTTGGGGTTCTACTGTATTTAAGGTCAGAGAGATTCAGTTAGCCTCAGAAGTCCATTTCATTTTCTCTGTATGGAATTTATTTTATACTCCTTTGACAAAAGTGAAAATCCAAATTAATATGAAATGTGAAGAAACTAATAAAGACAGGGAATTAGAAAACAAGAGGTGACCTTAAAGTTTTTCTAGTTCAATTCTTTATTTTATATGTGTGGAAATGGAAGTCCAGAGGAGTTAAGCAACTTTTCTGAGGTCACACAGTGTGTAAGTGAGGGAATTGTCGTGAGAGCCCAGACATTCTCATGCTGAGCCAGTATTCTGTTGACCAAATCATACCGTGTTCAAGGATTCACTTCTTCTTTTGGCACAACATGATTTCAAAAATTAAAAACAGAGAAACACAGCTTGGAAAAACACAGATAAAAATGAGCCAATGCTATTTAAAATTTATGAAGAAAGCAAGGGATGTAAGACACTTCTCTGCTGGCTGCGAAAACATGAGAGCTGTGAAGTCCAGTGAGACAGCATTCCAAATGTCTTTCCTTTTTGTCTATTCTCAAGAACCTGTATTTAACAATGGTACTCTACACTCACAGCCAACAGTAAACACCAGTCCTACAGGTCGGCAGTTGGCAATCCCTGGTCCACGTGCCAAAGATGCTGCGGGTGCCAATCTCAGGCGGCAAGGAAACTGACTACAACACACAAATTCCCATCCCTTTCATTCCCAGTAGTTATTGCCTACAGTTGTCTCCACCCTCTTGCCAGAGTTTTCAAGATCAACACCCTGACATGACTTCCTGTGTAGCACCAGTACCATCCTGGCCTTCTGGAATCACAGTTTCAGTCATTTGGCACACTTCTGTGAGAAGGCAATCGCCATGGACTCCTACGATAAAACATAAATAAGTATTCCCAGCATTTTTAATAGTAAATGCTAAATTTCAACCCTAAATTGTTTCTTTTCTTCTCTGTGATCCTAGAGCAATAGGATATTCTTGATTATTAATATCTACTGCATAAGAATATGCCAAAAGGATGAATTGGACAAACCAAATGCACAAGATATCCAAACTTAAAAGAATAGGCCAGGCACGGTGGCTCGCGCCTGTGTTCCCAGCACTTTGGGAGGCCGAGGCGGGTGGATCACCTGAGGTCAGGAGTTCGAGACCAGCCTGGCCAACATGGGGAAACCCCCTCTCTACTAAAAATACAAAATTAGCCAGGCATGGTGGCCCACGCCTGTAGTCCCAGCTACTCAGGAGGCTGAGGCAGGGGAATCACTTAAACCTGGGAGACAGAAGTTGCAGTGAGCCAACAACTGCACTCCAGACTGGGCAACAGAAGAAGACTCCTTCTCAAATAAATAAATAAGTAAATAAATAAATAAATAAATAAATAAAAAGAATAAAGGGTAACACATCCCTAGGCCTATATGATGTGAGTAGAAATTTGAACACAACCACTCATTTGTTCATTTAGTCAAAGTTTATTGTGTGTCTACTATGAACAGGCCTGTTGCCAACCATTCAGGAGATGAATATCAGGAGGTCCTCTGCAAGAGAGTGGCTCAGAATTTATTTACAGTCAGACTGCCTGGTCTTGATTCATGTTTCTACCACTGAATGATTTGGCGACCTTGAATAAATTAATTAATTACACTAAACTTTATTTCCCCCCCTTTAATGTTAGGATAGTATTAGTACCTACTCCACATATTTGATGTAAGAATTTTTCTAAAGCATTTTATGCAGTGCCAACCACATAGTAAGTGCTCAATAATTATCAGCTACAATTAAATTTCTACTGTAGTATAACCTAAAATTAGAGGGATTTAAAGAAGTTTAGAAATCAGAAGATGGCTCAACACTGAAAATTTGGAAATGGGGTCAACAGATAAAGTGTCCTCTATGTATTCCGTATGTTTTTTGTGAGTACTCACTCTGTGCTAGGAATGTATAGGTGTAAAGAGATGAACCAGTGCTTGTCCTTCCCTTTGTGAAGCAATGAATGAAACATAATTGAGACATGCACTGTAAATCCCAGGTTGAGGATTACAAAAAGTTGGAAACCAAAACCAAAATCTGAATTCCTTGACCTTGGGAGAAGTCTCCTGTTTTTTCCAAGTGAACGGGCTAGGACCAGATTCAGAGACAGGCTCCCCGGGAGCCTTTGCCAGCTGACTCACAGAGGTTCCCTGAGTCTGGGCCACAGCTCATGCTCCTGGTCCAGCTATGCCCTCCAAGAGTGAGTGGCCTCCTGTGCCTCTAGGGGGGACATGGGGAAGCCATGAGGGCAAAGGCGTAGGTGACCTACCAGCACCAATGCTCTTCCTGTTTAAAGAGCAATTTTGGTTCCAGATCAGAAAGTTTAGCAACCCTGACAGGATTAAAATAACTTCTGACAGCAGGGTAATCATAACAGTTTATCTTATGTTCACATAGCACTTTTAAGTCTTCAGAAAAAAAATGTGTCCATTTGCATCTTGCTTTGGGTTTTCAGTGGCACTCTGTGGTGTCCTAAACAGCTTCCATATGCATAATTTTCAGATGAAGGACTGAAGCTTAAGCAGTTTAAGGGACTTCTCTGCAAAAAACACAGCTAGCAAATGGTACATCTGGAACTAGAACCAGGGCCTCCGGTACGCACCTTGTGTATTTAAGGGGTAGGCAGCATCGTGGGCTTCTTGGATGCCTGGGCCAATCCTAAGAGAGGACTGCACACACAGAATTTAGGGTCCACACAGGCAACCGCCTGAACATGGTTTCTGCACACCATGATTTCCTGCTGCTCCTCTGGTACCAGGGGAGTATTCATCCCTTGAAACCTACCCCTGGTATTAGAGCTCCTCACCTTTGTCCTGCCACTTGAATGTATCCCTTCCCAGTGTTAGTTGCAATGCAGTATGCAGCATCTGCCGTGAAACTAAACAACCGTTTAAAAACTGTTCGGCAGCAATGGAATTACAAATTGTATATCCAGTTTGGGTAATTTTAAAAAATTTAATAAATTATTTCATTGTTATTATTGTTGGACACAAGGTCTCACTCTGTCACCCAGGCTGGAATGCAGTGGTGCGATCATGGCTCACTGCAGCCTCAAAATCCCTGGCTCAAGTGATCCTCTTGCCTCAGCCTCCCGAATAGCTGGGGATGTAGGCACACGTTGCCATGCCCGGCTAGATAATTTACAAAAACACTTTCTAATGTTCTTCAATTGATGAACCATCAACTTAAAAGTTTTATCCATTGTTTTTGGTTTCACCATCCTGCCCGTCAAGAGGCTCCTCCTCCGTCTCTGACCCTTGGAGTCACAGTTCCTTCTTGCTACCACCTCATCTCATTTCACGCACCAGTATAAAAAAAGCTGTTTTTTGTTTGTTTGTTTGTTTGTTTGTTTGTTTGTTTTTCCCCCAGCTTTAAGTACTTTTCTGTCTGGAGCCCAATGCCTATCTTTGGCTAGAGATTGAAAATTGCTTTTCATCTCTCCTCCTCTTCATCTTTGGAAATTTCATGATCTCTTTGATTTTTATATAATGGTTACGATTATGGGTTCAGCAGTCATATTGCCTATCTTTGATTCTGGACTAGGTACTTATTAGCTGGGAGCATTGGTTAAATTATATAATCTCTCTATAGTTCTGTTTTCTCGCCTAAAAATAGTAGTAATAGTCTCTACCTCATAGGGTTTTTATGAGGACTTAAAGAGCTCTTACTTGTAAGGTTCTTGGAATAGTGCTTCACTAAGCACTGTGCGTATATGTGTGTGTGTGTGTGTGTGCACACGCATGTACGTGAGCATGTGAGTGTTGTACGTGAACTAGAGATGTCTTTGTTCTGGATCTTACTACCCAGAACCAAGTATAGTTCTAAACTTACTCTCTAATCTCATTGAGAACAGCCTCTACTCCCACCCTGTCTGTGTTCTGTGTTCCTCTGAATCTCTTAACCTCCTTTGCAGCCATGCCCACAGGACTCGTCAAACAGGATAAGAAGCCTTCCATAAATAATCTCTGACTCTCCTGGCCTCATCATGGCACATTCTAGATGGGGAAGAAACCCACATTCACTTAACATATCCTACGTTAGGATTGGTTAGACTTATTCTTAATTTGAAATGTTGCTAATAAAGTCCCACATTGTCCTGGTTAAGTAAAGAAGGCTTGGGAGCCAGATTGTCTGGGTATGAGTCTAACATTTACCGTCTGCTTAAAGTTCACATCTATAAAATGGGATAATAATGGGAAATGAATTGGCTATAATGATAAACTGAGGTTATCTCTATAAAGTACCTATCAATGTGCAGTGGATGGTGCAGAGTAATTTATAATAATGCTAACTATTAACATTATTAAAACGCTTTTTTCCATTGAATTGTCTCTGTGTGGGGCTTTCCATTCGTCCCCAGCAGTGAAAAGTTGTGTGGTGGTACTAACTTCCTCTAAGTGAAGAGCATGTGCTTATTTAGAGACAATCATAGACAGTCCCCTGGAGGAGGTGAGAAGAGTAGAAACAAGTGACCATCACAATCTCAGGGCAGGTTGGAAAGTGGATTTTGTTGTGTAATTGCTTCAGATTGCCAGCTGAATGTTTATGGATTCACTCTCTCTGACAACAGAAATTGTCAGTTTGTAGGATTTTATAAAAATCAATTTCCCTCCAAGCTGAAGTAGGCACTTAGGTACATTTACTGCTTATAAGAAAGGAAGTACAATTGAGGGGAAACATCCAAATGAGGATGAAAATGGACAGAGGTATCAATGGGTTCTGGAGTCTCTGCCTGTGGCTGTATTTTTAAAAACTTTTTATAGATATGACTTTATCTGGTAATAACTGCTATTCCTCTACTACTGAGCATACCTGACTAAGTCACAGGTGGAGTGTCTGTTTTAAACTTCTGGACTCATAGCAGTGTACAAAATAAATCTTTCCCCGACATTCTCAACTCAATAAGTGCTTAAATTAAAAAATGTTAAGTATAACAAATGCATCAAAAACTAAATACTTCCCAGGCAGGAAAAAGGAATGCTTTACAGAGTCTCTTGGTTCATTTAGTCTCAGATATAAAGAGAGTAGTGAACTTAGGTGGTATTTGGTACCAAGATTCCAGGAGATGACTGAGGAGGGAGAGTCAAATGTCACACCAGTTAGGAATGACTTTCCTTGCCCAGTGCTCTCCTCAGGGCACCCTTGACCTCTCCGTTCCTCAGGCTGTAAATCAGGGGGTTAAGTGTTGGGTTGAAAAAACTGTAAAATAGAAAAAAGACCTTTTGCTGCTCCTCAGGATGGCGGGACTTGGGGGCCATGTACATGATGATGGCACTGCCAAAGAAGAGTCCCACCACGCAGAGGTGGGAGGAGCAGGTGGAGAAGGCCTTTCTGCGGCCCTCCCCAGACTGGATCCTCAGGATGGCCGCCAGGATGTGCGAGTAGGAGACAAGCACCAGGCTGGGTGGCCCCACCAGGAAGAACACGCAGGCTGCAAAGATGACCACCTGGTTGAGCCAGGTGTCAGCACAGGCCAGCCTGAGGACAGACAGGATTTCACAGAAGAAGTGGTTGATTTCATGAGGCCCACAGAAGGGCAGTCTTAGGATGAGAACCACATGGACCAGAGCCAGGAGGGAGCCACACGTCCAAGAAGTGACGGCCAGGGTGATGCAGACTCTCCAGGTCATGATGACGGAGTATCGGAGAGGGTGGCAGATGGCCACGTAACGATCGTAGGACATCAGCACCAGCAGGAGACATTCGCTGTGTCCAAAACTCAAACAGAGAAAGGTCTGCGTCATGCAGCCAGCAAAGGAGATGGGCTTGGCTGGATGCAGGAGGTTCGCCAGCATCTGGGGCACCGTGTTGCAGGCGTAGGCGATGTCGACGACAGCCAGGTGTGAGAGGAAGAAGTACATGGGGGTGTGGAGTCTGGAGTCCAGTGAGATGAGCCCCAGGATGGCCCCGTTCCCCAGCAGGGTGAAGATATAGAACAGGGAGAAGAGCCCAAAGAGGAGCATCTGAATCCTTGGGCCCAGGAGAAATCCCAGTAGGAGGAACTCTGTGACCATTGTCTGATTTTCCCCCATTTCCCTGTGAAAAAGAAAAAGATCACTTAGGACCAGATTGTCAAAAAACACCTAGACATTATTTTATGAATTTAGTCATTTTTAAAAGATAAACTTTTAACATTAGTGATTGAGCTACACATTAAGTTAATTACTGATTGTAAGTATCCAGTGTTATAGAAGGGATTGTGTCACCAATGATAGGATACATAGAGCCATTGACACATCATGGGAAGAAAGAATGTCGTACCAAAAGTGGAAGTAAAATGACCATCTAATAAGGATTGTCTTGAAGCTGCACATATAAAAATTACTAAGAGAATTCCTGAAGTGTAGAAATAATCAGTAATGGAAGAACTCCAAATATGGGAATTAGAGTAGTCCTAGAAAAAAAGATGATGTAATCCCAGTTTCTCAGTAGAAATATCAACTATTTTGCTTTCAACATCTGAAATCAACCTTTGCACTCTGGAGCAGTTTATATAATAACAGAAGAAGTAGAAAGACAAAAAACAATTTTAATGACATTGTGATTGTTTGGGTTCCTGAGAAGGAACTAATGGATGTGCTACAAATGGGTTCTAATTGCAATCTTTATTTTACAATGGGTCATAAATAGGAACCGATAATTGGTGATTTGGCAGTTAATCTACTGATTGATGCACAGTTACTGATTTACCAAAAACTGGTTTTGAATAACAACTCACACAATTTGTAGAAATTAGATTTTTCTGGGCGAGTTTGTACATACGTATCATTTAAAACATTCACAATGCCTGAATGTTATGTTTGCCACTGCGTTATATATCATTTCTTTTCTAGTCTCTCCTTTCACTTTTGCCAACCCTTTGGTAAATTTAATCCATTTGTGTTTAAGTAAGATGTTCTTTTTACATGTAGAATGAAAGAAACTATGGAGAAAAAATTTAAATGAAGTATCTTTCAAAAACACCAGAAATGACCATTCATAAAAAATTAATTGTGCTTCAGCAACATAAGAATTGCTAAACACTTTACAGGTGGCTAATTAAAACTTTTTTTGCAAAGAGCTAATTTAGTGACTTCATTATTTTGCAGATTATTATAGCAATAAATTGTCAGGTAATTGGTATTTGTGAATTGGTGATGTGCCAAATAATATTTGGGTTTTTGTCCTTAAGTCCTAGATAACATTTTCCTCAATATACCATGTAGAAATCCAGTATTTTGCCAGTGCACATGTTTTTGTTAGTGCCTTTGCTAGGCAAAAATAACCTGCGGCTGAGCCGTTGAACCTGCTTATCTCTGAAAAAAAAATCTTCTCTGGATTAAGGAGAACTTCTCCAGATTAAGGAAATATGCTGCTTTTGATAAGACCCTGGTCCAGCTGTCATTGGAGCAAAGACATGGAATCACCCTAAATGTCCACCAACGATAGACTGGATAAAGAAAATGTGGTACATATACACCATGGAATACTATGCAGCCATAAAAAAAGAATGAGATCTTGTCCTTTGATGGACATGGATGGAGCTGGAGACCATTATCCTTAGCAAACTAATGCAGGAACAGAAAACCAAATACCGAATGTTCTCACATATAAGCAGGAGCTAAATGATGAGAACACATGGACACATAGAGGGGAACAACACAGTACTGGGGCCTATCACAGGGTAAAGGGTGGGAGGAGGAAGAGGATCACAAAAAATAACTAATGGGTACTAGGCTTAATATCTGGGTGATGAGATAATTTGTACAAAAAACCCTCAAGACACAAGTTTGTTTACCTATGTAACAAACCTGCATTTGTACCCCTGAACTTAAAAGTTAGAAAAGAAAAAGTTAAAAAACTAATCTAATTGGAGCCCTAAAGAACGTTCCCACTGGATCCTTTTCCAGTGGTAACAAATGATTGTATACTTATAAGCATTATCAATAAATTGTTGATTATTATCAGCAAGACACAAATAAATTCTAGTGAATATTGTAACTTCATAACACATGGCCAAGGGTTATATTTTTTTTTCAGGATTCTATTTAAAAAATACTCTCCTAGGCCAACCTTCTACATTTAATTGGAAAACACGCAAAGCATATGAAATATTTGGTTGTGAAATGCATTTGAATTTACACCTTATAAACATCTTTATTTATTTATTTATTTTTTTGAGACGGTTTCCCTGTGAAACCTGCCCTGGAATGCGGTGGTGTGATTACGGCTCACTGTAGTTTTGACATATCAGATTCAAGTGATCCTCCCCCTCAGCCTCCCAAGTAGCTGGGATTACAGGTGCATGCCACCATACCTAGCTAATTTTTTTAAATAAATATTTTTTGTACAGACAATGTATTATTATGTCACCCAGGCTGGTTTCAAACTTTTGGGTTCAAGTGCTCCTCCCACCTCAGCCTCCCAAAGTGCTGGGATTGTAGGCATGAACCGTGTACCCAGTCTACATCTTATAAAAAACTTAATTTCTTTATTTAGTCCTTCATTATTTCCTTTTGTAACTCCCCAAATGATTATACAAAGAAAAAAAATCCACTATGCACAAGTATGAATTTCTTTGAAAGCTAGATGGAGAGTCAAGAAGAAAGGAGAGCTTGGTGAAGACACTCAGATTCTTTAAGGACAATTGCCACATGGGTTGAAACCCTGAATTCTTTTACAGGACTGGGTTGTTAACACACTCCTTGTGAACAAGGAAAAGGTGCTCTCACTTTTGTAATCCTGACAGTAAATACTTACTGTGTGGACAAATTAATCAATAAATACAAATGAATAAATGAATGAATGCATAGTTTTTTTAACCATCCTTTGACTGAATCTGGAATGTCTACTATAATCTGAATACTTGAAAGACACTTTTGTTTTCTTTTTCTCCCCCATAGTTTCTTTCATTCTACATGATACAAAGAACATCTTACTTAACTCAATGGATTAAATTTACCAAAGGGTTGGCAAAAGTGAAAGGAGAGACTAAAAAAAAAAATTAAATATAACCCAGTTGCAAATGTAACATTCAGGCATTGTGTATACTTTCAGGGGTGTCCAATCTTTTGGCTTCCCTGGACCATGTTGAAAGAAGAAGAATTGTCTTGAGCCACACATAAAATCCACTAACACTAACGATGGCTAACGAACTTAAAAAAAAATCACATAATATTTTAAGAAAATTTACAAATTTGTGTTGGGCCACATTCAAAGCTGTCCTGGGCCACCTGCAATTTGGACAAGCTTGCTTTAAGTGATATATATGTACAAGTTAGCCATTTAAAAATTTGGCAAATTATTTGATGACTAATAAATTAACCAACGTTTCCATGGCTTCTAAGTAAATATGTAAGACTGAAATCATTTCTTTACACATGACGAAACCTGTCTACTTCAAAAGGTAAAACTTAAGATCTGATGAGCTGACAAACTCCTTTCTAATGAGTCACACAACATTCTTAAAATGAAAGCTATTTTTAAATCCTCAGGTCAAGTAAAGTATTAGATGATTTATTTCCAAGAATCAGAAATATTTGAGGCTGGATGCGGTGGCTCATGCCTGTAATCCCAGCACTTTGGGAGGCTGAGGCAGGAGGATTGCTTGACACCAGTAGTTTAATACCAGCCTGGGCAACATAGTGAAACCCTGTCTCAAAAAAACAAGTAAAACAGAAACAAAAACAGTAGCTGGGCGTGGTGGCACATGCCTGTAGTTCTACCCGCTTGGGAGGCTGAGGCAGGAGGGTTGCTTGAGCCCAGCAGTTTGAGGTTGTGGTGAGCTATGATAGAACCATTGCACTTCAGCCTGGGCAATAGAGTGAGACCCTGTCTCAACAAAAAGAAAAGGAAAAAAAGAATATTTGTTAAAACTAATACACTCATAACACTCCTTTGTCTTTTTTTTTTTTCTTTCTCTTTTTGAGGCAGGATCTCGTTCTGTCACTTAGGCTGGAGTGCAGTGGCGCAATCATAGTTCGTTGCAACCTCAACCTCCCTAGGCTCAGGTGATCCTCCCACCTAGCCTCCCCAGTAGCTGGGATTACACGTGTGCTCTACCATGTCTGGCTACCTTTTTTTAAAAACTTTTTTTTAGAGATAGGGTCTCACTGTGTTGTCCAGGCTGGTCTCAAACTACTGGCCTCAAGCAGTCCTTCTGCCTCAGCCTCCCAAAGTGCTGAGAATACAGACATGAGCCACTGCACCTGGCCTCAAATATTCTTATTACTCGGGAGTAAAGCATCTAATACTTTATTTGACCTGAGGATTTAAAAATAGCTTTTATTTAAAGAATATGATGTGACTCATTAGGAGTTTGTTGGCTCATCAGATCTTAAGTTTTACTTTTTGAAATAGACAGGTTTGGTCATCTGCAAAGAAATGATTTCAGTCTTACATATTTACTTAGAAATCATGGAGATGTTGGATAATTTATTAGTCATAAAATAATTTGCCAAATTTTTAAATGGCTAACTTGTACATATATATCATTTAAAACATACACAATGCCTGAACGTTATGTTTGCAACTGGGTTATATTTAATTTTATTTTTAGTATCTTCTTTCACTTTTTCCAATCCTTTGATGAATTTAATCCATTTGCATTTAAATGAGATTTTCTTTGTATCACATAGAATGAAAGAAACTATGGGGTGGGGGTGGGTGGAGAAATAGTAGTGTCTTTCAAGTATACCGATTATAGTAGGCAAGATTTAAGCAAGCCAGAAATTCCAGATTCAGTCCAAAGATGGTAAAAAAACAAACAAACAAACAACAACAAAAAAAACCAAAAAATGATATTTAGGCATTCATTCATTCATTTGATTTATTGATCTAGTAAGTGACTAAAAAGGTGAAATACATTTGACTATATATTGTGCCTGGAATATGGTAGGTGTTCAATAATTATTTATTGACTAACTAGATATCAATTTGATTAAATATGAGAAAGCAAAACATTAATGAACTCTCCACATTCTTCTGTGAATCAGGTTCTCAGGCAGAGTAAACACTGAAAGAAACAAAAAAAGTAGCAATTAAAGAGCCATGGGCTTAGTGGTCAGATGCACATTTATTAGTTATATGACCTTGAGCACATATCTTAGCCTCTCCAAACTCGTTTCCTCTTTTTTAAAAAGGAGAAAAGTGATAGTACCTATTTTATGAGGTGGTTGTGAAGATTAATTGAGATGATCTGTGTTATACATTGAACACATTTCTGGTATGCAGTGAACACTTAATGGCTGAGATCAATTATTATCAGTCTTTAACAATTTCTTGAGTAGCCTGAAGATTGTATGAACCTGACAAGCATTGCCTCTTCAAGGTTCACAATAGTCCCTTAAAACCATGATCCTCTAAAGCTGATTTTGTAGTCTTGATTATGGCAGTGGAAGTCAACATGTTAATTTTATGGATGATGTATTCTTTATTTATTTAAATCTGGCATTGATGTTTATAGTTTTGTTGCTTTCATGCAGTTACTTCTCCATCATATAAAAAATTAGCTTAATTCTCTACATACATACATTATTTGTGATAATATGTTCAAAGAAGTTAGCATGAACTTTCCCTCAAACTATCCCCATTGCAGAAAGATAATCAGCACATAATTAGAGAGGAGTGAATTTCCTTACCAATGTTTGTAGTGGATGTGAAAGTTAACCAAGACCAGGAGCTACAACATGTCTAGGAGGAATTCATGGTAAAGTAAAAAGAGGCAACCTGGTTAGCTCCCACATTTGGACTCAAGGATCTCAGAAGAGTGAAGCACCTGAAGGTTTCTGGGAGTTTCTGTGGGAGCTGCAGAATCTTTGCTTCTGTTTCTGATTGAAAATGTATCAGAATCCTCAGAAAAGGAGGTGTTATTCTCTGATGTGCTCAGCCTGGTTGACAGCTGAGGGATCACTGGAGGAGCTGGGCCATGAAACCTCCTGCATGCTCATCTCCTTGGGGAAGGAGAGACAAGACAATTGGTTTTTTCTATTTCTGTTCTTAACCCCAGCAGGATGCACAATTAACAAACACCGACAGCCACAGAGCACACCTCTGAGACAACATCTTTCATTATAGTCCCGGAATGCTTGGATTTCATGAATCCCAGCACTGCCCTTGTTCCCCAAGCTTCAGATGGTTCAAGTGAACCTGTCAGGAAGCAGAACCAGTGTGACAATGAATAAGCTCCTGGCAGGAACCTCTGTAGCTCAGCCTCTCCCTGATGTAATCTGGGTTACTTGTGTTGCAGCAGAACTGGGAAGAAAGGACCCTGAAAAGTTAGCTGGTTCCAAGTGACCCTCCAAGGTATGGAGATGCTTTGGGGAGCTGGTGAGGGAGGCACAGAGCAGACTGGGGAGTCAACGGAGGGGCCAAGGTGTCCCGGTGGGGCTTATTAGAACCTGCCTGAAGGGAGGGTCTCCTAAGACACAAACCACCACTGTAGATCGTGTATTAGAATTATTCTCTAATCTTTATTCTGAAAGGGGAAGAGTGCTGGATTCAGAGCCCACCTCAGGGGAAGACAGGACCCTCTCCAAGATGGTTTCCCTAGAAGCTACTACCTCTCCCTGGAGGGTGGAGATATTTGCTGGTCAAAGGTATTTTCATGTTTATTTCTACTTCTTTCTTCTACTGGACATAGGAGGATTATGAATTTTATATTAAGCAATTATGCAATTTACAAACTAATGAGTTTATTACAATGTGGTCTTTGACCTGCTGGGGTTATGGTATAAACCCAAGGAAAATCTTGCCCAGGTAATCAGGGTGTGAGAACACGCTCACCTGTGTTCCAGCTGTATATGTCCACAGTGAATTGCTTTGGGGACACACAAAAATGCTCCTGATCATATGAAAAGTCTAGTGCCTAGTAGGCCATCCATAAACATTAGAATCTTTTCTTTATTTTTCTTTCCACACCCCGGTGAAGTGCAACAGATATAAATGACAAGCCTGTGAAAACAACAATTTTAGAACTTTTTTCCATATTCCTCATCATATGAACATCAGTTAGAAAAAGTCATTTTAAGGTAGAAAACAGAAAATGTGAGCTAAAACAAGTTAAATATAAGGTTTTTATGATGCCAAACAAACTAATTTAGGAAATGCATCGCCTCAAATTACATGATTTATCACATATCAAGTTGAAGAAGCTTAAGCTTCTAAAAATGGTCAGAGTAAACACATACAAAACGTAAAAGTATACGAAGGAAAATAACACAGACAGAACAGTCCGATCTTAGTAGAAATGGATATGCTTACAGATGTTTGCATGATACGCCAGTATGCAGAAATCAGGAAACTGCCTTTTGGGAGCAAGTAGTCAGCTGAAAGTTCTGTGAATAATGGCTTTAGAGAATTCATTTCTATATAACCAACACCTTAGGAACATTGGTTATAAACACACATTTGAGGGTATAAAAATTAAAAAGATAGAAAATAATTAGTAAGTAAGTATAACATTTGGGAATGTCACACAAACAAAAACTTAGCAAAAACCCTTTAGGAACATGAATATCAATAGCTATAACTCAAAATTGTCAATATTCTGTTAAAATTAAATTGAAATAACTTCTGTTGAAGACAGTAAAAATGACACAAAAGTATATGAAAGAACTCAGCACATAAACGACACAGCCAATATTAATTGAAATGAGAAATATTTACATGATCTTCCAGCATTGGGCATTTGATTTCATTGAAACATTTATAACTTCTATGCTTAAAGTACTTTTAGAATTTGACCACAGAGTTCATTTGAGAGTAATACAGACAAAAGCTAACATAAGATGGGTGGGTTTAGCCACCTTACAGAGTAAATTATCCTAAGAGATGTTTTATAAAAGAGCAGCTAATAATGTTCGGAGAAACAGCCAAGACATAGGTAAATATATCTTCAGGATGGCATGACAGAAGTGGAATGAGAAGAGAGTGAAAATGCTAATGTTCTCAATTATATTTCATGAATAATTATGAGTTAAAAGGGCAGAAGTTCATCTGAAATCCTTTGAAACAGAGAACAAAAGAGAAATAATTGTAAGGACTTACTTTTAGGGTTTGTTTCAGCTGCTAGTGTTACCTTAACTAAGACAAATTCCTTAAAAGATGTGGGGTCTTCTTCCCTTGCACAATTGTCTCTGGACTTAACTGCCAGTGTGGGATTGCATTTCCCAGCCCTCTTATATTTAGGTGGGGTCATGTTCTTACAAAAGGTATACAAGCAGAAGAGACTTGTGCAGCTTCCAGGGCTGCAGTGGAAGGAGGGCATGCATGGAGGAGGAGGGCATGCCTCCTCCATGTTTGGCCTTCCCATCACTGGCTGGAAGTGAAGGCCTACAGGGCTCTAGGATGGCGGGACCATGCGATGGAAGGTGCCTGGGTCCCTGCATCACCAGTGGAAGGCTGTCTGTCATCCCTGCCTAGGACTTTACATGAGCAAGATGTAAAGTTTTATTTTGTTAAATCACTGTGATTTGGGAGTTTACCTGTTGCTGTTTATCCTACCTAATACATTATTTAACATTACTATGGCGATGAGAGGAATGAGGAAGGGCTAGTAACTCTAAAGCTAAGGTATTAGGAGCTCTCGAGATCAATTCATATTCTAAAAAGCATCAACATATGGCATGAAATACTGACTTTTTGCTTATGTCATGCAGTTATCTTAGAGTCTGAGGAGTCATGGTTTATTTTGTGTGCTATTTGGTTTCTCATGCAAACTATTTTAATTAATAATATAGGTTAACTTACTTAAACATAGCCCAATATTGAATAATAATGTAAGTGATACAAAATGATATTTTTGAGGAAACACTTTGATACAATTTAGCACAATCCAACAAGATTCTAAACTGCTTTTAATAATTGCTTAATTTTGGCTTTTACTAAAATATATGAGAAATGTGTACTGTTTTGAGAACTTAAGGGGCCAGACGTTTTTTGAGAAAAGGCTTTTTAGAAATTCTAACATTAATACGTGTTTCCTGTAATATTATTGAAAAACATAGAAGGGTTTATTTCTCCTAGTTCATTCCTCTGCCTAAAGCAACTTCTGTTGACTACTTAATGTACATCATTCCAGATCACGAAATTAAATACAGATGTATGTAAACACACATGTGCATACATGTGTACTCACATACACATATACAGGTGTACGAATTTATGTATAGCTAGGAGATTTCCCTGCACAAATGACAAAGTCTTATAAAAATGTTACTTGCTTTTTTCATTTAGCTATATTTGATGAGCTATTTTCATTGCAGCTCATTTTAGATAATACTTGTTCTATTTAATAGCTGTGTAACATTTTTCATAATTTAGTAATTTCAAAATTAACACTTGATCTTTTGAATTTTTGAAATCAATTTAATACCAAATCCATGTACACATTTCTTTGTGCAGTTACATATGTAAGTATTTCTGTAGAATGGATTCTTAGAATTAGTATGCGTGTTTTAAATGTTGGGTAAATAATTTCAGTTTTTTAAATCCAAAATGTGTGCCAATTTATACCTCCACCAACAATGTGTGAGTGTCATCAACATCACATGTAACACCATTTTCCCCTCACAATCTATTGAGTAAAAAAATCTCATTTTATAGTAGATTTCCTGATTGAGATAGATGACATTGTCATATTTATTGGTATGTTGTGTTTATTCTGTTGTCTGTATCTACATATTTTTGTCCATTTTTCTCATGGATTTGTGTATTACCCTTTTGGTTTTTTCACCTATGTTAAAATATATTAGCTGCATTACTATCCTCTTTCTTAGGATGAAATTTCAGGCCAGTCAAAAATTCAGGCTCATTTTTCTCAAGCTTTTAATCATGGGTAGAAAAGACTCCATATGTCCAGGCTGGAGGAGATTGGTATAACTTAGTATAATAGTTACAGACATAGTCTCTGGCCTTTGGAACACCTAAAGAAAAGTCCTCCTGTGCCACCTACTAGCTGTCTGAGGTGTACTTAACATCTCTGTGCCTTGATTTTTTTCATGTATAAATTGTATATAATAGTAATACTTCCCTCTGGCAATTGTTATGAAGATTAGATTAGACATAAATGCATATGTGTAAAACATTGTTTGATATGAAACAAGTACTCAATAAATGCCAGGAATTAATATTATTATGTCACTTGTGCAATGCCAGCACAAATGTACAGATCTGGGAAACTCTGTGAATAAAAGTTATTCTTAATCTTTTTCAAATAGGGTAATGAAACTGTTTTTACTTCCTTAGAGAGGACAGTTAATGTGAAACTTCTTTTGCCTTATTCTGCAAGTCTTATGCCATTCATAGTTCATACAGCATAAATATATTGAAATCAATAATTAATTTTGTGGTTACTCTTGAATTCCTACTATTTGTGAGGCTCAGGAGTTCGAGAATAATTCTCAAAAATTATTCTCAAAAATTCCATTTAATTTTGTCTCCTATGTAAAAGAAAAACAACATACATTCTAGGAAGTTAATAAAAAGGCATAGAATTTGAGAACTAAAAGGAACTTAACAATCATCTAGTCCGACATTTCATTTTATATGTGGGGAAACCAATGTGCAGAGGAATTAAGTGACTTCTCTAAGGTCATGCAGTGAGTAGGTGGTAAATTGGGAGAGGAACCCATAATTTTGTGAAATATATATTTGGTCTTTGTCCCCATTTCTTGGCGTACAGTTTCTAAAACTCTAGGAATCCCCAGAGTGATAAGAGTATCTTTTGTATGTTCTGTGGTTTGAATGTGTCCCCCAAAGTTCATGAGTTGGAAACTTAATCTCCAATGTAACAGTGTTGAAAGGTGGGACCTCTAAGAGGTGATTAGGTCATGAAAACTCTGACTTAATGCATGGATTAATGGTGTTGTCTCAGGAGTGGACTTGTTATGTGGAGATTGGGTTAGTTACAAAAGCAAGTTTGTCCCTCTCTCATCCTCTCACCTTTCACCATGCAGCAAGAAGGCCCTCTGCAGATGCTGACACCTTGATATTGGACTTCCCAGATTCCAGAACTCTGAGAAATAAATTTCTATTTTAAATAAATTACCCAGTCTGTGATATTCTGTTATAGCAACACAAAATGGACTTAGACGGTATGCTAATGAGATGACTGCTGGCAGGGAGCTCTGAAATAACTTTAGGATAGGGGCTGGTTACTACAAAAACAAAGGCATGTTTAGTGGGTTGGGACTTTCAGCCTATACCTCAACCTCTGGGGAGGGGAGAGGGCCTGAAGTTTGAGTTGATCACTAATGGCCAATGATGTAATCAATCATGCCTGTGTAATGAAGGCTTTACAGAAAACCAAAGAGGGTTTGCAGACTTTCTTGATTGCTGAACACATGGAGGTTCCTGGAGGGTGGTGTGCCCAGAGAGGTCATGGAAGCTCCATGCCCCTTCTCCAATACCTCACCAGATGCATCTCTCTCATCTGGATGTTCATCTCTATCCTTTGTAATATCCTTCGTAGTAAATGGTCAAACTTAAGTAAAGTGTTTCCCTGAGTTCTGTGAGCCACTTTAGCAAATTAATTGAGCCTAAGGAGGGGGGTCATGAGAGTCCCAATGTATAGCCAGTTGAACAGAAGCACAGGTCGCAACCTGAGGCTTGCAATTACCATCTGTAGTGTTGGGTGGGGGGAACAGGCTTGTGGGATCTGACACTGTCTCCCAGTAGATAGTGTCAGAATTGAATTGATTTTTAGGGCATGCAGTCGGTGTCCATTGCAGATTGCTAGGTGTGTGGGGAAAAACCTCAACGTATCTGTTGTTAGAAGTAAATTGTTGAGTGACTGTGTGAGTATAAGCAAAGGAGTAGGAAAAGCACCTTTGGTTTTTTCAATATTTTAGAGAATCCAGATGTCTTGGCTCTGAGCCAGTCATCTGAGGACCAAACCAGGCCGTGCCTAGTAGTGAACCTCTTCTCTTGACCCAACAAGATTACAAAAATTAAAAACAAACGAATAAACAGAGACAGGTCAAAAAAAGTAAACAAAAACCAAAACAGCAAGTCAAATGAAAGCAGGGCTCTTAATCAAAGTTCATCAAGAAGGTAAGAAAAATTGATATGGTCTGGGAAAACATCAGAGCTGTGAGACAGCATTCCAACTCTTGTTTTTCTCCCACTTTTTCTTTTTTCTTTTCTTTTCTTCCCCCCCCCCACCCCCCCCATTGAGACAGGGTCTTTCTCTGTCACCTAGGGTGGAATACAGTGGTGCAACCATGGCTCACTGCGAACTCAACCTCCTAGGCTCAAGCAAGTTTCCCATCTCAGCTTTTCAAGCAGCTGGAACCATAGGCGTGTGCCACCTCACCTGGCTAATTTTTTTATGTTTGAAGTTTTTTGAAGAGACAGAGTTTCACTATGTTGCCCAGGCTGGTCTCAAACTCCTGGGCTCAAGCAGTCCTCCTGCCTCAGCCTCCCAAAGTGCTGAACTACAGATGTAAGCCATTGTGCCTGGCCTTCACTTTTTCTTAGGAACCATAGATTTAACAATGAATCTCTATATGATTAATATTCAAAGTGTGGTCTATGGATCCGCAGCATCAGCAAGGTATGAGAGATGATAAGAAATGCAAATCTCTGCCTATTTCATTTAGACCTGTTGAATCAGAACCTGTATTTTTGCAAGATCCCTGAATGATTAATATACACATTGACATGTGAGAAGCACTGGTCTACATTACCTAGCAAAGAGTAAAGAATGGTCCTACAGGTCAGTGATGGCAGTGCTCACTCTACATACCAAGGACACCATGGGGGCCAATTTAAGGTAGTGCATGCACTGACTTCCACTCCCAGGGTGTCATCCGTGTCATTTTCAGTAATTACAGTGCCTTATGCTCTACTCTTTGGCAAGACAGAGGAGGGGAACACTCTCTCCATGGCTACTGTGCCAGCACAATCACGTTGTGTCATACTATAACCATAGGGTTTGGCAATTTGGGACAGTCTTTTTGAAAGACCTATAACCTTTGTTCTATATGATAGGAACAAATATATATCATCCTAGTTTTCTTTTATATTAGTCTCGAAATATCCTCTCTGAATGTGTTTACAATTTCTCTGTGGCCACTGACAGATGAGATGTAGTTTATTAATATTCATCTCAGAAGAAACTTTTGCAAAAACGGAATGTATCTGGAGCTAAACATGATTAAATTGACTGACACTGTATTTAATTACATATTTTATGGAGATCCTTTTTTAAAAATATAGAAGTGTGGACTACATGATTACTCATTTATTTATTTAGTCAACATTTATTGAGTAACTACTATGAAACTGGCCTGGTCTAGCCACTGAAGATACAAATATCAATAGGCCCTTTCCAAAAGAATGGTTCTCAGTTAATGTAGAGTAGATTGACTGGACTACAGTTTTATTTCTACCACTTGATATTTCGTTGACATCGAGTAAATTAATTAATTCTCTAAACCTCAATTTCCCCTCTATAAATGAGGATATTATTAGTACTTAATTCACAGTGTTGATGTGAGGATTATATCAAAAACATTTAACATATTGTCTCGTACACAAGTGCTAAATAATTTTTAAGCTACAATTACTTTCTACTATTCTGTGTTATTCAGATAAAATGATTTTTATTTTTATTTTTATTTTATTTTATTTTATTTTATTTTTTTCTGAGATGGAATCTTGCTCTGTTGCCCAGGCTGGAGTGCAGTGGCGTGATCTTGGCTCACTGCAAACCCCGCTTTCCAGGTTCAAGCAATTCTTCTGCCTCAGCCTCCCAAGTAGCTGGAATTACAGGTACATGCCACCATGCCCGGCTAATTTTTTTGTATTCTTAGTAGAGACGGGGTTTCTCCATGTTGGTCAGGCTGGTCTTGAACTCTTGACCTCGTGATCCGCCCGCCTTGGCCTCCCAAAGTGCTGGGATTACAGGCATGAGACACCACGCCAAGCCCAAGGATTTTTAAAATACAGAAATCAGAATATAGTTTAACACTGACAATTGTGTCTAAGTACTCAGCAGATAGTTAAAGGTGCATGAATTGGTGCAGCCAGTGCTTAGTGAGTGCCTACTAGGTGCTAGGCAATGTGCTCATGTTACTGATAAATGAATGAATGGATTCCAATTCCTGCTGTTGCGGAGCTCCCCATCTTAGATGTGAAATTTGATACCTACCTGAGCAATGTTCTCAGGTAAACTTTCAGGTAAATACCACCTGAAAGATTATAACCATTTTAAATATCAATAATGAAACTGAATTCCTTTTTCTTGGGGCTGTTTTTAGATAAAATGCTATAAAACATCCATTTTAGTTCTCATCAATTGGTAAGGCACTGCTGTAACACTGCATTGTCGGTCTTCTCGTTCAGTGTTGTCTGTTTCACTCTCCAGCTCAACCCCAGAGTCCTCACGGCCATGCATCCCTGACCCTTGGAGTCACAGTTCTTTCTTGCGACCACTCCCCCACTTTTTTCACATCTCTGTTTAGAGTCAAGCTGCTTCCTTTAGAAGATGTATACCCCTTTCTATCTAAAGCTGAATATCCATAGTTTGGTCTTAATTATGTGTTTTCTTTCACTGTCACGAGTTCTTTGATCTTTATTCACAGATATGCTCTATAGAGGCCGTGCTGTGTAGTGGTTATGGCTATAGGGTCAGGGATCAGATTGTCTTAGTTCAATCCTGGACTGGGTAATTGTTAGCTGTGAGGTACCGGGCAAGTTGCTTAATCTCTCCGTGCCTCAGTTTCTTTATATGTAAGGTAGGATATTGATTATCTTCTGACTCAAAGTGTTATTTTGAGGATTAATTGAGGTAATACATGTAAAATTCTTAGAGCAGTGACTGGCACAAAGTAAATAAGCTCTGTGTGTTTGTGTGTGTGTGTGTGTGTGTGTGAGAGAGAGAGAGACAGAGAGAAAGAAAGAAAGAGAGAGAGAGAGACTGACTATGGGTGTGTTGGTTCTGGGTCTTAGCTGAACTAAATAGCCAGTCTCAGTGAGAACTACCTTTATTCTCATCTTCTTCATGTTCTGCATTTGTCTAGAAGTCCAGTGCTTTCATGTGACTCAGCACATAAGAGTCACCATCCAGGACAACCAGCCTCTCATACATGATCTCTGGTCCTCCACGCCTTAGAGAGAACAGATCAGCTCCCTGTGGCATACATCAGACTATAAAGAAAGCTTCCTTCTTTTAATAGTTCTGCCTTGGGATACATTTACCTTATCCTTTATTTGATAACATAGATATTAAAATTCTACATTGATGTGCTATGTACAGAGGCTGGGAGCCAGACTGTCTAGGGATAAGTCTGACACTTGCTGCTTTCTGGTTTGTGCATACGTAAAATAGTGACAATAGGACCTTCTTCCTGGATTTGTTATGACTAAATGAAATGGCCCATGTAAAGTGCTATTAATATGTAGCATATGCCATTGAGTGGTGAGTCAAAATGTTAGCTATTATTACAAAAACTCATTTGTTTTTACATTTAATAAGTTCTGCCTGGGTATCTTCACCCACAGGGAATAATAATGAGTTGGGTGGAGTACTTGTTAACCCCTAAGTGAAAGGCATACACTTATTTTGCTGAAAAAGTATTAACATGCTCTCTTGTAAAATTGAGAAAGACTCTGGAAGCAAGTGGCATCCTAATCTTAGGGAAGGTTAGAAAGTAGAATTTATAGGTAACACTCTGGGAAGCCACCTAAAATGCATGGGGACTCATCTCTAACCATTAGATTTGTAGTGAAGATTTGTTAAAGAAAATTAAAATGGAAACCAGACATGGAGAATCACTTAGATGATTCAGGCTGGGTTAGGTCACTTATGGAATCACTTTTCCTGGAGCAGGGAAAGCCAGTTAGGCCTCATAAGTGACCTAACCCAGACTGATTTGCAAACACAAGTGAAAATTAACTTGAACTATTTCTTATAAATACTTGTATTAAAGCAAAATGAAATTTAAGATTAACCACTCAGAAGCTGCCAACTAAGTTATATAACTAAAGACTTTCCAGCAGTATAGGCCAACTAAGGCAATTGTATAAAGGTAACCAATCAAATATTTTCTTTGCTTTAGTTCCGTGGTTGTCCTGTAAAAGCCCTCCCCTTGCATTCCTTTAGTGGAGCCCATGAACCACTTATAGTTTGGAGCTGTCTGATTCATGAATTGCTATTTGCTCAAGTAAACTCTTTAAAATTTTATTGTGCCTCAGTTTACCTTTTAACAGGAAAATAGATTGGCTCAGCAAAAATTTCTTCACCACCATGGTTGAAGAGCTAGCTACATACCTACACTGTCTGGTGAAATTTCCTTTTTCAGGGGTAAGACATTCTAATGAGGGAAATGATCCACAACTGGACTAACCAAGGTGGAAGAGCTGATGAAAAGACACTGGAGAATCACGCTTAGAGACAGATGTGCATATGTACAATACACAGCTCAACACTCAATGTTTTCTGAAGAAACCATAAACAACCCAAATAGTTTTCTTGGATACTCATTTTCAGCCTTTTCAACAGGGAATGCCCAGTTTTGCCTCTTTGCCAGCTACTAGCTACTGAGTTTACCCTGAACTTTGTAAACACTGTTCACTGTTCCCACACGGTCTGTAGTGTTCTTTTGCTTCTCTTCTCTCTTTTCCCTTATATATGTTCTTTTTGTTTTCCTTTTTTGTTTTCTTTTTTGAGACAGTGTCTCCCCGTCTCCCAGGCTGGAGTGCAGTGGCGCAATCTTGGCTCACTGCAACCTCTGCCTCCCAGGTTCAAGCAATTCTCATTCCTCAGTCACCAGAATAGCTGGGATCACAGGCATGCACCACCACGCCCAGCTAATTTTTGTATTTTTAGTAGAGATGCAGTTTTGCCACATTGTCCAGGCTGGTCTCAAACTCCTGGCCTCAAGTGATCCACCCACCTCAGCCTCCCAAAGTGCTGGGGTTACGGACATGAGCCACTGTGCCTGACTTATCTCTTCTTTTAAGTTTGTTCCTTCACTCAGCCTACTAGTTAACTCCTGTACATGAGTTAATAAGTTTTACACAAAATTTCTCAGCGCATGCAACACAACTAACTAAATCCCTCTATTTAACAGGGAAAGTGCAATTGTGTGAGAATGGACAAGTGTGCTGCTGGGTTTTGGGAATCACTTCTTTGGCTGAACCTTTTTATTTTCTTTTAAATCTTATGACATATGCCGTTAGTGAGTTTATATAGTTCGGTGTATTAGTCTGCTTTCACACTGCCATAAAGAACTACCCGGGACTGGATAATTTCTAAAGAAAAGAAGTTTAATTGGCTCACAGTTCCACATGGCTGGAGAGGCCTCAGGAAAGGTACAATCATGGCGGAAGCCACAGGGGAAGCAAGGCACGTCTTACCATGGCACAGCAGGAGAGAGAGAGCAAAGGGAGAAGTGCTGCACTTTTAAACCATCAGATTTCGTGAGAACTCGTTCACTATCAACAGAACAGCAAGGGGGAAATCCCTCCCCATGATCCAATCACCTCCCACCAGGTCCCTCCCCTGACATGCGGGGATTACAATTTGACATGAGATTTGGGTGGGGACACAGAGCCAAACTATATCATTTGGTTAAAGAAGTAAGTGGCCTGTATTTAACTTTTGGGACTGGGAAAATGAATTAAAATAATTCTTTATTTTACAGATATTAAAGTAATTGTGAAATAAAAGAAAAAATTGTCTGATAAAACCACATCTCATAGAAACCCAATGAATGCAACACATCTAAAATTTTATCTGCAAAAAACGAGAGAAGACTTGCCCTTCTGTCAGTAAAGCACAGATAAAGAGAAGTAAACTTTTCTGGATTGAGGCAATAATTGGGCATCAAGAGTCCACGTGACAACTGAGGCTGGCAGTTCAAATGTCACACCTCTTAGGAATGACTTTCCTTGCACAGTGCTCTCCTCAGGGCACCCTTGACCTCTACATTCCTCAGGTTGTAAATCAGGGGGTTTAGCATCGGGTTGAAAGAACTGTAAAATAGAAAAAGGACCTTCTGCTGCTCCTCAGGATGGCGGGACTTAGGGGCCATGTACATGACGATGGCGCTGCCAAAGAAGAGTCCCACTACGCAGAGGTGGGAGGAGCAGGTGGAGAAGGCCTTTCTGCGGCCCTCCCCAGACTGGATCCTCAGGATGGCCGCCAGGATGTGTGAGTAGGAGACCAGCACCAGGCAGAGTGGTCCCACCAGGATGAACATGCAGGCTGCAAAGATGACCACCTGGTTGAGCCAGGTATCAGCACAGGCCAGCCTGAGGACAGACAGGATTTCACAGAAGAAGTGGTTGATTTCACGAGGCCCACAAAAGGGCAGTCTTAGGATGAGGCTCACATGGACCATAGCCAGGAGGGAGCCACATGTCCAGGAAGTGATGGCCAGAGTGATGCAGACTTTCCAGGTCATGATGATGAAATATCGGAGAGGGTGGCAGATGGCCACGTACCGATCGTAGGACATCAGCACCAACAGGAGGCATTCAGTATGTGCAAAACTCAAAAAGAGAAAGGTCTATGTCATGCAGCCAGCAAAGGAGATGGGCTTGGCTGGATGCAGGAGGTTCACCAGCATCTGGGGCACTGTGTTGCAGGCATAGGCGATGTTGACGACGGCCAGGTGTGAGAGGAAGAAGTACATGGGGGTGTGGAGTCTGGAGTCCAGTGAGATGAGCCCCAGGATGGTCCCATTCCCCAGCAGGGTGAAGACATAGAACAGGGAGAAGAGCCCAAAGAGGAGCATCTGAATCCTTGGGCCCAGGAGAAATCCCAGTAGGAGGAACTCTGTGACCATTGTCTGATTTTTCACCATTTCACTACTAAAAAACAAACAAAGAAACAAACAAAAAACAAGCAGCTGTGTGACACGCTTTTTTTTAAAGTCTATTTTATTTATTGTTTTATAAATTTTTAGTTTGTGGAAAATTGTTAGTAAATGTCTTTAAGAACTCATTCAGTTATACATAAGTAAAGTTTTACTTGAAAACTTGCTGTTAATTCAAGTCCTTCATATTTGTAACAATCACTATACCTGAAATCCCAAATGCAAGAAATTGTTTTTCAAATAGAAAAAGTGTAGCTGACTTCAGCAACAAGAATTGCAATATACTATATAAGTAACCAACGGAAGGAAATTATTGACAAATCAATAATTCAATTTGGCACTTGACAAATGGCAGCATCAATGAATTAGCAGTAAGATGCTTAGCCTGTGAGTTGGTGGTGTGCTGAATTGATGAATTTGTTTTTTTGACCTTGGATCTTGGATCACAGTTTCCTTAATGAACTTCAACATGGTTTTTGGTGCAAACATTTGTCAATGCCATTGCAAGAACAAAATAACTTGAGTCTTATCTACTTTAGTGAGATTAAAGTGAGGAAAGGCACTGTTTTTGGCCAGTCCCTAGTTTAATTTTTGTCAGTACTAACTGGGATATAAAGGTGTGTTTCCCGAGGATATAAGAGACAGACTTGCATTCTGAGAAATAAATTTGTGAAACCCACATGTAACTGATGAGAATAACAATCTAGAGGTGAGAAACACGACACTTTCAGGAAACATTGAGTGGAGAGTTTGAGGAGCCTCCAGAAGGCCACTGCGGGTGCTTTGATGAAATCTCTGGGAGGCACAGCAGAAGAATGTGATTCATTCAGTGAGCCCAAGTGTAGTCGGTTGTATGGCGTGCCTGTCTGGAGGAAGACTGTAGGAAAAAGAAGGCAGGTGACCAATATGGAGTGTAGTCATCAGGCCAGAGGGGCAGCATTTGGCAATGCATCCTTAATGACATTCAGGGTAAGGAAAAAGGGGAACCAGCTGCACCAGGATCCTAGCCATCTGGTGATTCTATGTCTACAGTCTGGATAGATGGTTTGGGTAAATAGCCCTAGCTAGTAATTTCTCTAATTAGCCCCTCTTGCTCTGATTTCATATTCATCAATCAACTGTTAGGTAACAATTTATCTTCTTGAGCAGTTATTTCTACAAAGAAGAAATGTGTTGAGTACTAAACTTCTTGACTCCTTTTGCAGTCACATTTTCAAGTTTAAATAAAGGAACATTTAGGTATCCTGGCTTATGCATTTTCCTCTTTTGCTTTTGGGTTGTATGATGCAGTTCCTGAACAAAATTCCCAAAGCTGAATCTAAAATGTGAGGACCAGACTCTGGGTCAAGGAAACCTCATTGAAGCAAGAACTGGGGAAAGAGACAGATTCCTTTCTAACAGCAACAGATGAGATATCTATTTTCTTATAAGCATTATTGATAGGTGATCAAGTTACCTTGACACAAAAATAATCTAAATAACAAATTAAAAATTCCTCACTTGTGACCAGGACTTATTAAATTTTAGGTTGATAGTAAAAATTTCTCAGTAGGTGCCGTCATATGCACCTGTAGTTCCAGCTACTTGGGAGGCTGAAAGCAGGAGGATAGCTTGAGCCCAGGAGTTCCAGGACAGCCTGGATAACATGGCAAGCCCTCATCTCATAAAATAACATAAAATAAAAAATTTCTGTGTTTATCAAACTTTCTAAATTTATTTTTTAAGCTCATAAGGCATAGAAAAATATTTGACTGTGAAAGATGTATTCAAACCCACCCACTTATAAAATAATAATTTCCTTTCTCAATTTTTCATTTCCCTCAAAAGGAAGACATAAAGGAAAAAAGAAACACAGTAAAAGCCATGATTTTTTGAAGCCAACTGAAAGACAGGTGTAAAAGAAGGAAAATAAGGTACCTCATAGTCTGAGTATTCTTTCAGAACAGTAGTCCTGTTTGATTCAGCCTTGATTTCTTTTAAAGAAATGGAGAGGGCATGTTCATTTTTATATCCCTTTAATTGTGTATGTTAATACACATTTTCAAATGACATATAAATATAAGCAAATGAATTAATAACTAAGTATTGATGTCCTTATATTAGATCTGGTTTCTTTTACAGTATAGTCAAGTATAATTATGCCAAATTCAGCCCCTTCTTCCCAAAGGAAATAAAATGCTACAATTCAGGAGAATTTCATCCCTAATGATCTGAATTAAAATGAAATTTTAAAAATGTGTCAAGAACAACGGGAAGATTCATAAAGTGTTTAAACACTTGAATTTTGAATCACTTCTCTTTTATCTATTTTTTTTCTTATTTTATTTGATACCTATGTGACATACTTATTGTTAATTAAAGACAATCAAGAGGAAACCAAACAGAGTAAATTTCTAGGGGGTTGGAAGGAGTGGACTGGGGGATTTTGCTCTACCTTGACACACGTTGTAATTCCAAATGTACCTTTCAGGCATAGAGATGTACATTAATTTATATATGTACAATTTCAGAATTTAAAAAATGACAGATTATCTGGCTAATACATGGTAAGGAAACTAGAATTTTAAAGTAAATATCTAAGAAGGCATTTGTTGCTGTATATATAAGCAAAACAGCGTAACTTTATGGAACCTGCATTTTAAAAAGCAAATCTCAAAATTTAATGATCTGTCAGGTTCTTTTTTAAAATCTTGGGCATGGGTAAAGCAGAATCGCTGAAGTGATTACCTGTAGTTAATCTGTAGCTCAGCTGAGCTACAGGGCTGTTTACTTGTAAGTAACAAGTGAGAAATGAAAACTAAGTTATCTCATTGCTTACATAGTTATGAGCCAAGACTTTGCAAAGTTGTCTTATGGAGTCAGAGTTGATAACGTAAGTACGTTTTCTGGATATAAGAACTATCGTGGACCATGAAGAACTGAGTGTCAGTTTCATGTAACGACCGTCTATTCAATAATCTGCTAGAGGTTGATAACAATTGATCCTACTCTTGAGTGCTTCCTGTGAACTGGGCACTGGAGGAACACAGTGTAGCAAGTTGATGGTTCTGAGCTTGTGAAGATTTCATTGTGAAGATGTGCCTCGGGAGGAAAAGCAGAAATAAATAAAAAGGTACACATTAAACAAAAATCCTATAAAAAGAAAATTTAAAGTATTATTAATTATTACATCGTTTTCCTACTTTGTTACACCACCACCTACCACCTGAGTTCTTTTTCTGTACTCTTTCCATGTGCACCACAAAAACTTATCCTCCAGTCTATGGAAAATCTAATATTTATACATATTTATCTAGTACATTGCAGGTGCCTTATGCCCTCTTTAGTGCCATGCTTAATGAAAGATAAGACATAGATTTAGCATCCATTTGGGTTTATATTCTATTGCAATAAATATATTCTCATAGATTAGCATGTATTGTGACTGTACTGGCAATAATTAAATGCATAATTTATTAAACAGCTGACATGTATTAATTTTCCTGAGCTGTAACATCTCTCCATAATATACTGTGCTATACTTTCCTTTGGCTGTGAAAATTATTTCATACATTTTATCAAAATCTATAAAACAGAAATTTCTGGCTTTTTTTGTGAGTGTCATCTTTCCCAAAGAAATCTCTATCACATAGATATTTCTCCACCAAAGAAACATATATAGCCAAGTCCTAAACACTTTTACATAATTTGCACATCAAATGTGCATCTATTTTTCCCCTGGAACCATTGATATATAATATGAATAATGAGCATATATGTTTAGCCATAAAATAAATGATTTACTTCCCTTCCCATTACTTAATAAAAAGTGTTAGTAACAGAGTGAGAGTGAACCAAAGCCTAGGTGCCACCACGAGTCTAGGAGGAATTCATGGTAAGTAAAGAAAGGCAACCTGGTTAGCTCCCACATTCGGACTCAAGGATCTCAGAAGGGTGAAGCACCGCAAGGTTTCTGGGAGTTTCTGTGGGAGCTGCAGAATCTTTGCTTCTGTTTCTGATTGAAAAGGTATCAGAATCCTCAGAAAATGAGGTGTTATTCTCTGATGGGCTCAGTCTGGTTGGCAGTTCAGGGCTCTCAGGAGGGGCTGGGCCATGAAACTTCCTACATGTTCAACTCCTCGGGGAAGGAGAGATAAAACAATTGTGTTTTTCAATTTCTGTTCTCAACCCCAGCAGGATGCACAATTAAGAAACACATATTAAGAAACCGCATATTCTCACTCATAGGTGGGAATTGAACAATGAGATCACACGGGCACAGGAAGGGGAATATCACACTCTGGGGACTGTTCTGGGGTGGGGGGAGGGGGGAGGGATAGCGTTGGGAGATATACCTAATGCTAGATGACGAGTTAGTGGGTGCAGCGCACCAGCATGGCACATGTATACATATGTAACTAACCTGCACAATGTGCACATGTACCATAAAACCTAAAGTATAATTTAAAAAAAAAAGAAAAGGAAGAAAACGCAAGCTCAAGGTCAGTCAACCACAGAGCACACCTCTGAGACAACCATTCCCATCCCGGAATACTTGGCATGATTTGAATTTCATGAATACTCACATTGCCCTTGTTCCCCAATCTCCAGATGGTTCAAGTGAACCTGTCAGGAAGCAGGAACAGTGTGACAATGACTAAGCTCCTGGTGTGAACCTCTGGAGCTCAGCCTCTCCCTGATGTAATCTGGGTTCCTTGTGTGGCAACAGTAATGGGAAGAAAGGACCTGAAATATTAGTTGATTCCAAGGGACCCTCTAAGGTTAGAGAGGCAGAGAGCAGACAAGGGTGTCCAAAATGTCCCAGTGGGGCTTATTAGAACCTACCTGAAGGGAACGTTTTTCTAGGACACAAAACACCGGTGCAAATCCACTGTTGAAAATGTTCTCCAATGTCTATTGCGAAATGGAGAGATTTTGAGTTCAGCTCCTTTCGGGAGGGGAGGAAAGAATCCTCTCCAAGGCAGCTTCCTCTAGCAGTTTCCTGCCTCTTGTGGGATGAGAAGATTTGCTGTCTAAGATATTATCATATTTATTTGTATTTTGCTGAGTTCTTTTACTGGATGTAAGGCAGTCCAAATGTTATTTGGAAATCTCCTATCAATCAATCATGCAATTTAGATAGAAGTTAGTTCCATACAGTGTGATCTCTGACTTGCTAAGGTTTAGAATAAACTCAAAGGGCAATGTGGCACAGTTGTTAAGGTTTGAGAGTATGCCCATCTGTGCTCTGACTCTACACATCCACTGCGAGAAGAAACATCCATATAACACCAAAAACACTATATGAAAATCTTGTTGCACAGTAGGCCACCCATCAATATTACAGCTTTTCTTTTTCTTTTGATGTTCCAGGTGACCTGCAGGAAATGTAGAAATCAGGAAACTGACATACAAAAGAAAAAGTTAGTAGCAAATGGAAACAACTTTATAAAAATATAATATGGTATATAGTATAAAAATTATACTACAGTATACTTTTTACTTTATAAAAAGTATACCATAAAATAGTTTTTAAACTATTTTTATACTATATAAATAGTATAAGCAGTATAAAATAGGCTGGGCAGGATGGCTCATGCCTGTAATCCTAGCACTTTGGGAGGCCGAGGCAGGTGAATCAACTGAGGTCAGGAGTTTGAGACCAGCCTGGCCAACACGGTGAAACCCTGTCTCTACTAAAAATACAAACCCTGTCTCTACTGAAAATTAGCTATGCGTGGTGGCACATGCCTGTAGTCCCAGCTACTTAGGAGGCTGAGGCAGGAGAATTGTTTCAACCCAGGAGGCAGAGGTTGCAGTGAGCCGAGATTGCACCACCGCACTCCAGCCTGGGCTATAGAGCAAGACTGTCTCAAAAAAAAAAAAAAAAAAAAAGGATAAAATAGTTTTAGGACATAGTTTTATATCTAACATGATATGACACTGAGTTATTGTGTAAAAAGTTATTTTAAAATATAAAAGTAAATTCTTTGAACTAAGACAATGAGAAATTAAATATAAATGTTTAAGACCAAACTTAAACCTAGAAAAAACATCATCTCAAAATGACATGTTTCCCATGGCATAAGAAGCTGCTACAACTTTTAAGTGTGTAGGTGGTGGATTTTGAAATCTTTCTAGATTTTTCTTTCTTGAGAAATCTGGGTTTATCTTGAAAACCCTGAATTAGAAAAATTAGATTGATTTCATTCAGCGGCAAACACAGGCAGATGTATACTGAATCATATTTCTTAAAAATCTCAAATTTAGAAGATTGTGAGGTTGAATGAGGTCATCTCCTGAAGCTTCTATAGCAGGAATGCCGATCCATGATGAAGGACAGGATTGCATTTATTTTCTTTAGATGATCTACCATTGAACAGTAGAGACAGGGTCCCTCACGGTCTGTATCCAAACAGAACCCGGATTTTTACAGACTGATCGAGGCATAATGCTCAGAACTACATCTCTTTAGAGGCTCACTTTGCAAGGAAAAAAGAAATCATTCTGCCCTAGAAGGGGGCTGTAGGAAGTATTCACAATGAGTCAATTAATATCAAGATCTCCTGTTCCAGGAAACTGTTACTAAGTATTACAAAGGAAATTTTATGTGCTCACGTAAGTTTAGAAAACACTGGCTTAAAGCTGGTATAGAATTATTCTTTCCTAGAGAAATATTTACAGCATTCACTATGCTAATATGAATTGTGATCCCTAGACAGAGGCATCTGATGTGAAGTAAGTCTCAAACTTATTTGACTATAGAACTTATTTTTAAAGTCCTCTGAAGGGACCAGTGTTTTGAGGAAAACATTATGGGAGGTATGGGACTGGATCAAAAGCTAATGAGGATATTGTAAGGGGTATTGTCCTGGTGTGGAGTGGCTGCAGCACAACTTGAAGAGATCAATTTCTAGAATTTCATCCCACATCTGCTGAAATCAGTCATTTAAAGGTAGGGCAGGAGATAGCTCCATTTTAAATAAATGTCTCAGATAATTCTCATGTCCATTGAGGGCAGAGGTCCCACCAGTGCAGAGATGGGTTAAGAACCGCTCAATGATGTAACTTCCTAGGTCACTGTCAGTCACAATGCCATAATCCTTTTCATAAAGCCCTTTCTACTCCCAGCACTCTCTTCAAAGTATTCTTCACTTCTGAGTTCCTAAGACTACAGATAAGGGGATTGAGCATGGGATTAAAGAGGCTGTGAAACAGCAGGAGATATTTCTTCTGCTCCTTGGGGTTCCCATATCTGGGTCCAACATACATGATAATGGCTGTGCCATAAAAGAGTCCAATCACACAGAGGTGGGAGAAGCAGGTGCAGAAGGCTTTCCTCTGAACTTCCCTTGATTGGATCTGAAGGATAGCACAGAGGATGCACATATATGAAACTACAATTGTGGACAAGGGTCCCACCAGCCCAGAAATTGCTCCGGCCAAGACCATGTTCTCATTGATGTGGGTATCTGCACAGGCAAGTTTGAGAACAGCCAAGATTTCACAAAAAAAGTGATAAATTTTCTGGGGCCTACAGAAGGGTAAAGGTAGAAGTAACACAAGATGAATCAAGGATAAAAGGACTCCAGTGGTCCAGGAAGTCACCGCGAGGGTGATGCAGACTCTCCAGGTCATGATGGCCAAATATCGGAGGGGGTGGCAGATGGCCACGTACAGATCATAGGACATCACCACCAGGAGGAGACATTCTGTGACAGCAAAAGTGGAAAACAGAAAGGTCTGCATCATGCGGCCCGCAAAGGAGATGGGCTTGGCTGGATGCAGGAGGTTCACCAGCATCCGGGGCACCGTGTTGCAGGCGTAGGCGATGTCGACGACCGCCAGGTGTGAGAGGAAGAAGTACATGGGGGCGTGCAGTCTGGAGTCCAGTGAGATGAGCCCCAGTATGGTCCCGTTCCCCAGCAGGGTGAAGACGTAGAACAGGGAGAAGAGCCCAAAGAGGAGCATCTGAATCCTTGGGCCAACGGGAAATCCCAGTAGGAGGAACTCTGTGATGGATGTTATATTGTCCCCCATATCCCTATGACAGAGGAAATCAAGTTAATGCTCATGGTTTAGGAGAAGTGTTTAAAAACAGATTCATTTTAACTTGTTCGGCACTCTTTGGTGAAGTAGAAAAGTGTTCAGACAGCTGCAGTGAGTTTTTGTGTTTTTAAATGAATGCTTCAAGACAATTTGGTAACGCTAAAATAAATGTTTAAAAAATATATGCAGGCCGGGTGCGGTAGCTCACGCCTGTAATCCCAGCACTTTGGGAGGCCGAGGCGGGCGGATTGCCTGAGCTCAGGAGTTCGAGACCAGCATTGACAACACGGTGAAACCCCATTTCTACTAAAAATACAAAAAATTAGCCCGGCGTGGCGGCGTGTACCTGTAGTCCCAGCTACTCGGGAGGCTGAGGCAGGAGAATTGCTTGATCCCAGGAGGCGGAGCTTGCAGTGAGCCGAGATCACAACACTGCACTCCAGCCTGGGTGACAGAGCCAGACTCTGTCTCCAGAAAAAAAAAAAAAAAAAAGAAAAGAAAAAAAAACGCATGCATGCACACGTATACATAGGTTTCTTTTTTATTACGTTAATTTTTTAATAAAGGCTAAAATTTAAAAATAAACGTGTCACATATTAATATATCCTTTTGGTCTTTTTTTAAAAAAAATTTGGCTCAGGCCTTTCAGGGATGAATGTCACATGTCAATGTAGTACACAGTTTTTGTTTGATTCAGTGAGCTATCTCATATCCTTCAAATAAATTCTTCTTTTCCTTGGTCGTATTATTCAGAGTTTTTCTCTGCTATGTTTCAGAAACAATGAACACTAACTGATACACATGTCAAAGTCTTAAAACCACATTAAGTTTAATCTTAAAGTGGAAGGTTTAATTAAGGGCGGGCTATACTAAGGTTCGACATACCATCAGCCAAATACACCAGTGGTCATTCACCTCTTAAACTTTCCACTCTTGCACTGATCATCACCTCCACAGCAAATATCTCACAAAATCTTTTCTTATCCAAGTGTAAAGACTTATTTTTTAGCCCAGAACCTTATTTTTTGTTATTTACTTTCCCACAATGTTTAGATGAGCATTTATGTGAATGACTGAATAGATTTGCACCGTGTCATTATGTAAACACGAAAACAGGATCAGTAACTTTTGTTGGATTTGGGCTTACTATTGATAAACACTCTAGAATACACAGTTTTAAGCATTGTCTATGCAGGTGATTGGCAATAGTTCGATGAATTTATGAGGAATGCTGCAGAAAGAGTCTCTGAATTCTCTGATTGAACTCAGGCCTCCTTGATCCCACAATTAAAATGTTAGCATAAGCATGATATTGTCATTTTTGCTTAAATTTTATTCTCCTTTTTTATGTAAAATTATATTGTCTTGGAGATAGGAAGGATGAGCAATAATCCTCCATTTAAATGTCCATAAAATTATAAATTTAATCCTGCAAAACCGACTAAAAAGTATTTCATTTGCATTGGATTTTTCCTACCACCATTCCAAGGATAAGTATTATGCTCATGTTGAGAAAATAAAATAATTTAGTTATTTATTGATTTCTTGTCATTTATTTCATGTTGTCCTGAGATTGGATCTAAACTTTGAGCTCCTAATCATCGCTCAGATTGTGTGGCCTCGTAAGATTGTGCGTAATAAGTAAACAAGCATCTGTACACTTGTTAACTTAATGAGCTTCTGTATGTGACACTTTAAGCCTTTTTAAAAATTAAGTGCTGGGCTATGCTTGGTGTCTCATGCCTGTAATCTAAGCACTTTGGGAGGCTGAGGAAGGAGGTTCGCTGGAACCCAGGCATTTGAAACCAGCCTGGGCAGCATAGAGACCTCATCTCTTTTAAAAAATTTTTAAAATAGTAATTATATGAAAAAAAAATTTTAAAGAAAAAAAGTGCTGGTCTTTTTTGTTAACGTTGAACATTTACCAGAGTCAGTTGCACACAGATATTTCTTGAACTTAAAAAAAGCTACCAGCCAAAATAACCATTAACATATTGATTGCTTTAATATATTAATATACTGATAGATAATATGCTGATATCTATTAATATATTTTAGTCATATTATCCTATTATCTAAAACTATTGGTGAGCAAAATTTGAGCATTAAGAGAGTAGAAATGTACTTTTGCATGATATTAAAGTGTGACGGTAAAAGCAAACAAGCAATGAAAATGACCTTAAATTATATTTGACCAGAACTCACAAAGGCAGTTAGGAAATCCAGGTGTCTAGAGATGACTGCTGTGTAAGAACCTAGATAATCTTCATATAGAAAAGGCAAACATTTCTACAGTGTGGCTGAGTTTACTGATGGTGCTGGGAACTCTGCTGCCCATCTGAGAAATGCCAAGGAAGGATCTTGCTTCTTCAAGTGCTTTTGAGAAGGGAAGGTGTTATTAAGTCATCACCTCCACAGAGTACCTTCCAATTATCATGAGAGCTTTGTGTGACGCATGAGAAAATAGGCTTCACTTGCACCAGCATGATTTCCATAGAGACATGAAGAACCCAACCACTGTTATTCTTCTAGGGGCAGAGAATTGAGCTTCTGTCTCATTCTGTCTCTGAGGAAGCCACAGTGATAAAGAGAATGAGACTAAGGCAAGAACAGAAAATGCCTTTGTAACTGAAAGGATACATATATTATCTAAAGTAATATCCTGGGACCACGTGGCTATCACAGCTACCAAAATATGTGAATTTGTTAGAGTTTCATGAATATTTATGCTATTCCTTCCCCAAACATTCAGAAAACACTTGGGAGATGCAAAGATCCATGTCTAGGTTTGTTTGGCGGTTAAAATAAAACCTTGACATTAATTCCTACAGTCATTTCTTTTAGTGTAGTCTGCTTTCCCAAATACCCAAAAGCTGTTGGGAGAATAAACTTGAATTCCAAGGTCTTAATCATTAGGTCATTTTACATAGAAACTCAGACACTTTATTTTTAAGCACCAATCTGTAGATGTTGGAGATTCATTTTAAATAATCTGTGGGGCTCATTGACCTGTCTAGAAGAAGAATGGATAAGGCATAAGGATTGAGCAAAATTTACTTTTGAAAATTTTCTTTTTTTTTTTTTTTGATAATATCTGGTCCTGCCCTTATGGGAAGGATAAAGCTCTGTAAAAGCACAGGGCCAGCTCCTGTTTTCTGAACCCTTTCTATGGATGGGGATGAATCTATGTATTCTACTTATCAGAGTAGGTTTACCCTCACGGATTATATTTGAGGTCCCACATCTGAGTGGTTGACATATTGTGCCAATATACCTAGCCAAAGTGCCCTTGCATTAGGCCTGGCTTGTTTACTAAGGTATCAGCTGGTTGGAAGGACCTAGGAGACTGTATGTATAAGCTGAGAGAGAGGCATCAGTGATATAGGGATCTGGGCCAACTGTTCATTCAGCCTACTTTTGTCTTTTGCATTTTCTCTTGCCCTAAAACATATTGCATCCATTATAGGATAGATGGTTGCAGTGACCATTCAGTCTTATGACTTGGTAGATCTAATAGCACTTCAGCTCAAGTTGGACAACTCCGGATTTATACTTACTTGGCATGCCTTTCTCACTTAGCTTAATAATTTCTAGCTTTTAATTTAATGACGTTCACTTGAACATTTAGAGGACATTATAGGGTGGTTAATTGGCTTAGCTTCAACATTGTTGTGTCTCAGGGACTAGGGAGGCCAGAAGAGGAAGAGAGAGAGGGAAATGGCCTGTCGGTGGAGCAGTCAGAACACACACAACATTTATCAATTAAGTTTGCTGTCTTATGTGGACGTGCTTATGCTGCCCTAAAATAATTACAATAGTAACATCAAAGATCACCTATCACAGATCATCATAGCAGACAATAATAATAAACCCATTTAAAATACTGTACAGATTATTAAAATTTGACCTAGGACACAAAATGAGATCATGCTGTTGGAAAAATGGTGCAGATAGACTTGCTTGAGGCAGGTTAGCCACAAAATTTTAACACAATGGAAATGCAATATCTACGAAGCACAATAAATTGCAGAACGATAAAATGAGTTATGTCTGTATATAGAAATAGAATTAATTTGATTGTGTTTATCTTAAATTCTGTGACCTTAATGGACTCACTTCTTAATTTAAGGAGGTTTGTAAAATAGATTTATTTGGATTTCTATGTAGAAAGTCATGTCTGTTGTAAGTAGGGACTGTTCTATTTTTTCCATTCTGATCTGTATGTCCTTTAATTATTTTCTTGTCTTATTGCAGTGTATAACTTCTAGCACTGTTTTGCATAAGGGTGATAAAAGCAGACATAGTTCCTTTATTCTTGATTTTAGAGAGGAACCATTCAGTTTTTCACCACTAAATATGATGTTAGTATAGCTATGTCCTACATAACACTTTGGTCGGTGATGGACTGCATATATGAGAGTGGTCCCACAAGATTATAATGGGTGTGAAAAAATCATATTGCCAACTGATGTCATAGCCGTAATAATATTGTAGCACAATGCATTACTTACATGTTTGTGGGATTGCTGCTGTAAACAATCCTACTGCACTCCCAGCGTGGTTAAAAGCAAACAACTATGTATTTTACTATGCATTTACTACACTCTACTAAACTTTTTGTCATTATTTTATTTTATTTTATTTTGGAGGTGGAGTCTTGTTCTGTTGCCCAGGCTGGAGTGCAGTGGTGCAATCTCAGTTCACTGAAACCTCTGCCTCCTGGGTTGAAGTGATTCTTGTGTCTCAGCATCCCAAGTAGCTGAGATTATAGGTGTGCAACATCATGCTTGGCTAATTTTTTATATTCTTGGTAGAGATGGGGTTTCACCATGTTGGTCAGCGTTTTCTTGAACTCCTGACTGCAGATGATCTGCCTACCTCAGCCTCCCAAAGTACTGAGATTACAGGTGTGAGCCACTGTGCCTGGCCTTTGTCATTATTTTAGAGTGCACTCCTTTTACTTATTAAAAAAAGTTAACTGCTAAACAGTCTCAGGCAAGTCCATCAAGAGGTATTCCAGAAGAAGGCGTTGCTATCATAGGAGACGACAGCCTCATGCATGCTCTTACCCGTGAAGTCCTTTCTGGATGTTCACACAATGTCAGAATCACTTGACCGCACATTTCTCAGAACGTATCCGCATCATTAAACAACACGTGATTGTATAGTGTTAGCTTTTTGTAGATGCTTTTTATCAAGTGGATGAAGTTTCCTCTATTCCTGCTTTATAGAGAGCTTTTATCATGAATGGATATCGAAATGTGTTAAATGTTTATTATGCATCAACTGATATAATGTAACTTTCCTTCTTTTGTTTGTTAACATGGTGGATTATTTTGATTGACTTTTTGAGATTTAATCAGGTCTGTTTTTCTGGAAACAATCCCCCGCTGGACATGGGTAAATTTTGAAAAATATACTATAGAACTCTATTTATCAAGTAAGTTATACATATCTTTATATATATATATGTATATATGTGTGTGTGTGTGACACACACACACTCTCTCTCTCTCTCCTGGTTTTGGTATCACTGTAATAATAGCTTCAAAAAATAAATTGGGAAATGCTCTCTCTTTTACTGTTTTCTGGAAAAGATTGTGTAGAATTGGTGTTAACTTTTTAAAAACATGTTAGAATTCTCCAGTTAAACCATCTAAGCATAAATATTTATTTATTGGTAGTTTTAAAATTATGAATTCTATTTTCTTAATGGTTATAGAGTTATTCAAATGATCTATTCATGCCTGGTGAGTTGAGTTAGTTTGTGTTGCAGGAGGAACACTGCATTTTGTCCATTTTGTCTATTGTCTAATTTATGTGTGTGGAGTTGTTTGTAATATTCCTTGATAGTCCTTTGTTATGTGTGTTTATGTCTGTAGTGATATCGCCTGTTTCATTATGATATTTAAAATTTGTTTTTTCCTTTTAATTTATGCTTGAGTTTGCTAAATTTTATTAATCTTTTAACATAGCTATCTCTTTGTTTCATTGATTTAACCATTGTTTTTCTCTTGTAAATGTAAGTGTTTTCTGTTCTTATCTTCATTAATCCCCACCCTCTACTTGCTTTGAGTTTATTCTGCTCTTCTTTTTCTAGGTTCCTGAGGTGGAAATCTATTGCTCACTAGAGACTTTTCCTCTTTACTAATGCGTGCATTTATTGCTCTAAGTTTCCTTCTCAGTACTTTGATATGTCACAGTTTCATGTTTATCCAGTTCAATGTATTTTTAAATTTTTCCTTGAGACTTCTTTGACTGATAGATTATTGTGAAGTGTGTTTTTAAATTTCCAAATGTGTAGGGATTTTCATATCTTTCTTATGCTGATTTCCAATTGGATTCCCTACAATGATTTCTGGTTTTCACCTGCTCTGGATGATTACTATCTCTTTTAAATTTGTTGTGGCGAGTTTTAGGGCCTAGGACAGCTCTATCTTGCCATGTGTTTCGTCAGCACTCAAAAAAAATATGTGTATTCTGCTGTTACTGTGTGGAATATTCTGTAAATGCCAAATAGATTCTTTTGGTTAATGGCATTTTGAGTTGTTTTATATTCTTGTTGATTTTCTTTTTTTTCCTCTTTTTAAAAACATGAAATGCTTCACAAAATTTTGTGTAATCTATATTCAAGAACCGTTTTAATCTTGTTGGCATCATTCTGATTTTAGAAAGTGCTGCCAAAGCCAACACTCCTTGCTGATTTTCTGTCTAGTTCTATCAATTATTGAAAAAGGCATGAGGAAATTTCTAACTATAATTGTGGATTCATCTATATCTCCTTTCAGTTTTCTTTTTTTAAAAAAAATCAATGAAAATTTATTAAATTAAGCATAAAGTTACTTTCACATTTATCTACAACCACAGTGAATACAGTTCTTGGCATGAAGACACCACAACCTTTAGAATTTAAAGCCTCCTCACCTGCAAGATTACATATATAAAACTCCCACTATTGTTTCTCTAAGAGTGGATTAGTTCACCAAGTTAAAAGTTATATGATCTAGAATATAATAAAATGGAAATGATTTACTCATAAGATTCATATTCAAACCATCTTTATTTACAAAATACTATCCTGAGAACTATTATTCCATTAAACTTCAATTTGAGAAAAGTGCAATCACTTAAGTAACAGCAGTTACTTAAACTGAAAATGAGATCAGTCAAAATTACTTTTGAAGAAAGCAACAATATTGTCAGGTTTCTTGCTGTGGTTCTGGATGTCCAGTAGCAGGCTCCTTTGAAGGCGGAATCAATCCTGAAGGGAACTCGCTTCTACCTTCAGAATGTGGGGTTGGGGTAAAATCCAGGTCTCGGATGAAGGTAAGGAGGTAAACCCCTCGGTGGATAGATGTTTCTCATTGCAAATGGAGCATGTGGTGGACCTGGGAAATCCCTTGGTGGAAAATAACCTCGAGAAGCTCCAAACATGGTTCCTGGAGGAGGTGGGGGGAAAGGAGGTCCTCTTCTCATGAACGGGCCCCTTGTATCCACTGGAAACAATGGACCGCTGATTGGAGCAAGAGGTGGAGGAATAAGGCCAGGGCCAGTTGCTTCATTTTCAGCAGGGAGAGATGAATCAGGCACATTTAAATTACCAAGATCATCTTTGGCATCATTTCTACTGGATTCCATTTCTGAAGGCATTGACCTATCCATTTTATCCAAAGAAGTCATTTTAAAACTTCTGGGTTCTGCTGGTCCAGACAGTCTTTCAGAATTAGAATAAAATCTGTCTTCCCTTTGTGGAGGAAGAGTTGAATCAGGATATGATTGCCCTGGTGGAGGAAACATCATCCTACGGTCCTGTTCCACCGGAGATGACAGGGACCCAGTGTCAGAAGGAGCCCTGTGAGGATCGATTAACCTGTCATAGCTTGGTTCTCCTCTTTCATTGGTAATCTGATGGTCCAGGGGATTCCCTGGGCTGCTTGGGCCTCTTCCTCCTCCCCCTGGAAGCACAGGTGAGAGTCTGAGTGGATCCTCCAACAAAGTTTGAGGAGAGGGAAAAGCTCTCGTTTCAGATGAAGGCCGACCCAATGGTGAGGGACTACATGGGGAATGCTCTCTGCCAAATGCTGTATTTGAAACATCGAGTGCATTAGGATCTTTTTCTAAAAGTTCAAATTTCAACTCTGTTTCAGTTAATTTTTGTTTGTTGTGAGCATTTTCTTTCCTTAAATCACTGAGGTTTCTTTCAGCAGTCCGAGCTGCCAACCAATTATCATGTCCTCTTTTCTCGTAGGAAATAACCTGCTTTTGATAAAAATGAACAGTTCTCTCCAATTCTTCTTCAAGATCTTTGGCTAGCTTTCTATAGGTCTCCAGCTGTTCAGTGGCACGGCTGAGCTTTCCTTCCACTCTAGAAAGCTTCTCTTCTTCCTCTATTCGGTAATTTTCCTCCACTGTTAATTTCCTGTAGAGTTTCATTTCATTTTCTTGATAGAATTCAGTCATTATTTTAAGTTTCTGTTGAAGCTTCTGATTCTCACTTTCAAAATATATGTTTTCTGATTGCAAAGATACTTGTTGAGTCTGAAGATTTTTAATATGCTCTGTAAGCTCTTCCTTTGTTTTGTCCACTTCAGATAACTGAATAATAATGTGGTTTCTTTCTCCTTCTAAGCTTTTTAAAGAAACATTTAACTTAGCAGCATGAATCAGTTTCTTCAAAGCTCCTTTCAGAGGATCATCTAAGTTAGCACCATTTTCCCATTGACTGTTCACTTCTAATTCCAGGTTATCATCATCCATTGTGTCTTCTTCAAGCACAGCAGCCTGATCTTTCATCATTGGCAAGTGTCCAGTCAGGGTCTTGATGTGATTTTCTTTATCATTCAGAACTTGTTCTGCGTGTACTTTGGAGTCTTCAAATGTTATTTTCTGTTTATTAAGTTCACTCACTTGTCCTTTCCATACTTCAGCTTCTTGCTGAAAAAGCTGTTTATGGCTTGTCTGAAGTTGAGAATTTTCATTCAAAGCATCTTTTATTGCTATAGCCCGTCGTTCTTCACTCATTTTAAATGTCTTGCAGATGATTTTGGCTTCAGCTATTTGTGATTTGAGGGATTTTGACTCATCTTCTAGAGACTGTATACTTTTTGAAATATCCGCCATCAATTCATCTTGTTGAGAATGTTTAGATTTCTCTTGTTTTAAGTCTTTTTCTAGACAGAGGATTTCATCCTCAAGTTCAGAATTGGACCTGTTCAGCTTTTCACAGGTTGCCTCCAAACTTCGTGCTTCTTCTGCTGCCGCCTTCTCAAAGCTGGCATCCTCTAAAGATGACTCTACTTCATAGCCTTCATACTCTTTTTGAATAAGGCTAAACTTTTCAAGTAGTTTACATTTTTCTTCAATTAGTCCAGAAAGCGTTGCACCAAGTTTTTGCTCTCTTCCCACGTAAAGCCGACTCCTAACCGATCTAAAACTTCTCCACAAAAAAAGGAGAACAACAAAAAATCCAATAACAGCTGCACATACCACCAGTTCCGATGGAAAACCATAAGGATTCTCATCTGGTCTCATACTCTCAGGTAGTGCTGCCACAACTCTGCGTAGCTCCTCCAGGACCAGCCCCAGGTAGGGCTGAGGGGTAGCACCAGGCTCCTCCATAGCGTCGAGGCTGCTCTGGCGGTCACCGCAGTAACACTGGCCACAACAAGCGGTGGAGAACACGCAGCCTTGGGTCTGGAACCCGAATGCGCACGTGACAACCAACCGGAGCGGACCACTGTGGAGCGGGCTGCGGGGGGAGCTGGGGAACGCGGGCACCCACAGGCCTCACAGGCCCATGTTGTCCCCCACCACCTCCCCTGGCCCTCTTGTTACACTTCACATCCTGAGGCAGCGCTGGTCTGAGCCCGGCCCGCCTTAGTTCTGGCAGTTTTCACATCACATATTTTGAAGCTTTATTTTTTGGTGAATACACTTTTAAAATTGCTGTCTTCTTCATGGATTAAACCTTTGATCATTATATAATCTCTGGTTTTGGTAGTTTTCTTTGCTTTATCTGATATGCACACAGACACTCTTGCTTTCCTTTCATTAATGTTTGTGTAATATATCTTTTTTCATCCTGTTAATTTGGCCTGCCCTGTATTGGTAAAATTCAAGTGAGTTTCTTGTACACAGCATACAAGAAACATATAAGAAAGGGTCATACTTTTAAATACACTCTTCTATTATCTATCTCTTGGTAGACCATTCATAATTAAATGAATTATTGATACTTTAATGCGTAAGCCTGACATTTTTTGTTTTCTCTATCAATTCTTGTTTCTCTGCTTATTTTTCATGACTTCATGTGGGTTACTTGAACATTTGTTTTAGAATTCCATTTTGTTATTTATAGTGTTTATAGTGTATCTTCTTTTTTATAGTTTTTTTGGTTGCATTTTATAGCTTAGTGGTTGCATTTTACAGCTTAGTGTATATTCATTTATATAAACATTATCACAGTCAATTGGTATCATCTTTATTCCAGTCTGAGTGAAGTATAGCAACCTTCTGTCATATTATGTCTCTTTACTCTATCAAATTTGTAGTATAATTGTCTTACATCCATTTAGAATAACACTAGACAATGCTATGATTTTTGCTTGAAACATCAAACATAATTTAGGAAATTAGAATCTATGAAAATAAAGTGAGCATTTTAAAGCTTCCAGAAAGAAATCTGACACAACCTGTTTTGTCTTTCATTTTTTCTTTCTTTCCTTTATATTCATCATAGATGTTATGATGCCCTATCTGTTAACTCCAATATCTGGATTATCTATGAGTTTGTTTTTAATAACTGATTTATTTCTTATCAGTCTGTTTTACTTGCTTTTTTGTATATTTGGTATTTTTTTTAAAGTATGCTGAATTTATGGATAATATGATATAGAACTACTCAAGAATTTTGAATTTTTTTTCTGGGCAGAATTTGTAATTACTTGCAGATCATCTTGCTGCTCTCAAGACCTAGTTTTAAGCTGTGTTATGGTAATTATATTTTATTTTCCTCTTAGAACATATGCCTCACTCCTGGGATACTGCATCTCTCCTAAGAGAATTTTTAGAGTCCCAACTGAGTTTCTCAGTTGTTTGCCAACATTTCCCCATTTGGCTGGATCTGAACTCTAGTAGCTTTCCAGGAAGTTTTCAGTCCCTGATGATCTCTTCTGCTTTCTGTATCCCAGCAGTTTCTTTCTCCAAGGTCTCCCCTCTTCTTAGCCAACTGTCACATAGCTAAGGAGTCACAGAAGGACCAAAATGGCATGTATACACCCATTTCTAGGTTCTTTCTCTCTCCCATATGGTACATTGACCCCCAATTCCTAACCAATTTAGCAGCTTTGAACTCTATTCATTGCTTCTTTTGGTTCCCAAGACCATTAACCCCTGGTTGGGTCCCATTTTCCTGTACCAAGGTCAGGAAGATGCCTTTCTGGAAAATCCTGGCAAATGTGGTACTAACCTCATGTGCCTCACCTTCCTTAAAGATCTCATACCTGACTTGCTACAACAATGTTCTTCAATGCCTGCTGATATGGTTTGGCTGTGTCCTTACGCAGATCCCATCTTGAATTGTAGCTTGCATAATTCCCACATGTAGCCAGCCCACCTGAACCATGCTCAGCAGCTGGTGAGAGGTAATTGAATCATGGGGGTGGGTCTTTCCCATGCTGTTGTTGTGATAGTGAATAAGTCTCATGAGATCTGATGGTTTTACAAAGGGGAGCTCCCCTGCACATGCCCTCTCTCTTGTCTACCATGTAAGATGTGCCTTTGCTTTTCCTTTGCCTTCTATCATGATTGTGAGTTCTCCCCAGCCATGTGGAACTGTGAGTTCACTAAACCTCTTTCTTTTATAAATTACCCAGTCTTGGGTATGTCTTTATTAGCAGCATGAGAACAGACTAATACACCTGCCAAGAATTTTTTCTATATTTTGGCCAGATTGTATAGTTTTTTATGGTGGGAGGGTGAATCTGACACAAGCTATTTGGTGTCAAGTAGCCAAGTCACATACTAATTTATTTTTAATGTAAAGCTATACAACCTTCTTTCTATACCTAAATTTTTAATTAAAATATAATAATTAAAATATTACTAAAAATTTCTTAATGATTTTATTTCATGGTGAAAGAGACTCAGTCTGGAATGTAAAGTATGTCTTACCAGTATTTCTCGTTTTGCAGGACATTGTCTAGGTGTCCCTCTCCCATGGATGATCATTAGTGTGGTTTATTTTTATGCTTTGAGAAAATAAGTCTGTAGTATGTTACTATATTCTACTATATAAAGATACACTTCAACTTATGATAGGATTATGTTCCAATAAACCCATCATAAGTTGGTAATATTATAAGTTGATGATGCTTTTTTTAAAAAAATATAGACTATTGTCCTGTTGCCCAGGCTGGAGTGCAGTGGCTATTCTCAGGTGTAGTCATAGTACACTATATTCTCAAAGTCTTTGAGCTCAAACAATCCTCCTGCCTCAGCTTCCTGAAGAGCTGGGACTGACTATAGGCACACACCACTATACCTGGCTTGAAGATATGTTTAATAAACCTAACCTACCAAACATCATAGCTTAGCCTAGCCCACCTGAACCATGCTTAGAACACTAACATTAGCCTACAGTTGGGCAAAATCATCTTACACAAAGCCTATATTATAGTAAGCTGTTGAATATTTCATGTAATTTATTGAATACTGTACTGGCCTAGAGTTCCCACCCAGCCCTTTAAACTCCTGTATCCAAAGGTGACATCTGACCCTGCTTTCTTTTCTCTCCCTCTTAGACCCTCACTCACTGTAACACTCCAGAAGGTCCAACTCCTCTCTTGGCATGGCCAAGGCTGAGATCCACCGAAGCTTTTCACTTCTGAGAAAACAAAGCAGGGTCATAGCATCAATTGTGGGGGTGTAGGAGGAGGGCCAAGGATGGGGATGGCAAAAGACTGTGGGAAGGACTTATCTAGTTCCATGACTTCTATCAAACACTATATAGGACTCTTTTTGGTTGGAAACATGACACAATCTTGAACTATATGTGAATGTGTCTTGTCACACTTTACTTTTCCTCTTCTCTTTCCAGAATTATCCTCCTAATGGCTTCTCATATCTTCCAAGTTGGGGCGTAATGTTCATTAGTCATAAAGTCTGGAGATTTTCTGTTTTGGAAATTGTGCTAAGCGAAGTGTTCATTTCAGTTTAGATTCCCTCCATCATTTGGCATGATTCTTGACACTCGCTTGCCTATCTCCCTTCAACTAACTATCTCAGAGATGATCATTGTTTCATAATAATAATTAGATCAGGGAGATATGTCTACTGTTTTATTTGTTGTTGTTGCACGGTGTAATCCAAGCTTAGGTTTGTAATCATCTGAAGGTTTCTGCATTCTGTTAGCCTCTGTGCCCAGTTGTGCCTAGGTAACTGGGAATGGACTATTACTGTTCCAGGCACAGTGCCCAAAGCACCAAACCAACAACATGCATCTGCACCTGATTATTTGACTTATGTGCTGTTTTGCACACAAACTCCGATACTAGTCCTTCTGTTCAATAAATGAGAACAGGTGTTATCGGTCCCACTCTGAAGTATCTTCCAAGGGACAAAACTGAAAAAGTGTCTACAACATAGGGATCCTCAAACACTTAGATACGTCAAACTTTTAAATGACTGTTCATATATCTTTTATAATAGCAATAACAGCTACAGGCTTTTACATGTTCATTATTGCAGGCACTGTGTTCCAGATTTTATAGGTACTATTAATACTCTCAAAAATGTATGTCTGTGTGAATGTATTTTATTTTATTATTATTGAAAACATGAGCAAATCAGCATTCTCAACACTATGGATTTCTGGTCAATAGAGGACTGGTTTGGAAGATGGGAGCACAGAAAGTAAAAGTCACCCAGCACTTGTCTTATTCACATCTGTGCCCACCAGCTGGGGCATAGAAGGGTTTCTGCCTCAGGCATGGAGGCATGTGCTCACAGATACCAGTATTCCAATTCCTTGCTCACTCCATACCAGTCCTTCTCCTTTCTGATACTACACAGACCTTGTCCCTCTTGAGTAAAGAGTATAAAATAGATGCTAAGCCTCGGTGGTGACTTTGTACCCTCTCCCACCCCAATCTCCTGCAAGTTATCCATTAGTTTTAGGAGTCTGAATTTCTCTATGGTGGTCCCCAGTCCAGAATGGGCTAAATGAGGCTGTGGCTGTCTTCTGGACACATTTTCTGCCTTGGTCTCACTTCTTTTCTCGGCTGCCCATCTTCCCCCACCCCCAGCTCCTCTGCCCAGCCCCATCTCACTGAGTCTCCGTGCGGAAGAGGAACTCGGCCTGGGCGCCCTGAGTGTTCTGCCGCAGAAAGAGTCGGAACAGGTTTTTGTGAGGTCCATGTAGCTTCATTTCACACTTTTCCCCCCGAATGGAGGAGAAGGGAGCATGGTCAAATACCAGGAATCGGCTACCCCTGCAAAATACAAATCTTTTCAACCTGATTCTAGAGTTTCCATACTTCACCTACCCTCATAACCTTGGGTTCGAAATCCCTACATCTACAGCCTGCAAATTCCCACAAAAACCATAAGATGGTCCTAACTTGCTCCCAAGATGGTAGCTCCAGGGTCCTCAGGGATTTGTCCTAGTCTGGCAAACCACACACCTAGTGCAGTGGATACATTACCACTTTAAAGAGGTGAAGAGATGGAATTTATATACATTTCCCAAGAACCTTAAGACCAGAGACTTAAGATCTGGAATTAGCTAAGTATCTCTAGAATAGCAGGTTGAGGCCAGTCCATAGAAGCCACAAATAGACTCATGTGAGAATGTGATAAGCTAATTTGCTACATTTTGCTCTGTGTCTATACCATATTACATGTCCTGCTATGTGGTCTCATGATACAGTTTGATGGGATCCCCTTTTTGCTTTGGGCTTGTTTTTCTCTTCTCTAGGCTATGACCTGGGCTCTATGGGTTAAGCCATTGAGAAGGGCTCTTCTAGGAACATGACCCTTCTCTCTCCCTTTCAGACCCCCCTCTTTCCTCATCCCCTTCCCCTCTTGTGCCCTGGCCTGCCACTCCAGTCACTGACTCTCGGGGCCGAGACAGCAGCAGACAGTCATTGAAGAGGTGCAGGTGGACTGGACGCGTGTTCAGCTTCCTTCGTAGCCCTGGGGAAGCACTGAACTCCAAGGCTGTCAGCTCCCCACTTTTCACCAGCCAGCGTGACTGAGAAATGAGCGGGAATATCTACAGGGCAGAGGAAGAGAGAGAAGGCAGTGTCACAGATGGGAGAAGCATGAGGTTTGCTCCCAGTCCCACCCTCCTCCCCATGCCACTTCCATGCAAGTTCCACTTGAACAAGCATCTCTTCCACATCTGCCTTCTGGCTCATAACCCATCACTTAGATTCTCTTTCTCTCTGAACCCTCTAACTACCACTGTCCACTGGTGTGTGGCTCCCATGGTTGTATGCTCAGGTAAATAGAAGATGCCTATGGTCCAACTCAGGATAGTGAGTGTGTGGGACAGCTCTGCCCTAGAAGCCTGAACTGAAGGAGGGATGGAAGAGTCCAATCAGGGTATGTGATGGAACAAGTCAGTGAACACTATATGTGTCTTAGAGGTTAAAATAAAATATTAGAGGCAGGTCTGGTATCAATTCCATTTTTTATACCAGAGATATGTGAGCAGCTGGAATCAAACATGGGGGTGAGAAGAACTAGGTGGGGCGTCTTGGAGCTGGAATTTGGTTAAAGATGAGGGTGTGGTCTATGCTTAGTATGTGAATAAGGGATTTTCCTTCTTTTTCAGGAGTGTAAAGATAGTATGTGTTCTAAGCACGGGCGTGGTGGCTCACGCCTATAATCCCAGCACTTTGGAAGGCAGAGGTGGGTGGATCACTTGAGGCTACGAGTTGGAGATCAGCTTGGCCAACATGGTGAAACCCCATCTCTACTAAAAATACTAAAATTAGCCAGACATGGTGGTGCAGACCTGGAATCCCAGCTACTCGGGAGGCCAAGGCATGAGAATCGCTTGAACCTGGGAGGTGGAGGTTGCAGTGAGCCAAGATCGCACCACTGCACTCTAGCCTGGGGTGACAGAGTGAGACTCTGTCAAAAAAAAAAAAAAGATAGTATCTGTTCTAAGTTGGAATTTGAATGTGGAATGTCTATTTTAGATTTGTATTTCAATGAGGGATGCTGGCTCTAAATTTGGATCCAATCTTATGTGGGTTTGATTAGACTAGAAAGAGATTTGATAAAGTAATAAATGAATCAAGCACCAAAACATTCTTTTATAAAGGCTCATCCTGAAAAGTTCTCTCTCATTTGCCCATTTCTCAAATGCACCCCCCTTGTCCTCAGGTAACCACTGTTCCTTTTTTTCTTGTTCTCCTTCCAGAGTTTCCTTATGCACACACAAGCAGACACCTGTATAGATTTGTATCCTCCCACTTTTATACCAAAGGTGATATAATATACACACAATTCTTTACCTTCATCTTTTCACTTAGCAGTATGTCTTGGAGACCCAAGTAGGCCTCCCAGAAATAGGACAGAATAGAAGGTGGGCAGAAATGAGGGGAGGGGCTGGGGATAATGTGAGCAAGGTGGTTCCAGGTTAGGGGGTGATCTGCAGGACATGTTAAGGGAGTTCATGGGCAGGGATGGGGTGCATGGGACCGACTCACTTTGCACTCAAACTCAATCTTCTGGCTCAGGTAGATTAGTTCCTCTGTCCGTCGCATACTCTGGACATTGTTATTGCAGTCCCGGATCAGCTAGGGGTGCAGAGAGTGAGGAAAGGGGAAGGGCACTGTGTTAGAGGCTTTGACCTTTGAGTCCCTTGCAAGCAATCTGGAAATAGGTTATGACAGCCTCAGTCATTTTTCCCAGGCTGGAATTGGGCAGGCAGTATCAAGCACAAGTCCTAGGCAACTTTGTATGACTTGGCAGAACATTCCTGAACTGAGTAAAAGTGAGACTGAATGGGGGGGTGATGGTGGAGAGGGCACAGTCCCTTGATGTGGAGTGTGCTCGGCGTGGGAGAGGTGGCCGTGGGGTGTGTATGTTTGGAAGTTTGGCGGATGCAGGGAGGTGGCTGAGCTCTCCCAACAGGGTCCCACCTCCCATGCTCCCTGGAGTCATGGGCCTAGGTGGGAAAGACCTCTCTGAGAAGAACACACAGAGGGTCAGAGTGGAGGTGGTGGCTGCCTACCTGCTCCAGGGCGTGGTGTGCCTTCGTGGCCTCTGCCTCCTCCGAGGAGCCAGGCTGTGTTCTCTTCAGAATGTTCTATTGAACAGACAGTAGGCAGGAGTGAGATGGGAGGAAGAAATGGGAAACAGGAAGAAATGATTGGGGGCTGGTGAATGGAGAAGCCCAGGGACCACATTTTAGCAGCAAATATTTCCAAGCAAGCAGGCAGTGGGCAGCAGGGAGACAGGATGTGGACACCTGGCAGAAGAATGGTTGGTCCTTTGTTGTGGGTCTTCCTGAGGGCATCCCTTTGAGTTAAGGGGAGAGGATCAAGGTAGCATCTGCCCTACCTGGAGCAGCAGTTTGAGGCGGGTGATGCGTTGGAAGGGCAGAATCAGAAAGGACTTGAGGGAAAGGCGCTGGCAGACGGGGTCGCTCTCCAGCTTCTCCAAGACCTCCCGGAAATTGCTGTTGCTATTCCTGCACGGAGAGTGAGCCTTAGGGGAGGGGGGATATGGGGAGCAATGGGGGATGCAGTGAAGGTGCGGGGAAGGGAGGTCAGTGGAGTATCTGTGGGCTGGGAAAGAGCGGTGGGAGCTGATGTACAGGGCGCTCAGATGTGATGCTGGGGTAACCAATACAGAGGGCGGAATGGGGAAAGTGTGCTCTTGGGATAGCCCTCTGGGCTGGGGACTGGTGCATGGTCACCTCAGGGCCTACATGGGGATTAAATGGGGGATGAGTCTCACATCAGGCTCTGGAAGGTGCGTTCCTGATAGGTCTGGTTGGTGACATAAGGCAGGTAGACCCGGCGGAAGTCTGGGGCGTGGTTCAGGACTACGTCACATACTTGGAAGGAGAAGATATTGTTCTCAAAGTTCTCTTCCAGGTCTGAAAGGAACCTGTACAGGATTTAAACGAGTCTCATGAGACTTCTGGACCTCAGCTAAACAGCTGACTGGCCCCTGGTGTACACTGAGCTGGTGACTTCTTCACTCCATTAGCCAATAACTTCTATTGACTCTCTGCTCTGTGCTCCTTGCTATGCACTAGAATTCGCTCCAAAACTGTCCTGAGTTTGAGCCTGATTTAACACTTTTATTCTAATATTCCATTTCTCATTCTTCTTTTGACCCTGTTCAGGTTTTCTGATCTTTAGATGGTTTTTCCACCTCATCTCCAATGCAGTGCATGACCACAGTAATCCAAAACCTCAACCCAGGAAGCATTGCTCATTTACTTATCCATTAATGGATCTATCCACCCACAGACCCTCTCCTCTTCTTGCCATTCTTCTTCCTATAACCATCGGGAATCATGGAAGAAACTGAGGCCCAATTTCTTCCCATAACTGTGAAAATGAAAGGGTTTCTAAGAGGGGAAAAAAATAATGGAACATTTAAAGCCTAACAACAGTGAGGCTGAGTGAGTGGTATTTAGGAGAAGGGGAGTCTCACGTGGCGCTGACGTCTCGCACATCCTGTAAACGAGAGAAGAGCCATTGGTGCTCCTGGTTGGAAAGTGTGGCCCGGAGTGAAGTTGAAAGTTGGAAATGATCCACAGCTATGTTTAGACTGCGCAGGTAGGAGGCCTCTGACACAATCAGCTCAAATTTGACCTAGGAGGTTGGAGATGAGGAAGATTAATTAAGGATTTTATTTACCCCCTGGAATATGCCAGCCACTGTGTAATGTTTTGGGGATAGAGCGGTGAGCAAGATCCTTTTATGGTTCACAGTCACACCAGAACCTAAGTTGATCTGCGGGGAGGGGAAGAGCATTTGAGTAGGATTTAATCTAGGGTACAGGTACAGGCCTTCAAAGGTATAAAAGAAAAATATGCTTTCAAGAAATCTAAATAACAAAAACAAGAACAAAAAATGAGTAACAAAGTGAGATGGATATGTTAATTTGCTTCACTAGGGTAATTCTGTTACTATTTATATGTAGCCCATAACATCATGTTGTATATCTTTAATATACACAATGAAATTTATATTAAAAAAGCTAAATAGACTGGGTGCAGTGGCTCACGCCTGTAATCCCAACACTTTGGGAGGCTGAGGTGGGTGCATCACTTGAGTCTGGGAGTTCAGGACCAGGCTGGGCGACGTACAGAGACCCTGTCTCTACAAAAAATACAAAAATTAGCCGGATGTGATGGCGTGCACATGTAGTCCCAGCTATTTGAGAGGCTGAGGCGGAAGGATTGCTTGTGCCTGGGAGGTGAGGTTGCAGTGATCCCAGATTGCACCACTGCACTTCAGCCTGGTGACAGAGTGAAACCCCATCTCAAAACAAACAAACAAACTAACTAAACTAAATAAATTGAGCATTTTTTGAACCAAGTGTACAGCAGTAGTGGCCAGAGATGAAGCTGCAGCAGTCGAGGAGGCCTGAAGGGTAATGTAAACAATGTAAAATTGTTTGGACTTAAGACAATGGGACAATGAAAACAGGCTTTACATAGGAGAATAACTTGACCACATTTGTTTTATATAAAGTTATTTTTTTTTATTTTTTGGAATTGAGATGGAGTCTTGCTCTGTCACCCAGGCTGGAGTGCAGTGGCACGATCTCAGCCCACTGCAACCTCCGCATCCCAGGTTCAAGCCATTTTCCTGCCTCAGCCTCCTGAGTAGCTGGGATGACAGGCATGCACCACCACGCCCAGCTAATTTTTGTATTTTTAGTAGAGACAGGGTTTCACCATACTGGCCAGGCTGTTCTCAAGCTCCTGACCTCAGTTGATCCACCCGCCTCGGCTTCCCAAAGTGCTGGGATTACAGGTGTGAGCCGCTGCGCCCAGCCTGTTTTTCATAAAGTTATTTCTAAGCAGAATGAGAAGAAAAGATGAAAAGAAGCAAAAGCCATCCATGTTAAGAAACTGTTGTAATAATTCCACATGAGAGATGAAGGTCTGAATAGCCATGGAGCTGAAGAGAAGTAGATTAATTTTATAATTATTTATGAGGTAGAATTGGAAGGGTTGGATTATTTGCTAGAAATGGGGCCTCAAAGAGAAGGAAGGTTCAAAGCTAATGTTTTGTACTCACAGCAAAAGCTTTTTGAGTCGGGCACCTGGGTGAATGATGGAGTCATTTACTGAGCCAGAGAACTTTGAAAAGGCATAGATTTAGGGGATGAAGGTGATGAGCTCAGTTTGAGGTTTGAGGACAGATGAGAAGCAGGAGACAGAAGCAGGATATCTGAGAACAAGATGGCGCGAGAAGCAGGAGACAGAAGCAGGATATCTGAGAACAAGATGGCGCAGCTGTGGTTTAATGCATGCCCAGCATGTGAGAACTTGTCTGGAGGTTCCAGCAGGGGGCGCTATGACTCATGACCGTGCCTCTAGCTGGGCTCCTCATGCTTTTCATCCAAGCATGTGGCCTCAAGAGAGATGCCTGGATAGAAAAGAGAAAGGAGACACACCCTGGTGATGACTTGGATGACCAATGACACAGCCAGATGACCCTCCCATACAACAACCCTGAACAGGGACACTGAAGGCTCATTTGCATCCTTGCTCTAACATTCACTACACGACTGACTTTGGGTGGCTCATTTAACCTCTCTGAATCTCACTTTTCGTGTCCTTTTATGTGGATATAGTGACCCCCATCTCACTGTGGAAGATGCAACAGTTGAAAGAAATGGAGCCTGTGAAAGCACTTTGTGAACCCCAGAGGTACTACTTTATAAAATGAATATGTGTGTTTAAGAGATAGAAATGTAAAGCCCTTTCTTCTCACAAACATGAGACCAGGGCTGGAATAGGAGTCCTGCTGGACTTCCCAGCATGCTGGAGTTGGTAAAAGAGAGCTAGAACTCGTGTCATCTCCCACTGTTTGGTCAACAAATATGGGGAAGATGAGTTATTTTCTAAATATCTTCTCTGTGCTTAAAAATTTGCAGCCACAACAGGGCTCTCAAGTCTGAACTTTGCAAAGTCTAAAAATGTATTCTCTCTCTGACTTGGTAAAAGCATTGTCTATCCATAAGTCCTCCTGGCCCAAATTTTACTCCTCCCTGCCTCTGAAAGGCAGAGAGTACGGCACTAATATTTATCAAACTATACATCAAATATTACTGCTAAATTAGATATGCATTATTTCATTTAAACCATTCAGCAACCCTGAAAGGTAGGCATTATTATCCTCAATTTGCAAGTGAGGAAACTGAGATTTAGTGATGTTATAAGGCTGCCTAAGCTAGCAAATGGTGAAGTCATGTTTCAAACCTAGGTCTGGCTTACTTAAAATGAAAAGTCAACATTTTTTGAGAAATTACTATGTACCAGGCATTCATGTTTCTTGATCCTTGCAGTAACTGTTTGTATCTCAGTTTTACAAATGTCATTTGGCCAAAGGTAAATTGGAAATATTAAAGTGGGCTCTGGGGCTGGGCTCAGTGGCTCATGCCTGTAATTCCAGCACTTTGGGAGGCCGAGGCGGGAGTATTGCTTCAGCCCAGGAGCTCGAGGCAACTGGGCAACATAGTGAGACACCATCTTTTCAAAAAATTAAAAAATTAGCTAGGCATAGTGGCACATACCTGTAGTCCTAGCTACTTGGGAGGCTGAGGCGGGAGGATTGCTCGAGCCCAGGAGGTTGAGGCTGCAGTGAACAATGATTGTACCACTGTACTCCAGCCTGAGTGACAGAGCAAGACCCTGTCTCTAATAAATTAATAATTTAAAAAAAAAGTGGTTTTCATATCCAGGTCATTTCTTCCAGAACCTAATTTCTTAAACATTATTCTATTCCATTGTTCCATACTGTCTTTCTGGGAAGAAAGGTTTTACCCCATATTTCAGACAAATTAATAAGAGGCGCTCTCCATGTAAAACTTACTAATGGTAATAGCTTAGAATCAGACAAACAGCCTCTAGTTCAGTCTTGCTGTTGGGAGTAACAATCAAGCAGGGACTGATGATCACTCTAAGGCCCCTGTTAGATTGATGGACCACAGGACAGCTGCAAAGGGCCCTCTTCAAGGGACCCAACAAAGAGCCCCGGAATGTGCCTTGGCTAAAGAGGAAAACTGTAGTGTAGCCTGAAACCCTGGTTGAACAGGGAAGCTTTCCTCTACCCTGAAACAGCAGTGATGATGGGATTAACTCCACATTCCTCCACACAAATTCAGAGGCAATGGCCACCATGTATAGCCCAGACCAACATCAGGTAGGAGCAAGTGGCCTATGGCATGAGGAGGTGAGGATGAAAGGGGAGGTGGTGAAATCCAGAAAACAATTCAACTTCTTCAGAATGGACATGACCCACAGCTGTGGCATGTACACGCGCCTGTGTGGTGGGGACAGCCGACTCTTGGTGGCAGTGGTGAGCAGGAGAGAAGGATGCTAGCAAACAAGACCTTGTCATCTTTTCTGTAGCCCCCTCCCCACCGTGGCCTGCCCAGTACCTCTTGCAGCTTTTGGTCTTCATGGGTCATGGAGAGCAGCACGGTGCTGTTGCGCACCACGGGGATTTCCTGCCAGAGGGAGCCGCTGGAGGCCATGGAGAGCCGCTGCAGGTACGACTCGGAGGAGACCAGGGCCTTCCGAGGCTGCCGCGGAGAGCTAGGCCCGGGTGTCTCGGACAGGCTCTCCAGCCGCTGCTGGCTCTGGATCTCCTTATTCAGGACAACATCACTATACTCCTGGTAAAGCAGCTGGGCTGCAGGGCAAAGAAGCATGGGAAGGAAGAGAAGCAGGAAGAAGGGACGGTGAGCGGAGGCAGGGAAACAGATCTTCTGCAATGCCTTCTCGCTAGGGACATCCCCACCCCACTGCTGACATCCACAAGCCCCTCTCCAGTGCTGGGCAGAATGCCCACCTGGGTCTATAGTTCCACTTCAAGGTACTCACAGGAGTTGATGAGTTTGGAGCAGCGTCTTGAAAAGCCTCCCATCACCTCCTTTGGTTTTTTCTCCCTGTGGAGTAAAGAAGGGCTCTGGGGTACCTACTGGCCATTAGACACAGAGCACCCCAGGTGACTGTGGGGGACAAAGTCTCTAGCCTCTGGGATGTGTGCTGGGATGTCAAGACCAAATCCCCCGGAGAGGCACAGAGTTGCAACTTGACCCACTTGGGCTAACATGGAGCTTTTGTGGGGTTTAGTTCACAGCCATAGGGCTTGGGAAGATGGATGACTCGTAGGCTCGGCTGACCGAATGAGGTAGATAAAGACAATCTCCCTAAGCTGGCATCCCGGCATCTCTCTCTTCTCCTCCTTACACCAAGAAGAAACAGGAATGAGCCATTCGGGGTCTCAGAACCCTTATCAACTGAAATCCTCACTAGGGGACTCTCAGTATCCCAAGTGAAGAGAGTACAGTGTGGCTGTTAGGGGAGAGGGTGACTTACCGAAAAACAACAGTGTCTGAGGGTCCCGGATGTTTCTCCACGGCTGGACCTCTTGAATCTAAAAGTGGAAATGGGGAAGATAACTGAGATTTCAGAGGGATAGAGAGAGCCAAAGAAGATCTAGAGCAGGAGATGCAGGGGTCCAGAAGGGAAAATGGGCTTTATTGGGAAACTGGGAGGGAAGAAAGTGGCAAAGCAGAGAGCGTGAAAGAGATCAGTACCAGTGACGTCCCGAGCCACGGGTCAGGATGGGACTGGGACAAGTACAGAAGGCCTTTTCTACTCCCCAGGAGGAGAGCAAGCAGGGACTGTAACTGAAGAGTAGAAGGGAGTCCAAAATAACCTTGGGACATCCAAAGAAGGTGCTGGTTGAGGGAGAGACAGGGAGATAGAGGGGAAGAAGAAGGAAGAGCATCCCAAGGAGCTTGGAGGGCACTTCGGGGCTCTCTCTGTGTTGAGGTTAGGCACACATGTGAGCGAAGCCAGCAGAGAGAATGTTAGGAACCCTAGGGACAGAAGATGGGATGAGGTGGGAAGAGCTGGGAAAAGCTTGGTCTGATGTGTCACTGTGGTCCCGGTTCTTGCTCACCTGAAGAGCCCTCAGGCAAGATGGAAGGTCTGCGCAGGCCCTGCCGGCTCCAGCCCTTGTGCTTGTTGGCCCCCTCACTAGGAGCCACAGCCTGTCCACTGCTGTCCCCTGGTGGCCTCCCTGAGTCCCGCCTGTGGGGCCAGCTGGACGCCTTCTCCAGGTGCAGATGGCTGGGTTTTTCTGGCTGCCTTGCTTGGCCCACAGGTGACCTCCCTGGGCCACTGGCTCCTTGCTGAGGGGTTGTCCTTCTCAAAGGTTCTCTCGCAGGGGCCTCAGGGTGTTCTGAGACCCCTGCTTCATCCTTAGAGGTGGGTCCCTGGAGCTCCGGAGTCCAGGGAGTGGTAGGGGAAGAGGGGCATAGGAAGTTTGTCATGTTGCTGAAAGCCATGCCAGGGGACACTTCGCTCTTACTCCTGCTGGTGGAAGTGAAAGACTCTGTTGATCTAGCTGTGGCCGGGGGCCAGGAGGTGCGTCCAGCAGAGGCAGGGAGGGGGACTGTCCAGTCTTGACAAGCAGGTCTTGTTTTGGCATGACCCCCTGAGTTCATATGTCCTCCCCGAGTGCTCCTGCTCCTCCCCCTGGACTTTGGGGGCAATGGGGGTGGTTCGGTGGGAGGGTCTATGATGGGTAGTGGGGGTAGAGGCCTGTAGATCCTTGAGCTACCAGGAGCAGAAATGGGAGGAAGGTGGGGCTGCGGCAAATCAGGGGTAGGGGGTAGCGGCTTGTTGTATCTCCACCTGGGGGTGGCCTGAGCATGGTGGGAGCTGTCTGGGGTAGATGGCAGAGGTCGGTGCTGCCTGGCCACAGCGGGGTCAGAGGCTTGGGGAAGTGGGCCTTTATGGGGGGCATGCAGCCCTGAACCTAGGGCCAATGGAGGAGGGTGGCTATGCTGCTTCAGCGTGGGAACCACTACACGAGCATGGCCATCTGTCTCCACCACGGAGGGATGGGTGTCCCTCCTCTGTGGGGGAGGAGGGGGCAGAGGTTCGTGGATCCTCACATCCTCCATGGAGACAAAGGATGGGGAAGAACCGTAGGCGGGAGACTCTGTGGCAAAGGCTGGATTATGTGGGGAGACCCAGGGCTGGATGCTGGGAGGACTGCTGGGTCTCTCTAGATTTGAGATGGATTCTTGAGAGTCCTGCTTCAGCGTGGATAAGGCAGTAGGGGATGCTGAAACGGTGCTGTAGTCCCTACCACTCCTTCTGTCCCTTCTTGGGGTCACAGAGCTGTAGATGGCAGGTTTGGGGGGCCTCTGGGGCAGCTCTGAGTGGGAGTAGGAAAGCAACATTCCCACCAGGTCTGGAGTCTGCTCTGTCCTGTGAGAACCAGGGAAGGAGTCACTCCGTAAGTGCTGGACGGTGCCTGTGGAGTTGGCTGGGGGCCTCGGAGGGCTGGTCCCGGTGGAGGGGAAGCCATAGAGGGCAGCCGGGCACATCTCAGAAGTCCCACAGGGAGATGGGTCATCCATTGAGAGAGGGGCACTGGCAGTTTCTGGAGCACGTGCAGCACAAGAGGTTTCCCTCCTGGGAAAGGCAACTGGGGGCCTGGCAGATACCGAGGCAGGTGTGATGGGGTAGGCTTCAGCAGGACTGGGAGGAGCTGAATCTGGTGTCCTTGGAGGAGTCACAGATGCACTGGCAAAGACCACCTCAGTCCCTTGGCTGGACACTGTTCCCTTCCTCAGCCTGGATCCCTCTTGCTGGCTGTTTTGATCTATTTCCTTGTCAGGTGACTCCTCAGTCAAAAAGGAGCCCAGTAGAGAAATGGGCTGGTGAGAGCACCTGATGGGCTCTAGCGAGGGAGACAGAGCTGCGGGGGACAGTTCCTCAGCCCTGGACTCTGTCTGAGTCCCGGGAATCTGAGTCATGAGATATGAGGCACCTGGAAACAGGTCACAGTGAGGAGAGTCCTCAGGGGCTATCAGAGCGGGCATTGAAGGCCCATGATGCTCATTCTCCTCTTCCCTGCTCCTCGCTCTTCCCACTGCCCCCAGCCTGCCCCCATCCCAACTCTCTGGCTCTTTCGCCTCCTGCCCGCTGACTGGCACCCCTTTCTCCTTTATACCATGATCTTCTTGCTTTCCAGTTACTTCCTCTGATTTTCCCAAAAAGATTTGACTCTTTTCGTCCTGAGAGTCCGCCCTATTCTCTTCTGGCACCTGCAGCTCCCTCTTCCTCTCTTCTCCCTGTTCTGGACCTCCCTGACCCTGAGCCTTCCTCTCCATATCCTCCTGCTCCCACTCACCGTCATTCAGACCCTCTGGCTCCCCAGTGAGCCCCATTCTTTCTCCTTGTCTCCCAAGCATCACATCTTGTACCTGTTCCTGTTTTTGCTTCTGTTCTCCCTTTTCATCATTAACCTGCTCTATCATCTGTTCCTCCCCTAATAGCCCATCGGCACAAACATCCTCCCTCAGAGTTCCTTCCCCCCGAAATCCTGCTTCCTGCTGTCCCTGCTCCTCCAGAACTTGGACCTCCTGGGGATGCAAGAGCCCTTGACTTTCCTGCAGCTCCTCAGGTGGCAGCTCTTCCCCCTGCCTGATAGTCCCACTTTCAGAGCCTTCATTCTGGTTGGTCTCTGCAGGATGCTCTTCGCAGGGAGAATAATATCTGGTCTGACCAGAGTTATCTGAAGAGGTTTCCTCTTCTTCTTCTGCCTGTCCAGATCCCAATGTCAAAGAAGTAAGTCCTGGCCAAAATTCCACCTCCTCTTCTTCGCTTCCCAGGTCACTGGAAAATGGGGCCATGTCTAGATGCTCACTCTGAATGGGGCAGGCCCAGAGCTCTGGGGGAGCTAGAGTCCTTGCTTGTCGGCCTGCTAGGCTCTGGGGTACTGCCTCCCAGTGTTCCGGAGTGTCACAGGCCTCAGCCACAAGGCTTTCCTGATTGGGCTCCACATCTGCAGAACCTTCCTTGGGAAAAGAGGGCATCGTCTCAATCGCATAGTCACACACATCCCTTAACTCACTCTGCTGAGTTGCTGAGAGTCTGTGTTCCTCTCTCCACTTATAGGATGGGTCCTCATCTTCTTGAGCTTCAAGCCCCAAGGCAGAGACCTGGCTGCTCCTCATGGGAGCCTCAGGGATAATGCTGAATTCCTCTATGGCAGAGATGGGAGGAGAGGCTCCACGCTGGGCCTCCTCAGCCTCCACGCTGGGCCTCCTCAGCCTCCATCAGGGCTGAATCCTAAGGAGGAATCAAAGACAAATGTTTCTAACAACTCTGCTTTTACCTATCAGAGGAAGAGACCATAAAAAAGAAGAGTGATGCATTTATTTGGTTCCATTTAGGGTCATTCTTTGAGACAACAGGTTCTCAACAAAATAAGCAATAGCCTCTAAAAAACTTGTCATTGATGTATTTATTTCATAAATATTTTCCTAGCGACCCTGTTAAGTGTGGGGCATTCAGTAGTGAATGAGATAAAAATCTTGTCGTCATGGAGACTGTGGTCTTGTGAGGGAAACAGGTCATAATGAACAATTAAATTATAGCAGAGGACCATTGTCAGAGAGTGCCCAGAAGCTCCCAGTTGTCAGTTCTCTCTAGACTCCATTATGTCATCTTCTGTCTCTCCCTGTCTACTCTTCGGACACTAGGAGTGACTCATCCTCATATAACCCCCAGACACAGCAAGGGACACACCTCAGATCTATTAGGCCAGAGAAGCAGTGTCAGGAGAGGGTCTTCCTCTTAAGCTGTGGACATCAGTTAAAATAGGCCAGGCTATGATAGCCAATGTGTGAGGTGCTATGGTTTCATCTTCTTTACAGAGGGTTTGGAGTTTACTCATCTTTCTATTTTCCATAGTGTCTACTACAGCATTGTAACTAACAGTTTTGTTTCCAATTCTAGAGGCAGCTGTTGTAAAGTGGGATGATAACAGCCTTATTGGATTAGTGTTGAACTAGACACATTACCACCTTGAAGGAAGACCACAGAAGGGTGCTTTCTGCATCACCTTACTCTCCCCTTGGCCTCAGTATCCATATGAACTCTTCTCATTAATTCTTTTGACCTTCCTGTCTTTTGATTTCGACCTTCCTGCCTTTCTTCTCACTTCCAGCAGAACACCTCATCTCCTATTTTGCAAAGAAAATAGAAACTGATGGAACTGGGTTTCTCTCACCTCAATTTCTTGCGATCCAAAGCAACCTGTATTTCCACTCTTTCTATCTTCCGCCCTCAGTCAGGAAAAGACGTATCCCTCCTTTCCATGCTCTGTCATTTCTTGCCTGCTTCCCCAGGAACGCTGTGCACTCATACCTTCAACATCCCTGCTGAACAACCCCTGGGGTATGGAAGCATTCCCACATTCTTCTCATCTTTCAAATGACTAGAAGGAGTTGCTCTTATCTGCTGTCTTCATACTCTCACATCCCACCTGCCTCCAACCGAGCTTTGATAGCGGCATTCTGCCAATATTCCCTACAATCGACATGTTGTTAATTCCAAAGAAGACCTTATGGATCTTCATTTTGGGTGGTTCTTGTCAGTATTTGACAGTACTGAGGTTAGAAATACTCTCTTGTTACTTGTGGTATTACATTTTCCTGGTTTTACCCCTTCAGTTTCCTCCAGTCTTTTTTTTTCTTTCTTTTTTTTTTGAGATGGAGTCTTGCTCTGTCACCCAGGCTGGAGTGCCATGGTGCAATCTTGGGTCATTGCAACCTCCATCTCCGGGTTCAAGCGATTCTCCTGCCTCAGCCTCCCGAGTAGCTGGGACTATAGGTGTGTGCCACCACACCCAGCTAATTTTTGTACTTTTAGTAGAGACGGGGTTTCACCATTCTGGCCAGGATGGTCTCAATCTCCTGACCTCGTTATCCACCCGCCTCGGCCTCCCGAAGTGTTGTGATTATAGGCGTAAGCCACCACACCTGGCCTCCCCTGATCTTTTAACTAGGTTAAATTGTACCCCTCTTTGTAGCACTTACCAACTATAATTCTCTTTACTTTTCCTTTTTAGCATTTATACAATTATAATTATATAATGATGTGTGTATTTTGAGTTACCCTCTATTGCAACCAATAGATAGTAAAATTTATGAGATTAAGAACTATGACTTGCTGAATTATCCATACTTAGCCTAATAGTGGCCTATACTCAGTGTTTAATAAATATTTTTCACATAAAGAATAAAATTCAGGTCAGAATAAAATGTGATCCTTTTACTTCAATGGAATATGCCCACCTTTTCCTAAAATCATGATTAACAGTTTACACAGAACTTTAAACATTTAGAGCTGTATACACAACAAATTAATTTTTCTTATTTTTCATTCTGAAACACTAAGGTTTTCCTGCATACATGTCATTAAAAATAATGAAATGCTTCTTTAAATATGTATGTGCCATACATCTAAGAGTCATCGTATAAGATGGGTACCATTATTCTGCCCATTTTACAGATGAAAAACTGAGTTTCCCAATGCACTTTATATATATAATCCTGACACTCTGGGAGGCTGAGGCAGGTTGACTGCTTGAATCTAGGAGTTTGAGACCAGCCTGGACAACCTGGTGAAACCCTGTCTCCACAAAAAATACAAAAATTAGTGGAGCATGGTGGCACGTGCCTGTAGTTCCAGCTACTTGGGGGCTGAGATGGGAGGATCCCTTGAGCCCAGGAGGCAGAGGCTGCAGTGAGCCAAGATCACATCACTGCACTCCAGCCTAGGTGACAGAGTGAGACTCTGTCTCTAAATAAATTAATTAATTAATTAAAATAAAATAAAATTCTTGTTTCCCTCCTGGCCCAGATTCCCCATATCTAATCAATCACCATGTGCTATTGACCTCGTCTGCTAAATATCCCTTAAGACTGTCCACTTCTATCCCATCCCTCTCCACTGGTGCATGCTGCTACCGTCTCGCCCGGGCCACTGCACCCGGCCACAGCTTGGGCACTGGCCTCCACCCATTTCACGCTATTCCAGTCCTTTCTCCATACAGCACCTAAGTGAGCTTCAAAAGCACCAGTTCTAGCTTAGATTCTTCAGCAGCCTCTGAATGCTCTTGAGATGAAATCTAAATCTTCAGCATGGGTTATACTCCCTGCACAACCTGGCTCTGCCTTCTTCTCTAGCAGCCTATTCACCTGTCACCATCTGTCCCTGCCCCCATCCCCCCCTCTCCCACTGGCTTTCAGTGTCTTTAGCTCACTTCTCTCTGTGTCTCTCACCTGTAGGCCTTTGTAGACACTGCTCCTCTGCCTGGAATCCTCTTTTGCAACAGAGAATCCTTTGCTTCTCCTCAAACACACCTTGCACTTGTCATGTCATATTTAATGTCTATTTTCCAGGCTAGATTATGAGCACCATGAAGGGACAAACACTGCCATATAACCCCCTCTGCCTGAAGCCTAGTTGGCCCTCAACAAAGATGTATTGTATGAATGAATGACGGAAGAATATAGAGTTAGAAGAGTGTGGATCAGTGTTTGGTTGTGCCTCTCTGGTATCTTTGCTGGTTTTAAGACAATTGTAGAAACCATTAAATTTATTTGAACATCCATTTTCTTATCTTTAAAAAGGAGATAAAAGGATTCCTTCACAGTTCTAGTAAAGATTAAATAAGGTAACATAAAAATGTACACTGCTATCTTTAAGGGTCATAGAAATGGTGGCTGTGGTAAATACTGTTGACCTGAGAGACAGAGAATAAGTGTAAGAGAGAAACATAGGATTCATAAAGCCGGAAGGACCTTCAGAGACACACAGAAACTGCTCAATTTACAGATGAAGAAACTAAAGGTCAAAGACCCTAGACCCTTGCTCAAATCTCCTAAGCAAATGGTATGGGCAAACCTGAAGCAAAGTCGCTTGACTTAAGTCTCCTGTAAGCACTTAGAGGTCCTACTGAAAGAAAGCTGGCAGGCCATCAGTCCAGAGAAGACCCCAGAATTCTATGGACCCAATGCTGCACCTGACCGTGCACCTTTCTTGTCTGGTCCAGGCTTAAACTGAAAACTCACCTGCTCAGAATACTGTCCTGCTTAGCCATTGTGTACACACACACACACACACACACACACACACACACACTGAGCCATCCTTACAAACTCTTGCAATAGAGCCTGACATAACCAAACAGGCAGGTCCCTAGCACACTGCAGAGTAGTATGTGACAAGATTCTGGCCATCCCAGAGACAGAGATACCATCTATATGGGGCAAAGAGATATGTCTGACATAATTGTACACAGGCAGAAGGACTTTTATGTCCTTTTCCAGTTAACTGACACCATATGCGATTGGCTCCCTATGTCTAGCCCTTAAGTACAAAATACTATAATCCCTATGGGTGATTCTGTGATGTGGCCCTGTTCTCTCAACCACACATCGAATAATATACTTGCTCACTTTAAGACACTTTCTGAAACTTGGCCTAAGGAGACCATGGGACTAAACCTGTAGTCTCTCCTCACTTACATCTGCATGGTTCAGGCCCTCTCCTCCATATACACCATCACGTCTTCAAAACAAGTAGCCTCTAAATAAAAGTGTGTTTCTGCCATATCTAGGGTATATCTATAAATACCATGTGCTACCTGGACATTTTCTGTTCCAATCTAGTGGCACAGTGCATGCCTGCCTCTGCAAGCCCATTGACACCGTTTCTAACTGTCTTTTTTCATTTGGAAATATCAGTGGTCACCTGCTCAGCCACCAGTTACCGCAAAGGGAGAACATACCCCACGTTCCCTATACTTGATCCTATCTCAGTGATCCCGTTGCAATCAGGCATGACAAAGCTAAAATGTGACAAAGTGAAAGGAAATCTGTAAATCATGGTCTTACTCACGTAAAGGCATCAGGAGAGAGTTTTTTGCAATGCTCATTACATTAGAGTGCAAACATCCTCATCTCCTTCTCCACTGAGGGTGAATAATCACTGTTTATCTGTGTACAGGCAAAGCCAGGGCATGGGATTATGGGGATACGGCCTTGCTTCAGACCACAGACATTTTGCATCCACATAACCTCACCCACGTGTGACTTCTTGAGAGGCAAAGCTTCAAGTCATCCCTTTAACACAATGTGTGACAGAGCTCACTATCTTCCCTAGAGCCCCCCCCAACACCTTAGCTCTTGTCTATTTCTAGTCACTAGAAACAACACTGTATTTCAAGGATACAACCTCTCCCCAATCAAACTGCCAAATCTTTGAACTGAGACTCAGTGCCATATATATATTTTTGAGGACCATGCTTCCCGGATTTTCTAGCAAGGTTGATTTCAAATATTCTGACTTACAAATCACTAAAATAATATTGAGGTTAAAATAAGATCACCACATAGATATATAACTTTATTCACTGTTTGACATCACTGCCCTCAATACTACAAAGATATCAAAACAGGGGTAGCTTTCTGGACCACTGACTACTACAATGTGTGTTCTATCCATTGCGGGAAAGTCCCACCATGCCAGTGAAAGCTGTAATACACATTTATCTATTCTCTAATGTCTGAAAATGTCACACCAACTGCCTTATAGACCAGATAGTTTATATAAGAACATTATTAGTGTCAATGCTGACTTACACTCTACAATCTCATCTGTGGTCCTGGTGGCATCCACACAGATAACATTAGTGTGAGTGACGTGTTTGTGTATTAACATAGACCTTGAGGGTGACTTTGTTCCAGTCTACCTTGCAGGCACTATAAGTGATCAACTCCTGCTTACTCCACAGACACTGTGAGTGACCCAGCCCCTGTCTACACTAGAGCTGTTGGTCACCTGTTTGTCTACACCACTGACACTTGAGTAATGCTGCTCCCGTTGAACCCAAGACCCTACGAGTGACTCCATTCCTGTCCATACCACATAGCGACTGACCTCTCCAGACACCACAAATGACGTATTCCTGTCTATCCCACAGACACCACGTGTAATGTGGCCACGGAACCTCAGACAGACCGCGTTAAGGGCATTGATACACTCTCAGGACCTCTAATATATGAACACTCTTCTCTCTATTGAGAATCACTATATTCTGTTGATGAGAGGGATTCCTTTGCACTCCTCCTGATTTCTCTCTCCTCCCCACTAGGACCATGACATACATTCCTCCTGCATATCAGTCTCACCCAGAACTGACACGCCCTCATCCCATCTTCCCAGCTCCCCAGGACTCCTTCACTAGCCATGGCTTCACTTTTAGGCCCACAGATTGGTTAACAAATGACACCCATTTTGCTAAGGCCTATGCCAGGAACTTCTTCATGCTCCAAATGTGGATAAAACAAGACGTCTGAGACAGAGGCCACATCAAGAGCTTTTTAGCTGGAGCTGGGACCTCTGGATTAGGCCCAAGATGCAAGGCCAGACAGTGGAGTGCAGTAGGGGAGCAAGCTAGGGAGGAAGCTCGAAAGGAAAACCACCCTCTCTCATCTGTTTGACACACCCTTCTCTCTCAACCAGACAAGAGTCCTGGCCAGAGTTCACTTCTAGGTAGACAGGAGGGCAAATCTGTCTTTGGAACCCAAGATCCAGGAAGGGAAGAAAGGGACTGAGATCTGGAAATGACGTAGTATCACAACTGGCTCTCCTCCGGTAGTCTTGCCGGAAGGCAACTGCAAAAGATGCTCAGGGGTTCTAGAGCTCTGCGTCCGCATTCTAGCACCCCAACGCCTACCTCAGCCCCCAACTCTAAATAACTTCTTTCCACCTTGCTAAGAATGCAACGTTGTGATTCACATCAAGCTTTAGGAGGCTCCCCATATGTGGGGAACTGGGGTGAGGGGCAGGGCAGGATTCACTGTTCCAGGTTACGGAGCTTTGGTTAACACGGAGAGAAGCTACACATAGACTCACACAGTATGCAAATACCTATGGAGATACATAAGGAAAGGCCCCGGCCTGGTTAAGGAAAAGGAGCCGATAAAACCTCTCCAGGTAAGGAACAGCCTAGAAAGGGAATCTCAGTTATTCCTTCTGATATGGCTTAGCTTTCCCCAGGGCGCCTACTTTGAAGAAAGAGCCCTGATTATTGGCCCGGGGAACGTCTGGGGGCAGGGTGCCCATTTCCTAGGCGGGACCCGACCGGAAGCAAACTTGTAGGCAACAACATTTCCTCTAGTTCCTCTCCTCTTCCCCACCAGGGTCCTCAGCCACACACCCCGAGCCCTGCCTGCGGGCCCAGCACCCCCATTTCCGGAGCCTGCGCCCCGGACCCAGCGGGGGCTGATCCCTGGGAAAGGCCTGGCTTCCTCTTCCTTCCTGTCCCTGCCCCACCTCCGCCGGGCTCCACAGCCGCCGGGAGCCCAGGGCCGAGACGGGAGGAGGGCACCCACCTGGTCGGTGTCACATGCTGCTTCGGCCCCAGCGTCCCCTCCAGGTCCCGGCGCCGGCCGCAGTCCCCAGAGCCGTCCCCAGCGCAGGCCCGGCCGCCCCACCCGCGGCCCGCCCCTGGCCGCCCGACGGGAGGGAGGGATCGGGTTCTCCTAGGAAGTTTCAGGTGAGGAAACAGGGACACACCTTCCCGGAGGAGGGGCAGGGCCCCTCCGCGCGCGAGCCCCATTGGTGTGAAAGAAGCTCCCGCGTCAGAGCTGGGAAGTGCCGGGCCGGCGGGGAGGGGAGCCCGGGCGCACGGGCCAGGCCGCGGGCTGTCCCAGGGAGCCCCGAGGGCGCGGTGCGCGGGCGCAGGTCGGGCGCAGGCGGGGTGACCCGGGGAAGGGGCGCGCACAGAGACAGAGGGAGCCAGCCGGGCCCCACGGTGTCCTCGGACGCCTCCGAAATCTCCCTGCGTGTTTGTTTCTTCGGAGCTTCACCGGAGCCTGACTCTGGAACCGGCCTGTCTGCCTGCTGCAGTCTGTATGTGTTTGTCTTTTGCCTTGGCCGTGCCTCTGGAAGTCTGACATCCGTGGTTGTACATGTGTCTTTATCTTCAGGCCTCATTGGTTTTTGGTTTGTTCGTTGTTGTTGTTGTTGTTGTTGTTGTTGTTGTTGTTTCTGAGACGGAGTCTCGCCCTGTTGCCCAGGCTGGAGTGCAATGGCGCGATCTCGGCTCACTGCAACCTCCGTCTCCGGGTTCAAGAGATTCTCCTGCCTCAGCCTCCCGAGTAGCTGGGATTACAGGTCCGCGCCACCATGCCCGGCTAATTTTTGTATTTTTTAGTAGAGGCCGGGTTTCGCCATGTTGGCCAGGCTGGTCTGGAAACTCCTGACCTCAGGTGATGCACCCGCCTCGGCCTCCCAAAGTGCTGGGATTACAGGCGTGAGCCACCGCGCCCGGCCAAGACCTCAGTGTTGATTTCTCTTCCGTGATGTCTCCTCCTATAGAATAAAGAGTGTCTCCTCCATCTCCTCCTCCGCCCCCTTCTTCGTTTCTCTCTCTCTCTCCCTCCCTCCTCCCCCCTCCCTGTCCCTCTCCCTGCCTCTTCCTCTCCCCTCTTCCTTCTCCTACTTAGGGCCTAGAAGTGTGCCTCTCTGAAAGGACATGCCCGTGTCCTTCTGTATTCCCGAGTTTATTTTAGAATGAGTGCGTATCTCAGGGTGTATGTTCCTTCTAGGGCCTGTGTGTGTGTGTGTGTGTGTGTGTGTGTGTGTGTGTGTGTGTGTATTTAAATCTCTAAGCCCATGTTTGTGTGTTTTCTTATGCCTGTATTTTTTTTTTTATTCTTTCAGGGAAACGTTGTGTTCGTTAGTCTTGGAGGCCAAGGCTGAGTGGGTTTATCTCTGTGCCCCTCCAGTGACTTCAAAGAATGCCAAAAGTCTCTCGAGTGTGCCTGTGTGCACACACAGACACACACAAAGTAGGAATCCTTTACCTGGGGGACAGAGATTTCTGTTATTTTTGGTTGAATCTGACCACTCCCCAAAGCCATTCACTACTCCAGGGGTTTCCATGGTGACATAAGTCAAGTGAAATATTAATGGACTCCTTGCCTATTTTGCTCTTAGGAATGCCATGGTCTACAGCCCAAACAGCTTGGCTAGACCATTTCCAGATCACTGTGCCCATTGGCTGTTGCCAATGATCCTGGTTGAACGTGTTCACTAGTTATTTTGAGGTGGCTGTAGAATAGAATGTAATTAAGGAAGTATAGCCTCTTCTGTAATAGAGTCCTGAACAGCTTTATGTTAAAAAAGTGTGCTACTTCTGCCATGTTACTCTGAAGGATTAAGTCTTAAACAGTTCAGCAGTTTTCAGCCTACTCTAAGCTGCCATGGAGTGTATGGGAAACTATAGGAAAAATTGGGATTAAGACTCAAAAATCTGGATTAAGAAGGGCAGGCCTTGCATGTGTCCTAGGCTCAGCAAAAGGGTAAGAACTGGGAGTACAGAAAGGCAAAAAGTTCAAACTGGGACTGGCTCTACTTCTAGGCTGGAATACAAAACTCATTCCCAGGTATGAGAGGGTCCTTGATTTATACCGAGTGAGCAAAGTGAGTAAACTTCTGATCTAGGGCAGAAGCTGTTGACCTCTGGGTCGGGTGCGGTGACTCACAACTGTAATCCCAGCACATTGGGAGGCCTTGGCCGGTGGATCACCTGAGTTCAGGAATTTGAGGCCAGCCTGGCCAAACATGGCGAAACCCCTTCTCTACTGAAAATACAAAAATTAGCTGGGCTTGGTGGTGGGCACGTATTCCCAGCTACTTGGGAGGCTGAGGCAGGAGAATTGCTTGAACCCAGGAGGCAGAGGCTGCAGTGAGCTGAGATTGCACCACTGCACTCCAGCCTGGGTGACAGAGTGAGACTCCGTCTAAAAAATACAAAAAAAAAAAATTGTTGACCTCTGGCATATTTCATGCTGCCTACTGGGGGTGGGCAATGGGGTCAGAGGTACCAGAACTGCCTCCTGAACCAGCCTGGCTATTCTTTCTGCTTCCCTCCAGCTTCAGTTGGTTCTCCTTGATTACAGCGCTCTCTCTCTCTCGCTCTCTCTCTCTCTCTCTTTTCTCATCAACTCGACCTCCTCTTGTTCTGCCAGCTCTGACTTGTCAGCATATTTTTTTTTGAAGTCACAACCCTGGATTCTTGTGCGCTTGTCCAGAGAGTTAGCACACAAGGCTTTTCCTGACTTTTCAACTAGTAGGAAAGTTACAACCGACCATTTAGGGAGTTTGCTCTTCCCATCAAGACTGTTCCTGTCTGCAGGGTGTATTTGCATGTGGAGGTCACTCTAGCTCTCCCAGGTATTCTTCCTTTCACTTTGCAGACTATGGTTCTCAGCATTTTATTATTTTTTTTCTTTTTCATTTCTTACTGCGTGGTCTTGGTGACTGGGTTTCTTAATCAAGCCTGTCATCCCATCCTGAGATTTTGATATTTTATTTGGGCCTATATTTCCTCTATAAAGGCCTAGAGAGGAGAGAGAATGATGCCATGGAAAGAGAATGAGATTTAGATTCAGACAGGGGTAAATTTGAATCCTGCATTCCATTTACTTAATGTGAAATCTTGGGCATATTCACCTTCCTGTGCTTTCTCTGAATCTTCCTACGTTTCATTTCCCTAATGTCTTAATTGGGGATAATAATATGTAATGATACCTACGTCACTGGATTGTTGTGGTGATTCAATACTGTAATATATAGAAATCACCTTAGTATAAGTACCTGATGTGTAAAGGTGGCCAAGATGGGTTAGTTTCCTTTCCTAGCAGTGCCTGTCAGTGATGCATGTGGAATGAATATATTTATAAGAACAAAGTGATAGGGGCTGGGAACAGTAAATAGATTCAAAATAAAGCTATTTTAAAATGAAAGCCCTATTAGACGAGGCTGAATAAAAATAGCTTCTAGAACTTGGGACTACTTTAATTGACAATAATGCCTTTAAGATCAAGTTATGGGGCTTGGGGAGAGGCAGGGAACAATCTTGTATAGTTCTAGGTATCAGGACTAAAGGAATGACAATGACCTTTTTTGAAGCAGGAACTCATCAGCATTATCCCTAGGGCTGTCATTGTCCTGACTAGATACTGTCATGGTGCCACCATCCCACATGACTGGCTGCATTGTTCCCACGTGGTGAACTCTCTCTGACTCTCAGCTGGTCCAGTGCTAGTTCTTGGAACACTCCTAAGGCCTTTCTGCCTCTGCTTTTTGCCTGATCCTGTGACCCAACATTGAACCTTTTGAACTGATTTTGAACTCAGTTCTTCTTTTTTTTGAGATGGAGTCTCGCTCTGTTGCCAGGCTGGAGTGCAATGGCGTGATCTCGGCTCATGGCTACCTCTGCCTCCTGGGTTCAAGCGTTTCTCCTGCCTCAGCCTCCTGAGTAGCTGGGATGACAGGCATGTGCTGCCACACCCGGCTAATTTTTGTATGTTTAGTAGAGATGGAGTTTCACCATATTGGTCAGGCTGGTCTCGAACTCCTGACCTCATGATCTGCCTGCCTCGGCCTCCCAAAGTGCTGGGATTATAGGCATGAGCCACCGTTCCTGGCCCCAGTTCTTCTGTTAATGGGGCTGACCGTGGTCTCTCCATTCATCTCTGTTGAAGCCAGGCTGGCTTGACCACTGTGGTTCTTAGCTATCTTCTTCTATTCTGTTTTTTTGTTTTATTTTATTTTATTTTATTTTTCAGAGATGGAGTCTTGCTCTGTCCAGCCCAGGCTGGAGTGCAGTGGCACGATCTAGGCTCACTGCAACCTCTGCCTCCTAGGTTCAAGTGATTCTCTTGCCTCAGCCTCCCCAGTAGCTGGGATTACAGGTGCGCACCACCACGCCTGTCTAATTTTGTGTTTTTAGTAGAGATGGGGTTTCACTATGTTGGCCAGGCTCATCTCAAACTATTGACCCCAAGTGATTGGGATTACAGGCGTGAGCCACCGCGCCCAGCCTATCCTCTTCTATTCTGATGAGCATGGTTTTATTTTCTATCCTTGGCTTCCCCTTATTTATTTTCTCAACCTTTGCACATTGATTGGCATGAGCCTAAATTTAATGCCATTCAAGGCATACATACTAATTGCCTCATTCATTTTTTCTTCTATTCATTTACTCAGTATGCATTCTTAGAAACCAGATATACAAAGACAAGATCTCTGCTTTCAAGAAGCTCTCAATCTGATTGAGGAGAGAAACAGGTGGCAAATAATGGCAGCAGAGCATGGTAAGTGTTATGTTGAGATGGACACAAAGTACAATGGAAGCATAAAGGAGAGAGTAGGTGGCACTCCTTGGGGAATCAGAGAAGCCTGAATGGATAAGGTGGATTATATATATTTTTTTCTTTTTGAGATAGGGTCTCACTGTGTCACCTAGGCTGGAGTGTAGTGGCGCAATCATGGCTCACTGTAGCCTCAAACTCCTGGGTTTAGGTGATCCTCCCACCTCAGCCTCCTGGGGCTGGAACTAGAGATGTGTACCACCATGCACACCTGGCTAATTTTTGGTATATTTTTGTAAAGACAGAGTTTTGTCATGTTACCCAGGCTGGTCTCGAACTCCTTGACTCAAGCAATTCACTCACCTTGGCCTCCCAAAGTGCTGGGATTACAGGTGTGAGCCAACGTGCCCAGCGAAGGTGAGATTTGAGTTGACTTGTCTTTTAAAAATATTCTGTTACTGGCCGGCATGGTGGCTCACGCCTTTAATCCCAGCATTTTGGGAGGCCGAGGCGGGGGATCACGAGGCCAGGAGATTGAGACCATCCTGGCTAACACGGTGAAACCCCATCTCTACTAAAAATACAAAAAAAATTAGCCCGGCTTGGGAGACTGAGGCAGGAGAATGGCGTGAACCTGGGAGGCAGAGCTTGCAGTGAGCCAAGATCGCACCACTGCACTCCAGCCTGGGCGACAGAGCGAGAATCTGTCTCAAAAAAAAAAAAAAAAAATTCTGTTAACCTGGTATAGAGGAGGATATAGGAAAAGCATACCAACAGCAGAAGTGAAATATGCGAAAATACAAGCCTGAGCACCCTCTGTTCAGGGATGTGCAAATAGTGTGGGTTTAACATGAGATGTGGTGAAGAAATGGCAGAGAATGAAGTTGGAAGGGTAGTCGGGCAGCCAAATCATGAAAGGCCTTGTAGGCCATTCCTGCTACTGAGTTTGGGCTTCATCCTTTTGGGGATAGGCCTCCTTGGAAGGGTTTCAAGCAAGGTCATGATGAGATCAGATTCTAAGGTTAGATTTAGAAAAAAAAGCTCTGGGGGCAGTTGAGAGAATGGACTGGTGTGGATAGTGAAGTGGAGGGGCAAGGAAGGCAATCAGCTGTTGTAGCAATTAGATGGATATTGTAGTCATGGAGGTAAGAAAAGAAGACACCTTGAACGAATGCAGGGGCAATGGGAAAATAAGACAGGGAATGGATTTTAGTATTGTGCTGACTGTTTTTTGAAGATAAAATGATCAAGTCAGATTTGAAGAGTTGACTGTTGGAGGTGAATAAAATGATGTCCTCTCTGAGTACTTCTCTGTTTGTGAGAGGACTCCTTGAGGAGTTCTGCTCTTGATTTTGCAGGGGCTGCCTCTAGAGCTCTGTGTTTTATTTGCAGAAAGAAGCTTAACTATTAATACTTTGCTGCTTGCTTTGAACTTGCATTTCACAGCCTGGCCCTTTTTTTTCTCAATGTTGCTACTTTGCTTTCAAGATGTAGAGGCCTATTGGCCAGATAGACACATCAAAGAGCCTTGCCTAGGAGTTTAGTCACAGCTGTCATCATTTGTGTCCAGGAGCCATGGGCTTCAGCTTGCCTGGTTTAATCAGCACTACCTGTTTTTCTTTTTTTTAATCAGTAGTGGTAAGAGTGGTAAGATGGGTGGTTCTGGGAAGGGTTACTGAGGAAATGGTCTGTTTTGCTTGTAAAAAGAATGTTTCTATTAACTCAGACATTTAGAAACTCACTTATTCTCAGAGATTAAGTCATGGGTGTAGGAAAAGGATGGGAGTTTAAGAAGTGAAAGAGACCACCTCGACCTGAATGAATGAATGAATTGTGAATTTTTAGTAATTCACAGTTGTGTTCACTTGTGAATTATTAATAATGTATATAACAACTAAGTGTGCGGAGGGTCTCAAAGTATAGTTTGTGGATGTGCGGGTGATCCGGCTGTGACATCTGCCACACCATAGATCAAAGTGTAGTTTGTGGTACACCTGCATTGGAGTCTCCAATTCGCTTTGTGAGTCATTCTTTTTTTTTGAGATGGAGTCTTACTCTGTTGCCCAGGCTGGAGTGCAGTGGCATGATCTTGGCTCACTACAACCTCCGCCTCCCAGGTTCAGGCAGTTCTCTGCCTCAGCCTCCTAAGTAGCTGGGGTTGCAGGCGCCCGCCACTACGCCTGGCTAATTTTTTTGTATTTTTAGTAGAGATGGGGTTTCACCATACTGGCCAGGCTGGTCTTGAACTCCTGACCTCGTGAACCACACACCTCAGCCTCCCACGGGTCATTCTTAAGCACAGTAAAGCTTAGGACTCAGGGTGTTCCAGCTTGTATAGAAGGAAGAAGTACAGTGGACTGCAATGCCTGCTTTAAGGATATTAGGGAAACAAGAAAAGAAACTTTTGTGCCAGGCCACTGGGTATAAAGTTTTATGACCCGAGGATGGAAGGAAATTAGAAACAGGGATTGTAAGGCCAACAGGGAGAAAAGCAGAGCAAGTATTCAACAATTTCGTTAGACAGTACATGTAATCAGTTGTAGTTTAACACTGGACATGCATGTGTGATGTAATTTTTGAAGTTATGAAAGTGTAAGCAATCTTTTGTTCCGAGTTTACCCCTGGATGCTGTGGGCAATGAGGGATGAGCCTGGTGCAATGAAGAAGTAAATTGCTGCACAGCATGGTGCCTCAGGCCTGGAGCTCTTCACATCCTTTAGAGCTGGATTAAGAGATGCTGTGTTAGCTCCAGCAAAGGTCACTAGGAGTCTTTGGGTTAAATTTTTTTTTTTTTAATCCACAAATTCTTGTAGTTCACTGAACTTCTTTAAGAGGAGGAAAGCCCAACTTGGGGTCGATAAATGGTATAGTAAATATTTGTTCAAGTTCTAAAATGGACTATCATTTTAAAGAGTTGATTAGCAAAGTTGAAAATACCTGATATTCTCTATGGTTTGTATCTGTGGGAGATGTTTGGTGGAATGGTCAGGAGGAAGAGATGGAAAGAGTGCCATTGCCTTAAAAAAAAAGAACAGCCCTGGCCGGGTGTGGTGGCTCACGCCTGTAATCCCAGCACTTCGGGAGGCCGAGGTGGGCAGATCACCTGAGGTCAGGAGTTCAAGACCAGCCTGGCCAACATGGCGAAACCCTGTCTCTACTAAAAAAAATACAAAAATTAGCCAGGCTCAGTGGCTTGCACCTGTAATCCCAGCTACTCGGGAGACTGAGACAGGAGAATCGCTTGAACCCAGGAGGTGGAGATTGCAATGAGCCGAGATTGCACCACTGCACTCCAGCCTGGGCAACAAAGCAAGACTCCATCTCAAAAAAAAAAAAAAAAAAAAAAGAATAGCCTCTTACCAGCTCTGCTGGGTTCTAAAAGATGAATAGGTTGCCTACCCTGATGTCAAGGAGCTCACAGTGTAATGGATGTGACAGATGAACAACAGTGTTGAAGTGCAGTGCACTTTATGCTAGAGGTGCCATGGGAGTTTGGAGGAGGAAAAGATTATCTTGTCGGTGAGTTTATAAACCAATGCCAAAGTGATGATGCCTCTGTGTGATGCTTATAGGTCAGCAGTTACACCATCACTCTTCCTAAGTCTCTAGACTAGAGGCTCATATTTTTCGAATCTCCTGTACAAAGACATTTTTAACTTGAGTGCATATATCATAGAAAAATATGTATGCTTCCAAATCTCGTTCAGTTGAACATTTCCAAAACGTCTGGTACATAATGTCTGAGAATGCCCAGGTCCTCCTGGAGGCTGGTTATAGCTATGGTGAGGTGTTGCAGTCATGAAGAGGGAGTGGGTCCTTGCCTGCCTGCCCTACAAGTGAGCAATCCCTAGAAGCGCTGTTATTCAGGTTGTCTTGCTTTTTGTCTTTTGAAATGTTTGGATTTGGGATGTTTTGGAAATTTCCCCATCCAAAATTTTTGGAAGATAGGGATGGGGATGGGAATGATCCCTGTTCCTTATTTTTTATTTTTATTTTTTTGATACAGGGTCTCGCTTTGTTGCCTAGACTGGAGTGCAGTGGTGCTATCATGGCTTACTGCAGTCTCCACCTCCCAGGCTCAAGCAATTCTCCCACCTCAGCCTCCCGAGTAGCTGGGACTACAGGTGCACACCACCATGCCTGGCTAATTTTTGTATTGTTTTGTAGAGATGGGGGTCCCACTTTGTTGCCCAGGCTGGTCTCAAACTCCTGGGCTCAAATGATCCACCTGCCTCAACCTCCCAAAGTGCTGGCGAGATTACAGGCGTGAGCTACTGCACTCAGCCAATTCCTGTTCTTTTGAAATGGAGTCTCGCTCTGTGGCCCAGGCTGGAGTGCAGTGGCATGATCTAGGCTCACTGCAAGCTCCACCTCCCGGGTTCATGCCATTCTCCTGCCTCAGCCTCCTGAGTAGCTGGGACTACAGGCGCCCGCCACCACGCCCGGCTAATTTTTTGTATTTTTAGTAGAGGCAGGGTTTCACCGTGTTGGCCAGGATAGTCTTGATCTCCTGACCTCATGATCCTCCCGCCTCAGCCTCCCAAAGTGCTGGGATTACAGGCGTGAGCCACCGCGCCCAGCCCAATTCCTGTTCTTAAAGAGACTATAACCAGTAAAGTTCATTTAGTGGAGTTCTGGCTCTACTGTATTTGTTACCAGAAAGAGGTTCTGGTCCCAACCCCAAGGGAGTGTTCATGGGCCTTGCACAAGAACGAATTTGGGGCAAGCCCGTAAAGGGAAAGCAAGTTTATTAAGAAAGCAAAGGAATAAAAGAATGGGCTGTTCGACTGAGTATACTTACAGTTATTTCTTCATTATATGCTAAACAATGGGTGGATTACTCATGAGTGTTCCAAGAAAGGTACAGGCAGTTCCCAGAACTGAGGGTTCCTCTCCACTTTAGACCCTATAGGGTCTAAAGTTCAGACACTGCCTGGCATTTTTAAGTTGTCATGGCACTGGTGGGAGTGTCTTTTCGCATGCTAATGAATTATGAGTAGCATATAATGAGCAGTAAGGATGACCAGAGAGGTCACTTTCATCACTGTTTTGGATTTGGTGGGTTTTGGCTGGTGTCTTTACTGTATCCTGTTTTATCAGCAAGGTCCTTGTGACTTGTATCTTGTGCCGACCCCTATCTCATCCTGTGACTAAGAACGCCTAACCTCCTGGGAATGTAGCCCCATAGGTCTCAGCTTTGTTTTATCAAGTCCCTATTTATGATGGAGTCACTGTGGTTTGAACACTTCTGACACAGTGGCTCCCAAACCTGGCAAATCAGCAAAATTTCCTTAAAATCCATCTGTCTATCAATCAATCTATCTATCTATCTATCTATCTATCTATCTATCTATCTATCTATGAGACAGAGTCTTGCTATGTCGCTTAGGCTGGAGTGCAGTGGCGTGATCATAGCTCACTGCAGCCTTGAACTCCTGGGCTCAAGCCATCCTCTCACCTCAGCCTCCCTGGTAGCTGGGACTACAGGTACACACCACCATGTACAGCTAATTTTTAATTTGTTTGTAGAGATGGGGTCTCAGTACTCTCTATTTTCCCAGACTGATTTTGAACCCCTGGCCTCAAGGGATCCTCCTCCCTTGGCTTCCCTGGGTGCAGAGGTTACAGGCATGAGCCACTGGGCCTGACTGTTGTTTGTTTTTAAGATGATTATGATTAGGATGAGAAGCCAGGTTTAGGAATCCTGATAGAAAAGCAGTGGTTCTTTAGCAGAGGCTTCCATCATAATCATCTGATCAGCATTCTGAATTTGCCATTGCCCTAAACCCACGGAGTTTTAATTCTGTAGGTTTGGGGTCAAACAGAACTATTTGAAAATAGCTCCTTGCTGATTTGGATGCCTAATAATAGTGGAAACTCTCTGACCCACAGCAGTGATTTTTAAACATCTTTCATTCTACCTCCTGTCAATAAAAAAATTTTGAGCAGGCATTTCCCCAGTATATGCATGTTTTATTTATTTATGAATTATATATGTGTACTTCTGTATGATATGCAAACACAGATGTTTTAAAATAATGAGGTACAAATAAATGTCATTGAAAGCTCTAATATTTTTATCTCGTTCCCCCAGTGGATACACTGAGGATCCCATTGTGTAGAACATTGAGAGAAAGAACAGGGCCAGTGGTTCCATAATTGACCCCAACTCTTATTTAGCTGCTACTATCACGGGTAGCTGTCTGAAACAGAATCACTGGTTCCCACCCCAACCAAAGCACTCCTACTCCATTCCTTAATTTATGCAGTCATTCAACACATGTATAGGTTTAGCAGACCTAATCCCCAAATCTCAAATCCAAAATGCTCCAAATTGTGAAATATGATACTCAAAGGAAGTGTTCATTGGAACATTTGACATTTGGGATTTTTGGCCTTGGGACGCTCAACTGGTTAAGTACCTGCAAATATTCCCAAATCCAAAGAAATCCAAAATCCAAAACACTTCTGGTCCCAAGCATTTCAGATAAGGGATACTCAACCCATATTGTGCAAAGCGTTGAATGAGGGGCTAGGGATGTAGTTGTGCACATGGTCTTTGATCTCAAGGACCTAGGTTATGCCCGCATAAACATTAAACAAATGATTACTTAATAATAAATTACTATAATTTTGATGGATGCTAAAAAGTGTGAACTCAAAAGTACCTGAGACAAGTCTCAAAGAAAGTTTAGAAAGTTTATTTTGCCAAAGTTAAGGATGTACCCATGACAGGGTTTCAGGAGGTTCCGATGACGTGCCCCAGGTGGTCAGGGTACAGCTTGCTTTTATACATTTTTGGGGAGACATAATACATCAATCAATACATGTAAGATTTACATTGGTTCAATCTGGAAGGGTGGGACAATTTGAGGGCGGGGGTAGGAGGGCTTGCAGGTCATAGGTAGATTTATAAATTTTCTGATTTGTAACTGGTCAAAATAATTATTATCAATAGGAATGTCTGGGATATGATAAGGGGTTGTGGAGACCAAGGTTTTATCATGTAGATGAAGCTTCCAAGTAGCAGGTTTCAGAGAGAATAGATGGTAAATGTTTCTTTTTTTTTTTTTTTTTGCCAGGTCATTCAACATTTATTCAACCAAAAATACTAAGTCAGCTCTATACAAACTAATGGAAGGATACAGCTATGCAAATATAGAACACTAAAGTGTTACATGACAGATGTATGAGGTAGGTATTATTTTCATGCGCGTCCGTGTGAAGAGACCACCAAACAGGCTTTGTGTGAGCAACATGGCTGTTTATTTCACCTGGGTGCAGGCGGGCTGAGTCCGAAAAGAGAGTCAGTGAAGGGAGATAAGGGTGGGACCGTTTTATAGGATTTGGGTAGGTAAAGGAAAATTACAGTCAAAGGGGGTTTGTTCTCTGGTGGGTAGGAGTGGGGGTCGCAAGGTGCTCAGTGGGCAGGAGTGGGGGTCGCAAGGTGCTCGGTGGGGGTGCTTTTGAGCCAGGATGAGCCAGGAAAAGGACTTTCACAAGGTAATGTCATCAGTTAAGGCAAGGACCGGCCATTTACACTTCTTTTGTGGTGGAATGTCATCAGTTAAGGTGGGGCAGGGCATATTCACTTCTTTTGTGATTCTTCAGTTACTTCAGGCCATCTGGGCCTATACCTGCAAGTCACAGGGGATGTGATGGCTTGGCTTGGGCTCAGAGGCCTGACATTCCTGCCTTCTTATATTAATAAGAAAAATAAAACAAAATAGTGTTGAAGTGTTGGGGTGGCAAAAATTTTTGGGGGGTGATATGGAGAGAGAATGAGCGATGTTTCTCAGGGCTGCTTCAAGCGGGATTAGGGGCGGCGTGGGAACCTAGATTGGGAGAGATTAAGATTTTAGTTTCCTGACTCCGGACATGTTGAGTAAAGCTAATTTGCCAGTCCTGGGTGGGGGCAAATCCTCGAGCTTGCTGTGTAGGGAAGGAAGGGGGCCTGAATAATCCCTGAGGAATAGTAGAATAGCAGATGGAACACTGAGAAATTATTTCCTTGAGGATAGATTTCCACGATGGAAAGGAAATGAGAGGTTCTGAAAGGCGGGCTAGTGGCTTGTACTATAGCATAGCCTGCCTTTGCTGGTGTGTGGCGATTAGGCCTGGTGGAACTGCCATCAATAAATCAAGCGTGATCAGGGTGAGGAACAGGAAAGATATGGCAAATGTTTCTTATCAGGCCTTAGGTCTGTGTTGATGTTAGTGCCGGTCGGCTCTTCCTGAATTCCAAAAAAGAGGAGGGCATAATGAGGCATGTCTGACCCCCACTTCCATCACAGCCTGAAACAGTTTTTCAGCTTAACTTTGGAATGCCTTTGGCCTAGAGGAGGTGTCCTTTCAGATGGTTGGGAGGTCTCAGAATTTTGTTTTTGATTTCTGAAAGTATATATATATAAAACCTGAGAATGACCTCTTCTGGAGGGTTTGAGAAATCTGTAATTTGGAGGCAGGAGTGTCATTGAAGGAAAGCTAGAAAATTTCAGATCTGGAGGACAGAGGTGGAAATCCCATAGCAGAAGATGAAACTGAAGATGTGAGCAGAGACCAGGGATCACGTGGGCCTAGTAGACCATGTTAAGGAATTTGATCTTTATTTTGAGGGCAAGGTAATCCATTGAAGGATCTAAGGGAGAGTGACAGGGCCAGATTTTCATCTCAAAAAGATCACTTAAAGGTGCAGCAAGTTGTATCAATTCTTTCCCTTCTTTCTCTTTTTGAGATAGGGTCTCATTCTGTCACCCAGGCTGGAGTGCAGTGATGTGATCATGGCTCACTTCTGCCTCAACCTCCTGGGCTAAAGCCATCCTTCTACCTTGGTCTCCCCAATAGCTGGGACTACAGGCATGCACCACCACACCTGGCTCATTTTTAATTTTTTTTGTAGACATGGGGTCTCACTATGTTGCACAGGCTGCTGTCAAACTCCAGGGCTCAAGTGATCCTCCCACCTCAGCCTCCCAAGGTGCTGGGATTGTAGGTATGAGCCACTGCACCCAGCCTATTCTCTCCTTTCTTATCTTTTGCTTGTATTTAGAAACCTTTGCTTTTACAGTTGCCCTCAGATTACACTCCCTTTTTCCCTACTTTCTATGAACTCTTACAAGTCCTCCAAGATCCATCTCTGTTGTTACCTTCTTGGTGAAGCCTTTTCTTATTCTCTCCTCCAAACATCCACACTTTTTAGAGCTAATGTATTTTATGTATGTATTTTTTAATTTATATGGTATACGTGCTGCTGAAGCGAGCACTAGAGCTAATCTCTATAAAGGCACTTTGTAGGTTTTATTGCAGTACCTATTTTGGTAAATTGGGGGAGGACAGTTGCAGAAAATAGAATTCCTTGAAATCTTCATGGCACGGTATCATTTGGTTTCTTTGGTTTGTTCAAGCTCCTGCCTTAGTTTACTTATTCCTTTCTTATTATAACGAATTCTGCACTGTTTGTATGTGTTTTTAATTTACATAAATGCTGTCTTTTATCGACTTTACACTTTTTACTTTTTAAAATTAGGACGAGTTTTAAACATCTACTCATTTTCCTTTGTGTATCTGTAGTCTTTTGCTTCTAACCAGTGCTTTTGTTCCACAGTCTGAATTCATCATATTTTACCTATTCTCACTTTCAGTGGTGGCCACCCAAATCCTTTCACCTTCCCTGTATCACAAACGATGCTGTAATGAGCAGCCTTGTATACATCCTTTACGGACCTGTGTGAGAATTTCTGTGGGATGTGAACATCCAAGATCAGAATTCTGGGGTTGGAAAGCGATGGTGTGCTTATTTAGCCAGATCCTGGCTGTTGCTCCCTCGAATGGCTGCACTGACTGTGTGTTCATCACAGTGCAAGAGTCTTTGTAGCCCCATGTCCCCAACAACACTGGGCATGTTTTGATCAGTTGAGTAGCTTCAAAGCGGTATTACACTGCTGTTTAATTTTCATTTCTCTGGTTACTAGTGGGTTGAGGATCTCAGTAAATTTGTTGTCATGTGATTATTCACATTGCCTATCATGCCTTTGTCTACTTTTCTGTTGAGTTACTCTCATTTTCCTGTTGCCTTGCAAAACTTTCTTGTATCCTTGCAAAACTTTCTTGTTGCCTTGCAAAAGCCTAGGTGGAAGGATGGCTTGAGCCAAGGAGGTTGAGGCTGCTGTGAGCCAGGATCATGTCACTGTACTCCAGCCTGGGTGACAGAATGAGACCCTATCTCAAAAAGAAAAAGAAAAAGAAGAGAAAGAGTAGATACAGTTTGCTGCACCCTTAGGTGATCTTTTTGAGTTGCAAATCTGGCCCTGTCACTTGTATAATCTTAATGTTAGTTATCTGTAAGTTTTAGATATTGAAAACATTGTCTCCTAGTAATCTGAACAGAAATGTGTAACAATTTTGCCACACATTAATTCTTCTATATTATCTTAACAGCTTTATTTTCCATCCTGAGTCTATTTTTTAGTCTAATGATATTGAGTAGATACTTAATTATGTCAGTCTATTATGTCAGTTTTTAAACTCCAATGTTCATCTTTTCTTGATTTATGCTACCAACTTTATTATGTATTACATTCTTATAAGTAGATGAGTCTGTTTCTGACGCTTGCTCTCTGTTCTGTTCTACTTGTCCATTTAAATGTTCTTGCTCGAAATTGTTTCTATGACAGTGGCTTTGTAGTACATCCATGGATTTGGTTGGGACACTCCCTCCCCTACTTCTACTTTTCTCCTCTTTCTCAACGTTTATTTAGTTATTTGTGGACCTTTATTTTTCCATGTAGATTATAGAGGTTTTCAGAGATCCTCAGAAAACCCAACTGAAATCTTACTTGAGGTTAATTTGGGGGAGAATTGAGATTTTATGATAATAAACCACCCTTCCCAAAAGTATAGACTGTCTCCCCAATTATTCTTCTCATCTTATATGTTCTTTAGACTAATTTAGACTAATATGCCTTCTCATATTCTGCAGAGAGAAAGGTCTAGTGTCTCTTCCTCTAGTTATAAGGGCACTAATCCCATCAAGGGGGATCTACCCTCCTGACCTCATCTAAGCACAATTATTTTCCAAATGCCCCACCTCCCAATACCATTGCATTGAGGTTAGAGCTTCCTATGTGAATGGGAGGGTGGAGGAAAGAACACAAACATTCAGTTTATTACATATCTTATAAAATATTATGAATCTGGTTAAAGTATTTTCAAAGAAATGTTTTAACTATGGAGACCAGATGAGTGAACAATGAACCTTGCCATAAATATGACAGCAGAGAAAAAATGACTATCCTTGATATGGTTTGGCTATGTCCCCACCCAAATCTCAACTTGAATTGTGTCTCCCAGAATTCCCACATGTTATGGGAGGGACCCACGGGGAGGTAATTGAATCTGAAATGCTCTTCCTATCTTTCTATGCTTATTTATCAGTCCTCTGCTAATTCTTTTCAATGATTGATTCAATGATGAATTCCCATGCTATTCTCATGATAGTGAATTAAGTCTCACGAGATCTGATGGGTTTATCAGGGGTTTGCACCTTTACTTCTCTCTCGTTTTCTCTTGCCACTGCCATGTAAGAAGTGCCTTTTGCCTCCCACCATGATTCTGAGGCCTCCCCAGCCATGTGCAACTGTAAGTCCAGTTAAACCTCTTTTTCTTCCCAGTCTTGGATATGTCTTTATCAGCAGTATGAAAACTGACTAATACAGTAAATTGGTACCAGTGGAGTGGGGTGCTGCTGAAAAGATACCTGAAAATGTGGAAGCGACTTTGGAACTGGGTAACAGGCAGAGGTTGAAACAGTTTGGAAGGCTCAGAAGAAGACAAGAAAATGTGGGAAAGTTTGGAACTTCCTAAAGACTTGTTGAATGGCTTTGACAAAAATGCTGATATTGCTATGGACAATAAGGTCCAGGCTGAGGGGGTCTCAGATGGAGATGAGGAACTTGTAGGGAACTGGAGCAAAGATGACTGTTGTTATGTTTTAGCAAAGAGACTGGTGGCATTTTGCCCCTACCACAGAGATTTGTGGAACTTTGATCTTGAGAGAGATGATTTAGGGTATCTGGCTGAAGAAATTTCTAAGCAGCAAAGCATTCAAGAGGTGATTTGGGTGCTGTTAAAAGCATTTCATTTTAAAAGGGAAACAGCATAAAAATTTGGAAAATTTGCAGCCAGTTGATGCAGCAGAAGAGAGAAACCTGTTTTTTGAGGAGAAATTCAAGCTGGCTGCAGAAATTTGCATAAGTTACAGGGAGCTGAATGTTAATCTCCAAGACAATGGGGAAAATGTCTCCAGGGCATGTCACAGGTCTTCATGGCAGCCCCTCCCATCACAGACCCTGAAGACTAGGAGGAAAAAATGGTTTTGTGGGCCAGGCCCAGGGTCCCCATGCTGTGTGCAGCCTAGGGACTTGGTGCCCTGCATCCCAGCTGCTCCAGCCATTGCTAAAAGGGCCGAGGTACAGCTCTGCCCATGGTTTCAGAGGGTGCAAGCCCCAAACCTTGGCAGCTTCCATGTGGTGTTGAGCCTGCAGGTGCATGGAAGTCAAGAATTGAGGTTTGGGAACCTCCATCTAGATTTCAGAAGATGTATGGAATCACCTGGATGCTCAGGCAAAAGTTTGCTCCAGGGGCAGAGCCTTCATGGAGAACCTCTGCTAGGGCAGTGTGAAGGGAAATGTGGGGTTGGAGCCCCCACACAGAATCCCTACTGGGGCACCACCTAGTGGAGCTGTGCGAAGAAGGCCACCGTCCTTCAGACCCCAGAATGGTAGATCCACCGACAGCTTGTACCGTGCACCTGGAAAAGCCACAGACCCTAAACGCCAGCCCGTGAAAGCAGCCAGGAGTGGGGACTATACCCTGTGAAGCCACAGGGGCAGAGCTGCCCAAGACTAAGGGAACCTACCTCTTGCATCATTGTGACCTGGATGTGAGACATGGAGTCAGAGGAGATCATTTTGGAACGTTATAATTTGACTGCCTCGCTGGATTTTGGACTTGCATGGGGCTTGTAACGCCTTTGTTGTGGGCAGTTTCTCCCATTTGGAATGGCTGTATTTACCCATTACCTGTATCCCCATTGTATGTAGGAAGTAACTAGCTTGCTTTTGATTTTACAGGATCATGGGTAGAAGGGACTTGCCTTGTTTCAGATGAGACTTTGGACTACGGACTTTTGGATTAATGCTGAGATGAGTTAAGACTTTGGGGGACTGTTTGGAAGGCATGATTGGTTTTGAAATGTGAGAACATGAGATTTGGAGGGGCCAGGGGCAGAATGATATGGTTTGGCTGTGCCCCCACCCAAATCTCAACTTGAATTGTTATCTCCCAGAATTCCCAGGTGTTGTGGGAGGGACCCAGGGGGAGGTAATTGAATCATGGGGGCCGGTCTTTCCCATGCTATTTTTGTGATAGTGAATAAGTCTCAGGAGATCTGATGGGTTTATCAGGAGTTTCTGCTTTTGTTTCTCTCTCATTGTCTCTTGCCGCTGCCATATAAGAAGTACCTTTTGCCTCCCACTGTGATTCTGAGGCCTCCCCAGCCATGTGCAACTGTAAGTCCAAGTAAACCTCTTTTTCTCCTCAGTTTTGGGTATGTCTTTATCAGCAGCGTGAAAATGGACTAATACAATCACCCTCTTCTTTGTTCTCCTTTCTATTTCATCTCTAATTTTTTTTGGCATTTGGAGGGTGCTATACATTGCAAAAGTTGGGGACTCACTAATTCCACTGCTCACTGTATATCAAGGTAATCTGTCAGGGGTTTGGTTTTATATAAGAAACAAATGAGTCCCCAGAACATACAAGTTAAGATTATTCAATCAAGGGAGGCAGTCATTACCCTTTAACCTCTGAAAGAAAACTGCAAGTAGGCATCAAACTAACCCTGAGATGGGAGAGAGTAGAAGTTCCCACACCCAGTGAATTGTAGGACATTAGGTAATTATTGGTGGGAAGTAAATTTGAGTGGGGAACTGAATTTCAACTGACTTTTATCCTTGAAGATGGTGCTTCTATTTTCTCAAATTAGAAGGTTATGAAAATTGCATCTGAACAACAAGTTGTATTAGCATAAGTTCTAGAAGAAACTGAGAAAGCAAGGCTAGTCTGAGGAAAATTTATACCGCTCACATTTCCCTTCTGAATTGGAGAATAGAATTGAATAGCAAAATTGTAACCTACCTTTCAAAGATGCATTTTATAGTGAAGTATATTTTGTGAACTTTTATATCTTCTATTCTTATTTTTCTATTGCCCTATTTTAAAATCTATCTTGAATTTATTAAATGTATATGTCTCTGTTTATATATTTATGAGTAATATGGTAGTCTTTTTGGTATCAGATGAGAACCCAACACACACAAATACATACTGACACATACAAAGATGTTTATACTGCCTCTTACATCTGTCGGAAGAGAGAGGGTTCCAAGAATTCCTGTGATGAGGGCTTAAAGCCAAATATTTTTGTTATCATTTTATACATATATATTTTATTTTTTTTCTATTTGGGAGAAGCTAGAAAACACACATTACTTTTTTTTGTATCTTTTCTGTTTTAGACTAAAATCTGCTGCTATTCAAAGAATAAATTGTATCTTTGTGTATTCTGATAGACATAATAAGTAAGTTGTGTAAGTTATAAGTATGTATAAGTAAGTTGTATCTTTGTGTACTCTTCTTCTGATAGACATAATAATATAAGACAAACCCAATAACAGCATGCTGTTTATTTTGAACACAGAAATGTCTTTAGTTCAGCCTAACTCTGTCCTTCCTTTTTGCTGATAGAAAGTCTTCGGCCTCATCCCTCGTCTCATGTCCTTGATGCCTATTTCTTGAGGTGTTCCATCCACTGTCAAAGTCCCCAGTCAGTGATTGTTCTTAGGTATGAGTATTCTTTTCCATCCTAATCCATGTTATCCCACTTATCTTCCAAAAGGCATCCTCTACTCCTAGAGCAGCACAACAGGTTTCCTTCTCTACTCTTGATGGTGAGCCCAGAGTACCCTGTTGTCTCTGTGGCCCTAGGCTTCCACTTACCCTGCCCTTACCTCTGTGGCAGTGGAGAGGATATGGTAGCAAAAGAGAGCAGGAGTGATCCACCATGTCCAGTCATCCTAGGGGATTGGTTCCAAGGACCCTTCCCACCCCCTGCAGATACCAAAATCCCCAGATGCTCAAGTCTCTGACATAAAATGGCTTAGTCTTTGCCTATAACCTATGCACATCCTCCTGTACACTTTAAGACATCTCTAGATTAATAGCTAGTACAATGTAAATCCTATGAAAATAGTCGTTATACTGTGTTGTTTAGGGAACGATAACAAGAAAAAAAGTCTGTACATTTTCAGTACAGACACAACCATCCATTTTTTTTTCCTGAATTTTTTGATCCATTGTTGGTTGAAGCTACGATGTGGAGCCTGTGGATAAGGAGGGCTGACTGTACAGCTATGTCACATTTTTGACTGCCAAGGCACAGAGGCACAGAATAAAATAGAGAAAAATGGAGACAAGAATAAAGATGAGACCGGTGTAGTGGCTCATGCCTGTAATCTCAGCACTTTGGGAGGTGGAGGCGGAAGGACTGCTTGAGCCCGGGAGTTCAAGACCAGCTTGGGAAACATAGTGGGACCCTATCTCTATTTAAAATTTTTTTTTTTTCTTTTTGAGACAGAGTCTCGCTCTGTCACCCAGGCTGGAGTGCAGTGGTGTGATCTCAGCACACTGCAACCTCCACCTCCCAGGTTCAAGCGATTCTCCTGTCGCAGCCTCCCGAGTAGCTGGGACTATAGATGCCCACCACCACTCCCGGCTAATTTTTGTGTTTTTAGTAGAGGTGGGGTTTCACCATGTTGGCCAGGCTGGTCGCAAACTCCTGATCTCAAATGTTCCACCCACCTTGGCCTCCCAAAGTGCTGGGATTACAGGTATGAGCCATCACGCCTGGACAGAAAAAATTTTTTTAAAGAATAAAGATGAATAGGAAGGGAGGTGCCATTCACTTCAGCAGAGACATCCTTCTATTTCCCTTGTGATGCAAATATTCCCACCTCTATGACTCTGTCAGGAGAGGGATACTGAAGATGTTAAAGTCATTAAAACAAGATATTAAAAAAAAATCAGAACAGTTTAATCCTGTCCTGATAGAGATGATCAAACAACTCCAAAGAGGTGATGACTTAACATATTTCTAGGTCCAAGTAGTGGCCAACCGGGGCCAGCATCCTCCCAGTCACCCAGGCTGCCAACCAAGGTGGCTGAATACTTGCTTGAGATTGCCAGCATTTGTGATATCATCACTGTGCATAATTTCAAGGTAGGATCCTCATTGCTGTGGGCTATAAAATGGACTCTGCCCACCACACCCCCCCGCCAACACTTGGCACACTTAGATGGAAATGGAAAAATGGTATTCTAAAACATTCTGTTGCATTATTATTTGTACCCCTAGGCAGGTGTGATTCATGTAGGACAGAGTGGCAAGGAAAGGCTCTATTGAAGGGGTGAGCCTTGAGCTGCCCCTGGGTGGAAGTGTGGGTGGCCATGGGAGCTGCATTTCCATGGTGGTGGGAGCTCTGGGCCACTCCTCAATCCCATGTCTGACACACACACACACACACACACACACACACACACACAAACAAACACACACACACCCACTCCTGATAGTAGGAAGAGCAGTATTTTGGACAAAGAGGAGGCTGAAGGCTGCATGACGCCTTGAGACATCAACTCAGGTATGTGTGGAGGTGGCGGAAAGTATTATTACCTGGAACAATCTTCACCCTTTAGGCCTAAATCAACCTCCACCTCCACCGGGACGTTTTTGCACAATGTGTTTCTTTGACAGACTCACCAGAGCGTATGCACATTTGGTTCTCCATTAGAAACATATTTTGTATTTCTAGTTCCTAAAGGAAATGTGAGTTTTGTACTTAGCAGAAGCTATAGCACCATCTTGTGGAAATAAATGCATTGGATCACAAGCTTGCTCTGAAAATTTTAGTCATCTTAAAAAAAAAAGTAAATCTTGATATGACTTCATAGCTCTAAATCACTCCTGGAATGCACCATCTATTAGTAGCAAAAGACTTCTCATATATTCTAATTGTATGAGGGTGGAGTTAGCATTCTCCACCAGCTGCAGCTTTCTTTCTGTTTTGCTTTCGAGGTAGGGTCTTACTCTGTCCCCCAGGCTGGAGTGCAGTGGTGTGATCATAGCTCAATACAGTCTCGAAGTCCCAGGCTCAAGCAATTCTCCTGCATCAGTCTCCCGAGTAGCATAGTGTGCCACTATACCCAGCTAATTTTTTGTAGAGATGGGGTCTCTCTATGCTGCCCAGGCTGGCACTGGCAACTTTCTTCTTTTTAGAATAATTACCGTACTTAGGATCCAATATTCTTCCCATCTCACTTGTTTTAGAATGTGTGTCCTCAGGTTTGGATTTTAATCATGTCCCAAGGGATCTTGCCTTCTAAATAAAGGAACACTCACTGGGTACCAATGTTCTTTTCTGTCTCCTCTGGTGAATCAGACACTTCTCTTCTTAATAGAGTTCATTGATAAAGGGCTTGGGAAAAGGAGGTCCCTTCATTATTGAGAATCTAAAGCATTGGATTGGGAGCCCACAGAAGAACTGGAACAGAGGCTGAGGCAGGAGGATCACTTGAGCCCAGGAGTTCGAGGTTGTAATGAACTGTAATCGCACCACTACACTCCAGCCTGGGTGACGGAGTGAGACCCCATCTCAAAAAAAAAAAAAAGTCCCTGGAAAAGGTTTTATTTAGAATCACGAAATCATTGAATCATTTAATAAATAATGAGTCTTTTTAATGTAAGTAGTATACCCTCCAGTGGAGGGGAAAAAATGCCCAATGTTCTCAACCTTTCTTATCCCTAGTTTGATCTGCATCAAACGTGGAATTGATGTAAAGCTTTGGGGCTTCACCAGGCTTCCCTCTGAACAGTCTCAGGCTTGATTAGAATTTAAGGCTGGTGTGAATTTTGCAAATTTTAAAGATCTATGTTTATCTTCAAGACATATTTTGAAAAAATTACACATTGACATCCTTCAAAAAAGCTAAAAGCACAGAAGTAAATGTCTGCCTCCACATGTTTCCCAGCTATCCAATTATCTTCTCTCAAGGCACCAATATTACAAGTTGTTTGTGAAATGCTTCCAAAAATATTTTGCACTTACAGGAAATATATTACATCAATGATAGTCCACAAAATATTTCAAAACTTGCATTTTTCATTTAAAAATATAGGTTGAAGATTGTTCTATATTAGCACATAGTTTCCTTATTTATTTTTCAGCTGTACAAGATTTTATTGAATGGGTGTAGTCTCCTGCTGAGGTTTTTCCCAGTAGTTTGGCAGTACAAACAATGCTGCAGTGAATAACCTTTACATCTGTTGCATAGCACACATGCTAGTCTACCTGTGGGCTATATTCCTGGAAGTAGAATTGCTGTGTCAAATGGTGCATTTGTAATTGTGGGAGACTTTGGCAAACTTTTCTCCATGCAGGTCATTTATACCAAATTACAGCAATGTATGACACTCCATGCCTCACTAACTGTATGTTTTTAAAACTTTTTTTTTTTCTGAGACAGGGTCTCACTCTGTTGCCCAGGCTGGAGTGCAATGGCGTGATTACAGCTCACTGCAGCTTCGACTTCCCAGGCTCAAGTAATCCTGCCACCTCAGCCTCCCACAGGAATGCACCACTATGCATGGCTGATTTTTTACTTTTTGTAGACAGAGTCTCCCTATGTTGCCCAAGGTAGTCTTGAACTCCTGGGCTCAAGTGATCCTCCCACCTCAGCCTCCCAAAGTGCTGATATTACAGGCATGAGCCACCACACCCAGCCTTTAAAACTTTTTGACTTTGCTAATGTAATAGGTGAAATATTATATTTCAGTGGTTACTGTTGTCATTTTTGCAGTGTTCCTTTTATGAATTTGGTTATAGGAACTCAAATTTTTCATGAGGCCTGGTCACCTAGTCAGTTATCTTTCTCCAGAGCTATTTTGGCAAATACATTGATTTTTTTTAAATTAAGTTTTATGAATAGATATAAATGACTCAGATTTCAATCAGCTTTCAAAAATATTTTTTTTGTATTCTCCCTTTCCTACTTGTCCCCAGTAGTGGATTTACCATGAAGCTAGCAAAGCTTAAGCTTAGAACCCCTTCCAAGAGTCCCTTCCAAAGCTCTGAACTAATTTTGTATTCATACATTCACATTCTGTTTCTTAAAGAAGCTGCCCCAAATTGTATAAGCTTCAGGCCTAGATATGCCGCTGCTTGTCACCGTCTTCCCTGTTTTCAACCTCTCTCTTCCTAGTTTCTTCTGTATTCCTCTAGAATGACTTTATGCATATGTAAGCACATCTAGATAGAGTTTATCCACCCCCTTCCTTTTTTCTTGCTTTTCTGAATGGGTCTTGGAGATTTTTCAATGTAAGATCTAGAGACCATCCATATTGTTTACTGTTGGTTGATAATTTTATGGTATTCCATTGTATGAAGATACTGGTCTTTACTTAATCAGTCCTGTATTGGTGGAACTTAGTGGACATTTGTTTTGTTTGTTTTTTGCATTAAGAAAAGCTCCTGGCAGGTTTCAGAGACTTAAATGACAGCTAAAAATCTGGTGGGATTACAGGTTTCAGAAGTGACAAGGTTTAAAATAGATGAAATTGTTGGGGGAGCCCTAGCCTCCCTTCCTGCACACCCTCTTCAGGTATCTAGGACTCGAAGTCTTATCAAAACAGGACACTTATTACCTGCTAGTCACAACCTATCTATATGAACATATACATCGGCGTGGGAAGTTTGTCTGTGATTGTGAAACAAGATTGTCTTGCTAAAGACATTCTGAATATGTGAAGGCAGGAGGGAGAGATAATTGTAAGGCTTTGAGTGCCTCTAAAATCCTACTGGATAGTTGTTGGCTTCAAAAAAAGGCAGATAGCTTCTGAGGTCATAGTATTCCATCAGTGGCATTGCTACAGCCTGCTAACTGACTTTCATTGCCCACACGCTAACATTTTGTTCTGCTGTATCTGATGGGGAAGGGTTGAGCCACGCAGGCATGGAGTGCTAGATGTCTTCTGCATGCCAGAAGAGTTCATTACTTAGTATTTTAACCCTTCATTTACCTGATTTTATTTATTTATTTATTTTTGAGACGGAATCTCCCTCTGCCACCCAGGCTGGAGTGCAATGGTGCAATCTCGGCTCACTGCAACCTCTGCCTCCCGGGTTCAAGTGATAATTCTGCCTCAGCCTCCCGAGTAGCTGGTTTTACAGGCATGCGCCATGACGCCCGGCTAATTTTTGTATTTTTAGTAGAGATGGGGTTTCACCATGTTGGCAAGGCTGGTCTCGAAGTCCTGCCCTCAAGTGATCCACCCGCCTTGGCCTCCCGAAGTGCTGGGATTGCAGGCATGAGCCACTGCACCTGGCCTTTCATCCACCTTAGTCATCACTTCCTTTCTTCTCTTCCAGTTCAATGCAAACACCATGGGAAACACATTTGGGATAGCTGGAAATTCAGCCTGTTTATTCTCTCTACCCCCTTAAAGCATGGAATGGCTGATCTCCTATCACAACCCACTTTTTGAGAAGAAAGGATCATACACCTGTCTGATTTGGTTACCTCAAATCCAGTCCTATTGCCCAGTATTACCTTTTGTTCATATGTCCTTGTTTGGCTCTTTCCTAGAACTGCCTTCCCTGGGACTAAATTGTAGTGGGTTTTAGTTTAAGATAACACATTAAATTTTTTAAAACATTTTTAATATTTGTGGGTACATAGTAGGTGTATATCCTTTACCTCTTTTATAAGGGATCAGGTAAATAATACATAGAGAAAGTAAGGAAGGAGAAAACAAAGGTGAGAGAAGAGAATAGATGGATCTCAATGCTTCATGATTAAGAATAACTTTTAGTACTTCTTTTCAGCTTACAAAGTGCTGTGTATATTACCTTTTGTGAAGCTCACATTTCCTTGAAATAAATGGGGTGGTGTCTTATCACCATTTTACAGACAGGGAAGGAAAATAAGGATAAGGCTGATCATGGCGCACCTGAATCCAGGTTTATAGGATTTCCCAACATCTTGAGACTTGATGGTTCAGGGTTGACTTTGTCTGGGTCCCTCAGAAGGTAATCAGGGCAGTAGCAGTTTCAGAATGTTTGTACTGAAATGGGGGCTAGGGGATTTGTCTTGAAGCTCTATTTGGATTGTATTTCAGATAAAATTGAAAAAAAATCTACTGTCTGATAAAATTGAAAAAAATTCAGATAAAATTGAATTCAGATAAAATTGAAATATTCAGGTAAAATTGAAATATTCAGATAAAATTGAAAAAAAATTCTATGGAGGTGCTGATGATGGAGATCTGTGGAGGAGTCCCAAGTCTCTTGGTCCCTCTACTTCTTTTGAGTTTTACTATTGTCCTGAAGAGGCAGAGAGCTAGAAACTCAGAACCTCTGATTCCCTGTGGCACAGGCTGCTAGATGTTTATCAGAATTGTTCCTCTTATGCCTGGGTATACAGACCACATTTCTCAGAATCACTTCATTTTTTATCGCCATGGTGACCAAATTTTAGCCAATGGGATGTGAGCAGAAATAAAGAGTCCACTTTTGGGCCAGGTCACTGAAACTTTCATGCTTTGTCTCCCTCCAACACACATTACAATAATGGGAACCATGTGGAAATGAGGGCAGATCCATGAGGTGTAAGGACCCTGGGTCCCTGAATCACCAATCGATGGCGTGATGTCTGCTGGTCAGGAAAACCTCCTCTGAACAAGGAATGAACATTGGTTTACTGTAAAATTTTCAAATAATGCAATATTCTTTCCCATGGTTCAGTCTACATTTTGAGAGGTCTCTTCTTTAAGTCTTTAATGTGTATTATTTTAAACATTTTCCCATGCTTTAGTGTATGTCTCTATATATATTCTCACACATACACATATCTATAGGTTTTTAAGTGAATGAGAAAGCACAGTATCAATATACTTTGTTTCCTCACTTCACATTTTGTGAAAATTTTGCTTATGGTAATATTAGTTTATATGTTAACTGTACATTAATATCTAATTAGATGTTAATATACTAGTAAAACTTATTTATATTAAGAGTTGCATATTTCATTGTATATATTTGCAATGTTTTATTTAATAACCTCACTATTGATATTAGGTTATTTATCAATTTACAAGTATTGCTTCTGCTTAAAATATATGTACATGTATATATTTATGCATATGGGAATATTTCTGTAGGATATGTTCTTAGAATTGAAATTGCTGCATCAAAAGGTATGCACATTTTATTTTTTGAGGCCGGGCACAGTGGCTCATGCCTGTAATCCCAGCACTTTGGGAGACTGAGGAGGGAGGATCACTTGAGCCCAGGAATTCAATACCAGCCTAAGCAATATAGACCCCATCTCTACCAACCAACAACAACAAAATTAGCCAGGCATGGTGGCTTGCACCTGTAGTTCCAGCTACTCGGGAGACTGAGGTCGGAGGCTGTTTTCAGCTCAGGAGTCCGAGGCTGCAGTGAGCTGTGATTGCGTCACTGTACTCCAGCCTGGGCAACAGAGTGAAACCCTGTCTCTGAAAAATCAAAACAAAACTAACAATTTAGTTTTTGAAGAGACATGACCAAATTTCCCCAAAATCTATTAAGACTGTGGGGAAGTATCCACTTGCCTACATGCTTAGCGATGCTAGAAAGTATCCATCTTTTAATTTTTGTCCATCTAATGGGTGAAAAATGGTATCTTGTGCTTTAAAATTTATTACTTACTAGAGGAACTATACATCTTTCATTACATTTATTATTCTCTGTCACTTGTTCTACTGTAAATAGTTTATCTGTCTCTACTTGTATCTGTGTGTTTTTTTCCAATAAAAAACTGGTTTGTGTATTACTATCTTGCTTGTTATATATATTGGGGACTACGTTAGCTATATTTTAATCATTTTCTTAAAGCTGATTTTCTTTTCTTTGTGTGTGGTAAAGATGGTGGACTTTTTAAACGTTTTATTTTTTTCTGCCAGCTGCAGTGGCTCATGCCTATAATCCCAGCACTTTGGGAGCCTGAGGCGGGTGGATCACCTGAGGTCAGGCATTCAACACCAGCCTGGACAACATGGTGAAACCCTGTCTCTATTAAAAATGCAAAAAATTAGGCAGGCATGGTGGTGGCCGCCTGTAATTCCAGCTACTCAGGAGCCTGAGGCAGGAGAAGCCCTTGAATCGGGAGGTGGATGTTGCAGTGAGCTGAGATTGTGCCATTGCACTCCAGCCTGGGCGACAAGAGCAAAACTCCATCTCAAAAATAAATAAATAAATAAAATTAAGTAAAATAAGTGTTTTATTTTTTAATTGACAAAATTGTATAGATTTACCATGTAGAAAATGATATTTTGAAATGTATGTACATTGTGGAATGACTAAATTGGGCAAATTACCATATGAATTATCTAACACCCTTGTCATTTTTATGGTGAGAACACTTAAAATCTACTCTGTCAACATTTTTCACAATACAATCTATTGTTATTAGCTATCATCACCAAGTTGTACAATAGATCTCAAGGCTGATTTTCTTGATCCTTACTTAACTGTTCACAGAAAAAGATTCTGTAAGTCCAGGATAGAGGGAGGCCATATGACCCAGTGGTTATGGAGTCAGGCTCACCTGGATTAGAGTCCAAGTTATGTCAGATACTTGCTGTGTGACCATAGAAAAGTTTCTTACTATCTCTGAACCTCTATCTCTTCTTTTGTAATAATAATAATAAAAGTACTAGAATTGTTATGAAGTTGAGACATGATAATGATGCATGTACCTTAGCACAATGCCTGACATTTCATAAGCTCTCAGCAAATACTAGCTCTTAAAAGTATATCTACAATGTGGGTAATATGGGTACAAAACTAGATATTTATGTTTTAGTCTAGTTCCTAGAACCATTCCCAATCAAAGTTATTCCTAGTAATATTCTTTCCTTAAGGTGGGCATTTCGTGTTACCTTTTAGCCAGTCTTATGAAATTTCTATTTCCCAGAGCACTAAAATAGTCAACTAATTAATTACTTCAGTATGTACTATTTTTTTTCCTTTTTTGAAACAGAGTCTCCCTCTGTCACCCAGGCTGGAGTGCAGTGGCATGATCCTGGCTCACTGCAACCTCTGCCTTCCAGGATCAAGCGATTCTTGTGCCCCAGCCTCCCAAGTAGCTGGAATTACAGGCGCATGCCACCATGCCTGGCTGGTTTTTGTATTTTTAGTAGAGAAAAGGTTCATGATATTCGCCAGGCTGGTCTCAAACTCCTGGCCTCAAGTGATCCTCCTGCCTCGGCCTCCCAAAGTGCTAGGATTACAGGCATGAGCCATCGTGCCTGGCCAGTACGTATTTTTGGGGTTCTACTGTATTTAAGGTCAGAGAGATTCAGTTAGCCTCAGAAGTCCATTTCATTTTCTCTGTATGGAATTTATTTTATACTCCTTTGACAAAAGTGAAAATCCAAATTAATATGAAATGTGAAGAAACTAATAAAGACAGGGAATTAGAAAACAAGAGGTGACCTTAAAGTTTTTCTAGTTCAATTCTTTATTTTATATGTGTGGAAATGGAAGTCCAGAGGAGTTAAGCAACTTTTCTGAGGTCACACAGTGTGTAAGTGAGGGAATTGTCGTGAGAGCCCAGACATTCTCATGCTGAGCCAGTATTCTGTTGACCAAATCATACCGTGTTCAAGGATTCACTTCTTCTTTTGGCACAACATGATTTCAAAAATTAAAAACAGAGAAACACAGCTTGGAAAAACACAGATAAAAATGAGCCAATGCTATTTAAAATTTATGAAGAAAGCAAGGGATGTAAGACACTTCTCTGCTGGCTGCGAAAACATGAGAGCTGTGAAGTCCAGTGAGACAGCATTCCAAATGTCTTTCCTTTTTGTCTATTCTCAAGAACCTGTATTTAACAATGGTACTCTACACTCACAGCCAACAGTAAACACCAGTCCTACAGGTCGGCAGTTGGCAATCCCTGGTCCACGTGCCAAAGATGCTGCGGGTGCCAATCTCAGGCGGCAAGGAAACTGACTACAACACACAAATTCCCATCCCTTTCATTCCCAGTAGTTATTGCCTACAGTTGTCTCCACCCTCTTGCCAGAGTTTTCAAGATCAACACCCTGACATGACTTCCTGTGTAGCACCAGTACCATCCTGGCCTTCTGGAATCACAGTTTCAGTCATTTGGCACACTTCTGTGAGAAGGCAATCGCCATGGACTCCTACGATAAAACATAAATAAGTATTCCCAGCATTTTTAATAGTAAATGCTAAATTTCAACCCTAAATTGTTTCTTTACTTCTCTGTGATCCTAGAGCAATAGGATATTCTTGATTATTAATATCTACTGCATAAGAATATGCCAAAAGGATGAATTGGACAAACCAAATGCACAAGATATCCAAACTTAAAAGAATAGGCCAGGCACGGTGGCTCGCGCCTGTGTTCCCAGCACTTTGGGAGGCCGAGGCGGGTGGATCACCTGAGGTCAGGAGTTCGAGACCAGCCTGGCCAACATGGGGAAACCCCCTCTCTACTAAAAATACAAAATTAGCCAGGCATGGTGGCCCACGCCTGTAGTCCCAGCTACTCAGGAGGCTGAGGCAGGGGAATCACTTAAACCTGGGAGACAGAAGTTGCAGTGAGCCAACAACTGCACTCCAGACTGGGCAACAGAAGAAGACTCCTTCTCAAATAAATAAATAAGTAAATAAATAAATAAATAAATAAATAAATAAATAAATAAAAAGAATAAAGGGTAACACATCCCTAGGCCTATATGATGTGAGTAGAAATTTGAACACAACCACTCATTTGTTCATTTAGTCAAAGTTTATTGAGTGTCTACTATGAACAGGCCTGTTGCCAACCATTCAGGAGATGAATATCAGGAGGTCCTCTGCAAGAGAGTGGCTCAGAATTTATTTACAGTCAGACTGCCTGGTCTTGATTCATGTTTCTACCACTGAATGATTTGGCGACCTTGAATAAATTAATTAATTACACTAAACTTTATTTCCCCCCCTTTAATGTTAGGATAGTATTAGTACCTACTCCACATATTTGATGTAAGAATTTTTCTAAAGCATTTTATGCAGTGCCAACCACATAGTAAGTGCTCAATAATTATCAGCTACAATTAAATTTCTACTGTAGTATAACCTAAAATTAGAGGGATTTAAAGAAGTTTAGAAATCAGAAGATGGCTCAACACTGAAAATTTGGAAATGGGGTCAACAGATAAAGTGTCCTCTATGTATTCCGTATGTTTTTTGTGAGTACTCACTCTGTGCTAGGAATGTATAGGTGTAAAGAGATGAACCAGTGCTTGTCCTTCCCTTTGTGAAGCAATGAATGAAACATAATTGAGACATGCACTGTAAATCCCAGGTTGAGGATTACAAAAAGTTGGAAACCAAAACCAAAATCTGAATTCCTTGACCTTGGGAGAAGTCTCCTGTTTTTTCCAAGTGAACGGGCTAGGACCAGATTCAGAGACAGGCTCCCCGGGAGCCTTTGCCAGCTGACTCACAGAGGTTCCCTGAGTCTGGGCCACAGCTCATGCTCCTGGTCCAGCTATGCCCTCCAAGAGTGAGTGGCCTCCTGTGCCTCTAGGGGGGACATGGGGAAGCCATGAGGGCAAAGGCGTAGGTGACCTACCAGCACCAATGCTCTTCCTGTTTAAAGAGCAATTTTGGTTCCAGATCAGAAAGTTTAGCAACCCTGACAGGATTAAAATAACTTCTGACAGCAGGGTAATCATAACAGTTTATCTTATGTTCACATAGCACTTTTAAGTCTTCAGAAAAAAAATGTGTCCATTTGCATCTTGCTTTGGGTTTTCAGTGGCACTCTGTGGTGTCCTAAACAGCTTCCATATGCATAATTTTCAGATGAAGGACTGAAGCTTAAGCAGTTTAAGGGACTTCTCTGCAAAAAACACAGCTAGCAAATGGTACATCTGGAACTAGAACCAGGGCCTCCGGTACGCACCTTGTGTATTTAAGGGGTAGGCAGCATCGTGGGCTTCTTGGATGCCTGGGCCAATCCTAAGAGAGGACTGCACACACAGAATTTAGGGTCCACACAGGCAACCGCCTGAACATGGTTTCTGCACACCATGATTTCCTGCTGCTCCTCTGGTACCAGGGGAGTATTCATCCCTTGAAACCTACCCCTGGTATTAGAGCTCCTCACCTTTGTCCTGCCACTTGAATGTATCCCTTCCCAGTGTTAGTTGCAATGCAGTATGCAGCATCTGCCGTGAAACTAAACAACCGTTTAAAAACTGTTCGGCAGCAATGGAATTACAAATTGTATATCCAGTTTGGGTAATTTTAAAAAATTTAATAAATTATTTCATTGTTATTATTGTTGGAGACAAGGTCTCACTCTGTCACCCAGGCTGGAATGCAGTGGTGCGATCATGGCTCACTGCAGCCTCAAAATCCCTGGCTCAAGTGATCCTCTTGCCTCAGCCTCCCGAATAGCTGGGGATGTAGGCACACGTTGCCATGCCCGGCTAGATAATTTACAAAAACACTTTCTAATGTTCTTCAATTGATGAACCATCAACTTAAAAGTTTTATCCATTGTTTTTGGTTTCACCATCCTGCCCGTCAAGAGGCTCCTCCTCCGTCTCTGACCCTTGGAGTCACAGTTCCTTCTTGCTACCACCTCATCTCATTTCACGCACCAGTATAAAAAAAGCTGTTTTTTGTTTGTTTGTTTGTTTGTTTGTTTGTTTTTCCCCCAGCTTTAAGTACTTTTCTGTCTGGAGCCCAATGCCTATCTTTGGCTAGAGATTGAAAATTGCTTTTCATCTCTCCTCCTCTTCATCTTTGGAAATTTCATGATCTCTTTGATTTTTATATAATGGTTACGATTATGGGTTCAGCAGTCATATTGCCTAAGTTTGATTCTGGACTAGGTACTTATTAGCTGGGAGCATTGGTTAAATTATATAATCTCTCTATAGTTCTGTTTTCTCGCCTAAAAATAGTAGTAATAGTCCCTACCTCATAGGGTTTTTATGAGGACTTAAAGAGCTCTTACTTGTAAGGTTCTTGGAATAGTGCTTCACTAAGCACTGTGCGTATATGTGTGTGTGTGTGTGTGTGTGTGTGCACACGCATGTACGTGAGCATGTGAGTGTTGTACGTGAACTAGAGATGTCTTTGTTCTGGATCTTACCACCCAGAACCAAGTATAGTTCTAAACTTACTCTCTAATCTCATTGAGAACAGCCTCTACTCCCACCCTGTCTGTGTTCTGTGTTCCTCTGAATCTCTTAACCTCCTTTGCAGCCATGCCCACAGGACTCGTCAAACAGGATAAGAAGCCTTCCATAAATAATCTCTGACTCTCCTGGCCTCATCATGGCACATTCTAGATGGGGAAGAAACCCACATTCACTTAACATATCCTACGTTAGGATTGGTTAGACTTATTCTTAATTTGAAATGTTGCTAATAAAGTCCCACATTGTCCTGGTTAAGTAAAGAAGGCTTGGGAGCCAGATTGGGTATGAGTCTAACATTTACCGTCTGCTTAAAGTTCACATCTATAAAATGGGATAATAATGGGAAATGAATTGGCTATAATGATAAACTGAGGTTATCTCTATAAAGTACCTATCAATGTGCAGTGGATGGTGCAGAGTAATTTATAATAATGCTAACTATTAACATTATTAAAACGCTTTTTTCCATTGAATTGTCTCTGTGTGGGGCTTTCCATTCGTCCCCAGCAGTGAAAAGTTGTGTGGTGGTACTAACTTCCTCTAAGTGAAGAGCATGTGCTTATTTAGAGACAATCATAGACAGTCCCCTGGAGGAGGTGAGAAGAGTAGAAACAAGTGACCATCACAATCTCAGGGCAGGTTGGAAAGTGGATTTTGTTGTGTAATTGCTTCAGATTGCCAGCTGAATGTTTATGGATTCACTCTCTCTGACAACAGAAATTGTCAGTTTGTAGGATTTTATAAAAATCAATTTCCCTCCAAGCTGAAGTAGGCACTTAGGTACATTTACTGCTTATAAGAAAGGAAGTACAATTGAGGGGAAACATCCAAATGAGGATGAAAATGGACAGAGGTATCAATGGGTTCTGGAGTCTCTGCCTGTGGCTGTATTTTTAAAAACTTTTTATAGATATGACTTTATCTGGTAATAACTGCTATTCCTCTACTACTGAGCATACCTGACTAAGTCACAGGTGGAGTGTCTGTTTTAAACTTCTGGACTCATAGCAGTGTACAAAATAAATCTTTCCCCGACATTCTCAACTCAATAAGTGCTTAAATTAAAAAATGTTAAGTATAACAAATGCATCAAAAACTAAATACTTCCCAGGCAGGAAAAAGGAATGCTTTACAGAGTCTCTTGGTTCATTTAGTCTCAGATATAAAGAGAGTAGTGAACTTAGGTGGTATTTGGTACCAAGATTCCAGGAGATGACTGAGGAGGGAGAGTCAAATGTCACACCAGTTAGGAATGACTTTCCTTGCCCAGTGCTCTCCTCAGGGCACCCTTGACCTCTCCGTTCCTCAGGCTGTAAATCAGGGGGTTAAGTGTTGGGTTGAAAAAACTGTAAAATAGAAAAAAGACCTTTTGCTGCTCCTCAGGATGGCGGGACTTGGGGGCCATGTACATGATGATGGCACTGCCAAAGAAGAGTCCCACCACGCAGAGGTGGGAGGAGCAGGTGGAGAAGGCCTTTCTGCGGCCCTCCCCAGACTGGATCCTCAGGATGGCCGCCAGGATGTGCGAGTAGGAGACAAGCACCAGGCTGGGTGGTCCCACCAGGAAGAACACGCAGGCTGCAAAGATGACCACCTGGTTGAGCCAGGTGTCAGCACAGGCCAGCCTGAGGACAGACAGGATTTCACAGAAGAAGTGGTTGATTTCATGAGGCCCACAGAAGGGCAGTCTTAGGATGAGAACCACATGGGCCAGAGCCAGGAGGGAGCCACACGTCCAGGAAGTGACGGCCAGGGTGATGCAGACTCTCCAGGTCATGATGACGGAGTATCGGAGAGGGTGGCAGATGGCCACGTAACGATCGTAGGACATCAGCACCAGCAGGAGACATTCGCTGTGTCCAAAACTCAAACAGAGAAAGGTCTGCGTCATGCAGCCAGCAAAGGAGATGGGCTTGGCTGGATGCAGGAGGTTCGCCAGCATCTGGGGCACCGTGTTGCAGGCGTAGGCGATGTCGACGACAGCCAGGTGTGAGAGGAAGAAGTACATGGGGGTGTGGAGTCTGGAGTCCAGTGAGATGAGCCCCAGGATGGCCCCGTTCCCCAGCAGGGTGAAGATATAGAACAGGGAGAAGAGCCCAAAGAGGAGCATCTGAATCCTTGGGCCCAGGAGAAATCCCAGTAGGAGGAACTCTGTGACCATTGTCTGATTTTCCCCCATTTCCCTGTGAAAAAGAAAAAGATCACTTAGGACCAGATTGTCAAAAAACACCTAGACATTATTTTATGAATTTAGTCATTTTTAAAAGATAAACTTTTAACATTAGTGATTGAGCTACACATTAAGTTAATTACTGATTGTAAGTATCCAGTGTTATAGAAGGGATTGTGTCACCAATGATAGGATACATAGAGCCATTGACACATCATGGGAAGAAAGAATGTCGTACCAAAAGTGGAAGTAAAATGACCATCTAATAAGGATTGTCTTGAAGCTGCACATATAAAAATTACTAAGAGAATTCCTGAAGTGTAGAAATAATCAGTAATGGAAGAACTCCAAATATGGGAATTAGAGTAGTCCTAGAAAAAAAGATGATGTAATCCCAGTTTCTCAGTAGAAATATCAACTATTTTGCTTTCAACATCTGAAATCAACCTTTGCACTCTGGAGCAGTTTATATAATAACAGAAGAAGTAGAAAGACAAAAAACAATTTTAATGACATTGTGATTGTTTGGGTTCCTGAGAAGGAACTAATGGATGTGCTACAAATGGGTTCTAATTGCAATCTTTATTTTACAATGGGTCATAAATAGGAACCGATAATTGGTGATTTGGCAGTTAATCTACTGATTGATGCACAGTTACTGATTTACCAAAAACTGGTTTTGAATAACAACTCACACAATTTGTAGAAATTAGATTTTTCTGGGCGAGTTTGTACATACGTATCATTTAAAACATTCACAATGCCTGAATGTTATGTTTGCCACTGCGTTATATATCATTTCTTTTCTAGTCTCTCCTTTCACTTTTGCCAACCCTTTGGTAAATTTAATCCATTTGTGTTTAAGTAAGATGTTCTTTTTACATGTAGAATGAAAGAAACTATGGAGAAAAAATTTAAATGAAGTATCTTTCAAAAACACCAGAAATGACCATTCATAAAAAATTAATTGTGCTTCAGCAACATAAGAATTGCTAAACACTTTACAGGTGGCTAATTAAAACTTTTTTTGCAAAGAGCTAATTTAGTGACTTCATTATTTTGCAGATTATTATAGCAATAAATTGTCAGGTAATTGGTATTTGTGAATTGGTGATGTGCCAAATAATATTTGGGTTTTTGTCCTTAAGTCCTAGATAACATTTTCCTCAATATACCATGTAGAAATCCAGTATTTTGCCAGTGCACATGTTTTTGTTAGTGCCTTTGCTAGGCAAAAATAACCTGCGGCTGAGCCGTTGAACCTGCTTATCTCTGAAAAAAAAAGCTTCTCTGGATTAAGGAGAACTTCTCCAGATTAAGGAAATATGCTGCTTTTGATAAGACCCTGGTCCAGCTGTCATTGGAGCAAAGACATGGAACCACCCTAAATGTCCACCAACGATAGACTGGATAAAGAAAATGTGGTACATATACACCATGGAATACTATGCAGCCATAAAAAAAGAATGAGATCTTGTCCTTTGATGGACATGGATGGAGCTGGAGACCATTATCCTTAGCAAACTAATGCAGGAACAGAAAACCAAATACCGAATGTTCTCACATATAAGCAGGAGCTAAATGATGAGAACACATGGACACATAGAGGGGAACAACACAGTACTGGGGCCTATCACAGGGTAAAGGGTGGGAGGAGGAAGAGGATCACAAAAAATAACTAATGGGTACTAGGCTTAATATCTGGGTGATGAGATAATTTGTACAAAAAACCCTCAAGACACAAGTTTGTTTACCTATGTAACAAACCTGCATTTGTACCCCTGAACTTAAAAGTTAGAAAAGAAAAAGTTAAAAAACTAATCTAATTGGAGCCCTAAAGAACGTTCCCACTGGATCCTTTTCCAGTGGTAACAAATGATTGTATACTTATAAGCATTATCAATAAATTGTTGATTATTATCAGCAAGACACAAATAAATTCTAGTGAATATTGTAACTTCATAACACATGGCCAAGGGTTATATTTTTTTTTCAGGATTCTATTTAAAAAATACTCTCCTAGGCCAACCTTCTACATTTAATTGGAAAACACGCAAAGCATATGAAATATTTGGTTGTGAAATGCATTTGAATTTACACCTTATAAACATCTTTATTTATTTATTTATTTTTTTGAGACGGTTTCCCTGTGAAACCTGCCCTGGAATGCGGTGGTGTGATTACGGCTCACTGTAGTTTTGACATATCAGATTCAAGTGATCCTCCCCCTCAGCCTCCCAAGTAGCTGGGATTACAGGTGCATGCCACCATACCTAGCTAATTTTTTTAAATAAATATTTTTTGTACAGACAATGTATTATTATGTCACCCAGGCTGGTTTCAAACTTTTGGGTTCAAGTGCTCCTCCCACCTCAGCCTCCCAAAGTGCTGGGATTGTAGGCATGAACCGTGTACCCAGTCTACATCTTATAAAAAACTTAATTTCTTTATTTAGTCCTTCATTATTTCCTTTTGTAACTCCCCAAATGATTATACAAAGAAAAAAAATCCACTATGCACAAGTATGAATTTCTTTGAAAGCTAGATGGAGAGTCAAGAAGAAAGGAGAGCTTGGTGAAGACACTCAGATTCTTTAAGGACAATTGCCACATGGGTTGAAACCCTGATTTCTTTTACAGGACTGGGTTGTTAACACACTCCTTGTGAACAAGGAAAAGGTGCTCTCACTTTTGTAATCCTGACAGTAAATACTTACTGTGTGGACAAATTAATCAATAAATACAAATGAATAAATGAATGAATGCATAGTTTTTTTAACCATCCTTTGACTGAATCTGGAATGTCTACTATAATCTGAATACTTGAAAGACACTTTTGTTTTCTTTTTCTCCCCCATAGTTTCTTTCATTCTACATGATACAAAGAACATCTTACTTAACTCAATGGATTAAATTTACCAAAGGGTTGGCAAAAGTGAAAGGAGAGACTAAAAAAAAAAATTAAATATAACCCAGTTGCAAATGTAACATTCAGGCATTGTGTATACTTTCAGGGGTGTCCAATCTTTTGGCTTCCCTGGACCATGTTGAAAGAAGAAGAATTGTCTTGAGCCACACATAAAATCCACTAACACTAACGATGGCTAACGAACTTAAAAAAAAATCACATAATATTTTAAGAAAATTTACAAATTTGTGTTGGGCCACATTCAAAGCTGTCCTGGGCCACCTGCAATTTGGACAAGCTTGCTTTAAGTGATATATATGTACAAGTTAGCCATTTAAAAATTTGGCAAATTATTTGATGACTAATAAATTAACCAACGTTTCCATGGCTTCTAAGTAAATATGTAAGACTGAAATCATTTCTTTACACATGACGAAACCTGTCTACTTCAAAAGGTAAAACTTAAGATCTGATGAGCTGACAAACTCCTTTCTAATGAGTCACACAACATTCTTAAAATGAAAGCTATTTTTAAATCCTCAGGTCAAGTAAAGTATTAGATGATTTATTTCCAAGAATCAGAAATATTTGAGGCTGGATGCGGTGGCTCATGCCTGTAATCCCAGCACTTTGGGAGGCTGAGGCAGGAGGATTGCTTGACACCAGTAGTTTAATACCAGCCTGGGCAACATAGTGAAACCCTGTCTCAAAAAAACAAGTAAAACAGAAACAAAAACAGTAGCTGGGCGTGGTGGCACATGCCTGTAGTTCTACCCGCTTGGGAGGCTGAGGCAGGAGGGTTGCTTGAGCCCAGCAGTTTGAGGTTGTGGTGAGCTATGATAGAACCATTGCACTTCAGCCTGGGCAATAGAGTGAGACCCTGTCTCAACAAAAAGAAAAGGAAAAAAAGAATATTTGTTAAAACTAATACACTCATAACACTCCTTTGTCTTTTTTTTTTTCTTTCTCTTTTTGAGGCAGGATCTCGTTCTGTCACTTAGGCTGGAGTGCAGTGGCGCAATCATAGTTCGTTGCAACCTCAACCTCCCTAGGCTCAGGTGATCCTCCCACCTAGCCTCCCCAGTAGCTGGGATTACACGTGTGCTCTACCATGTCTGGCTACCTTTTTTTAAAAACTTTTTTTTAGAGATAGGGTCTCACTGTGTTGTCCAGGCTGGTCTCAAACTACTGGCCTCAAGCAGTCCTTCTGCCTCAGCCTCCCAAAGTGCTGAGAATACAGACATGAGCCACTGCACCTGGCCTCAAATATTCTTATTACTCGGGAGTAAAGCATCTAATACTTTATTTGACCTGAGGATTTAAAAATAGCTTTTATTTAAAGAATATGATGTGACTCATTAGGAGTTTGTTGGCTCATCAGATCTTAAGTTTTACTTTTTGAAATAGACAGGTTTGGTCATCTGCAAAGAAATGATTTCAGTCTTACATATTTACTTAGAAATCATGGAGATGTTGGATAATTTATTAGTCATAAAATAATTTGCCAAATTTTTAAATGGCTAACTTGTACATATATATCATTTAAAACATACACAATGCCTGAACGTTATGTTTGCAACTGGGTTATATTTAATTTTATTTTTAGTATCTTCTTTCACTTTTTCCAATCCTTTGATGAATTTAATCCATTTGCATTTAAATGAGATTTTCTTTGTATCACATAGAATGAAAGAAACTATGGGGTGGGGGTGGGTGGAGAAATAGTAGTGTCTTTCAAGTATACCGATTATAGTAGGCAAGATTTAAGCAAGCCAGAAATTCCAGATTCAGTCCAAAGACGGTAAAAAAACAAACAAACAAACAACAACAAAAAAAAACACAAAAAATGATATTTAGGCATTCATTCATTCATTTGATTTATTGATCTAGTAAGTGACTAAAAAGGTGAAATACATTTGACTATATATTGTGCCTGGAATATGGTAGGTGTTCAATAATTATTTATTGACTAACTAGATATCAATTTGATTAAATATGAGAAAGCAAAACATTAATGAACTCTCCACATTCTTCTGTGAATCAGGTTCTCAGGCAGAGTAAACACTGAAAGAAACAAAAAAAGTAGCAATTAAAGAGCCATGGGCTTAGTGGTCAGATGCACATTTATTAGTTATATGACCTTGAGCACATATCTTAGCCTCTCCAAACTCGTTTCCTCTTTTTTAAAAAGGAGAAAAGTGATAGTACCTATTTTATGAGGTGGTTGTGAAGATTAATTGAGATGATCTGTGTTATACATTGAACACATTTCTGGTATGCAGTGAACACTTAATGGCTGAGATCAATTATTATCAGTCTTTAACAATTTCTTGAGTAGCCTGAAGATTGTATGAACCTGACAAGCATTGCCTCTTCAAGGTTCACAATAGTCCCTTAAAACCATGATCCTCTAAAGCTGATTTTGTAGTCTTGATTATGGCAGTGGAAGTCAACATGTTAATTTTATGGATGATGTATTCTTTATTTATTTAAATCTGGCATTGATGTTTATAGTTTTGTTGCTTTCATGCAGTTACTTCTCCATCATATAAAAAATTAGCTTAATTCTCTACATACATACATTATTTGTGATAATATGTTCAAAGAAGTTAGCATGAACTTTCCCTCAAACTATCCCCATTGCAGAAAGATAATCAGCACATAATTAGAGAGGAGTGAATTTCCTTACCAATGTTTGTAGTGGATGTGAAAGTTAACCAAGACCAGGAGCTACAACATGTCTAGGAGGAATTCATGGTAAAGTAAAAAGAGGCAACCTGGTTAGCTCCCACATTTGGACTCAAGGATCTCAGAAGAGTGAAGCACCTGAAGGTTTCTGGGAGTTTCTGTGGGAGCTGCAGAATCTTTGCTTCTGTTTCTGATTGAAAATGTATCAGAATCCTCAGAAAAGGAGGTGTTATTCTCTGATGTGCTCAGCCTGGTTGACAGCTGAGGGATCACTGGAGGAGCTGGGCCATGAAACCTCCTGCATGCTCATCTCCTTGGGGAAGGAGAGACAAGACAATTGGTTTTTTCTATTTCTTTTCTTAACCCCAGCAGGATGCACAATTAACAAACACCGACAGCCACAGAGCACACCTCTGAGACAACATCTTTCATTATAGTCCCGGAATGCTTGGATTTCATGAATCCCAGCACTGCCCTTGTTCCCCAAGCTTCAGATGGTTCAAGTGAACCTGTCAGGAAGCAGAACCAGTGTGACAATGAATAAGCTCCTGGCAGGAACCTCTGTAGCTCAGCCTCTCCCTGATGTAATCTGGGTTACTTGTGTTGCAGCAGAACTGGGAAGAAAGGACCCTGAAAAGTTAGCTGGTTCCAAGTGACCCTCCAAGGTATGGAGATGCTTTGGGGAGCTGGTGAGGGAGGCACAGAGCAGACTGGGGAGTCAACGGAGGGGCCAAGGTGTCCCGGTGGGGCTTATTAGAACCTGCCTGAAGGGAGGGTCTCCTAAGACACAAACCACCACTGTAGATCGTGTATTAGAATTATTCTCTAATCTTTATTCTGAAAGGGGAAGAGTGCTGGATTCAGAGCCCACCTCAGGGGAAGACAGGACCCTCTCCAAGATGGTTTCCCTAGAAGCTACTACCTCTCCCTGGAGGGTGGAGATATTTGCTGGTCAAAGGTATTTTCATGTTTATTTCTACTTCTTTCTTCTACTGGACATAGGAGGATTATGAATTTTATATTAAGCAATTATGCAATTTACAAACTAATGAGTTTATTACAATGTGGTCTTTGACCTGCTGGGGTTATGGTATAAACCCAAGGAAAATCTTGCCCAGGTAATCAGGGTGTGAGAACACGCTCACCTGTGTTCCAGCTGTATATGTCCACAGTGAATTGCTTTGGGGACACACAAAAATGCTCCTGATCATATGAAAAGTCTAGTGCCTAGTAGGCCATCCATAAACATTAGAATCTTTTCTTTATTTTTCTTTCCACACCCCGGTGAAGTGCAACAGATATAAATGACAAGCCTGTGAAAACAACAATTTTAGAACTTTTTTCCATATTCCTCATCATATGAACATCAGTTAGAAAAAGTCATTTTAAGGTAGAAAACAGAAAATGTGAGCTAAAACAAGTTAAATATAAGGTTTTTATGATGCCAAACAAACTAATTTAGGAAATGCATCGCCTCAAATTACATGATTTATCACATATCAAGTTGAAGAAGCTTAAGCTTCTAAAAATGGTCAGAGTAAACACATACAAAACGTAAAAGTATACGAAGGAAAATAACACAGACAGAACAGTCCGATCTTAGTAGAAATGGATATGCTTACAGATGTTTGCATGATACGCCAGTATGCAGAAATCAGGAAACTGCCTTTTGGGAGCAAGTAGTCAGCTGAAAGTTCTGTGAATAATGGCTTTAGAGAATTCATTTCTATATAACCAACACCTTAGGAACATTGGTTATAAACACACATTTGAGGGTATAAAAATTAAAAAGATAGAAAATAATTAGTAAGTAAGTATAACATTTGGGAATGTCACACAAACAAAAACTTAGCAAAAACCCTTTAGGAACATGAATATCAATAGCTATAACTCAAAATTGTCAATATTCTGTTAAAATTAAATTGAAATAACTTCTGTTGAAGACAGTAAAAATGACACAAAAGTATATGAAAGAACTCAGCACATAAACGACACAGCCAATATTAATTGAAATGAGAAATATTTACATGATCTTCCAGCATTGGGCATTTGATTTCATTGAACATTTATAACTTCTATGCTTAAAGTACTTTTAGAATTTGACCACAGAGTTCATTTGAGAGTAATACAGACAAAAGCTAACATAAGATGGGTGGGTTTAGCCACCTTACAGAGTAAATTATCCTAAGAGATGTTTTATAAAAGAGCAGCTAATAATGTTCGGAGAAACAGCCAAGACATAGGTAAATATATCTTCAGGATGGCATGACAGAAGTGGAATGAGAAGAGAGTGAAAATGCTAATGTTCTCAATTATATTTCATGAATAATTATGAGTTAAAAGGGCAGAAGTTCATCTGAAATCCTTTGAAACAGAGAACAAAAGAGAAATAATTGTAAGGACTTACTTTTAGGGTTTGTTTCAGCTGCTAGTGTTACCTTAACTAAGACAAATTCCTTAAAAGATGTGGGGTCTTCTTCCCTTGCACAATTGTCTCTGGACTTAACTGCCAGTGTGGGATTGCATTTCCCAGCCCTCTTATATTTAGGTGGGGTCATGTTCTTACAAAAGGTATACAAGCAGAAGAGATTTGTGCAGCTTCCAGGGCTGCAGTGGAAGGAGGGCATGCATGGAGGAGGAGGGCATGCCTCCTCCATGTTTGGCCTTCCCATCACTGGCTGGAAGTGAAGGCCTACAGGGCTCTAGGATGGCGGGACCATGCGATGGAAGGTGCCTGGGTCCCTGCATCACCAGTGGAAGGCTGTCTGTCATCCCTGCCTAGGACTTTACATGAGCAAGATGTAAAGTTTTATTTTGTTAAATCACTGTGATTTGGGAGTTTACCTGTTGCTGTTTATCCTACCTAATACATTATTTAACATTACTATGGCGATGAGAGGAATGAGGAAGGGCTAGTAACTCTAAAGCTAAGGTATTAGGAGCTCTCGAGATCAATTCATATTCTAAAAAGCATCAACATATGGCATGAAATACTGACTTTTTGCTTATGTCATGCAGTTATCTTAGAGTCTGAGGAGTCATGGTTTATTTTGTGTGCTATTTGGTTTCTCATGCAAACTATTTTAATTAATAATATAGGTTAACTTACTTAAACATAGCCCAATATTGAATAATAATGTAAGTGATACAAAATGATATTTTTGAGGAAACACTTTGATACAATTTAGCACAATCCAACAAGATTCTAAACTGCTTTTAATAATTGCTTAATTTTGGCTTTTACTAAAATATATGAGAAATGTGTACTGTTTTGAGAACTTAAGGGGCCAGACGTTTTTTGAGAAAAGGCTTTTTAGAAATTCTAACATTAATACGTGTTTCCTGTAATATTATTGAAAAACATAGAAGGGTTTATTTCTCCTAGTTCATTCCTCTGCCTAAAGCAACTTCTGTTGACTACTTAATGTACATCATTCCAGATCACGAAATTAAATACAGATGTATGTAAACACACATGTGCATACATGTGTACTCACATACACATATACAGGTGTACGAATTTATGTATAGCTAGGAGATTTCCCTGCACAAATGACAAAGTCTTATAAAAATGTTACTTGCTTTTTTCATTTAGCTATATTTGATGAGCTATTTTCATTGCAGCTCATTTTAGATAATACTTGTTCTATTTAATAGCTGTGTAACATTTTTCATAATTTAGTAATTTCAAAATTAACACTTGATCTTTTGAATTTTTGAAATCAATTTAATACCAAATCCATGTACACATTTCTTTGTGCAGTTACATATGTAAGTATTTCTGTAGAATGGATTCTTAGAATTAGTATGCGTGTTTTAAATGTTGGGTAAATAATTTCAGTTTTTTAAATCCAAAATGTGTGCCAATTTATACCTCCACCAACAATGTGTGAGTGTCATCAACATCACATGTAACACCATTTTCCCCTCACAATCTATTGAGTAAAAAAATCTCATTTTATAGTAGATTTCCTGATTGAGATAGATGACATTGTCATATTTATTGGTATGTTGTGTTTATTCTGTTGTCTGTATCTACATATTTTTGTCCATTTTTCTCATGGATTTGTGTATTACCCTTTTGGTTTTTTCACCTATGTTAAAATATATTAGCTGCATTACTATCCTCTTTCTTAGGATGAAATTTCAGGCCAGTCAAAAATTCAGGCTCATTTTTCTCAAGCTTTTAATCATGGGTAGAAAAGACTCCATATGTCCAGGCTGGAGGAGATTGGTATAACTTAGTATAATAGTTACAGACATAGTCTCTGGCCTTTGGAACACCTAAAGAAAAGTCCTCCTGTGCCACCTACTAGCTGTCTGAGGTGTACTTAACATCTCTGTGCCTTGATTTTTTTCATGTATAAATTGTATATAATAGTAATACTTCCCTCTGGCAATTGTTATGAAGATTAGATTAGACATAAATGCATATGTGTAAAACATTGTTTGATATGAAACAAGTACTCAATAAATGCCAGGAATTAATATTATTATGTCACTTGTGCAATGCCAGCACAAATGTACAGATCTGGGAAACTCTGTGAATAAAAGTTATTCTTAATCTTTTTCAAATAGGGTAATGAAACTGTTTTTACTTCCTTAGAGAGGACAGTTAATGTGAAACTTCTTTTGCCTTATTCTGCAAGTCTTATGCCATTCATAGTTCATACAGCATAAATATATTGAAATCAATAATTAATTTTGTGGTTACTCTTGAATTCCTACTATTTGTGAGGCTCAGGAGTTCGAGAATAATTCTCAAAAATTATTCTCAAAAATTCCATTTAATTTTGTCTCCTATGTAAAAGAAAAACAACATACATTCTAGGAAGTTAATAAAAAGGCATAGAATTTGAGAACTAAAAGGAACTTAACAATCATCTAGTCCGACATTTCATTTTATATGTGGGGAAACCAATGTGCAGAGGAATTAAGTGACTTCTCTAAGGTCATGCAGTGAGTAGGTGGTAAATTGGGAGAGGAACCCATAATTTTGTGAAATATATATTTGGTCTTTGTCCCCATTTCTTGGCGTACAGTTTCTAAAACTCTAGGAATCCCCAGAGTGATAAGAGTATCTTTTGTATGTTCTGTGGTTTGAATGTGTCCCCCAAAGTTCATGAGTTGGAAACTTAATCTCCAATGTAACAGTGTTGAAAGGTGGGACCTCTAAGAGGTGATTAGGTCATGAAAACTCTGACTTAATGCATGGATTAATGGTGTTGTCTCAGGAGTGGATTTGTTATGTGGAGATTGGGTTAGTTACAAAAGCAAGTTTGTCCCTCTCTCATCCTCTCACCTTTCACCATGCAGCAAGAAGGCCCTCTGCAGATGCTGACACCTTGATATTGGACTTCCCAGATTCCAGAACTCTGAGAAATAAATTTCTATTTTAAATAAATTACCCAGTCTGTGATATTCTGTTATAGCAACACAAAATGGACTTAGACGGTATGCTAATGAGATGACTGCTGGCAGGGAGCTCTGAAATAACTTTAGGATAGGGGCTGGTTACTACAAAAACAAAGGCATGTTTAGTGGGTTGGGACTTTCAGCCTATACCTCAACCTCTGGGGAGGGGAGAGGGCCTGAAGTTTGAGTTGATCACTAATGGCCAATGATGTAATCAATCATGCCTGTGTAATGAAGGCTTTACAGAAAACCAAACAGGGTTTGCAGACTTTCTTGATTGCTGAACACATGGAGGTTCCTGGAGGGTGGTGTGCCCAGAGAGGTCATGGAAGCTCCATGCCCCTTCTCCAATACCTCACCAGATGCATCTCTCTCATCTGGATGTTCATCTCTATCCTTTGTAATATCCTTCGTAGTAAATGGTCAAACTTAAGTAAAGTGTTTCCCTGAGTTCTGTGAGCCACTTTAGCAAATTAATTGAGCCTAAGGAGGGGGGTCATGAGAGTCCCAATGTATAGCCAGTTGAACAGAAGCACAGGTCGCAACCTGAGGCTTGCAATTACCATCTGTAGTGTTGGGTGGGGGGAACAGGCTTGTGGGATCTGACACTGTCTCCCAGTAGATAGTGTCAGAATTGAATTGATTTTTAGGGCATGCAGTCGGTGTCCATTGCAGATTGCTAGGTGTGTGGGGAAAAACCTCAATGTATCTGTTGTTAGAAGTAAATTGTTGAGTGACTGTGTGAGTATAAGCAAAGGAGTAGGAAAAGCACCTTTGGTTTTTTCAATATTTTAGAGAATCCAGATGTCTTGGCTCTGAGCCAGTCATCTGAGGACCAAACCAGGCCGTGCCTAGTAGTGAACCTCTTCTCTTGACCCAACAAGATTACAAAAATTAAAAACAAACAAATAAACAGAGACAGGTCAAAAAAAGTAAACAAAAACCAAAACAGCAAGTCAAATGAAAGCAGGGCTCTTAATCAAAGTTCATCAAGAAGGTAAGAAAAATTGATATGGTCTGGGAAAACATCAGAGCTGTGAGACAGCATTCCAACTCTTGTTTTTCTCCCACTTTTTCTTTTTTCTTTTCTTTTCTTCCCCCCCCCACCCCCCCCATTGAGACAGGGTCTTTCTCTGTCACCTAGGGTGGAATACAGTGGTGCAACCATGGCTCACTGCGAACTCAACCTCCTAGGCTCAAGCAAGTTTCCCATCTCAGCTTTTCAAGCAGCTGGAACCATAGGCGTGTGCCACCTCACCTGGCTAATTTTTTTATGTTTGAAGTTTTTTGAAGAGACAGAGTTTCACTATGTTGCCCAGGCTGGTCTCAAACTCCTGGGCTCAAGCAATCCTCCTGCCTCAGCCTCCCAAAGTGCTGAACTACAGATGTAAGCCATTGTGCCTGGCCTTCACTTTTTCTTAGGAACCATAGATTTAACAATGAATCTCTATATGATTAATATTCAAAGTGTGGTCTATGGATCCGCAGCATCAGCAAGGTATGAGAGATGATAAGAAATGCAAATCTCTGCCTATTTCATTTAGACCTGTTGAATCAGAACCTGTATTTTTGCAAGATCCCTGAATGATTAATATACACATTGACATGTGAGAAGCACTGGTCTACATTACCTAGCAAAGAGTAAAGAATGGTCCTACAGGTCAGTGATGGCAGTGCTCACTCTACATACCAAGGACACCATGGGGGCCAATTTAAGGTAGTGCATGCACTGACTTCCACTCCCAGGGTGTCATCCGTGTCATTTTCAGTAATTACAGTGCCTTATGCTCTACTCTTTGGCAAGACAGAGGAGGGGAACACTCTCTCCATGGCTACTGTGCCAGCACAATCACGTTGTGTCATACTATAACCATAGGGTTTGGCAATTTGGGACAGTCTTTTTGAAAGACCTATAACCTTTGTTCTATATGATAGGAACAAATATATATCATCCTAGTTTTCTTTTATATTAGTCTCGAAATATCCTCTCTGAATGTGTTTACAATTTCTCTGTGGCCACTGACAGATGAGATGTAGTTTATTAATATTCATCTCAGAAGAAACTTTTGCAAAAACGGAATGTATCTGGAGCTAAACATGATTAAATTGACTGACACTGTATTTAATTACATATTTTATGGAGATCCTTTTTTAAAAATATAGAAGTGTGGACTACATGATTACTCATTTATTTATTTAGTCAACATTTATTGAGTAACTACTATGAAACTGGCCTGGTCTAGCCACTGAAGATACAAATATCAATAGGCCCTTTCCAAAAGAATGGTTCTCAGTTAATGTAGAGTAGATTGACTGGACTACAGTTTTATTTCTACCACTTGATATTTCGTTGACATCGAGTAAATTAATTAATTCTCTAAACCTCAATTTCCCCTCTATAAATGAGGATATTATTAGTACTTAATTCACAGTGTTGATGTGAGGATTATATCAAAAACATTTAACATATTGTCTCGTACACAAGTGCTAAATAATTTTTAAGCTACAATTACTTTCTACTATTCTGTGTTATTCAGATAAAATGATTTTTATTTTTATTTTTATTTTATTTTATTTTATTTTATTTTTTTCTGAGATGGAATCTTGCTCTGTTGCCCAGGCTGGAGTGCAGTGGCGTGATCTTGGCTCACTGCAAACCCCGCTTTCCAGGTTCAAGCAATTCTTCTGCCTCAGCCTCCCAAGTAGCTGGAATTACAGGTACATGCCACCATGCCTGGCTAATTTTTTTGTATTCTTAGTAGAGACGGGGTTTCTCCATGTTGGTCAGGCTGGTCTTGAACTCTTGACCTCGTGATCCGCCCGCCTTGGCCTCCCAAAGTGCTGGGATTACAGGCATGAGACACCACGCCAAGCCCAAGGATTTTTAAAATACAGAAATCAGAATATAGTTTAACACTGACAATTGTGTCTAAGTACTCAGCAGATAGTTAAAGGTGCATGAATTGGTGCAGCCAGTGCTTAGTGAGTGCCTACTAGGTGCTAGGCAATGTGCTCATGTTACTGATAAATGAATGAATGGATTCCAATTCCTGCTGTTGCGGAGCTCCCCATCTTAGATGTGAAATTTGATACCTACCTGAGCAATGTTCTCAGGTAAACTTTCAGGTAAATACCACCTGAAAGATTATAACCATTTTAAATATCAATAATGAAACTGAATTCCTTTTTCTTGGGGCTGTTTTTAGATAAAATGCTATAAAACATCCATTTTAGTTCTCATCAATTGGTAAGGCACTGCTGTAACACTGCATTGTCGGTCTTCTCGTTCAGTGTTGTCTGTTTCACTCTCCAGCTCAACCCCAGAGTCCTCACGGCCATGCATCCCTGACCCTTGGAGTCACAGTTCTTTCTTGCGACCACTCCCCCACTTTTTTCACATCTCTGTTTAGAGTCAAGCTGCTTCCTTTAGAAGATGTATACCCCTTTCTATCTAAAGCTGAATATCCATAGTTTGGTCTTAATTATGTGTTTTCTTTCACTGTCACGAGTTCTTTGATCTTTATTCACAGATATGCTCTATAGAGGCCGTGCTGTGTAGTGGTTATGGCTATAGGGTCAGGGATCAGATTGTCTTAGTTCAATCCTGGACTGGGTAATTGTTAGCTGTGAGGTACCGGGCAAGTTGCTTAATCTCTCCGTGCCTCAGTTTCTTTATATGTAAGGTAGGATATTGATTATCTTCTGACTCAAAGTGTTATTTTGAGGATTAATTGAGGTAATACATGTAAAATTCTTAGAGCAGTGACTGGCACAAAGTAAATAAGCTCTGTGTGTTTGTGTGTGTGTGTGTGTGTGTGTGTGAGAGAGAGAGACAGAGAGAAAGAAAGAAAGAGAGAGAGAGAGACTGACTATGGGTGTGTTGGTTCTGGGTCTTAGCTGAACTAAATAGCCAGTCTCAGTGAGAACTACCTTTATTCTCATCTTCTTCATGTTCTGCATTTGTCTAGAAGTCCAGTGCTTTCATGTGACTCAGCACATAAGAGTCACCATCCAGGACAACCAGCCTCTCATACATGATCTCTGGTCCTCCACGCCTTAGAGAGAACAGATCAGCTCCCTGTGGCATACATCAGACTATAAAGAAAGCTTCCTTCTTTTAATAGTTCTGCCTTGGGATACATTTACCTTATCCTTTATTTGATAACATAGATATTAAAATTCTACATTGATGTGCTATGTACAGAGGCTGGGAGCCAGACTGTCTAGGGATAAGTCTGACACTTGCTGCTTTCTGGTTTGTGCATACATAAAATAGTGACAATAGGACCTTCTTCCTGGATTTGTTATGACTAAATGAAATGGCCCATGTAAAGTGCTATTAATATGTAGCATATGCCATTGAGTGGTGAGTCAAAATGTTAGCTATTATTACAAAAACTCATTTTGTTTTTACATTTAATAAGTTCTGCCTGGGTATCTTCACCCACAGGGAATAATAATGAGTTGGGTGGAGTACTTGTTAACCCCTAAGTGAAAGGCATACACTTATTTTGCTGAAAAAGTATTAACATGCTCTCTTGTAAAATTGAGAAAGACTCTGGAAGCAAGTGGCATCCTAATCTTAGGGAAGGTTAGAAAGTAGAATTTATAGGTAACACTCTGGGAAGCCACCTAAAATGCATGGGGACTCATCTCTAACCATTAGATTTGTAGTGAAGATTTGTTAAAGAAAATTAAAATGGAAACCAGACATGGAGAATCACTTAGATGATTCAGGCTGGGTTAGGTCACTTATGGAATCACTTTTCCTGGAGCAGGGAAAGCCAGTTAGGCCTCATAAGTGACCTAACCCAGACTGATTTGCAAACACAAGTGAAAATTAACTTGAACTATTTCTTATAAATACTTGTATTAAAGCAAAATGAAATTTAAGATTAACCACTCAGAAGCTGCCAACTAAGTTATATAACTAAAGACTTTCCAGCAGTATAGGCCAACTAAGGCAATTGTATAAAGGTAACCAATCAAATATTTTCTTTGCTTTAGTTCCGTGGTTGTCCTGTAAAAGCCCTCCCCTTGCATTCCTTTAGTGGAGCCCATGAACCACTTATAGTTTGGAGCTGTCTGATTCATGAATTGCTATTTGCTCAAGTAAACTCTTTAAAATTTTATTGTGCCTCAGTTTACCTTTTAACAGGAAAATAGATTGGCTCAGCAAAAATTTCTTCACCACCATGGTTGAAGAGCTAGCTACATACCTACACTGTCTGGTGAAATTTCCTTTTTCAGGGGTAAGACATTCTAATGAGGGAAATGATCCACAACTGGACTAACCAAGGTGGAAGAGCTGATGAAAAGACACTGGAGAATCACGCTTAGAGACAGATGTGCATATGTACAATACACAGCTCAACACTCAATGTTTTCTGAAGAAACCATAAACAACCCAAATAGTTTTCTTGGATACTCATTTTCAGCCTTTTCAACAGGGAATGCCCAGTTTTGCCTCTTTGCCAGCTACTAGCTACTGAGTTTACCCTGAACTTTGTAAACACTGTTCACTGTTCCCACACGGTCTGTAGTGTTCTTTTGCTTCTCTTCTCTCTTTTCCCTTATATATGTTCTTTTTGTTTTCCTTTTTTGTTTTCTTTTTTGAGACAGTGTCTCCCCGTCTCCCAGGCTGGAGTGCAGTGGCGCAATCTTGGCTCACTGCAACCTCTGCCTCCCAGGTTCAAGCAATTCTCATTCCTCAGTCACCAGAATAGCTGGGATCACAGGCATGCACCACCACGCCCAGCTAATTTTTGTATTTTTAGTAGAGATGCAGTTTTGCCACATTGTCCAGGCTGGTCTCAAACTCCTGGCCTCAAGTGATCCACCCACCTCAGCCTCCCAAAGTGCTGGGGTTACGGACATGAGCCACTGTGCCTGACTTATCTCTTCTTTTAAGTTTGTTCCTTCACTCAGCCTACTAGTTAACTCCTGTACATGAGTTAATAAGTTTTACACAAAATTTCTCAGCGCATGCAACACAACTAACTAAATCCCTCTATTTAACAGGGAAAGTGCAATTGTGTGAGAATGGACAAGTGTGCTGCTGGGTTTTGGGAATCACTTCTTTGGCTGAACCTTTTTATTTTCTTTTAAATCTTATGACATATGCCGTTAGTGAGTTTATATAGTTCGGTGTATTAGTCTGCTTTCACACTGCCATAAAGAACTACCCGGGACTGGATAATTTCTAAAGAAAAGAAGTTTAATTGGCTCACAGTTCCACATGGCTGGAGAGGCCTCAGGAAAGGTACAATCATGGCAGAAGCCACAGGGGAAGCAAGGCACGTCTTACCATGGCACAGCAGGAGAGAGAGAGCAAAGGGAGAAGTGCTGCACTTTTAAACCATCAGATTTCGTGAGAACTCGTTCACTATCAACAGAACAGCAAGGGGGAAATCCCTCCCCATGATCCAATCACCTCCCACCAGGTCCCTCCGCTGACATGCGGGGATTACAATTTGACATGAGATTTGGGTGGGGACACAGAGCCAAACTATATCATTTGGTTAAAGAAGTAAGTGGCCTGTATTTAACTTTTGGGACTGGGAAAATGAATTAAAATAATTCTTTATTTTACAGATATTAAAGTAATTGTGAAATAAAAGAAAAAATTGTCTGATAAAACCACATCTCATAGAAACCCAATGAATGCAACACATCTAAAATTTTATCTGCAAAAAACGAGAGAAGACTTGCCCTTCTGTCAGTAAAGCACAGATAAAGAGAAGTAAACTTTTCTGGATTGAGGCAATAATTGGGCATCAAGAGTCCACGTGACAACTGAGGCTGGCAGTTCAAATGTCACACCTCTTAGGAATGACTTTCCTTGCACAGTGCTCTCCTCAGGGCACCCTTGACCTCTACATTCCTCAGGTTGTAAATCAGGGGGTTTAGCATCGGGTTGAAAGAACTGTAAAATAGAAAAAGGACCTTCTGCTGCTCCTCAGGATGGCGGGACTTAGGGGCCATGTACATGACGATGGCGCTGCCAAAGAAGAGTCCCACTACGCAGAGGTGGGAGGAGCAGGTGGAGAAGGCCTTTCTGCGGCCCTCCCCAGACTGGATCCTCAGGATGGCCGCCAGGATGTGTGAGTAGGAGACCAGCACCAGGCAGAGTGGTCCCACCAGGATGAACATGCAGGCTGCAAAGATGACCACCTGGTTGAGCCAGGTATCAGCACAGGCCAGCCTGAGGACAGACAGGATTTCACAGAAGAAGTGGTTGATTTCACGAGGCCCACAAAAGGGCAGTCTTAGGATGAGGCTCACATGGACCATAGCCAGGAGGGAGCCACATGTCCAGGAAGTGATGGCCAGAGTGATGCAGACTTTCCAGGTCATGATGATGAAATATCGGAGAGGGTGGCAGATGGCCACGTACCGATCGTAGGACATCAGCACCAACAGGAGGCATTCAGTATGTGCAAAACTCAAAAAGAGAAAGGTCTATGTCATGCAGCCAGCAAAGGAGATGGGCTTGGCTGGATGCAGGAGGTTCACCAGCATCTGGGGCACTGTGTTGCAGGCATAGGCGATGTTGACGACGGCCAGGTGTGAGAGGAAGAAGTACATGGGGGTGTGGAGTCTGGAGTCCAGTGAGATGAGCCCCAGGATGGTCCCATTCCCCAGCAGGGTGAAGACATAGAACAGGGAGAAGAGCCCAAAGAGGAGCATCTGAATCCTTGGGCCCAGGAGAAATCCCAGTAGGAGGAACTCTGTGACCATTGTCTGATTTTTCACCATTTCACTACTAAAAAACAAACAAAGAAACAAACAAAAAACAAGCAGCTGTGTGACACGCTTTTTTTTAAAGTCTATTTTATTTATTGTTTTATAAATTTTTAGTTTGTGGAAAATTGTTAGTAAATGTCTTTAAGAACTCATTCAGTTATACATAAGTAAAGTTTTACTTGAAAACTTGCTGTTAATTCAAGTCCTTCATATTTGTAACAATCACTATACCTGAAATCCCAAATGCAAGAAATTGTTTTTCAAATAGAAAAAGTGTAGCTGACTTCAGCAACAAGAATTGCAATATACTATATAAGTAACCAACGGAAGGAAATTATTGACAAATCAATAATTCAATTTGGCACTTGACAAATGGCAGCATCAATGAATTAGCAGTAAGATGCTTAGCCTGTGAGTTGGTGGTGTGCTGAATTGATGAATTTGTTTTTTTGACCTTGGATCTTGGATCACAGTTTCCTTAATGAACTTCAACATGGTTTTTGGTGCAAACATTTGTCAATGCCATTGCAAGAACAAAATAACTTGAGTCTTATCTACTTTAGTGAGATTAAAGTGAGGAAAGGCACTGTTTTTGGCCAGTCCCTAGTTTAATTTTTGTCAGTACTAACTGGGATATAAAGGTGTGTTTCCCGAGGATATAAGAGACAGACTTGCATTCTGAGAAATAAATTTGTGAAACCCACATGTAACTGATGAGAATAACAATCTAGAGGTGAGAAACACGACACTTTCAGGAAACATTGAGTGGAGAGTTTGAGGAGCCTCCAGAAGGCCACTGCGGGTGCTTTGATGAAATCTCTGGGAGGCACAGCAGAAGAATGTGATTCATTCAGTGAGCCCAAGTGTAGTCGGTTGTATGGCGTGCCTGTCTGGAGGAAGACTGTAGGAAAAAGAAGGCAGGTGACCAATATGGAGTGTAGTCATCAGGCCAGAGGGGCAGCATTTGGCAATGCATCCTTAATGACATTCAGGGTAAGGAAAAAGGGGAACCAGCTGCACCAGGATCCTAGCCATCTGGTGATTCTATGTCTACAGTCTGGATAGATGGTTTGGGTAAATAGCCCTAGCTAGTAAAATCTCTAATTAGCCCCTCTTGCTCTGATTTCATATTCATCAATCAACTGTTAGGTAACAATTTATCTTCTTGAGCAGTTATTTCTACAAAGAAGAAATGTGTTGAGTACTAAACTTCTTGACTCCTTTTGCAGTCACATTTTCAAGTTTAAATAAATGAACATTTAGGTATCCTGGCTTATGCATTTTCCTCTTTTGCTTTTGGGTTGTATGATGCAGTTCCTGAACAAAATTCCCAAAGCTGAATCTAAAATGTGAGGACCAGACTCTGGGTCAAGGAAACCTCATTGAAGCAAGAACTGGGGAAAGAGACAGATTCCTTTCTAACAGCAACAGATGAGATATCTATTTTCTTATAAGCATTATTGATAGGTGATCAAGTTACCTTGACACAAAAATAATCTAAATAACAAATTAAAAATTCCTCACTTGTGACCAGGACTTATTAAATTTTAGGTTGATAGTAAAAATTTCTCAGTAGGTGCCGTCATATGCACCTGTAGTTCCAGCTACTTGGGAGGCTGAAAGCAGGAGGATAGCTTGAGCCCAGGAGTTCCAGGACAGCCTGGATAACATGGCAAGCCCTCATCTCATAAAATAACATAAAATAAAAAATTTCTGTGTTTATCAAACTTTCTAAATTTATTTTTTAAGCTCATAAGGCATAGAAAAATATTTGACTGTGAAAGATGTATTCAAACCCACCCACTTATAAAATAATAATTTCCTTTCTCAATTTTTCATTTCCCTCAAAAGGAAGACATAAAGGAAAAAAGAAACACAGTAAAAGCCATGATTTTTTGAAGCCAACTGAAAGACAGGTGTAAAAGAAGGAAAATAAGGTACCTCATAGTCTGAGTATTCTTTCAGAACAGTAGTCCTGTTTGATTCAGCCTTGATTTCTTTTAAAGAAATGGAGAGGGCATGTTCATTTTTATATCCCTTTAATTGTGTATGTTAATACACATTTTCAAATGACATATAAATATAAGCAAATGAATTAATAACTAAGTATTGATGTCCTTATATTAGATCTGGTTTCTTTTACAGTATAGTCAAGTATAATTATGCCAAATTCAGCCCCTTCTTCCCAAAGGGAATAAAATGCTACAATTCAGGAGAATTTCATCCCTAATGATCTGAATTAAAATGAAATTTTAAAAATGTGTCAAGAACAACGGGAAGATTCATAAAGTGTTTAAACACTTGAATTTTGAATCACTTCTCTTTTATCTATTTTTTTCTTATTTTATTTGATACCTATGTGACATACTTATTGTTAATTAAAGACAATCAAGAGGAAACCAAACAGAGTAAATTTCTAGGGGGTTGGAAGGAGTGGACTGGGGGATTTTGCTCTACCTTGACACACGTTGTAATTCCAAATGTACCTTTCAGGCATAGAGATGTACATTAATTTATATGTGTACAATTTCAGAATTTAAAAAATGACAGATTATCTGGCTAATACATGGTAAGGAAACTAGAATTTTAAAGTAAATATCTAAGAAGGCATTTGTTGCTGTATATATAAGCAAAACAGCGTAACTTTATGGAACCTGCATTTTAAAAAGCAAATCTCAAAATTTAATGATCTGTCAGGTTCTTTTTTAAAATCTTGGGCATGGGTAAAGCAGAATCGCTGAAGTGATTACCTGTAGTTAATCTGTAGCTCAGCTGAGCTGCAGGGCTGTTTACTTGTAAGTAACAAGTGAGAAATGAAAACTAAGTTATCTTATTGCTTACATAGTTATGAGCCAAGACTTTGCAAAGTTGTCTTATGGAGTCAGAGTTGATAATGTAAGTACGTTTTCTGGATATAAGAACTATCGTGGACCATGAAGAACTGAGTGTCAGTTTCATGTAACGACCATCTATTCAATAATCTGCTAGAGGTTGATAACAATTGATCCTACTCTTGAGTGCTTCCTGTGAACTGGGCACTGGAGGAACACAGTGTAGCAAATTGATGGTTCTGAGCTTGTGAAGATTTCATTGTGAAGATGTGCCTCGGGAGGAAAAGCAGAAATAAATAAAAAGGTACACATTAAACAAAAATCCTATAAAAAGAAAATTTAAAGTATTATTAATTATTACATCGTTTTCTCACTTTGCTCACTCGGTATAAATCAAGGACCCTCTCATACCTGGGAATGAGTTTTGTATTCCAGCCTAGAAGTAGAGCCAGTCCCAGTTTGAACTTTTTGCCTTTCTGTACTCCCAGTTCTTACCCTTTTGCTGAGCCTAGGACACATGCAAGGCCTGCCCTTCTTAATCCAGATTTTTGAGTCTTAATCCCAATTTTTCCTATAGTTTCCCATACACTCCATGGCAGCTTAGAGTAGGCTGAAAACTGCTGAACTGTTTAAGACTTAATCTTTCAGAGTAACATGGCAGAAGTAGCACACTTTTTTAACATAAAGCTGTTCAGGACTCTATTACAGAAGAGGCTATACTTCCTTAATTACATTCTATTCTACAGCCACCTCAAAATAACTAGTGAACACGTTCAACCAGGATCATTGGCAACAGCCAATGGGCACAGTGATCTAGAAATGGTCTAGCCAAGCTGTTTGGGCTGTAGACCATGGCATTCCTAAGAGCTAAATAGGCAAGGAGTCCATTAATATTTCACTTGACTTATGTCACCATGGAAACCCCTGGAGTAGTGAATGGCTTTGGGGAGTGGTCAGATTCAACCAAAAATAACAGAAATCTCTGTCCCCCAGGTAAAGGATTCCTACTTTGTGTGTGTCTGTGTGTGCACACAGGCACACTCGAGAGACTTTTGGCATTCTTTGAAGTCACTGGAGGGGCACAGAGATAAACCCACTCAGCCTTGGCCTCCAAGACTAACAGAACAAAACGTTTCCCTGAAAGAATAAAAAAAAAATACAGGCATAAGAAAACACACAAACATGGGCTTAGAGATTTAAATACACACACACACACACACACACACACACAGGCCCTAGAAGGAACATACACCCTGAGATACGCACTCATTCTAAAATAAACTCGGGAATACAGAAGGACACGGGCATGTCCTTTCAGAGAGGCACACTTCTAGGCCCTAAGTAGGAGAAGGAAGAGGGGAGAGGAAGAGGCAGGGAGAGGGACAGGGAGGGGGGAGGAGGGAGGGAGAGAGAGAGAGAAACGAAGAAGGGGGCGGAGGAGGAGATGGAGGAGACACTCTTTATTCTATAGGAGGAGACATCACGGAAGAGAAATCAACACTGAGGCCTTGGCCGGGCGCGGTGGCTCACGCCTGTAATCCCAGCACTTTGGGAGGCCGAGGCGGGTGCATCACCTGAGGTCAGGAGTTTCCAGACCAGCCTGGCCAACATGGCGAAACCCGGCCTCTACTAAAAAATACAAAAATTAGCCGGGCATGGTGGCGCGGACCTGTAATCCCAGCTACTCGGGAGGCTGAGGCAGGAGAATCTCTTGAACCCGGAGACGGAGGTTGCAGTGAGCCGAGATCGCGCCATTGCACTCCAGCCTGGGCAACAGGGCGAGACTCCGTCTCAGAAACAACAACAACAACAACAACAACAACAACAACAACGAACAAACCAAAAACCAGTGAGGCCTGAAGATAAAGACACATGTACAACCACGGATGTCAGACTTCCAGAGGCACGGCCAAGGCAAAAGACAAACACATACAGACTGCAGCAGGCAGACAGGCCGGTTCCAGAGTCAGGCTCCGGTGAAGCTCCGAAGAAACAAACACGCAGGGAGATTTCGGAGGCGTCCGAGGACACCGTGGGGCCCGGCTGGCTCCCTCTGTCTCTGTGCGCGCCCCTTCCCCGGGTCACCCCGCCTGCGCCCGACCTGCGCCCGCGCACCGCGCCCTCGGGGCTCCCTGGGACAGCCCGCGGCCTGGCCCGTGCGCCCGGGCTCCCCTCCCCGCCGGCCCGGCACTTCCCAGCTCTGACGCGGGAGCTTCTTTCACACCAATGGGGCTCGCGCGCGGAGGGGCCCTGCCCCTCCTCCGGGAAGGTGTGTCCCTGTTTCCTCACCTGAAACTTCCTAGGAGAACCCGATCCCTCCCTCCCGTCGGGCGGCCAGGGGCGGGCCGCGGGTGGGGCGGCCGGGCCTGCGCTGGGGACGGCTCTGGGGACTGCGGCCGGCGCCGGGACCTGGAGGGGACGCTGGGGCCGAAGCAGCATGTGACACCGACCAGGTGGGTGCCCTCCTCCCGTCTCGGCCCTGGGCTCCCGGCGGCTGTGGAGCCCGGCGGAGGTGGGGCAGGGACAGGAAGGAAGAGGAAGCCAGGCCTTTCCCAGGGATCAGCCCCCGCTGGGTCCGGGGCGCAGGCTCCGGAAATGGGGGGGCTGGGCCCGCAGGCAGGGCTCGGGGTGTGTGGCTGAGGACCCTGGTGGGGAAGAGGAGAGGAACTAGAGGAAATGTTGTTGCCTACAAGTTTGCTTCCGGTCGGGTCCCGCCTAGGAAATGGGCACCCTGCCCCCAGACGTTCCCCGGGCCAATAATCAGGGCTCTTTCTTCAAAGTAGGCGCCCTGGGGAAAGCTAAGCCATATCAGAAGGAATAACTGAGATTCCCTTTCTAGGCTGTTCCTTACCTGGAGAGGTTTTATCGGCTCCTTTTCCTTAACCAGGCCGGGGCCTTTCCTTATGTATCTCCATAGGTATTTGCATACTGTGTGAGTCTATGTGTAGCTTCTCTCCGTGTTAACCAAAGCTCCGTAACCTGGAACAGTGAATCCTGCCCTGCCCCTCACCCCAGTTCCCTACATATGGGGAGCCTCCTAAAGCTTGATGTGAATCACAACGTTGCATTCTTAGCAAGGTGGAAAGAAGTTATTTAGAGTTGGGGGCTGAGGTAGGCGTTGGGGTGCTAGAATGCGGACGCAGAGCTCTAGAACCCCTGAGCATCTTTTGCAGTTGCCTTCCGGCAAGACTACCGGAGGAGAGCCAGTTGTGATACTACGTCATTTCCAGATCTCAGTCCCTTTCTTCCCTTCCTGGATCTTGGGTTCCAAAGACAGATTTGCCCTCCTGTCTACCTAGAAGTGAACTCTGGCCAGGACTCTTGTCTGGTTGAGAGAGAAGGGTGTGTCAAACAGATGAGAGAGGGTGGTTTTCCTTTCGAGCTTCCTCCCTAGCTTGCTCCCCTACTGCACTCCACTGTCTGGCCTTGCATCTTGGGCCTAATCCAGAGGTCCCAGCTCCAGCTAAAAAGCTCTTGATGTGGCCTCTGTCTCAGACGTCTTGTTTTATCCACATTTGGAGCATGAAGAAGTTCCTGGCATAGGCCTTAGCAAAATGGGTGTCATTTGTTAACCAATCTGTGGGCCTAAAAGTGAAGCCGTGGCTAGTGAAGGAGTCCTGGGGAGCTGGGAAGATGGGATGAGGGCGTGTCAGTTCTGGGTGAGACTGATATGCAGGAGGAATGTATGTCATGGTCCTAGTGGGGAGGAGAGAGAAATCAGGAGGAGTGCAAAGGAATCCCTCTCATCAACAGAATATAGTGATTCTCAATAGAGAGAAGAGTGTTCATATATTAGAGGTCCTGAGAGTGTATCAGTGCCCTTAACGCGGTCTGTCTGAGGTTCCGTGGCCACGTTACACGTGGTGTCTGTGGGATAGACAGGAATACGTCATTTGTGGTGTCTGGAGAGGTCAGTCGCTATGTGGTATGGACAGGAATGGAGTCACTCGTAGGGTCTTGGGTTCAACGGGAGCAGCATTACTCAAGTGTCAGTGGTGTAGACAAACAGGTGACCAACAGCTCTAGTGTAGACAGGGGCTGGGTCACTCACAGTGTCTGTGGAGTAAGCAGGAGCCGATCACTTATAGTGCCTGCAAGGTAGACTGGAACAAAGTCACCCTCAAGGTCTGTGTTAATACACAAACACGTCACTCACACTAATGTTATCTGTGTGGATGCCACCAGGACCACAGATGAGATTGTAGAGTGTAAGTCAGCATTGACACTAATAATGTTCTTATATAAACTATCTGGTCTATAAGGCAGTTGGTGTGACATTTTCAGACATTAGAGAATAGATAAATGTGTATTACAGCTTTCACTGGCATGGTGGGACTTTCCTGCAATGGATAGAACACACACTGTAGTAGTCAGTGATCCAGAAAGCTACCCCTGTTTTGATATCTTTGTAGTATTGAGGGCAGTGATGTCAAACAGTGAATAAAGTTATATATCTATGTGGTGATCTTATTTTAACCTCAATATTATTTTAGTGATTTGTAAGTCAGAATATTTGAAATCAACCTTGCTAGAAAATCCAGGAAGCATGGTCCTCAAAAATATATATATGGCACTGAGTCTCAGTTCAAAGATTTGGCAGTTTGATTGGGGAGGGGTTGTATCCTTGAAATACAGTGTTGTTTCTAGTGACTAGAAATAGACAAGAGCTAAGGTGTTGGGGGGGGCTCTAGGGAAGATAGTGAGCTCTGTCACACATTATGTTAAAGGGATGACTTGAAGCTTTGCCTCTCAAGAAGTCACACGTGGGTGAGGTTATGTGGATGCAGAATGTCTGTGGTCTGAAGCAAGGCCGTATCCCCATAATCCCATGCCCTGGCTTTGCCTGTACACAGATAAACAGTGATTATTCACCCTCAGTGGAGAAGGAGATGAGGATGTTTGCACTCTAACGTAATGAGCATTGCAAAAAACTCTCTCCTGATGCCTTTACGTGAGTAAGACCATGATTTACAGATTTCCTTTCACTTTGTCACATTTTAGCTTTGTCATGCCTGATTGCAACGGGATCACTGAGATAGGATCAAGTATAGGGAACGTGGGGTATGTTCTCCCTTTGCGGTAACTGGTGGCTGAGCAGGTGACCACTGATATTTCCAAATGAAAAAAGACAGTTAGAAACGGTGTCAATGGGCTTGCAGAGGCAGGCATGCACTGTGCCACTAGATTGGAACAGAAAATGTCCAGGTAGCACATGGTATTTATAGATATACCCTAGATATGGCAGAAACACACTTTTATTTAGAGGCTACTTGTTTTGAAGACGTGATGGTGTATATGGAGGAGAGGGCCTGAACCATGCAGATGTAAGTGAGGAGAGACTACAGGTTTAGTCCCATGGTCTCCTTAGGCCAAGTTTCAGAAAGTGTCTTAAAGTAAGCAAGTATATTATTCGATGTGTGGTTGAGAGAACAGGGCCACATCACAGAATCACCCATAGGGATTATAGTATTTTGTACTTAAGGGCTAGACATAGGGAGCCAATCGCATATGGTGTCAGTTAACTGGAAAAGGACATAAAAGTCCTTCTGCCTGTGTACAATTATGTCAGACATATCTCTTTGCCCCATATAGATGGTATCTCTGTCTCTGGGATGGCCAGAATCTTGTCACATACTACTCTGCAGTGTGCTAGGGACCTGCCTGTTTGGTTATGTCAGGCTCTATTGCAAGAGTTTGTAAGGATGGCTCAGTGTGTGTGTGTGTGTGTGTGTGTGTGTGTGTGTGTGTGTGTACACAGTGGCTAAGCAGGACAGTATTCTGAGCAGGTGAGTTTTCAGTTTAAGCCTGGACCAGACAAGAAAGGTGCACGGTCAGGTGCAGCATTGGGTCCATAGAATTCTGGGGTCTTCTCTGGACTGATGGCCTGCCAGCTTTCTTTCAGTAGGACCTCTAAGTGCTTACAGGAGACTTAAGTCAAGCGACTTTGCTTCAGGTTTGCCCATACCATTTGCTTAGGAGATTTGAGCAAGGGTCTAGGGTCTTTGACCTTTAGTTTCTTCATCTGTAAATTGAGCAGTTTCTGTGTGTCTCTGAAGGTCCTTCCGGCTTTATGAATCCTGTGTTTCTCTCTTACACTTATTCTCTGTCTCTCAGGTCAACAGTATTTACCACAGCCACCATTTCTATGACCCTTAAAGATAGCAGTGTACATTTTTATGTTACCTTATTTAATCTTTACTAGAACTGTGAAGGAATCCTTTTATCTCCTTTTTAAAGATAAGAAAATGGATGTTCAAATAAATTTAATGGTTTCTACAATTGTCTTAAAACCAGCAAAGATACCAGAGAGGCACAACCAAACACTGATCCACACTCTTCTAACTCTATATTCTTCCGTCATTCATTCACACGATACATCTTTGTTGAGGGCCAACTAGGCTTCAGGCAGAGGGGGTTATATGGCAGTGTTTGTCCCTTCATGGTGCTCATAATCTAGCCTGGAAAATAGACATTAAATATGACATGACAAGTGCAAGGTGTGTTTGAGGAGAAGCAAAGGATTCTCTGTTGCAAAAGAGGATTCCAGGCAGAGGAGCAGTGTCTACAAAGGCCTACAGGTGAGAGACACAGAGAGAAGTGAGCTAAAGACACTGAAAGCCAGTGGGAGAGGGGGGGATGGGGGCAGGGACAGATGGTGACAGGTGAATAGGCTGCTAGAGAAGAAGGCAGAGCCAGGTTGTGCAGGGAGTATAACCCATGCTGAAGATTTGGATTTCATCTCAAGAGCATTCAGAGGCTGCTGAAGAATCTAAGCTAGAACTGGTGCTTTTGAAGCTCACTTAGGTGCTGTATGGAGAAAGGACTGGAATAGCGTGAAATGGGTGGAGGCCAGTGCCCAAGCTGTGGCCAGGTGCAGTGGCCCGGGCGAGACGGTAGCAGCATGCACCAGTGGAGAGGGATGGGATAGAAGTGGACAGTCTTAAGGGATATTTAGCAGACGAGGTCAATAGCACATGGTGATTGATTAGATATGGGGAATCTGGGCCAGGAGGGAAACAAGAATTTTATTTTATTTTAATTAATTAATTAATTTATTTAGAGACAGAGTCTCACTCTGTCACCTAGGCTGGAGTGCAGTGATGTGATCTTGGCTCACTGCAGCCTCTGCCTCCTGGGCTCAAGGGATCCTCCCATCTCAGCCCCCAAGTAGCTGGAACTACAGGCACGTGCCACCATGCTCCACTAATTTTTGTATTTTTTGTGGAGACAGGGTTTCACCAGGTTGTCCAGGCTGGTCTCAAACTCCTAGATTCAAGCAGTCAACCTGCCTCAGCCTCCCAGAGTGTCAGGATTATATATATAAAGTGCATTGGGAAACTCAGTTTTTCATCTGTAAAATGGGCAGAATAATGGTACCCATCTTATACGATGACTCTTAGATGTATGGCACATACATATTTAAAGAAGCATTTCATTATTTTTAATGACATGTATGCAGGAAAACCTTAGTGTTTCAGAATGAAAAATAAGAAAAATTAATTTGTTGTGTATAGAGCTCTAAATGTTTAAAGTTCTGTGTAAACTGTTAATCATGATTTTAGGAAAAGGTGGGCATATTCCATTGAAGTAAAAGGATCACATTTTATTCTGACCTGAACTTTATTCTTTATGTGAAAAATATTTATTAAACACTGAGTATAGGCCACTATTCGGTTAAGTATGGATAATTCAGCAAGTCATAGTTCTTAATCTCATAAATTTTACTATCTATTGGTTGCAATAGAGGGTAACTCAAAATACACACATCATTATATAATTATAATTGTATAAATGCTACAAAGGAAAAGTAAAGTGAATTATAGTTGGTAAGTGCTACAAAGCGGGGTACAATTTAACCTAGTTAAAAGATCAGGGGAGGCCAGGTGCAGTGGCTTACGCCTATAATCACAACACTTCGGGAGGCCGAGGCGGGTGGATAACGAGGTCAGGAGATTGAGACCATCCTGGCCAAAATGGTGAAACCCCGTCTCTACTAAAAGTACAAAAATTAGCTGGGTGTGGTGGCACACACCTATAGTCCCAGCTACTCGGGAGGCTGAGGCAGGAGAATCGCTTGAACCCGGAGGTGGAGGTTGCAATGACCCAAGATTGCACCACGGCACTCCAGCCTGGGTGACAGAGCAAGACTCCATCTCAAAAAAAAAAAAAAAAAAGAAAGAAAAAAAAAGACTGGAGGAAACTGAAGGGGTAAAACCAGGAAAATGTAATACCACAAGTAACAAGAGAGTATTTCTAACCTCAGTACTGTCAAATACTGACAAGAACCACCCAAAATGAAGATCCATAAGGTCTTCTTTGGAATTAACAACATGTCGATTGTAGGGAATATTGGCAGAATGCCGCTATCAAAGCTCAGTTGGAGGCAGGTGGGATGTGAGAGTATGAAGACAGCAGATAAGAGCAACTCCTTCTAGTCATTTGAAAGATGAGAAGAATGTGGGAATGCTTCCATACCCCAGGGGTTGTTCAGCAGGGATGTTGAAGGTATGAGTGCACAGTGTTCCTGGGGAAGCAGGCAAGAAATGACAGAGCATGGAAAGGAGGGATACGTCTTTTCCTGACTGAGGGCGGAAGATAGAAAGAGTGGAAATACAGGTTGCTTTGGATCGCAAGAAATTGAGGTGAGAGAAACCCAGTTCCATCAGTTTCTATTTTCTTTGCAAAATAGGAGATGAGGTGTTCTGCTGGAAGTGAGAAGAAAGGCAGGAAGGTCGAAATCAAAAGACAGGAAGGTCAAAAGAATTAATGAGAAGAGTTCATATGGATACTGAGGCCAAGGGGAGAGTAAGGTGATGCAGAAAGCACCCTTCTGTGGTCTTCCTTCAAGGTGGTAATGTGTCTAGTTCAACACTAATCCAATAAGGCTGTTATCATCCCACTTTACAACAGCTGCCTCTAGAATTGGAAACAAAACTGTTAGTTACAATGCTGTAGTAGACACTATGGAAAACAGAAAGATGAGTAAACTCCAAACCCTCTGTAAAGAAGATGAAACCATAGCACCTCACACATTGGCTATCATAGCCTGGCCTATTTTAACTGATGTCCACAGCTTAAGAGGAAGACCCTCTCCTGACACTGCTTCTCTGGCCTAATAGATCTGAGGTGTGTCCCTTGCTGTGTCTGGGAGTTATATGAGGATGAGTCACTCCTAGTGTCCGAAGAGTAGACAGGGAGAGACAGAAGATGACATAATGGAGTCTAGAGAGAACTGACAACTGGGAGCTTCTGGGCACTCTCTGACAATGGTCCTCTGCTATAATTTAATTGTTCATTATGACCTGTTTCCCTCACAAGACCACAGTCTCCATGACGACAAGATCTTTATCTCATTCACTACTGAATGCCCCACACTTAACAGGGTCGCTAGGAAAATATTTATGAAATAAATACATCAATGACAAGTTTTTTAGAGGCTATTGCTTATTTTGTTGAGAACCTGTTGTCTCAAAGAATGACCCTAAATGGAACCAAATAAATGCATCACTCTTCTTTTTTATGGTCTCTTCCTCTGATAGGTAAAAGCAGAGTTGTTAGAAACATTTGTCTTTGATTCCTCCTTAGGATTCAGCCCTGATGGAGGCTGAGGAGGCCCAGCGTGGAGCCTCTCCTCCCATCTCTGCCATAGAGGAATTCAGCATTATCCCTGAGGCTCCCATGAGGAGCAGCCAGGTCTCTGCCTTGGGGCTTGAAGCTCAAGAAGATGAGGACCCATCCTATAAGTGGAGAGAGGAACACAGACTCTCAGCAACTCAGCAGAGTGAGTTAAGGGATGTGTGTGACTATGCGATTGAGACGATGCCCTCTTTTCCCAAGGAAGGTTCTGCAGATGTGGAGCCCAATCAGGAAAGCCTTGTGGCTGAGGCCTGTGACACTCCGGAACACTGGGAGGCAGTACCCCAGAGCCTAGCAGGCCGACAAGCAAGGACTCTAGCTCCCCCAGAGCTCTGGGCCTGCCCCATTCAGAGTGAGCATCTAGACATGGCCCCATTTTCCAGTGACCTGGGAAGCGAAGAAGAGGAGGTGGAATTTTGGCCAGGACTTACTTCTTTGACATTGGGATCTGGACAGGCAGAAGAAGAAGAGGAAACCTCTTCAGATAACTCTGGTCAGACCAGATATTATTCTCCCTGCGAAGAGCATCCTGCAGAGACCAACCAGAATGAAGGCTCTGAAAGTGGGACTATCAGGCAGGGGGAAGAGCTGCCACCTGAGGAGCTGCAGGAAAGTCAAGGGCTCTTGCATCCCCAGGAGGTCCAAGTTCTGGAGGAGCAGGGACAGCAGGAAGCAGGATTTCGGGGGGAAGGAACTCTGAGGGAGGATGTTTGTGCCGATGGGCTATTAGGGGAGGAACAGATGATAGAGCAGGTTAATGATGAAAAGGGAGAACAGAAGCAAAAACAGGAACAGGTACAAGATGTGATGCTTGGGAGACAAGGAGAAAGAATGGGGCTCACTGGGGAGCCAGAGGGTCTGAATGACGGTGAGTGGGAGCAGGAGGATATGGAGAGGAAGGCTCAGGGTCAGGGAGGTCCAGAACAGGGAGAAGAGAGGAAGAGGGAGCTGCAGGTGCCAGAAGAGAACAGGGCGGACTCTCAGGACGAAAAGAGTCAAACCTTTTTGGGAAAATCAGAGGAAGTAACTGGAAAGCAAGAAGATCATGGTATAAAGGAGAAAGGGGTGCCAGTCATCGGGCAGGAGGCGAAAGAGCCAGAGAGTTGGGATGGGGGCAGGCTGGGGGCAGTGGGAAGAGCGAGGAGCAGGGAAGAGGAGAATGAGCATCATGGGCCTTCAATGCCCGCTCTGATAGCCCCTGAGGACTCTCCTCACTGTGACCTGTTTCCAGGTGCCTCATATCTCGTGACTCAGATTCCCGGGACTCAGACAGAGTCCAGGGCTGAGGAACTGTCCCCCGCAGCTCTGTCTCCCTCGCTAGAGCCCATCAGGTGCTCTCACCAGCCCATTTCTCTACTGGGCTCCTTTTTGACTGAGGAGTCACCTGACAAGGAAATAGATCAAAACAGCCAGCAAGAGGGATCCAGGCTGAGGAAGGGAACAGTGTCCAGCCAAGGGACTGAGGTGGTCTTTGCCAGTGCATCTGTGACTCCTCCAAGGACACCAGATTCAGCTCCTCCCAGTCCTGCTGAAGCCTACCCCATCACACCTGCCTCGGTATCTGCCAGGCCCCCAGTTGCCTTTCCCAGGAGGGAAACCTCTTGTGCTGCACGTGCTCCAGAAACTGCCAGTGCCCCTCTCTCAATGGATGACCCATCTCCCTGTGGGACTTCTGAGATGTGCCCGGCTGCCCTCTATGGCTTCCCCTCCACCGGGACCAGCCCTCCGAGGCCCCCAGCCAACTCCACAGGCACCGTCCAGCACTTACGGAGTGACTCCTTCCCTGGTTCTCACAGGACAGAGCAGACTCCAGACCTGGTGGGAATGTTGCTTTCCTACTCCCACTCAGAGCTGCCCCAGAGGCCCCCCAAACCTGCCATCTACAGCTCTGTGACCCCAAGAAGGGACAGAAGGAGTGGTAGGGACTACAGCACCGTTTCAGCATCCCCTACTGCCTTATCCACGCTGAAGCAGGACTCTCAAGAATCCATCTCAAATCTAGAGAGACCCAGCAGTCCTCCCAGCATCCAGCCCTGGGTCTCCCCACATAATCCAGCCTTTGCCACAGAGTCTCCCGCCTACGGTTCTTCCCCATCCTTTGTCTCCATGGAGGATGTGAGGATCCACGAACCTCTGCCCCCTCCTCCCCCACAGAGGAGGGACACCCATCCCTCCGTGGTGGAGACAGATGGCCATGCTCGTGTAGTGGTTCCCACGCTGAAGCAGCATAGCCACCCTCCTCCATTGGCCCTAGGTTCAGGGCTGCATGCCCCCCATAAAGGCCCACTTCCCCAAGCCTCTGACCCCGCTGTGGCCAGGCAGCACCGACCTCTGCCATCTACCCCAGACAGCTCCCACCATGCTCAGGCCACCCCCAGGTGGAGATACAACAAGCCGCTACCCCCTACCCCTGATTTGCCGCAGCCCCACCTTCCTCCCATTTCTGCTCCTGGTAGCTCAAGGATCTACAGGCCTCTACCCCCACTACCCATCATAGACCCTCCCACCGAACCACCCCCATTGCCCCCAAAGTCCAGGGGGAGGAGCAGGAGCACTCGGGGAGGACATATGAACTCAGGGGGTCATGCCAAAACAAGACCTGCTTGTCAAGACTGGACAGTCCCCCTCCCTGCCTCTGCTGGACGCACCTCCTGGCCCCCGGCCACAGCTAGATCAACAGAGTCTTTCACTTCCACCAGCAGGAGTAAGAGCGAAGTGTCCCCTGGCATGGCTTTCAGCAACATGACAAACTTCCTATGCCCCTCTTCCCCTACCACTCCCTGGACTCCGGAGCTCCAGGGACCCACCTCTAAGGATGAAGCAGGGGTCTGAGAACACCCTGAGGCCCCTGCGAGAGAACCTTTGAGAAGGACAACCCCTCAGCAAGGAGCCAGTGGCCCAGGGAGGTCACCTGTGGGCCAAGCAAGGCAGCCAGAAAAACCCAGCCATCTGCACCTGGAGAAGGCGTCCAGCTGGCCCCACAGGCGGGACTCAGGGAGGCCACCAGGGGACAGCAGTGGACAGGCTGTGGCTCCTAGTGAGGGGGCCAACAAGCACAAGGGCTGGAGCCGGCAGGGCCTGCGCAGACCTTCCATCTTGCCTGAGGGCTCTTCAGGTGAGCAAGAACCGGGACCACAGTGACACATCAGACCAAGCTTTTCCCAGCTCTTCCCACCTCATCCCATCTTCTGTCCCTAGGGTTCCTAACATTCTCTCTGCTGGCTTCGCTCACATGTGTGCCTAACCTCAACACAGAGAGAGCCCCGAAGTGCCCTCCAAGCTCCTTGGGATGCTCTTCCTTCTTCTTCCCCTCTATCTCCCTGTCTCTCCCTCAACCAGCACCTTCTTTGGATGTCCCAAGGTTATTTTGGACTCCCTTCTACTCTTCAGTTACAGTCCCTGCTTGCTCTCCTCCTGGGTAGTAGAAAAGGCCTTCTGTACTTGTCCCAGTCCCATCCTGACCCGTGGCTCGGGACGTCACTGGTACTGATCTCTTTCACGCTCTCTGCTTTGCCACTTTCTTCCCTCCCAGTTTCCCAATAAAGCCCATTTTCCCTTCTGGACCCCTACATCTCCTGCTCTAGATCTTCTTTGGCTCTCTCTATCCCTCTGAAATCTCAGTTATCTTCCCCATTTCCACTTTTAGATTCAAGAGGTCCAGCCGTGGAGAAACATCCGGGACCCTCAGACACTGTTGTTTTTCGGTAAGTCACCCTCTCCCCTAACAGCCACACTGTACTCTCTTCACTTGGGATACTGAGAGTCCCCTAGTGAGGATTTCAGTTGATAAGGGTTCTGAGACCCCGAATGGCTCATTCCTGTTTCTTCTTGGTGTAAGGAGGAGAAGAGAGAGATGCCGGGATGCCAGCTTAGGGAGATTGTCTTTATCTACCTCATTCGGTCAGCCGAGCCTACGAGTCATCCATCTTCCCAAGCCCTATGGCTGTGAACTAAACCCCACAAAAGCTCCATGTTAGCCCAAGTGGGTCAAGTTGCAACTCTGTGCCTCTCCGGGGGATTTGGTCTTGACATCCCAGCACACATCCCAGAGGCTAGAGACTTTGTCCCCCACAGTCACCTGGGGTGCTCTGTGTCTAATGGCCAGTAGGTACCCCAGAGCCCTTCTTTACTCCACAGGGAGAAAAAACCAAAGGAGGTGATGGGAGGCTTTTCAAGACGCTGCTCCAAACTCATCAACTCCTGTGAGTACCTTGAAGTGGAACTATAGACCCAGGTGGGCATTCTGCCCAGCACTGGAGAGGGGCTTGTGGATGTCAGCAGTGGGGTGGGGATGTCCCTAGCGAGAAGGCATTGCAGAAGATCTGTTTCCCTGCCTCCGCTCACCGTCCCTTCTTCCTGCTTCTCTTCCTTCCCATGCTTCTTTGCCCTGCAGCCCAGCTGCTTTACCAGGAGTATAGTGATGTTGTCCTGAATAAGGAGATCCAGAGCCAGCAGCGGCTGGAGAGCCTGTCCGAGACACCCGGGCCTAGCTCTCCGCGGCAGCCTCGGAAGGCCCTGGTCTCCTCCGAGTCGTACCTGCAGCGGCTCTCCATGGCCTCCAGCGGCTCCCTCTGGCAGGAAATCCCCGTGGTGCGCAACAGCACCGTGCTGCTCTCCATGACCCATGAAGACCAAAAGCTGCAAGAGGTACTGGGCAGGCCACGGTGGGGAGGGGGCTACAGAAAAGATGACAAGGTCTTGTTTGCTAGCATCCTTCTCTCCTGCTCACCACTGCCACCAAGAGTCGGCTGTCCCCACCACACAGGCGCGTGTACATGCCACAGCTGTGGGTCATGTCCATTCTGAAGAAGTTGAATTGTTTTCTGGATTTCACCACCTCCCCTTTCATCCTCACCTCCTCATGCCATAGGCCACTTGCTCCTACCTGATGTTGGTCTGGGCTATACATGGTGGCCATTGCCTCTGAATTTGTGTGGAGGAATGTGGAGTTAATCCCATCATCACTGCTGTTTCAGGGTAGAGGAAAGCTTCCCTGTTCAACCAGGGTTTCAGGCTACACTACAGTTTTCCTCTTTAGCCAAGGCACATTCCGGGGCTCTTTGTTGGGTCCCTTGAAGAGGGCCCTTTGCAGCTGTCCTGTGGTCCATCAATCTAACAGGGGCCTTAGAGTGATCATCAGTCCCTGCTTGATTGTTACTCCCAACAGCAAGACTGAACTAGAGGCTGTTTGTCTGATTCTAAGCTATTACCATTAGTAAGTTTTACATGGAGAGCGCCTCTTATTAATTTGTCTGAAATATGGGGTAAAACCTTTCTTCCCAGAAAGACAGTATGGAACAATGGAATAGAATAATGTTTAAGAAATTAGGTTCTGGAAGAAATGACCTGGATATGAAAACCACTTTTTTTTTAAATTATTAATTTATTAGAGACAGGGTCTTGCTCTGTCACTCAGGCTGGAGTACAGTGGTACAATCATTGTTCACTGCAGCCTCAACCTCCTGGGCTCGAGCAATCCTCCCGCCTCAGCCTCCCAAGTAGCTAGGACTACAGGTATGTGCCACTATGCCTAGCTAATTTTTTAATTTTTTGAAAAGATGGTGTCTCACTATGTTGCCCAGTTGTCTCGAGCTCCTGGGCTGAAGCAATACTCCCGCCTCGGCCTCCCAAAGTGCTGGAATTACAGGCATGAGCCACTGAGCCCAGCCCCAGAGCCCACTTTAATATTTCCAATTTACCTTTGGCCAAATGACATTTGTAAAACTGAGATACAAACAGTTACTGCAAGGATCAAGAAACATGAATGCCTGGTACATAGTAATTTCTCAAAAAATGTTGACTTTTCATTTTAAGTAAGCCAGACCTAGGTTTGAAACATGACTTCACCATTTGCTAGCTTAGGCAGCCTTATAACATCACTAAATCTCAGTTTCCTCACTTGCAAATTGAGGATAATAATGCCTACCTTTCAGGGTTGCTGAATGGTTTAAATGAAATAATGCATATCTAATTTAGCAGTAATATTTGATGTATAGTTTGATAAATATTAGTGCCGTACTCTCTGCCTTTCAGAGGCAGGGAGGAGTAAAATTTGGGCCAGGAGGACTTATGGATAGACAATGCTTTTACCAAGTCAGAGAGAGAATACATTTTTAGACTTTGCAAAGTTCAGACTTGAGAGCCCTGTTGTGGCTGCAAATTTTTAAGCACAGAGAAGATATTTAGAAAATAACTCATCTTCCCCATATTTGTTGACCAAACAGTGGGAGATGACACGAGTTCTAGCTCTCTTTTACCAACTCCAGCATGCTGGGAAGTCCAGCAGGCCTCCTATTCCAGCCCTGGTCTCATGTTTGTGAGAAGAAAGGGCTTTACATTTCTATCTCTTAAACACACATATTCATTTTATAAAGTAGTACCTCTGGGGTTCACAAAGTGCTTTCACAGGCTCCATTTCTTTCAACTGTTGCATCTTCCACAGTGAGATGGGGGTCACTATATCCACATAAAAGGACACGAAAAGTGAGATTCAGAGAGGTTAAATGAGCCACCCAAAGTCAGTCGTGTAGTGAATGTTAGAGCAAGGATGCAAATGAGCCTTCAGTGTCCCTGTTCAGGGTTGTTGTATGGGAGGGTCATCTGGCTGTGTCATTGGTCATCCAAGTCATCACCAGGGTGTGTCTCCTTTCTCTTTTCTATCCAGGCATCTCTCTTGAGGCCACATGCTTGGATGAAAAGCATGAGGAGCCCAGCTAGAGGCACGGTCATGAGTCATAGCGCCCCCTGCTGGAACCTCCAGACAAGTTCTCACATGCTGGGCATGCATTAAACCACAGCTGCGCCATCTTGTTCTCAGATATCCTGCTTCTGTCTCCTGCTTCTCGCGCCATCTTGTTCTCAGATATCCTGCTTCTGTCTCCTGCTTCTCATCTGTCCTCAAACCTCAAACTGAGCTCATCACCTTCATCCCCTAAATCTATGCCTTTTCAAAGTTCTCTGGCTCAGTAAATGACTCCATCATTCACCCAGGTGCCCGACTCAAAAAGCTTTTGCTGTGAGTACAAAACATTAGCTTTGAACCTTCCTTCTCTTTGAGGCCCCATTTCTAGCAAATAATCCAACCCTTCCAATTCTACCTCATAAATAATTATAAAATTAATCTACTTCTCTTCAGCTCCATGGCTATTCAGACCTTCATCTCTCATGTGGAATTATTACAACAGTTTCTTAACATGGATGGCTTTTGCTTCTTTTCATCTTTTCTTCTCATTCTGCTTAGAAATAACTTTATGAAAAACAGGCTGGGCGCAGCGGCTCACACCTGTAATCCCAGCACTTTGGGAAGCCGAGGCGGGTGGATCAACTGAGGTCAGGAGCTTGAGAACAGCCTGGCCAGTATGGTGAAACCCTGTCTCTACTAAAAATACAAAAATTAGCTGGGCGTGGTGGTGCATGCCTGTCATCCCAGCTACTCAGGAGGCTGAGGCAGGAAAATGGCTTGAACCTGGGATGCGGAGGTTGCAGTGGGCTGAGATCGTGCCACTGCACTCCAGCCTGGGTGACAGAGCAAGACTCCATCTCAATTCCAAAAAATAAAAAAAAATAACTTTATATAAAACAAATGTGGTCAAGTTATTCTCCTATGTAAAGCCTGTTTTCATTGTCCCATTGTCTTAAGTCCAAACAATTTTACATTGTTTACATTACCCTTCAGGCCTCCTCGACTGCTGCAGCTTCATCTCTGGCCACTACTGCTGTACACTTGGTTCAAAAAATGCTCAATTTATTTAGTTTAGTTAGTTTGTTTGTTTGTTTTGAGATGGGGTTTCACTCTGTCACCAGGCTGAAGTGCAGTGGTGCAATCTGGGATCACTGCAACCTCACCTCCCAGGCACAAGCAATCCTTCCGCCTCAGCCTCTCAAATAGCTGGGACTACATGTGCACGCCATCACATCCGGCTAATTTTTGTATTTTTTGTAGAGACAGGGTCTCTCTACGTCGCCCAGCCTGGTCCTGAACTCCCAGACTCAAGTGATGCACCCACCTCAGCCTCCCAAAGTGTTGGGATTACAGGCGTGAGCCACTGCACCCAGTCTATTTAGCTTTTTTAATATAAATTTCATTGTGTATATTAAAGATATACAACATGATGTTATGGGCTACATATAAATAGTAACAGAATTACCCTAGTGAAGCAAATTAACATATCCATCTCACTTTGTTACTCATTTTTTGTTCTTGTTTTTGTTATTTAGATTTCTTGAAAGCATATTTTTCTTTTATACCTTTGAAGGCCTGTACCTGTACCCTAGATTAAATCCTACTCAAATGCTCTTCCCCTCCCTGCAGATCAACTTAGGTTCTGGTGTGACTGTGAACCATAAAAGGATCTTGCTCACCGCTCTATCCCCAAAACATTACACAGTGGCTGGCATATTCCAGGGGGTAAATAAAATCCTTAATTAATCTTCCTCATCTCCAACCTCCTAGGTCAAATTTGAGCTGATTGTGTCAGAGGCCTCCTACCTGCGCAGTCTAAACATAGCTGTGGATCATTTCCAACTTTCAACTTCACTCCGGGCCACACTTTCCAACCAGGAGCACCAATGGCTCTTCTCTCGTTTACAGGATGTGCGAGACGTCAGCGCCACGTGAGACTCCCCTTCTCCTAAATACCACTCACTCAGCCTCACTGTTGTTAGGCTTTAAATGTTCCGTTATTTTTTTCCCCTCTTAGAAACCCTTTCATTTTCACAGTTATGGGAAGAAATTGGGCCTCAGTTTCTTCCATGATTCCCGATGGTTATAGGAAGAAGAATGGCAAGAAGAGGAGAGGGTCTGTGGGTGGATAGATCCATTAATGGATAAGTAAATGAGCAATGCTTCCTGGGTTGAGGTTTTGGATTACTGTGGTCATGCACTGCATTGGAGATGAGGTGGAAAAACCATCTAAAGATCAGAAAACCTGAACAGGGTCAAAAGAAGAATGAGAAATGGAATATTAGAATAAAAGTGTTAAATCAGGCTCAAACTCAGGACAGTTTTGGAGCGAATTCTAGTGCATAGCAAGGAGCACAGAGCAGAGAGTCAATAGAAGTTATTGGCTAATGGAGTGAAGAAGTCACCAGCTCAGTGTACACCAGGGGCCAGTCAGCTGTTTAGCTGAGGTCCAGAAGTCTCATGAGACTCGTTTAAATCCTGTACAGGTTCCTTTCAGACCTGGAAGAGAACTTTGAGAACAATATCTTCTCCTTCCAAGTATGTGACGTAGTCCTGAACCACGCCCCAGACTTCCGCCGGGTCTACCTGCCTTATGTCACCAACCAGACCTATCAGGAACGCACCTTCCAGAGCCTGATGTGAGACTCATCCCCCATTTAATCCCCATGTAGGCCCTGAGGTGACCATGCACCAGTCCCCAGCCCAGAGGGCTATCCCAAGAGCACACTTTCCCCATTCCGCCCTCTGTATTGGTTACCCCAGCATCACATCTGAGCGCCCTGTACATCAGCTCCCACCGCTCTTTCCCAGCCCACAGATACTCCACTGACCTCCCTTCCCCGCACCTTCACTGCATCCCCCATTGCTCCCCATATCCCCCCTCCCCTAAGGCTCACTCTCCGTGCAGGAATAGCAACAGCAATTTCCGGGAGGTCTTGGAGAAGCTGGAGAGCGACCCCGTCTGCCAGCGCCTTTCCCTCAAGTCCTTTCTGATTCTGCCCTTCCAACGCATCACCCGCCTCAAACTGCTGCTCCAGGTAGGGCAGATGCTACCTTGATCCTCTCCCCTTAACTCAAAGGGATGCCCTCAGGAAGACCCACAACAAAGGACCAACCATTCTTCTGCCAGGTGTCCACATCCTGTCTCCCTGCTGCCCACTGCCTGCTTGCTTGGAAATATTTGCTGCTAAAATGTGGTCCCTGAGCTTCTCCATTCACCAGCCCCCAATCATTTCTTCCTGTTTCCCATTTCTTCCTCCCATCTCACTCCTGCCTACTGTCTGTTCAATAGAACATTCTGAAGAGAACACAGCCTGGCTCCTCGGAGGAGGCAGAGGCCACGAAGGCACACCACGCCCTGGAGCAGGTAGGCAGCCACCACCTCCACTCTGACCCTCTGTGTGTTCTTCTCAGAGAGGTCTTTCCCACCTAGGCCCATGACTCCAGGGAGCATGGGAGGTGGGACCCTGTTGGGAGAGCTCAGCCACCTCCCTGCATCCGCCAAACTTCCAAACATACACACCCCACGGCCACCTCTCCCACGCCGAGCACACTCCACATCAAGGGACTGTGCCCTCTCCACCATCACCCCCACATTCAGTCTCACTTTTACTCAGTTCAGGAATGTTCTCCCAAGTCATACAAAGTTGCCTAGGACTTGTGCTTGATACTGCCTGCCCAATTCCAGCCTGGGAAAAATGACTGAGGCTGTCATAACCTATTTCCAGATTGCTTGCAAGGGACTCAAAGGTCAAAGCCTCTAACACAGTGCCCTTCCCCTTTCCTCACTCTCTGCACCCCTAGCTGATCCGGGACTGCAATAACAATGTCCAGAGTATGCGACGGACAGAGGAGCTAATCTACCTGAGCCAGAAGATTGAGTTTGAGTGCAAAGTGAGTCGGTCCCATGCACCCCATCCCTGCCCATGAACTCCCTTAACATGTCCTGCAGATCACCCCCTAACCTGGAACCACCTTGCTCACATTATCCCCAGCCCCTCCCCTCATTTCTGCCCACCTTCTATTCTGTCCTATTTCTGGGAGGCCTACTTGGGTCTCCAAGACATACTGCTAAGTGAAAAGATGAAGGTAAAGAATTGTGTGTATATTATATCACCTTTGGTATAAAAGTGGGAGGATACAAATCTATACAGGTGTCTGCTTGTGTGTGCATAAGGAAACTCTGGAAGGAGAACAAGAAAAAAAGGAACAGTGGTTACCTGAGGACAAGGGGGGTGCATTTGAGAAATGGGCAAATGAGAGAGAACTTTTCAGGATGAGCCTTTATAAAAGAATGTTTTGGTGCTTGATTCATTTATTACTTTATCAAATCTCTTTCTAGTCTAATCAAACCCACATAAGATTGGATCCAAATTTAGAGCCAGCATCCCTCATTGAAATACAAATCTAAAATAGACATTCCACATTCAAATTCCAACTTAGAACAGATACTATCTTTTTTTTTTTTTTTGACAGAGTCTCACTCTGTCGCCCCAGGCTAGAGTGCAGTGGTGCGATCTTGGCTCACTGCAACCTCCACCTCCCAGGTTCAAGCGATTCTCATGCCTTGGCCTCCCGAGTAGCTGGGATTCCAGGTCTGCACCACCATGTCTGGCTAATTTTAGTATTTTTAGTAGAGATGGGGTTTCACCATGTTGGCCAAGCTGATCTCCAACTCGTAGCCTCAAGTGATCCACCCACCTCTGCCTTCCAAAGTGCTGTGATTATAGGCGTGAGCCACCACGCCCGTGCTTAGAACACATACTATCTTTACACTCCTGAAAAAGAAGGAAAATCCCTTATTCACATACTAAGCATAGACCACACCCTCATCTTTAACCAAATTCCAGCTCCAAGACGCCCCACCTAGTTCTTCTCACCCCCATGTTTGATTCCAGCTGCTCACATATCTCTGGTATAAAAAATGGAATTGATACCAGACCTGCCTCTAATATTTTATTTTAACCTCTAAGACACATATAGTGTTCACTGACTTGTTCCATCACATACCCTGATTGGACTCTTCCATCCCTCCTTCAGTTCAGGCTTCTAGGGCAGAGCTGTCCCACACACTCACTATCCTGAGTTGGACCATAGGCATCTTCTATTTACCTGAGCATACAACCATGGGAGCCACACACCAGTGGACAGTGGTAGTTAGAGGGTTCAGAGAGAAAGAGAATCTAAGTGATGGGTTATGAGCCAGAAGGCAGATGTGGAAGAGATGCTTGTTTAAGTGGAACTTGCATGGAAGTGGCATGGGGAGGAGGGTGGGACTGGGAGCAAACCTCATGCTTCTCCCATCTGTGACACTGCCTTCTCTCTCTTCCTCTGCCCTGTAGATATTCCCGCTCATTTCTCAGTCACGCTGGCTGGTGAAAAGTGGGGAGCTGACAGCCTTGGAGTTCAGTGCTTCCCCAGGGCTACGAAGGAAGCTGAACACGCGTCCAGTCCACCTGCACCTCTTCAATGACTGTCTGCTGCTGTCTCGGCCCCGAGAGTCAGTGACTGGAGTGGCAGGCCAGGGCACAAGAGGGGAAGGGGATGAGGAAAGAGGGGGGTCTGAAAGGGAGAGAGAAGGGTCATGTTCCTAGAAGAGCCCTTCTCAATGGCTTAACCCATAGAGCCCAGGTCATAGCCTAGAGAAGAGAAAAACAAGCCCAAAGCAAAAAGGGGATCCCATCAAACTGTATCATGAGACCACATAGCAGGACATGTAATATGGTATAGACACAGAGCAAAATGTAGCAAATTAGCTTATCACATTCTCACATGAGTCTATTTGTGGCTTCTTTGGACTGGCCTCAACCTGCTATTCTAGAGATACTTAGCTAATTCCAGATCTTAAGTCTCTGGTCTTAAGGTTCTTGGGAAATGTATATAAATTCCATCTCTTCACCTCTTTAAAGTGGTAATGTATCCACTGCACTAGGTGTGTGGTTTGCCAGACTAGGACAAATCCCTGAGGACCCTGGAGCTACCATCTTGGGAGCAAGTTAGGACCATCTTATGGTTTTTGTGGGAATTTGCAGGCTGTAGATGTAGGGATTTCGAACCCAAGGTTATGAGGGTAGGTGAAGTATGGAAACTCTAGAATCAGGTTGAAAAGATTTGTATTTTGCAGGGGTAGCCGATTCCTGGTATTTGACCATGCTCCCTTCTCCTCCATTCGGGGGGAAAAGTGTGAAATGAAGCTACATGGACCTCACAAAAACCTGTTCCGACTCTTTCTGCGGCAGAACACTCAGGGCGCCCAGGCCGAGTTCCTCTTCCGCACGGAGACTCAGTGAGATGGGGCTGGGCAGAGGAGCTGGGGGTGGGGGAAGATGGGCAGCCGAGAAAAGAAGTGAGACCAAGGCAGAAAATGTGTCCAGAAGACAGCCACAGCCTCATTTAGCCCATTCTGGACTGGGGACCACCATAGAGAAATTCAAACTCCTAAAACTAATGGATAACTTGCAGGAGATTGGGGTGGGAGAGGGTACAAAGTCACCACCGAGGCTTAGCATCTATTTTATACTCTTTACTCAAGAAGGACAAGGTCTGTGTAGTATCAGAAAGGAGAAGGACTGGTATGGAGTGAGCAAGGAATTGGAATACTGGTATCTGTGAGCACATGCCTCCATGCCTGAGGCAGAAACCCTTCTATGCCCCAGCTGGTGGGCACAGATGTGAATAAGACAAGTGCTGGGTGACTTTTACTTTCTGTGCTCCCATCTTCCAAACCAGTCCTCTATTGACCAGAAATCCATAGTGTTGAGAATGCTGATTTGCTCATGTTTTCAATAATAATAAAATAAAATACATTCACACAGACATACATTTTTGAGAGTATTAATAGTACCTATAAAATCTGGAACACAGTGCCTGCAATAATGAACATGTAAAAGCCTGTAGCTGTTATTGCTATTATAAAAGATATATGAACAGTCATTTAAAAGTTTGACGTATCTAAGTGTTTGAGGATCCCTATGTTGTAGACACTTTTTCAGTTTTGTCCCTTGGAAGATACTTCAGAGTGGGACCGATAACACCTGTTCTCATTTATTGAACAGAAGGACTAGTATCGGAGTTTGTGTGCAAAACAGCACATAAGTCAAATAATCAGGTGCAGATGCATGTTGTTGGTTTGGTGCTTTGGGCACTGTGCCTGGAACAGTAATAGTCCATTCCCAGTTACCTAGGCACAACTGGGCACAGAGGCTAACAGAATGCAGAAACCTTCAGATGATTACAAACCTAAGCTTGGATTACACCGTGCAACAACAACAAATAAAACAGTAGACATATCTCCCTGATCTAATTATTATTATGAAACAATGATCATCTCTGAGATAGTTAGTTGAAGGGAGATAGGCAAGCGAGTGTCAAGAATCATGCCAAATGATGGAGGGAATCTAAACTGAAATGAACACTTCGCTTAGCACAATTTCCAAAACAGAAAATCTCCAGACTTTATGACTAATGAACTTTACGCCCCAACTTGGAAGATATGAGAAGCCATTAGGAGGATAATTCTGGAAAGAGAAGAGGAAAAGTAAAGTGTGACAAGACACATTCACATATAGTTCAAGATTGTGTCATGTTTCCAACCAAAAAGAGTCCTATATAGTGTTTGATAGAAGTCATGGAACTAGATAAGTCCTTCCCACAGTCTTTTGCCATCCCCATCCTTGGCCCTCCTCCTACACCCCCACAATTGATGCTATGACCCTGCTTTGTTTTCTCAGAAGTGAAAAGCTTCGGTGGATCTCAGCCTTGGCCATGCCAAGAGAGGAGTTGGACCTTCTGGAGTGTTACAGTGAGTGAGGGTCTAAGAGGGAGAGAAAAGAAAGCAGGGTCAGATGTCACCTTTGGATACAGGAGTTTAAAGGGCTGGGTGGGAACTCTAGGCCAGTACAGTATTCAATAAATTACATGAAATATTCAACAGCTTACTATAATATAGGCTTTGTGTAAGATGATTTTGCCCAACTGTAGGCTAATGTTAGTGTTCTAAGCATGGTTCAGGTGGGCTAGGCTAAGCTATGATGTTTGGTAGGTTAGGTTTATTAAACATATCTTCAAGCCAGGTATAGTGGTGTGTGCCTATAGTCAGTCCCAGCTCTTCAGGAAGCTGAGGCAGGAGGATTGTTTGAGCTCAAAGACTTTGAGAATATAGTGTACTATGACTACACCTGAGAATAGCCACTGCACTCCAGCCTGGGCAACAGGACAATAGTCTATATTTTTTTAAAAAAAGCATCATCAACTTATAATATTACCAACTTATGATGGGTTTATTGGAACATAATCCTATCATAAGTTGAAGTGTATCTTTATATAGTAGAATATAGTAACATACTACAGACTTATTTTCTCAAAGCATAAAAATAAACCACACTAATGATCATCCATGGGAGAGGGACACCTAGACAATGTCCTGCAAAACGAGAAATACTGGTAAGACATACTTTACATTCCAGACTGAGTCTCTTTCACCATGAAATAAAATCATTAAGAAATTTTTAGTAATATTTTAATTATTATATTTTAATTAAAAATTTAGGTATAGAAAGAAGGTTGTATAGCTTTACATTAAAAATAAATTAGTATGTGACTTGGCTACTTGACACCAAATAGCTTGTGTCAGATTCACCCTCCCACCATAAAAAACTATACAATCTGGCCAAAATATAGAAAAAATTCTTGGCAGGTGTATTAGTCTGTTCTCATGCTGCTAATAAAGACATACCCAAGACTGGGTAATTTATAAAAGAAAGAGGTTTAGTGAACTCACAGTTCCACATGGCTGGGGAGAACTCACAATCATGATAGAAGGCAAAGGAAAAGCAAAGGCACATCTTACATGGTAGACAAGAGAGAGGGCATGTGCAGGGGAGCTCCCCTTTGTAAAACCATCAGATCTCATGAGACTTATTCACTATCACAACAACAGCATGGGAAAGACCCACCCCCATGATTCAATTACCTCTCACCAGCTGCTGAGCATGGTTCAGGTGGGCTGGCTACATGTGGGAATTATGCAAGCTACAATTCAAGATGGGATCTGCGTAAGGACACAGCCAAACCATATCAGCAGGCATTGAAGAACATTGTTGTAGCAAGTCAGGTATGAGATCTTTAAGGAAGGTGAGGCACATGAGGTTAGTACCACATTTGCCAGGATTTTCCAGAAAGGCATCTTCCTGACCTTGGTACAGGAAAATGGGACCCAACCAGGGGTTAATGGTCTTGGGAACCAAAAGAAGCAATGAATAGAGTTCAAAGCTGCTAAATTGGTTAGGAATTGGGGGTCAATGTACCATATGGGAGAGAGAAAGAACCTAGAAATGGGTGTATACATGCCATTTTGGTCCTTCTGTGACTCCTTAGCTATGTGACAGTTGGCTAAGAAGAGGGGAGACCTTGGAGAAAGAAACTGCTGGGATACAGAAAGCAGAAGAGATCATCAGGGACTGAAAACTTCCTGGAAAGCTACTGGAGTTCAGATCCAGCCAAATGGGGAAATGTTGGCAAACAACTGAGAAACTCAGTTGGGACTCTAAAAATTCTCTTAGGAGAGATGCAGTATCCCAGGAGTGAGGCATATGTTCTAAGAGGAAAATAAAATATAATTACCATAACACAGCTTAAAACTAGATCTTGAGAGCAGCAAGATGATCTGCAAGTAATTACAAATTCTGCCCAGAAAAAAAATTCAAAATTCTTGAGTAGTTCTATATCATATTATCCATAAATTCAGCATACTTTAAAAAAAATACCAAATATACAAAAAAGCAAGTAAAACAGACTGATAAGAAATAAATCAGTTATTAAAAACAAACTCATAGATAATCCAGATATTGGAGTTAACAGATAGGGCATCATAACATCTATGATGAATATAAAGGAAAGAAAGAAAAAATGAAAGACAAAACAGGTTGTGTCAGATTTCTTTCTGGAAGCTTTAAAATGCTCACTTTATTTTCATAGATTCTAATTTCCTAAATTATGTTTGATGTTTCAAGCAAAAATCATAGCATTGTCTAGTGTTATTCTAAATGGATGTAAGACAATTATACTACAAATTTGATAGAGTAAAGAGACATAATATGACAGAAGGTTGCTATACTTCACTCAGACTGGAATAAAGATGATACCAATTGACTGTGATAATGTTTATATAAATGAATATACACTAAGCTGTAAAATGCAACCACTAAGCTATAAAATGCAACCAAAAAAACTATAAAAAAGAAGATACACTATAAACACTATAAATAACAAAATGGAATTCTAAAACAAATGTTCAAGTAACCCACATGAAGTCATGAAAAATAAGCAGAGAAACAAGAATTGATAGAGAAAACAAAAAATGTCAGGCTTACGCATTAAAGTATCAATAATTCATTTAATTATGAATGGTCTACCAAGAGATAGATAATAGAAGAGTGTATTTAAAAGTATGACCCTTTCTTATATGTTTCTTGTATGCTGTGTACAAGAAACTCACTTGAATTTTACCAATACAGGGCAGGCCAAATTAACAGGATGAAAAAAGATATATTACACAAACATTAATGAAAGGAAAGCAAGAGTGTCTGTGTGCATATCAGATAAAGCAAAGAAAACTACCAAAACCAGAGATTATATAATGATCAAAGGTTTAATCCATGAAGAAGACAGCAATTTTAAAAGTGTATTCACCAAAAAATAAAGCTTCAAAATATGTGATGTGAAAACTGCCAGAACTAAGGCGGGCCGGGCTCAGACCAGCGCTGCCTCAGGATGTGAAGTGTAACAAGAGGGCCAGGGGAGGTGGTGGGGGACAACATGGGCCTGTGAGGCCTGTGGGTGCCCGCGTTCCCCAGCTCCCCCCACAGCCCGCTCCACAGTGGTCCGCTCCGGTTGGTTGTCACGTGCGCATTCGGGTTCCAGACCCAAGGCTGCGTGTTCTCCACCGCTTGTTGTGGCCAGTGTTACTGCGGTGACCGCCAGAGCAGCCTCGACGCTATGGAGGAGCCTGGTGCTACCCCTCAGCCCTACCTGGGGCTGGTCCTGGAGGAGCTACGCAGAGTTGTGGCAGCACTACCTGAGAGTATGAGACCAGATGAGAATCCTTATGGTTTTCCATCGGAACTGGTGGTATGTGCAGCTGTTATTGGATTTTTTGTTGTTCTCCTTTTTTTGTGGAGAAGTTTTAGATCGGTTAGGAGTCGGCTTTACGTGGGAAGAGAGCAAAAACTTGGTGCAACGCTTTCTGGACTAATTGAAGAAAAATGTAAACTACTTGAAAAGTTTAGCCTTATTCAAAAAGAGTATGAAGGCTATGAAGTAGAGTCATCTTTAGAGGATGCCAGCTTTGAGAAGGCGGCAGCAGAAGAAGCACGAAGTTTGGAGGCAACCTGTGAAAAGCTGAACAGGTCCAATTCTGAACTTGAGGATGAAATCCTCTGTCTAGAAAAAGACTTAAAAGAAGAGAAATCTAAACATTCTCAACAAGATGAATTGATGGCGGATATTTCAAAAAGTATACAGTCTCTAGAAGATGAGTCAAAATCCCTCAAATCACAAATAGCTGAAGCCAAAATCATCTGCAAGACATTTAAAATGAGTGAAGAACGACGGGCTATAGCAATAAAAGATGCTTTGAATGAAAATTCTCAACTTCAGACAAGCCATAAACAGCTTTTTCAGCAAGAAGCTGAAGTATGGAAAGGACAAGTGAGTGAACTTAATAAACAGAAAATAACATTTGAAGACTCCAAAGTGCACGCAGAACAAGTTCTGAATGATAAAGAAAATCACATCAAGACCCTGACTGGACACTTGCCAATGATGAAAGATCAGGCTGCTGTGCTTGAAGAAGACACAACGGATGATGATAACCTGGAATTAGAAGTGAACAGTCAATGGGAAAATGGTGCTAACTTAGATGATCCTCTGAAAGGAGCTTTGAAGAAACTGATTCATGCTGCTAAGTTAAATGTTTCTTTAAAAAGCTTAGAAGGAGAAAGAAACCACATTATTATTCAGTTATCTGAAGTGGACAAAACAAAGGAAGAGCTTACAGAGCATATTAAAAATCTTCAGACTCAACAAGCATCTTTGCAATCAGAAAACATATATTTTGAAAGTGAGAATCAGAAGCTTCAACAGAAACTTAAAATAATGACTGAATTCTATCAAGAAAATGAAATGAAACTCTACAGGAAATTAACAGTGGAGGAAAATTACCGAATAGAGGAAGAAGAGAAGCTTTCTAGAGTGGAAGAAAAGATCAGCCGTGCCACTGAAGGGCTGGAGACCTATAGAAAGCTAGCCAAAGATCTTGAAGAAGAATTGGAGAGAACTGTTCATTTTTATCAAAAGCAGGTTATTTCCTACGAGAAAAGAGGACATGATAATTGGTTGGCAGCTCGGACTGCTGAAAGAAACCTCAGTGATTTAAGGAAAGAAAATGCTCACAACAAACAAAAATTAACTGAAACAGAGTTGAAATTTGAACTTTTAGAAAAAGATCCTAATGCACTCGATGTTTCAAATACAGCATTTGGCAGAGAGCATTCCCCATGTAGTCCCTCACCATTGGGTCGGCCTTCATCTGAAACGAGAGCTTTTCCCTCTCCTCAAACTTTGTTGGAGGATCCACTCAGACTCTCACCTGTGCTTCCAGGGGGAGGAGGAAGAGGCCCAAGCAGCCCAGGGAATCCCCTGGACCATCAGATTACCAATGAAAGAGGAGAACCAAGCTATGACAGGTTAATCGATCCTCACAGGGCTCCTTCTGACACTGGGTCCCTGTCATCTCCGGTGGAACAGGACCGTAGGATGATGTTTCCTCCACCAGGGCAATCATATCCTGATTCAACTCTTCCTCCACAAAGGGAAGACAGATTTTATTCTAATTCTGAAAGACTGTCTGGACCAGCAGAACCCAGAAGTTTTAAAATGACTTCTTTGGATAAAATGGATAGGTCAATGCCTTCAGAAATGGAATCCAGTAGAAATGATGCCAAAGATGATCTTGGTAATTTAAATGTGCCTGATTCATCTCTCCCTGCTGAAAATGAAGCAACTGGCCCTGGCTTTATTCCTCCACCTCTTGCTCCAGTCAGAGGACCATTGTTTCCAGTGGATACAAGGGGCCCGTTCATGAGAAGAGGACCTCCTTTCCCCCCACCTCCTCCAGGAACCATGTTTGGAGCTTCTCGAGGTTATTTTCCACCAAGGGATTTCCCAGGTCCACCACATGCTCCATTTGCAATGAGAAACATCTATCCACCGAGGGGTTTACCTCCTTACCTTCATCCGAGACCTGGATTTTACCCCAACCCCACATTCTGAAGGTAGAAGCGAGTTCCCTTCAGGATTGATTCCGCCTTCAAAGGAGCCTGCTACTGGACATCCAGAACCACAGCAAGAAACCTGACAATATTGTTGCTTTCTTCAAAAGTAATTTTGACTGATCTCATTTTCAGTTTAAGTAACTGCTGTTACTTAAGTGATTGCACTTTTCTCAAATTGAAGTTTAATGGAATAATAGTTCTCAGGATAGTATTTCGTAAATAAAGATGGTTTGAATATGAATCTTATGAGTAAATCATTTCCATTTTATTATATTCTAGATCATATAACTTTTAACTTGGTGAACTAATCCACTCTTAGAGAAACAATAGTGGGAGTTTTATATATGTAATCTTGCAGGTGAGGAGGCTTTAAATTCTAAAGGTTGTGGTGTCTTCATGCCAAGAACTGTATTCACTGTGGTTGTAGATAAATGTGAAAGTAACTTTATGCTTAATTTAATAAATTTTCATTGATTTTTTTAAAAAAAGAAAACTGAAAGGAGATATAGATGAATCCACAATTATAGTTAGAAATTTCCTCATGCCTTTTTCAATAATTGATAGAACTAGACAGAAAATCAGCAAGGAGTGTTGGCTTTGGCAGCACTTTCTAAAATCAGAATGATGCCAACAAGATTAAAACGGTTCTTGAATATAGATTACACAAAATTTTGTGAAGCATTTCATGTTTTTAAAAAGAGGAAAAAAAAGAAAATCAACAAGAATATAAAACAACTCAAAATGCCATTAACCAAAAGAATCTATTTGGCATTTACAGAATATTCCACACAGTAACAGCAGAATACACATATTTTTTTTGAGTGCTGACGAAACACATGGCAAGATAGAGCTGTCCTAGGCCCTAAAACTCGCCACAACAAATTTAAAAGAGATAGTAATCATCCAGAGCAGATGAAAACCAGAAATCATTGTAGGGAATCCAATTGGAAATCAGCATAAGAAAGATATGAAAATCCCTAAACATTTGGAAATTTAAAAACACACTTCACAATAATCTATCAGTCAAAGAAGTCTCAAGGAAAAATTTAAAAATACATTGAACTGGATAAACATGAAACTGTGACATATCAAAGTACTGAGAAGGAAACTTAGAGCAATAAATGCACGCATTAGTAAAGAGGAAAAGTCTCTAGTGAGCAATAGATTTCCACCTCAGGAACCTAGAAAAAGAAGAGCAGAATAAACTCAAAGCAAGTAGAGGGTGGGGATTAATGAAGATAAGAACAGAAAACACTTACATTTACAAGAGAAAAACAATGGTTAAATCAATGAAACAAAGAGATAGCTATGTTAAAAGATTAATAAAATTTAGCAAACTCAAGCATAAATTAAAAGGAAAAAACAAATTTTAAATATCATAATGAAACAGGCGATATCACTACAGACATAAACACACATAAAAAAGGACTATCAAGGAATATTACAAACAACTCCACACACATAAATTAGACAATAGACAAAATGGACAAAATGCAGTGTTCCTCCTGCAACACAAACTAACTCAACTCACCAGGCATGAATAGATCATTTGAATAACTCTATAACCATTAAGAAAATAGAATTCATAATTTTAAAACTACCAATAAATAAATATTTATGCTTAGATGGTTTAACTGGAGAATTCTAACATGTTTTTAAAAAGTTAACACCAATTCTACACAATCTTTTCCAGAAAACAGTAAAAGAGAGAGCATTTCCCAATTTATTTTTTGAAGCTATTATTACAGTGATACCAAAACCAGGAGAGAGAGAGAGAGTGTGTGTGTGTGTCACACACACACACATATATACATATATATATATAAAGATATGTATAACTTACTTGATAAATAGAGTTCTATAGTATATTTTTCAAAATTTACCCATGTCCAGCGGGGGATTGTTTCCAGAAAAACAGACCTGATTAAATCTCAAAAAGTCAATCAAAATAATCCACCATGTTAACAAACAAAAGAAGGAAAGTTACATTATATCAGTTGATGCATAATAAACATTTAACACATTTCGATATCCATTCATGATAAAAGCTCTCTATAAAGCAGGAATAGAGGAAACTTCATCCACTTGATAAAAAGCATCTACAAAAAGCTAACACTATACAATCACGTGTTGTTTAATGATGCGGATACGTTCTGAGAAATGTGCGGTCAAGTGATTCTGACATTGTGTGAACATCCAGAAAGGACTTCACGGGTAAGAGCATGCATGAGGCTGTCGTCTCCTATGATAGCAATGCCTTCTTCTGGAATACCTCTTGATGGACTTGCCTGAGACTGTTTAGCAGTTAACTTTTTTTAATAAGTAAAAGGAGTGCACTCTAAAATAATGACAAAGGCCAGGCACAGTGGCTCACACCTGTAATCTCAGTACTTTGGGAGGCTGAGGTAGGCAGATCATCTGCAGTCAGGAGTTCAAGAAAACGCTGACCAACATGGTGAAACCCCATCTCTACCAAGAATATAAAAAATTAGCCAAGCATGATGTTGCACACCTATAATCTCAGCTACTTGGGATGCTGAGACACAAGAATCACTTCAACCCAGGAGGCAGAGGTTTCAGTGAACTGAGATTGCACCACTGCACTCCAGCCTGGGCAACAGAACAAGACTCCACCTCCAAAATAAAATAAAATAAAATAATGACAAAAAGTTTAGTAGAGTGTAGTAAATGCATAGTAAAATACATAGTTGTTTGCTTTTAACCACGCTGGGAGTGCAGTAGGATTGTTTACAGCAGCAATCCCACAAACATGTAAGTAATGCATTGTGCTACAATATTATTACGGCTATGACATCAGTTGGCAATATGATTTTTTCACCCCCATTATAATCTTGTGGGACCACTCTCATATATGCAGTCCATCACCGACCAAAGTGTTATGTAGGACATAGCTATACTAACATCATATTTAGTGGTGAAAAACTGAATGGTTCCTCTCTAAAATCAAGAATAAAGGAACTATGTCTGCTTTTATCACCCTTATGCAAAACAGTGCTAGAAGTTATACACTGCAATAAGACAAGAAAATAATTAAAGGACATACAGATCAGAATGGAAAAAATAGAACAGTCCCTACTTACAACAGACATGACTTTCTACATAGAAATCCAAATAAATCTATTTTACAAACCTCCTTAAATTAAGAAGTGAGTCCATTAAGGTCACAGAATTTAAGATAAACACAATCAAATTAATTCCATTTCTATATACAGACATAACTCATTTTATCGTTCTGCAATTTATTGTGCTTCATAGATATTGCATTTCCATTGTGTTAAAATTTTGTGGCTAACCTGCCTCAAGCAAGTCTATCTGCACCATTTTTCCAACAGCATGATCTCATTTTGTGTCCTAGGTCAAATTTTAATAATCTGTACAGTATTTTAAATGGGTTTATTATTATTGTCTGCTATGATGATCTGTGATAGGTGATCTTTGATGTTACTATTGTAATTATTTTAGGGCAGCATAAGCACGTCCACATAAGACAGCAAACTTAATTGATAAATGTTGTGTGTGTTCTGACTGCTCCACCGACAGGCCATTTCCCTCTCTCTCTTCCTCTTCTGGCCTCCCTAGTCCCTGAGACACAACAATGTTGAAGCTAAGCCAATTAACCACCCTATAATGTCCTCTAAATGTTCAAGTGAACGTCATTAAATTAAAAGCTAGAAATTATTAAGCTAAGTGAGAAAGGCATGCCAAGTAAGTATAAATCCGGAGTTGTCCAACTTGAGCTGAAGTGCTATTAGATCTACCAAGTCATAAGACTGAATGGTCACTGCAACCATCTATCCTATAATGGATGCAATATGTTTTAGGGCAAGAGAAAATGCAAAAGACAAAAGTAGGCTGAATGAACAGTTGGCCCAGATCCCTATATCACTGATGCCTCTCTCTCAGCTTATACATACAGTCTCCTAGGTCCTTCCAACCAGCTGATACCTTAGTAAACAAGCCAGGCCTAATGCAAGGGCACTTTGGCTAGGTATATTGGCACAATATGTCAACCACTCAGATGTGGGACCTCAAATATAATCCATGAGGGTAAACCTACTCTGATAAGTAGAATACATAGATTCATCGCCATCCATAGAAAGGGTTCAGAAAACAGGAGCTGGCCCTGTGCTTTTACAGAGCTTTATCCTTCCCATAAGGGCAGGACCAGATATTATCAAAAAAAAAAAAGAAAATTTTCAAAAGTAAATTTTGCTCAATCCTTATGCCTTATCCATTCTTCTTCTAGACAGGTCAATGAGCCCCACAGATTATTTAAAATGAATCTCCAACATCTACAGATTGGTGCTTAAAAATAAAGTGTCTGAGTTTCTATGTAAAATGACCTAATGATTAAGACCTTGGAATTCAAGTTTATTCTCCCAACAGCTTTTGGGTATTTGGGAAAGCAGACTACACTAAAAGAAATGACTGCAGGAATTAATGTCAAGGTTTTATTTTAACCGCCAAACAAACCTAGACATGGATCTTTGCATCTCCCAAGTGTTTTCTGAATGTTTGGGGAAGGAATAGCATAAATATTCATGAAACTCTAACAAATTCACATATTTTGGTAGCTGTGATAGCCACGTGGTCCCAGGATATTACTTTAGATAATATATGTATCCTTTCAGTTACAAAGGCATTTTCTGTTCTTGCCTTAGTCTCATTCTCTTTATCACTGTGGCTTCCTCAGAGACAGAATGAGACAGAAGCTCAATTCTCTGCCCCTAGAAGAATAACAGTGGTTGGGTTCTTCATGTCTCTATGGAAATCATGCTGGTGCAAGTGAAGCCTATTTTCTCATGCGTCACACAAAGCTCTCATGATAATTGGAAGGTACTCTGTGGAGGTGATGACTTAATAACACCTTCCCTTCTCAAAAGCACTTGAAGAAGCAAGATCCTTCCTTGGCATTTCTCAGATGGGCAGCAGAGTTCCCAGCACCATCAGTAAACTCAGCCACACTGTAGAAATGTTTGCCTTTTCTATATGAAGATTATCTAGGTTCTTACACAGCAGTCATCTCTAGACACCTGGATTTCCTAACTGCCTTTGTGAGTTCTGGTCAAATATAATTTAAGGTCATTTTCATTGCTTGTTTGCTTTTACCGTCACACTTTAATATCATGCAAAAGTACATTTCTACTCTCTTAATGCTCAAATTTTGCTCACCAATAGTTTTAGATAATAGGATAATATGACTAAAATATATTAATAGATATCAGCATATTATCTATCAGTATATTAATATATTAAAGCAATCAATATGTTAATGGTTATTTTGGCTGGTAGCTTTTTTTAAGTTCAAGAAATATCTGTGTGCAACTGACTCTGGTAAATGTTCAACGTTAACAAAAAAGACCAGCACTTTTTTTCTTTAAAATTTTTTTTTCATATAATTACTATTTTAAAAATTTTTTAAAAGAGATGAGGTCTCTATGCTGCCCAGGCTGGTTTCAAATGCCTGGGTTCCAGCGAACCTCCTTCCTCAGCCTCCCAAAGTGCTTAGATTACAGGCATGAGACACCAAGCATAGCCCAGCACTTAATTTTTAAAAAGGCTTAAAGTGTCACATACAGAAGCTCATTAAGTTAACAAGTGTACAGATGCTTGTTTACTTATTACGCACAATCTTACGAGGCCACACAATCTGAGCGATGATTAGGAGCTCAAAGTTTAGATCCAATCTCAGGACAACATGAAATAAATGACAAGAAATCAATAAATAACTAAATTATTTTATTTTTTCAACATGAGCATAATACTTATCCTTGGAATGGTGGTAGGAAAAATCCAATGCAAATGAAATACTTTTTAGTCGGTTTTGCAGGATTAAATTTATAATTTTATGGACATTTAAATGGAGGATTATTGCTCATCCTTCCTATCTCCAAGACAATATAATTTTACATAAAAAATGAGAATAAAATTTAAGCAAAAATGACAATATCATGCTTATGCTAACATTTTAATTGTGGGATCAAGGAGGCCTGAGTTCAATCAGAGAATTCAGAGACTCTTTCTGCAGCATTCCTCATAAATTCATCGAACTATTGCCAATCACCTGCATAGACAATGCTTAAAACTGTGTATTCTAGAGTGTTTATCAATAGTAAGCCCAAATCCAACAAAAGTTACTGATCCTGTTTTCGTGTTTAGATAATGACACGGTGCAAATCTATTCAGTCATTCACATAAATGCTCATCTAAACATTGTGGGAAAGTAAATAACAAAAAATAAGGTTCTGGGCTAAAAAATAAGTCTTTACACTTGGATAAGAAAAGATTTTGTGAGATATTTGCTGTGGAGGTGATGATCAGTGCAAGAGTGGAAAGTTTAAGAGGTGAATGACCACTGGTGTATTTGGCTGATGGTATGTCGAACCTTAGTATAGCCCGCCCTTAATTAAACCTTCCACTTTAAGATTAAACTTAATGTGGTTTTAAGACTTTGACATGTGTATCAGTTAGTGTTCATTGTTTCTGAAACATAGCAGAGAAAAACTCTGAATAATACGACCAAGGAAAAGAAGAATTTATTTGAAGGATATGAGATAGCTCACTGAATCAAACAAAAACTGTGTACTACATTGACATGTGACATTCATCCCTGAAAGGCCTGAGCCAAATTTTTTTTAAAAAAAGACCAAAAGGATATATTAATATGTGACACGTTTATTTTTAAATTTTAGCCTTTATTAAAAAATTAACGTAATAAAAAAGAAACCTATGTATACGTGTGCATGCGTTTTTTTTCCTTTTCTTTTTTTTTTTTTTTTTTTCTGGAGACAGAGTCTGGCTCTGTCACCCAGGCTGGAATGCAGTGTTGTGATCTCGGCTCACTGCAAGCTCCGCCTCCTGGGATCAAGCAATTCTCCTGCCTCAGCCTCCCGAGTAGCTGGGACTACAGGTACACGCCGCCACGCCGGGCTAATTTTTTGTATTTTTAGTAGAAATGGGGTTTCACCGTGTTGTCAATGCTGGTCTCGAACTCCTGAGCTCAGGCAATCCGCCCGCCTCGGCCTCCCAAAGTGCTGGGATTACAGGCGTGAGCTACCGCACCCGGCCTGCATATATTTTTTAAACATTTATTTTAGCGTTACCAAATTGTCTTGAAGCATTCATTTAAAAACACAAAAACTCACTGCAGCTGTCTGAACACTTTTCTACTTCACCAAAGAGTGCCGAACAAGTTAAAATGAATCTGTTTTTAAACACTTCTCCTAAACCATGAGCATTAACTTGATTTCCTCTGTCATAGGGATATGGGGGACAATATAACATCCATCACAGAGTTCCTCCTACTGGGATTTCCCGTTGGCCCAAGGATTCAGATGCTCCTCTTTGGGCTCTTCTCCCTGTTCTACGTCTTCACCCTGCTGGGGAACGGGACCATACTGGGGCTCATCTCACTGGACTCCAGACTGCACGCCCCCATGTACTTCTTCCTCTCACACCTGGCGGTCGTCGACATCGCCTACGCCTGCAACACGGTGCCCCGGATGCTGGTGAACCTCCTGCATCCAGCCAAGCCCATCTCCTTTGCGGGCCGCATGATGCAGACCTTTCTGTTTTCCACTTTTGCTGTCACAGAATGTCTCCTCCTGGTGGTGATGTCCTATGATCTGTACGTGGCCATCTGCCACCCCCTCCGATATTTGGCCATCATGACCTGGAGAGTCTGCATCACCCTCGCGGTGACTTCCTGGACCACTGGAGTCCTTTTATCCTTGATTCATCTTGTGTTACTTCTACCTTTACCCTTCTGTAGGCCCCAGAAAATTTATCACTTTTTTTGTGAAATCTTGGCTGTTCTCAAACTTGCCTGTGCAGATACCCACATCAATGAGAACATGGTCTTGGCCGGAGCAATTTCTGGGCTGGTGGGACCCTTGTCCACAATTGTAGTTTCATATATGTGCATCCTCTGTGCTATCCTTCAGATCCAATCAAGGGAAGTTCAGAGGAAAGCCTTCTGCACCTGCTTCTCCCACCTCTGTGTGATTGGACTCTTTTATGGCACAGCCATTATCATGTATGTTGGACCCAGATATGGGAACCCCAAGGAGCAGAAGAAATATCTCCTGCTGTTTCACAGCCTCTTTAATCCCATGCTCAATCCCCTTATCTGTAGTCTTAGGAACTCAGAAGTGAAGAATACTTTGAAGAGAGTGCTGGGAGTAGAAAGGGCTTTATGAAAAGGATTATGGCATTGTGACTGACAGTGACCTAGGAAGTTACATCATTGAGCGGTTCTTAACCCATCTCTGCACTGGTGGGACCTCTGCCCTCAATGGACATGAGAATTATCTGAGACATTTATTTAAAATGGAGCTATCTCCTGCCCTACCTTTAAATGACTGATTTCAGCAGATGTGGGATGAAATTCTAGAAATTGATCTCTTCAAGTTGTGCTGCAGCCACTCCACACCAGGACAATACCCCTTACAATATCCTCATTAGCTTTTGATCCAGTCCCATACCTCCCATAATGTTTTCCTCAAAACACTGGTCCCTTCAGAGGACTTTAAAAATAAGTTCTATAGTCAAATAAGTTTGAGACTTACTTCACATCAGATGCCTCTGTCTAGGGATCACAATTCATATTAGCATAGTGAATGCTGTAAATATTTCTCTAGGAAAGAATAATTCTATACCAGCTTTAAGCCAGTGTTTTCTAAACTTATGTGAGCACATAAAATTTCCTTTGTAATACTTAGTAACAGTTTCCTGGAACAGGAGATCTTGATATTAATTGACTCATTGTGAATACTTCCTACAGCCCCCTTCTAGGGCAGAATGATTTCTTTTTTCCTTGCAAAGTGAGCCTCTAAAGAGATGTAGTTCTGAGCATTATGCCTCGATCAGTCTGTAAAAATCCGGGTTCTGTTTGGATACAGACCGTGAGGGACCCTGTCTCTACTGTTCAATGGTAGATCATCTAAAGAAAATAAATGCAATCCTGTCCTTCATCATGGATCGGCATTCCTGCTATAGAAGCTTCAGGAGATGACCTCATTCAACCTCACAATCTTCTAAATTTGAGATTTTTAAGAAATATGATTCAGTATACATCTGCCTGTGTTTGCCGCTGAATGAAATCAATCTAATTTTTCTAATTCAGGGTTTTCAAGATAAACCCAGATTTCTCAAGAAAGAAAAATCTAGAAAGATTTCAAAATCCACCACCTACACACTTAAAAGTTGTAGCAGCTTCTTATGCCATGGGAAACATGTCATTTTGAGATGATGTTTTTTCTAGGTTTAAGTTTGGTCTTAAACATTTATATTTAATTTCTCATTGTCTTAGTTCAAAGAATTTACTTTTATATTTTAAAATAACTTTTTACACAATAACTCAGTGTCATATCATGTTAGATATAAAACTATGTCCTAAAACTATTTTATCCTTTTTTTTTTTTTTTGAGACAGTCTTGCTCTATAGCCCAGGCTGGAGTGCGGTGGTGCAATCTCGGCTCACTGCAACCTCTGCCTCCTGGGTTGAAACAATTCTCCTGCCTCAGCCTCCTAAGTAGCTGGGACTACAGGCATGTGCCACCACGCATAGCTAATTTTCAGTAGAGACAGGGTTTGTATTTTTAGTAGAGACAGGGTTTCACCGTGTTGGCCAGGCTGGTCTCAAACTCCTGACCTCAGTTGATTCACCTGCCTCGGCCTCCCAAAGTGCTAGGATTACAGGCATGAGCCATCCTGCCCAGCCTATTTTATACTGCTTATACTATTTATATAGTATAAAAATAGTTTTAAAACTATTTTATGGTATACTTTTTATAAAGTAAAAAGTATACTGTAGTATAATTTTTATACTATATACCATATTATATTTTTATAAAGTTGTTTCCATTTGCTACTAACTTTTTCTTTTGTATGTCAGTTTCCTGATTTCTACATTTCCTGCAGGTCACCTGGAACATCAAAAGAAAAAGAAAAGCTGTAATATTGATGGGTGGCCTACTGTGCAACAAGATTTTCATATAGTGTTTTTGGTGTTATATGGATGTTTCTTCTCGCAGTGGATGTGTAGAGTCAGAGCACAGATGGGCATACTCTCAAACCTTAATAACTGTGCCACATTGCCCTTTGAGTTTATTCTAAACCTTAGCAAGTCAGAGATCACACTGTATGGAACTAACTTCTATCTAAATTGCATGATTGATTGATAGGAGATTTCCAAATAACATTTGGACTGCCTTACATCCAGTAAAAGAACTCAGCAAAATACAAATAAATATGATAATATCTTAGACAGCAAATCTTCTCATCCCACAAGAGGCAGGAAACTGCTAGAGGAAGCTGCCTTGGAGAGGATTCTTTCCTCCCCTCCCGAAAGGAGCTGAACTCAAAATCTCTCCATTTCACAATAGACATTGGAGAACATTTTCAACAGTGGATTTGCACCGGTGTTTTGTGTCCTAGAAAAACGTTCCCTTCAGGTAGGTTCTAATAAGCCCCACTGGGACATTTTGGACACCCTTGTCTGCTCTCTGCCTCTCTAACCTTAGAGGGTCCCTTGGAATCAACTAATATTTCAGGTCCTTTCTTCCCATTACTGTTGCCACACAAGGAACCCAGATTACATCAGGGAGAGGCTGAGCTCCAGAGGTTCACACCAGGAGCTTATTCATTGTCACACTGTTCCTGCTTCCTGACAGGTTCACTTGAACCATCTGGAGATTGGGGAACAAGGGCAATGTGAGTATTCATGAAATTCAAATCATGCCAAGTATTCCGGGATGGGAATGGTTGTCTCAGAGGTGTGCTCTGTGGTTGACTGACCTTGAGCTTGCGTTTTCTTCCTTTTCTTTTTTTTTTAAATTATACTTTAGGTTTTATGGTACATGTGCACATTGTGCAGGTTAGTTACATATGTATACATGTGCCATGCTGGTGCGCTGCACCCACTAACTCGTCATCTAGCATTAGGTATATCTCCCAACGCTATCCCTCCCCCCTCCCCCCACCCCAGAACAGTCCCCAGAGTGTGATATTCCCCTTCCTGTGCCCGTGTGATCTCATTGTTCAATTCCCACCTATGAGTGAGAATATGCGGTTTCTTAATATGTGTTTCTTAATTGTGCATCCTGCTGGGGTTGAGAACAGAAATTGAAAAACACAATTGTTTTATCTCTCCTTCCCCGAGGAGTTGAACATGTAGGAAGTTTCATGGCCCAGCCCCTCCTGAGAGCCCTGAACTGCCAACCAGACTGAGCCCATCAGAGAATAACACCTCATTTTCTGAGGATTCTGATACCTTTTCAATCAGAAACAGAAGCAAAGATTCTGCAGCTCCCACAGAAACTCCCAGAAACCTTGCGGTGCTTCACCCTTCTGAGATCCTTGAGTCCGAATGTGGGAGCTAACCAGGTTGCCTTTCTTTACTTACCATGAATTCCTCCTAGACTCGTGGTGGCACCTAGGCTTTGGTTCACTCTCACTCTGTTACTAACACTTTTTATTAAGTAATGGGAAGGGAAGTAAATCATTTATTTTATGGCTAAACATATATGCTCATTATTCATATTATATATCAATGGTTCCAGGGGAAAAATAGATGCACATTTGATGTGCAAATTATGTAAAAGTGTTTAGGACTTGGCTATATATGTTTCTTTGGTGGAGAAATATCTATGTGATAGAGATTTCTTTGGGAAAGATGACACTCACAAAAAAAGCCAGAAATTTCTGTTTTATAGATTTTGATAAAATGTATGAAATAATTTTCGCAGCCAAAGGAAAGTATAGCACAGTATATTATGGAGAGATGTTACAGCTCAGGAAAATTAATACATGTCAGCTGTTTAATAAATTATGCATTTAATTATTGCCAGTACAGTCACAATACATGCTAATCTATGAGAATATATTTATTGCAATAGAATATAAACCCAAATGGATGCTAAATCTATGTCTTATCTTTCATTAAGCATGGCACTAAAGAGGGCATAAGGCACCTGCAATGTACTAGATAAATATGTATAAATATTAGATTTTCCATAGACTGGAGGATAAGTTTTTGTGGTGCACATGGAAAGAGTACAGAAAAAGAACTCAGGTGGTAGGTGGTGGTGTAACAAAGTAGGAAAACGATGTAATAATTAATAATACTTTAAATTTTCTTTTTATAGGATTTTTGTTTAATGTGTACCTTTTTATTTATTTCTGCTTTTCCTCCCGAGGCACATCTTCACAATGAAATCTTCACAAGCTCAGAACCATCAACTTGCTACACTGTGTTCCTCCAGTGCCCAGTTCACAGGAAGCACTCAAGAGTAGGATCAATTGTTATCAACCTCTAGCAGATTATTGAATAGACGGTCGTTACATGAAACTGACACTCAGTTCTTCATGGTCCACGATAGTTCTTATATCCAGAAAACGTACTTACGTTATCAACTCTGACTCCATAAGACAACTTTGCAAAGTCTTGGCTCATAACTATGTAAGCAATGAGATAACTTAGTTTTCATTTCTCACTTGTTACTTACAAGTAAACAGCCCTGCAGCTCAGCTGAGCTACAGATTAACTACAGGTAATCACTTCAGCGATTCTGCTTTACCCATGCCCAAGATTTTAAAAAAGAACCTGACAGATCATTAAATTTTGAGATTTGCTTTTTAAAATGCAGGTTCCATAAAGTTACGCTGTTTTGCTTATATATACAGCAACAAATGCCTTCTTAGATATTTACTTTAAAATTCTAGTTTCCTTACCATGTATTAGCCAGATAATCTGTCATTTTTTAAATTCTGAAATTGTACATATATAAATTAATGTACATCTCTATGCCTGAAAGGTACATTTGGAATTACAACGTGTGTCAAGGTAGAGCAAAATCCCCCAGTCCACTCCTTCCAACCCCCTAGAAATTTACTCTGTTTGGTTTCCTCTTGATTGTCTTTAATTAACAATAAGTATGTCACATAGGTATCAAATAAAATAAGAAAAAAAATAGATAAAAGAGAAGTGATTCAAAATTCAAGTGTTTAAACACTTTATGAATCTTCCCGTTGTTCTTGACACATTTTTAAAATTTCATTTTAATTCAGATCATTAGGGATGAAATTCTCCTGAATTGTAGCATTTTATTTCCTTTGGGAAGAAGGGGCTGAATTTGGCATAATTATACTTGACTATACTGTAAAAGAAACCAGATCTAATATAAGGACATCAATACTTAGTTATTAATTCATTTGCTTATATTTATATGTCATTTGAAAATGTGTATTAACATACACAATTAAAGGGATATAAAAATGAACATGCCCTCTCCATTTCTTTAAAAGAAATCAAGGCTGAATCAAACAGGACTACTGTTCTGAAAGAATACTCAGACTATGAGGTACCTTATTTTCCTTCTTTTACACCTGTCTTTCAGTTGGCTTCAAAAAATCATGGCTTTTACTGTGTTTCTTTTTTCCTTTATGTCTTCCTTTTGAGGGAAATGAAAAATTGAGAAAGGAAATTATTATTTTATAAGTGGGTGGGTTTGAATACATCTTTCACAGTCAAATATTTTTCTATGCCTTATGAGCTTAAAAAATAAATTTAGAAAGTTTGATAAACACAGAAATTTTTTATTTTATGTTATTTTATGAGATGAGGGCTTGCCATGTTATCCAGGCTGTCCTGGAACTCCTGGGCTCAAGCTATCCTCCTGCTTTCAGCCTCCCAAGTAGCTGGAACTACAGGTGCATATGACGGCACCTACTGAGAAATTTTTACTATCAACCTAAAATTTAATAAGTCCTGGTCACAAGTGAGGAATTTTTAATTTGTTATTTAGATTATTTTTGTGTCAAGGTAACTTGATCACCTATCAATAATGCTTATAAGAAAATAGATATCTCATCTGTTGCTGTTAGAAAGGAATCTGTCTCTTTCCCCAGTTCTTGCTTCAATGAGGTTTCCTTGACCCAGAGTCTGGTCCTCACATTTTAGATTCAGCTTTGGGAATTTTGTTCAGGAACTGCATCATACAACCCAAAAGCAAAAGAGGAAAATGCATAAGCCAGGATACCTAAATGTTCATTTATTTAAACTTGAAAATGTGACTGCAAAAGGAGTCAAGAAGTTTAGTACTCAACACATTTCTTCTTTGTAGAAATAACTGCTCAAGAAGATAAATTGTTACCTAACAGTTGATTGATGAATATGAAATCAGAGCAAGAGGGGCTAATTAGAGATTTTACTAGCTAGGGCTATTTACCCAAACCATCTATCCAGACTGTAGACATAGAATCACCAGATGGCTAGGATCCTGGTGCAGCTGGTTCCCCTTTTTCCTTACCCTGAATGTCATTAAGGATGCATTGCCAAATGCTGCCCCTCTGGCCTGATGACTACACTCCATATTGGTCACCTGCCTTCTTTTTCCTACAGTCTTCCTCCAGACAGGCACGCCATACAACCGACTACACTTGGGCTCACTGAATGAATCACATTCTTCTGCTGTGCCTCCCAGAGATTTCATCAAAGCACCCGCAGTGGCCTTCTGGAGGCTCCTCAAACTCTCCACTCAATGTTTCCTGAAAGTGTCGTGTTTCTCACCTCTAGATTGTTATTCTCATCAGTTACATGTGGGTTTCACAAATTTATTTCTCAGAATGCAAGTCTGTCTCTTATATCCTCGGGAAACACACCTTTATATCCCAGTTAGTACTGACAAAAATTAAACTAGGGACTGGCCAAAAACAGTGCCTTTCCTCACTTTAATCTCACTAAAGTAGATAAGACTCAAGTTATTTTGTTCTTGCAATGGCATTGACAAATGTTTGCACCAAAAACCATGTTGAAGTTCATTAAGGAAACTGTGATCCAAGATCCAAGGTCAAAAAAACAAATTCATCAATTCAGCACACCACCAACTCACAGGCTAAGCATCTTACTGCTAATTCATTGATGCTGCCATTTGTCAAGTGCCAAATTGAATTATTGATTTGTCAATAATTTCCTTCCGTTGGTTACTTATATAGTATATTGCAATTCTTGTTGCTGAAGTCAGCTACACTTTTTCTATTTGAAAAACAATTTCTTGCATTTGGGATTTCAGGTATAGTGATTGTTACAAATATGAAGGACTTGAATTAACAGCAAGTTTTCAAGTAAAACTTTACTTATGTATAACTGAATGAGTTCTTAAAGACATTTACTAACAATTTTCCACAAACTAAAAATTTATAAAACAATAAATAAAATAGACTTTAAAAAAAAGCGTGTCACACAGCTGCTTGTTTTTTGTTTGTTTCTTTGTTTGTTTTTTAGTAGTGAAATGGTGAAAAATCAGACAATGGTCACAGAGTTCCTCCTACTGGGATTTCTCCTGGGCCCAAGGATTCAGATGCTCCTCTTTGGGCTCTTCTCCCTGTTCTATGTCTTCACCCTGCTGGGGAATGGGACCATCCTGGGGCTCATCTCACTGGACTCCAGACTCCACACCCCCATGTACTTCTTCCTCTCACACCTGGCCGTCGTCAACATCGCCTATGCCTGCAACACAGTGCCCCAGATGCTGGTGAACCTCCTGCATCCAGCCAAGCCCATCTCCTTTGCTGGCTGCATGACATAGACCTTTCTCTTTTTGAGTTTTGCACATACTGAATGCCTCCTGTTGGTGCTGATGTCCTACGATCGGTACGTGGCCATCTGCCACCCTCTCCGATATTTCATCATCATGACCTGGAAAGTCTGCATCACTCTGGCCATCACTTCCTGGACATGTGGCTCCCTCCTGGCTATGGTCCATGTGAGCCTCATCCTAAGACTGCCCTTTTGTGGGCCTCGTGAAATCAACCACTTCTTCTGTGAAATCCTGTCTGTCCTCAGGCTGGCCTGTGCTGATACCTGGCTCAACCAGGTGGTCATCTTTGCAGCCTGCATGTTCATCCTGGTGGGACCACTCTGCCTGGTGCTGGTCTCCTACTCACACATCCTGGCGGCCATCCTGAGGATCCAGTCTGGGGAGGGCCGCAGAAAGGCCTTCTCCACCTGCTCCTCCCACCTCTGCGTAGTGGGACTCTTCTTTGGCAGCGCCATCGTCATGTACATGGCCCCTAAGTCCCGCCATCCTGAGGAGCAGCAGAAGGTCCTTTTTCTATTTTACAGTTCTTTCAACCCGATGCTAAACCCCCTGATTTACAACCTGAGGAATGTAGAGGTCAAGGGTGCCCTGAGGAGAGCACTGTGCAAGGAAAGTCATTCCTAAGAGGTGTGACATTTGAACTGCCAGCCTCAGTTGTCACGTGGACTCTTGATGCCCAATTATTGCCTCAATCCAGAAAAGTTTACTTCTCTTTATCTGTGCTTTACTGACAGAAGGGCAAGTCTTCTCTCGTTTTTTGCAGATAAAATTTTAGATGTGTTGCATTCATTGGGTTTCTATGAGATGTGGTTTTATCAGACAATTTTTTCTTTTATTTCACAATTACTTTAATATCTGTAAAATAAAGAATTATTTTAATTCATTTTCCCAGTCCCAAAAGTTAAATACAGGCCACTTACTTCTTTAACCAAATGATATAGTTTGGCTCTGTGTCCCCACCCAAATCTCATGTCAAATTGTAATCCCCGCATGTCAGCGGAGGGACCTGGTGGGAGGTGATTGGATCATGGGGAGGGATTTCCCCCTTGCTGTTCTGTTGATAGTGAACGAGTTCTCACGAAATCTGATGGTTTAAAAGTGCAGCACTTCTCCCTTTGCTCTCTCTCTCCTGCTGTGCCATGGTAAGACGTGCCTTGCTTCCCCTGTGGCTTCCGCCATGATTGTACCTTTCCTGAGGCCTCTCCAGCCATGTGGAACTGTGAGCCAATTAAACTTCTTTTCTTTAGAAATTATCCAGTCCCGGGTAGTTCTTTATGGCAGTGTGAAAGCAGACTAATACACCGAACTATATAAACTCACTAACGGCATATGTCATAAGATTTAAAAGAAAATAAAAAGGTTCAGCCAAAGAAGTGATTCCCAAAACCCAGCAGCACACTTGTCCATTCTCACACAATTGCACTTTCCCTGTTAAATAGAGGGATTTAGTTAGTTGTGTTGCATGCGCTGAGAAATTTTGTGTAAAACTTATTAACTCATGTACAGGAGTTAACTAGTAGGCTGAGTGAAGGAACAAACTTAAAAGAAGAGATAAGTCAGGCACAGTGGCTCATGTCCGTAACCCCAGCACTTTGGGAGGCTGAGGTGGGTGGATCACTTGAGGCCAGGAGTTTGAGACCAGCCTGGACAATGTGGCAAAACTGCATCTCTACTAAAAATACAAAAATTAGCTGGGCGTGGTGGTGCATGCCTGTGATCCCAGCTATTCTGGTGACTGAGGAATGAGAATTGCTTGAACCTGGGAGGCAGAGGTTGCAGTGAGCCAAGATTGCGCCACTGCACTCCAGCCTGGGAGACGGGGAGACACTGTCTCAAAAAAGAAAACAAAAAAGGAAAACAAAAAGAACATATATAAGGGAAAAGAGAGAAGAGAAGCAAAAGAACACTACAGACCGTGTGGGAACAGTGAACAGTGTTTACAAAGTTCAGGGTAAACTCAGTAGCTAGTAGCTGGCAAAGAGGCAAAACTGGGCATTCCCTGTTGAAAAGGCTGAAAATGAGTATCCAAGAAAACTATTTGGGTTGTTTATGGTTTCTTCAGAAAACATTGAGTGTTGAGCTGTGTATTGTACATATGCACATCTGTCTCTAAGCGTGATTCTCCAGTGTCTTTTCATCAGCTCTTCCACCTTGGTTAGTCCAGTTGTGGATCATTTCCCTCATTAGAATGTCTTACCCCTGAAAAAGGAAATTTCACCAGACAGTGTAGGTATGTAGCTAGCTCTTCAACCATGGTGGTGAAGAAATTTTTGCTGAGCCAATCTATTTTCCTGTTAAAAGGTAAACTGAGGCACAATAAAATTTTAAAGAGTTTACTTGAGCAAATAGCAATTCATGAATCAGACAGCTCCAAACTATAAGTGGTTCATGGGCTCCACTAAAGGAATGCAAGGGGAGGGCTTTTACAGGACAACCACGGAACTAAAGCAAAGAAAATATTTGATTGGTTACCTTTATACAATTGCCTTAGTTGGCCTATACTGCTGGAAAGTCTTTAGTTATATAACTTAGTTGGCAGCTTCTGAGTGGTTAATCTTAAATTTCATTTTGCTTTAATACAAGTATTTATAAGAAATAGTTCAAGTTAATTTTCACTTGTGTTTGCAAATCAGTCTGGGTTAGGTCACTTATGAGGCCTAACTGGCTTTCCCTGCTCCAGGAAAAGTGATTCCATAAGTGACCTAACCCAGCCTGAATCATCTAAGTGATTCTCCATGTCTGGTTTCCATTTTAATTTTCTTTAACAAATCTTCACTACAAATCTAATGGTTAGAGATGAGTCCCCATGCATTTTAGGTGGCTTCCCAGAGTGTTACCTATAAATTCTACTTTCTAACCTTCCCTAAGATTAGGATGCCACTTGCTTCCAGAGTCTTTCTCAATTTTACAAGAGAGCATGTTAATACTTTTTCAGCAAAATAAGTGTATGCCTTTCATAGGGGTTAACAAGTACTCCACCCAACTCATTATTATTCCCTGTGGGTGAAGATACCCAGGCAGAACTTATTAAATGTAAAAACAAAATGAGTTTTTGTAATAATAGCTAACATTTTGACTCACCACTCAATGGCATATGCTACATATTAATAGCACTTTACATGGGCCATTTCATTTAGTCATAACAAATCCAGGAAGAAGGTCCTATTGTCACTATTTTATGTATGCACAAACCAGAAAGCAGCAAGTGTCAGACTTATCCCTAGACAGTCTGGCTCCCAGCCTCTGTACATAGCACATCAATGTAGAATTTTAATATCTATGTTATCAAATAAAGGATAAGGTAAATGTATCCCAAGGCAGAACTATTAAAAGAAGGAAGCTTTCTTTATAGTCTGATGTATGCCACAGGGAGCTGATCTGTTCTCTCTAAGGCGTGGAGGACCAGAGATCATGTATGAGAGGCTGGTTGTCCTGGATGGTGACTCTTATGTGCTGAGTCACATGAAAGCACTGGACTTCTAGACAAATGCAGAACATGAAGAAGATGAGAATAAAGGTAGTTCTCACTGAGACTGGCTATTTAGTTCAGCTAAGACCCAGAACCAACACACCCATAGTCAGTCTCTCTCTCTCTCTTTCTTTCTTTCTCTCTGTCTCTCTCTCTCACACACACACACACACACACACACACAAACACACAGAGCTTATTTACTTTGTGCCAGTCACTGCTCTAAGAATTTTACATGTATTACCTCAATTAATCCTCAAAATAACACTTTGAGTCAGAAGATAATCAATATCCTACCTTACATATAAAGAAACTGAGGCACGGAGAGATTAAGCAACTTGCCTGGTACCTCACAGCTAACAATTACCCAGTCCAGGATTGAACTAAGACAATCTGATCCCTGACCCTATAGCCATAACCACTACACAGCACGGCCTCTATAGAGCATATCTGTGAATAAAGATCAAAGAACTCGTGACAGTGAAAGAAAACACATAATTAAGACCAAACTATGGATATTCAGCTTTAGATAGAAAGGGGTATACATCTTCTAAAGGAAGCAGCTTGACTCTAAACAGAGATGTGAAAAAAGTGGGGGAGTGGTCGCAAGAAAGAACTGTGACTCCAAGGGTCAGGGATGCATGGCCGTGAGGACTCTGGGGTTGAGCTGGAGAGTGAAACAGACAACACTGAACGAGAAGACCGACAATGCAGTGTTACAGCAGTGCCTTACCAATTGATGAGAACTAAAATGGATGTTTTATAGCATTTTATCTAAAAACAGCCCCAAGAAAAAGGAATTCAGTTTCATTATTGATATTTAAAATGGTTATAATCTTTCAGGTGGTATTTACCTGAAAGTTTACCTGAGAACATTGCTCAGGTAGGTATCAAATTTCACATCTAAGATGGGGAGCTCCGCAACAGCAGGAATTGGAATCCATTCATTCATTTATCAGTAACATGAGCACATTGCCTAGCACCTAGTAGGCACTCACTAAGCACTGGCTGCACCAATTCATGCACCTTTAACTATCTGCTGAGTACTTAGACACAATTGTCAGTGTTAAACTATATTCTGATTTCTGTATTTTAAAAATCCTTGGGCTTGGCGTGGTGTCTCATGCCTGTAATCCCAGCACTTTGGGAGGCCAAGGCGGGCGGATCACGAGGTCAAGAGTTCAAGACCAGCCTGACCAACATGGAGAAACCCCGTCTCTACTAAGAATACAAAAAAATTAGCCGGGCATGGTGGCATGTACCTGTAATTCCAGCTACTTGGGAGGCTGAGGCAGAAGAATTGCTTGAACCTGGAAAGCGGGGTTTGCAGTGAGCCAAGATCACGCCACTGCACTCCAGCCTGGGCAACAGAGCAAGATTCCATCTCAGAAAAAAATAAAATAAAATAAAATAAAATAAAAATAAAAATAAAAATCATTTTATCTGAATAACACAGAATAGTAGAAAGTAATTGTAGCTTAAAAATTATTTAGCACTTGTGTACGAGACAATATGTTAAATGTTTTTGATATAATCCTCACATCAACACTGTGAATTAAGTACTAATAATATCCTCATTTATAGAGGGGAAATTGAGGTTTAGAGAATTAATTAATTTACTCGATGTCAACGAAATATCAAGTGGTAGAAATAAAACTGTAGTCCAGTCAATCTACTCTACATTAACTGAGAACCATTCTTTTGGAAAGGGCCTATTGATATTTGTATCTTCAGTGGCTAGACCAGGCCAGTTTCATAGTAGTTACTCAATAAATGTTGACTAAATAAATAAATGAGTAATCATGTAGTCCACACTTCTATATTTTTAAAAAAGGATCTCCATAAAATATGTAATTAAATACAGTGTCAGTCAATTTAATCATGTTTAGCTCCAGATACATTCCGTTTTTGCAAAAGTTTCTTCTGAGATGAATATTAATAAACTACATCTCATCTGTCAGTGGCCACAGAGAAATTGTAAACACATTCAGAGAGGATATTTCGAGACTAATATAAAAGAAAACTAGGATGATATATATTTGTTCCTATCATATAGAACAAAGGTTATAGGTCTTTCAAAAAGACTGTCCCAAATTGCCAAACCCTATGGTTATAGTATGACACAACGTGATTGTGCTGGCACAGTAGCCATGGAGAGAGTGTTCCCCTCCTCTGTCTTGCCAAAGAGTAGAGCATAAGGCACTGTAATTACTGAAAATGACACGGATGACACCCTGGGAGTGGAAGTCAGTGCATGCACTACCTTAAATTGGCCCCCATGGTGTCCTTGGTATGTAGAGTGAGCACTGCCATCACTGACCTGTAGGACCATTCTTTACTCTTTGCTAGGTAATGTAGACCAGTGCTTCTCACATGTCAATGTGTATATTAATCATTCAGGGATCTTGCAAAAATACAGGTTCTGATTCAACAGGTCTAAATGAAATAGGCAGAGATTTGCATTTCTTATCATCTCTCATACCTTGCTGATGCTGCGGATCCATAGACCACACTTTGAATATTAATCATATAGAGATTCATTGTTAAATCTATGGTTCCTAAGAAAAAGTGAAGGCCAGGCACAATGGCTTACATCTGTAGTTCAGCACTTTGGGAGGCTGAGGCAGGAGGATTGCTTGAGCCCAGGAGTTTGAGACCAGCCTGGGCAACATAGTGAAACTCTGTCTCTTCAAAAAACTTCAAACATAAAAAAATTAGCCAGGTGAGGTGGCACACGCCTATGGTTCCAGCTGCTTGAAAAGCTGAGATGGGAAACTTGCTTGAGCCTAGGAGGTTGAGTTCGCAGTGAGCCATGGTTGCACCACTGTATTCCACCCTAGGTGACAGAGAAAGACCCTGTCTCAATGGGGGGGGTGGGGGGGGGAAGAAAAGAAAAGAAAAAAGAAAAAGTGGGAGAAAAACAAGAGTTGGAATGCTGTCTCACAGCTCTGATGTTTTCCCAGACCATATCAATTTTTCTTACCTTCTTGATGAACTTTGATTAAGAGCCCTGCTTTCATTTGACTTGCTGTTTTGGTTTTTGTTTACTTTTTTTGACCTGTCTCTGTTTATTCGTTTGTTTTTAATTTTTGTAATCTTGTTGGGTCAAGAGAAGAGGTTCACTACTAGGCACGGCCTGGTTTGGTCCTCAGATGACTGGCTCAGAGCCAAGACATCTGGATTCTCTAAAATATTGAAAAAACCAAAGGTGCTTTTCCTACTCCTTTGCTTATACTCACACAGTCACTCAACAATTTACTTCTAACAACAGATACGTTGAGGTTTTTCCCCACACACCTAGCAATCTGCAATGGACACCGACTGCATGCCCTAAAAATCAATTCAATTCTGACACTATCTACTGGGAGACAGTGTCAGATCCCACAAGCCTGTTCCCCCCACCCAACACTACAGATGGTAATTGCAAGCCTCAGGTTGCGACCTGTGCTTCTGTTCAACTGGCTATACATTGGGACTCTCATGACCCCCCTCCTTAGGCTCAATTAATTTGCTAAAGTGGCTCACAGAACTCAGGGAAACACTTTACTTAAGTTTGACCATTTACTACGAAGGATATTACAAAGGATAGAGATGAACATCCAGATGAGAGAGATGCATCTGGTGAGGTATTGGAGAAGGGGCATGGAGCTTCCATGACCTCTCTGGGCACACCACCCTCCAGGAACCTCCATGTGTTCAGCAATCAAGAAAGTCTGCAAACCCTGTTTGGTTTTCTGTAAAGCCTTCATTACACAGGCATGATTGATTACATCATTGGCCATTAGTGATCAACTCAAACTTCAGGCCCTCTCCCCTCCCCAGAGGTTGAGGTATAGGCTGAAAGTCCCAACCCACTAAACATGCCTTTGTTTTTGTAGTAACCAGCCCCTATCCTAAAGTTATTTCAGAGCTCCCTGCCAGCAGTCATCTCATTAGCATACCGTCTAAGTCCATTTTGTGTTGCTATAACAGAATATCACAGACTGGGTAATTTATTTAAAATAGAAATTTATTTCTCAGAGTTCTGGAATCTGGGAAGTCCAATATCAAGGTGTCAGCATCTGCAGAGGGCCTTCTTGCTGCATGGTGAAAGGTGAGAGGATGAGAGAGGGACAAACTTGCTTTTGTAACTAACCCAATCTCCACATAACAAATCCACTCCTGAGACAACACCATTAATCCATGCATTAAGTCAGAGTTTTCATGACCTAATCACCTCTTAGAGGTCCCACCTTTCAACACTGTTACATTGGAGATTAAGTTTCCAACTCATGAACTTTGGGGGACACATTCAAACCACAGAACATACAAAAGATACTCTTATCACTCTGGGGATTCCTAGAGTTTTAGAAACTGTACGCCAAGAAATGGGGACAAAGACCAAATATATATTTCACAAAATTATGGGTTCCTCTCCCAATTTACCACCTACTCACTGCATGACCTTAGAGAAGTCACTTAATTCCTCTGCACATTGGTTTCCCCACATATAAAATGAAATGTCGGACTAGATGATTGTTAAGTTCCTTTTAGTTCTCAAATTCTATGCCTTTTTATTAACTTCCTAGAATGTATGTTGTTTTTCTTTTACATAGGAGACAAAATTAAATGGAATTTTTGAGAATAATTTTTGAGAATTATTCTCGAACTCCTGAGCCTCACAAATAGTAGGAATTCAAGAGTAACCACAAAATTAATTATTGATTTCAATATATTTATGCTGTATGAACTATGAATGGCATAAGACTTGCAGAATAAGGCAAAAGAAGTTTCACATTAACTGTCCTCTCTAAGGAAGTAAAAACAGTTTCATTACCCTATTTGAAAAAGATTAAGAATAACTTTTATTCACAGAGTTTCCCAGATCTGTACATTTGTGCTGGCATTGCACAAGTGACATAATAATATTAATTCCTGGCATTTATTGAGTACTTGTTTCATATCAAACAATGTTTTACACATATGCATTTATGTCTAATCTAATCTTCATAACAATTGCCAGAGGGAAGTATTACTATTATATACAATTTATACATGAAAAAAATCAAGGCACAGAGATGTTAAGTACACCTCAGACAGCTAGTAGGTGGCACAGGAGGACTTTTCTTTAGGTGTTCCAAAGGCCAGAGACTATGTCTGTAACTATTATACTAAGTTATACCAATCTCCTCCAGCCTGGACATATGGAGTCTTTTCTACCCATGATTAAAAGCTTGAGAAAAATGAGCCTGAATTTTTGACTGGCCTGAAATTTCATCCTAAGAAAGAGGATAGTAATGCAGCTAATATATTTTAACATAGGTGAAAAAACCAAAAGGGTAATACACAAATCCATGAGAAAAATGGACAAAAATATGTAGATACAGACAACAGAATAAACACAACATACCAATAAATATGACAATGTCATCTATCTCAATCAGGAAATCTACTATAAAATGAGATTTTTTTACTCAATAGATTGTGAGGGGAAAATGGTGTTACATGTGATGTTGATGACACTCACACATTGTTGGTGGAGGTATAAATTGGCACACATTTTGGATTTAAAAAACTGAAATTATTTACCCAACATTTAAAACACGCATACTAATTCTAAGAATCCATTCTACAGAAATACTTACATATGTAACTGCACAAAGAAATGTGTACATGGATTTGGTATTAAATTGATTTCAAAAATTCAAAAGATCAAGTGTTAATTTTGAAATTACTAAATTATGAAAAATGTTACACAGCTATTAAATAGAACAAGTATTATCTAAAATGAGCTGCAATGAAAATAGCTCATCAAATATAGCTAAATGAAAAAAGCAAGTAACATTTTTATAAGACTTTGTCATTTGTGCAGGGAAATCTCCTAGCTATACATAAATTCGTACACCTGTATATGTGTATGTGAGTACACATGTATGCACATGTGTGTTTACATACATCTGTATTTAATTTCGTGATCTGGAATGATGTACATTAAGTAGTCAACAGAAGTTGCTTTAGGCAGAGGAATGAACTAGGAGAAATAAACCCTTCTATGTTTTTCAATAATATTACAGGAAACACGTATTAATGTTAGAATTTCTAAAAAGCCTTTTCTCAAAAAACGTCTGGCCCCTTAAGTTCTCAAAACAGTACACATTTCTCATATATTTTAGTAAAAGCCAAAATTAAGCAATTATTAAAAGCAGTTTAGAATCTTGTTGGATTGTGCTAAATTGTATCAAAGTGTTTCCTCAAAAATATCATTTTGTATCACTTACATTATTATTCAATATTGGGCTATGTTTAAGTAAGTTAACCTATATTATTAATTAAAATAGTTTGCATGAGAAACCAAATAGCACACAAAATAAACCATGACTCCTCAGACTCTAAGATAACTGCATGACATAAGCAAAAAGTCAGTATTTCATGCCATATGTTGATGCTTTTTAGAATATGAATTGATCTCGAGAGCTCCTAATACCTTAGCTTTAGAGTTACTAGCCCTTCCTCATTCCTCTCATCGCCATAGTAATGTTAAATAATGTATTAGGTAGGATAAACAGCAACAGGTAAACTCCCAAATCACAGTGATTTAACAAAATAAAACTTTACATCTTGCTCATGTAAAGTCCTAGGCAGGGATGACAGACAGCCTTCCACTGGTGATGCAGGGACCCAGGCACCTTCCATCGCATGGTCCCGCCATCCTAGAGCCCTGTAGGCCTTCACTTCCAGCCAGTGATGGGAAGGCCAAACATGGAGGAGGCATGCCCTCCTCCTCCATGCATGCCCTCCTTCCACTGCAGCCCTGGAAGCTGCACAAATCTCTTCTGCTTGTATACCTTTTGTAAGAACATGACCCCACCTAAATATAAGAGGGCTGGGAAATGCAATCCCACACTGGCAGTTAAGTCCAGAGACAATTGTGCAAGGGAAGAAGACCCCACATCTTTTAAGGAATTTGTCTTAGTTAAGGTAACACTAGCAGCTGAAACAAACCCTAAAAGTAAGTCCTTACAATTATTTCTCTTTTGTTCTCTGTTTCAAAGGATTTCAGATGAACTTCTGCCCTTTTAACTCATAATTATTCATGAAATATAATTGAGAACATTAGCATTTTCACTCTCTTCTCATTCCACTTCTGTCATGCCATCCTGAAGATATATTTACCTATGTCTTGGCTGTTTCTCCGAACATTATTAGCTGCTCTTTTATAAAACATCTCTTAGGATAATTTACTCTGTAAGGTGGCTAAACCCACCCATCTTATGTTAGCTTTTGTCTGTATTACTCTCAAATGAACTCTGTGGTCAAATTCTAAAAGTACTTTAAGCATAGAAGTTATAAATGTTCAATGAAATCAAATGCCCAATGCTGGAAGATCATGTAAATATTTCTCATTTCAATTAATATTGGCTGTGTCGTTTATGTGCTGAGTTCTTTCATATACTTTTGTGTCATTTTTACTGTCTTCAACAGAAGTTATTTCAATTTAATTTTAACAGAATATTGACAATTTTGAGTTATAGCTATTGATATTCATGTTCCTAAAGGGTTTTTGCTAAGTTTTTGTTTGTGTGACATTCCCAAATGTTATACTTACTTACTAATTATTTTCTATCTTTTTAATTTTTATACCCTCAAATGTGTGTTTATAACCAATGTTCCTAAGGTGTTGGTTATATAGAAATGAATTCTCTAAAGCCATTATTCACAGAACTTTCAGCTGACTACTTGCTCCCAAAAGGCAGTTTCCTGATTTCTGCATACTGGCGTATCATGCAAACATCTGTAAGCATATCCATTTCTACTAAGATCGGACTGTTCTGTCTGTGTTATTTTCCTTCGTATACTTTTACGTTTTGTATGTGTTTACTCTGACCATTTTTAGAAGCTTAAGCTTCTTCAACTTGATATGTGATAAATCATGTAATTTGAGGCGATGCATTTCCTAAATTAGTTTGTTTGGCATCATAAAAACCTTATATTTAACTTGTTTTAGCTCACATTTTCTGTTTTCTACCTTAAAATGACTTTTTCTAACTGATGTTCATATGATGAGGAATATGGAAAAAAGTTCTAAAATTGTTGTTTTCACAGGCTTGTCATTTATATCTGTTGCACTTCACCGGGGTGTGGAAAGAAAAATAAAGAAAAGATTCTAATGTTTATGGATGGCCTACTAGGCACTAGACTTTTCATATGATCAGGAGCATTTTTGTGTGTCCCCAAAGCAATTCACTGTGGACATATACAGCTGGAACACAGGTGAGCGTGTTCTCACACCCTGATTACCTGGGCAAGATTTTCCTTGGGTTTATACCATAACCCCAGCAGGTCAAAGACCACATTGTAATAAACTCATTAGTTTGTAAATTGCATAATTGCTTAATATAAAATTCATAATCCTCCTATGTCCAGTAGAAGAAAGAAGTAGAAATAAACATGAAAATACCTTTGACCAGCAAATATCTCCACCCTCCAGGGAGAGGTAGTAGCTTCTAGGGAAACCATCTTGGAGAGGGTCCTGTCTTCCCCTGAGGTGGGCTCTGAATCCAGCACTCTTCCCCTTTCAGAATAAAGATTAGAGAATAATTCTAATACACGATCTACAGTGGTGGTTTGTGTCTTAGGAGACCCTCCCTTCAGGCAGGTTCTAATAAGCCCCACCGGGACACCTTGGCCCCTCCGTTGACTCCCCAGTCTGCTCTGTGCCTCCCTCACCAGCTCCCCAAAGCATCTCCATACCTTGGAGGGTCACTTGGAACCAGCTAACTTTTCAGGGTCCTTTCTTCCCAGTTCTGCTGCAACACAAGTAACCCAGATTACATCAGGGAGAGGCTGAGCTACAGAGGTTCCTGCCAGGAGCTTATTCATTGTCACACTGGTTCTGCTTCCTGACAGGTTCACTTGAACCATCTGAAGCTTGGGGAACAAGGGCAGTGCTGGGATTCATGAAATCCAAGCATTCCGGGACTATAATGAAAGATGTTGTCTCAGAGGTGTGCTCTGTGGCTGTCGGTGTTTGTTAATTGTGCATCCTGCTGGGGTTAAGAACAGAAATAGAAAAAACCAATTGTCTTGTCTCTCCTTCCCCAAGGAGATGAGCATGCAGGAGGTTTCATGGCCCAGCTCCTCCAGTGATCCCTCAGCTGTCAACCAGGCTGAGCACATCAGAGAATAACACCTCCTTTTCTGAGGATTCTGATACATTTTCAATCAGAAACAGAAGCAAAGATTCTGCAGCTCCCACAGAAACTCCCAGAAACCTTCAGGTGCTTCACTCTTCTGAGATCCTTGAGTCCAAATGTGGGAGCTAACCAGGTTGCCTCTTTTTACTTTACCATGAATTCCTCCTAGACATGTTGTAGCTCCTGGTCTTGGTTAACTTTCACATCCACTACAAACATTGGTAAGGAAATTCACTCCTCTCTAATTATGTGCTGATTATCTTTCTGCAATGGGGATAGTTTGAGGGAAAGTTCATGCTAACTTCTTTGAACATATTATCACAAATAATGTATGTATGTAGAGAATTAAGCTAATTTTTTATATGATGGAGAAGTAACTGCATGAAAGCAACAAAACTATAAACATCAATGCCAGATTTAAATAAATAAAGAATACATCATCCATAAAATTAACATGTTGACTTCCACTGCCATAATCAAGACTACAAAATCAGCTTTAGAGGATCATGGTTTTAAGGGACTATTGTGAACCTTGAAGAGGCAATGCTTGTCAGGTTCATACAATCTTCAGGCTACTCAAGAAATTGTTAAAGACTGATAATAATTGATCTCAGCCATTAAGTGTTCACTGCATACCAGAAATGTGTTCAATGTATAACACAGATCATCTCAATTAATCTTCACAACCACCTCATAAAATAGGTACTATCACTTTTCTCCTTTTTAAAAAAGAGGAAACGAGTTTGGAGAGGCTAAGATATGTGCTCAAGGTCATATAACTAATAAATGTGCATCTGACCACTAAGCCCATGGCTCTTTAATTGCTACTTTTTTTGTTTCTTTCAGTGTTTACTCTGCCTGAGAACCTGATTCACAGAAGAATGTGGAGAGTTCATTAATGTTTTGCTTTCTCATATTTAATCAAATTGATATCTAGTTAGTCAATAAATAATTATTGAACACCTACCATATTCCAGGCACAATATATAGTCAAATGTATTTCACCTTTTTAGTCACTTACTAGATCAATAAATCAAATGAATGAATGAATGCCTAAATATCATTTTTTGGTTTTTTTTTTGTTGTTGTTTGTTTGTTTGTTTTTTTACCGTCTTTGGACTGAATCTGGAATTTCTGGCTTGCTTAAATCTTGCCTACTGTAATCGGTATACTTGAAAGACACTACTATTTCTCCACCCACCCCCACCCCATAGTTTCTTTCATTCTATGTGATACAAAGAAAATCTCATTTAAATGCAAATGGATTAAATTCATCAAAGGATTGGAAAAAGTGAAAGAAGATACTAAAAATAAAATTAAATATAACCCAGTTGCAAACATAACGTTCAGGCATTGTGTATGTTTTAAATGATATATATGTACAAGTTAGCCATTTAAAAATTTGGCAAATTATTTTATGACTAATAAATTATCCAACATCTCCATGATTTCTAAGTAAATATGTAAGACTGAAATCATTTCTTTGCAGATGACCAAACCTGTCTATTTCAAAAAGTAAAACTTAAGATCTGATGAGCCAACAAACTCCTAATGAGTCACATCATATTCTTTAAATAAAAGCTATTTTTAAATCCTCAGGTCAAATAAAGTATTAGATGCTTTACTCCCGAGTAATAAGAATATTTGAGGCCAGGTGCAGTGGCTCATGTCTGTATTCTCAGCACTTTGGGAGGCTGAGGCAGAAGGACTGCTTGAGGCCAGTAGTTTGAGACCAGCCTGGACAACACAGTGAGACCCTATCTCTAAAAAAAAGTTTTTAAAAAAAGGTAGCCAGACATGGTAGAGCACACGTGTAATCCCAGCTACTGGGGAGGCTAGGTGGGAGGATCACCTGAGCCTAGGGAGGTTGAGGTTGCAACGAACTATGATTGCGCCACTGCACTCCAGCCTAAGTGACAGAACGAGATCCTGCCTCAAAAAGAGAAAGAAAAAAAAAAAGACAAAGGAGTGTTATGAGTGTATTAGTTTTAACAAATATTCTTTTTTTCCTTTTCTTTTTGTTGAGACAGGGTCTCACTCTATTGCCCAGGCTGAAGTGCAATGGTTCTATCATAGCTCACCACAACCTCAAACTGCTGGGCTCAAGCAACCCTCCTGCCTCAGCCTCCCAAGCGGGTAGAACTACAGGCATGTGCCACCACGCCCAGCTACTGTTTTTGTTTCTGTTTTACTTGTTTTTTTGAGACAGGGTTTCACTATGTTGCCCAGGCTGGTATTAAACTACTGGTGTCAAGCAATCCTCCTGCCTCAGCCTCCCAAAGTGCTGGGATTACAGGCATGAGCCACCGCATCCAGCCTCAAATATTTCTGATTCTTGGAAATAAATCATCTAATACTTTACTTGACCTGAGGATTTAAAAATAGCTTTCATTTTAAGAATGTTGTGTGACTCATTAGAAAGGAGTTTGTCAGCTCATCAGATCTTAAGTTTTACCTTTTGAAGTAGACAGGTTTCGTCATGTGTAAAGAAATGATTTCAGTCTTACATATTTACTTAGAAGCCATGGAAACGTTGGTTAATTTATTAGTCATCAAATAATTTGCCAAATTTTTAAATGGCTAACTTGTACATATATATCACTTAAAGCAAGCTTGTCCAAATTGCAGGTGGCCCAGGACAGCTTTGAATGTGGCCCAACACAAATTTGTAAATTTTCTTAAAATATTATGTGATTTTTTTTTTAAGTTCGTTAGCCATCGTTAGTGTTAGTGGATTTTATGTGTGGCTCAAGACAATTCTTCTTCTTTCAACATGGTCCAGGGAAGCCAAAAGATTGGACACCCCTGAAAGTATACACAATGCCTGAATGTTACATTTGCAACTGGGTTATATTTAATTTTTTTTTTTAGTCTCTCCTTTCACTTTTGCCAACCCTTTGGTAAATTTAATCCATTGAGTTAAGTAAGATGTTCTTTGTATCATGTAGAATGAAAGAAACTATGGGGGAGAAAAAGAAAACAAAAGTGTCTTTCAAGTATTCAGATTATAGTAGACATTCCAGATTCAGTCAAAGGATGGTTAAAAAAACTATGCATTCATTCATTTATTCATTTGTATTTATTGATTAATTTGTCCACACAGTAAGTATTTACTGTCAGGATTACAAAAGTGAGAGCACCTTTTCCTTGTTCACAAGGAGTGTGTTAACAACCCAGTCCTGTAAAAGAAATCAGGGTTTCAACCCATGTGGCAACTGTCCTTAAAGAATCTGAGTGTCTTCACCAAGCTCTCCTTTCTTCTTGACTCTCCATCTAGCTTTCAAAGAAATTCATACTTGTGCATAGTGGATTTTTTTTCTTTGTATAATCATTTGGGGAGTTACAAAAGGAAATAATGAAGGACTAAATAAAGAAATTAAGTTTTTTATAAGATGTAGACTGGGTACACGGTTCATGCCTACAATCCCAGCACTTTGGGAGGCTGAGGTGGGAGGAGCACTTGAACCCAAAAGTTTGAAACCAGCCTGGGTGACATAATAATACATTGTCTGTACAAAAAATATTTATTTAAAAAAATTAGCTAGGTATGGTGGCATGCACCTGTAATCCCAGCTACTTGGGAGGCTGAGGGGGAGGATCACTTGAATCTGATATGTCAAAACTACAGTGAGCCGTAATCACACCACCGCATTCCAGGGCAGGTTTCACAGGGAAACCGTCTCAAAAAAATAAATAAATAAATAAAGATGTTTATAAGGTGTAAATTCAAATGCATTTCACAACCAAATATTTCATATGCTTTGCGTGTTTTCCAATTAAATGTAGAAGGTTGGCCTAGGAGAGTATTTTTTTAATAGAATCCTGAAAAAAAAAATATAACCCTTGGCCATGTGTTATGAAGTTACAATATTCACTAGAATTTATTTGTGTCTTGCTGATAATAATCAACAATTTATTGATAATGCTTATAAGTATACAATCATTTGTTACCACTGGAAAAGGATCCAGTGGGAACGTTCTTTAGGGCTCCAATTAGATTAGTTTTTTAACTTTTTCTTTTCTAACTTTTAAGTTCAGGGGTACAAATGCAGGTTTGTTACATAGGTAAACAAACTTGTGTCTTGAGGGTTTTTTGTACAAATTATCTCATCACCCAGATATTAAGCCTAGTACCCATTAGTTATTTTTTGTGATCCTCTTCCTCCTCCCACCCTTTACCCTGTGATAGGCCCCAGTACTGTGTTGTTCCCCTCTATGTGTCCATGTGTTCTCATCATTTAGCTCCTGCTTATATGTGAGAACATTCGGTATTTGGTTTTCTGTTCCTGCATTAGTTTGCTAAGGATAATGGTCTCCAGCTCCATCCATGTCCATCAAAGGATAAGATCTCATTCTTTTTTTATGGCTGCATAGTATTCCATGGTGTATATGTACCACATTTTCTTTATCCAGTCTATCGTTGGTGGACATTTAGGGTGGTTCCATGTCTTTGCTCCAATGACAGCTGGACCAGGGTCTTATCAAAAGCAGCATATTTCCTTAATCTGGAGAAGTTCTCCTTAATCCAGAGAAGCTTTTTCTTCAGAGATAAGCAGGTTCAACGGCTCAGCCGCAGGTTATTTTTGCCTAGCAAAGGCACTAACAAAAACATGTGCACTGGCAAAATACTGGATTTCTACATGGTATATTGAGGAAAATGTTATCTAGGACTTAAGGACAAAAACCCAAATATTATTTGGCACATCACCAATTCACAAATACCAATTACCTGACAATTTATTGCTATAATAATCTGCAAAATAATGAAGTCACTAAATTAGCTCTTTGCAAAAAAAGTTTTAATTAGCCACCTGTAAAGTGTTTAGCAATTCTTATGTTGCTGAAGCACAATTAATTTTTTATGAATGGTCATTTCTGGTGTTTTTGAAAGATACTTCATTTAAATTTTTTCTCCATAGTTTCTTTCATTCTACATGTAAAAAGAACATCTTACTTAAACACAAATGGATTAAATTTACCAAAGGGTTGGCAAAAGTGAAAGGAGAGACTAGAAAAGAAATGATATATAATGCAGTGGCAAACATAACATTCAGGCATTGTGAATGTTTTAAATGATACGTATGTACAAACTCGCCCAGAAAAATCTAATTTCTACAAATTGTGTGAGTTGTTATTCAAAACCAGTTTTTGGTAAATCAGTAACTGTGCATCAATCAGTAGATTAACTGCCAAATCACCAATTATCGGTTCCTATTTATGACCCATTGTAAAATAAAGATTGCAATTAGAACCCATTTGTAGCACATCCATTAGTTCCTTCTCAGGAACCCAAACAATCACAATGTCATTAAAATTGTTTTTTGTCTTTCTACTTCTTCTGTTATTATATAAACTGCTCCAGAGTGCAAAGGTTGATTTCAGATGTTGAAAGCAAAATAGTTGATATTTCTACTGAGAAACTGGGATTACATCATCTTTTTTTCTAGGACTACTCTAATTCCCATATTTGGAGTTCTTCCATTACTGATTATTTCTACACTTCAGGAATTCTCTTAGTAATTTTTATATGTGCAGCTTCAAGACAATCCTTATTAGATGGTCATTTTACTTCCACTTTTGGTACGACATTCTTTCTTCCCATGATGTGTCAATGGCTCTATGTATCCTATCATTGGTGACACAATCCCTTCTATAACACTGGATACTTACAATCAGTAATTAACTTAATGTGTAGCTCAATCACTAATGTTAAAAGTTTATCTTTTAAAAATGACTAAATTCATAAAATAATGTCTAGGTGTTTTTTGACAATCTGGTCCTAAGTGATCTTTTTCTTTTTCACAGGGAAATGGGGGAAAATCAGACAATGGTCACAGAGTTCCTCCTACTGGGATTTCTCCTGGGCCCAAGGATTCAGATGCTCCTCTTTGGGCTCTTCTCCCTGTTCTATATCTTCACCCTGCTGGGGAACGGGGCCATCCTGGGGCTCATCTCACTGGACTCCAGACTCCACACCCCCATGTACTTCTTCCTCTCACACCTGGCTGTCGTCGACATCGCCTACACCCGCAACACGGTGCCCCAGATGCTGGCGAACCTCCTGCATCCAGCCAAGCCCATCTCCTTTGCTGGTTGCATGACGCAGACCTTTCTCTGTTTGAGTTTTGGACACAGCGAATGTCTCCTGCTGGTGCTGATGTCCTACGATCGTTACGTGGCCATCTGCCACCCTCTCCGATACTCCGTCATCATGACCTGGAGAGTCTGCATCACCCTGGCCGTCACTTCCTGGACGTGTGGCTCCCTCCTGGCTCTGGCCCATGTGGTTCTCATCCTAAGACTGCCCTTCTCTGGGCCTCATGAAATCAACCACTTCTTCTGTGAAATCCTGTCTGTCCTCAGGCTGGCCTGTGCTGACACCTGGCTCAACCAGGTGGTCATCTTTGCAGCCTGCGTGTTCTTCCTGGTGGGGCCACCCAGCCTGGTGCTTGTCTCCTACTCGCACATCCTGGCGGCCATCCTGAGGATCCAGTCTGGGGAGGGCCGCAGAAAGGCCTTCTCCACCTGCTCCTCCCACCTCTGCGTGGTGGGACTCTTCTTTGGCAGTGCCATCATCATGTACATGGCCCCCAAGTCCCGCCATCCTGAGGAGCAGCAAAAGGTCTTTTTTCTATTTTACAGTTTTTTCAACCCAACACTTAACCCCCTGATTTACAGCCTGAGGAACGGAGAGGTCAAGGGTGCCCTGAGGAGAGCACTGGGCAAGGAAAGTCATTCCTAACTGGTGTGACATTTGACTCTCCCTCCTCAGTCATCTCCTGGAATCTTGGTACCAAATACCACCTAAGTTCACTACTCTCTTTATATCTGAGACTGAATGAACCAAGAGACTCTGCAAAGCATTCCTTTTTCCTGCCTGGGAAGTATTTAGTTTTTGATGCATTTGTTATACTTAACATTTTTTAATTTAAGCACTTATTGAGTTGAGAATGTTGGGGAAAGATTTATTTTGTACACTGCTATGAGTCCAGAAGTTTAAAACAGACACTCCACCTGTGACTTAGTCAGGTATGCTCAGTAGTAGAGGAATAGCAGTTATTACCAGATAAAGTCATATCTATAAAAAGTTTTTAAAAATACAGCCACAGGCAGAGACTCCAGAACCCATTGATACCTCTGTCCATTTTCATCCTCATTTGGATGTTTCCCCTCAATTGTACTTCCTTTCTTATAAGCAGTAAATGTACCTAAGTGCCTACTTCAGCTTGGAGGGAAATTGATTTTTATAAAATCCTACAAACTGACAATTTCTGTTGTCAGAGAGAGTGAATCCATAAACATTCAGCTGGCAATCTGAAGCAATTACACAACAAAATCCACTTTCCAACCTGCCCTGAGACTGTGATGGTCACTTGTTTCTACTCTTCTCACCTCCTCCAGGGGACTGTCTATGATTGTCTCTAAATAAGCACATGCTCTTCACTTAGAGGAAGTTAGTACCACCACACAACTTTTCACTGCTGGGGACGAATGGAAAGCCCCACACAGAGACAATTCAATGGAAAAAAGCGTTTTAATAATAATGTTAATAGTTAGCATTATTATAAATTACTCTGCACCATCCACTGCACATTGATAGGTACTTTATAGAGATAACCTCAGTTTATCATTATAGCCAATTCATTTCCCATTATTATCCCATTTTATAGATGTGAACTTCAAGCAGATGGTAAATGTTAGACTCATACCCAAACAATCTGGCTCCCAAGCCTTCTTTACTTAACCAGGACAATGTGGGACTTTATTAGCAACATTTCAAATTAAGAATAAGTCTAACCAATCCTAACGTAGGATATGTTAAGTGAATGTGGGTTTCTTCCCCATCTAGAATGTGCCATGATGAGGCCAGGAGAGTCAGAGATTATTTATGGAAGGCTTCTTATCCTGTTTGACGAGTCCTGTGGGCATGGCTGCAAAGGAGGTTAAGAGATTCAGAGGAACACAGAACACAGACAGGGTGGGAGTAGAGGCTGTTCTCAATGAGATTAGAGAGTAAGTTTAGAACTATACTTGGTTCTGGGTGGTAAGATCCAGAACAAAGACATCTCTAGTTCACATACAACACTCACATGCTCACGTACATGCGTGCGCGCACACACACACACACACATATACGCACAGTGCTTAGTGAAGCACTATTCCAAGAACCTTACAAGTAAGAGCTCTTTAAGTCCTCATAAAAACCCTATGAGGTAGGGACTATTACTACTATTTTTAGGCGAGAAAACAGAACTATAGAGAGATTATATAATTTAACCAATGCTCCCAGCTAATAAGTACCTAGTCCAGAATCAAACTTAGGCAATATGACTGCTGAACCCATAATCGTAACCATTATATAAAAATCAAAGAGATCATGAAATTTCCAAAGATGAAGAGGAGGAGAGATGAAAAGCAATTTTCAATCTCTAGCCAAAGATAGGCATTGGGCTCCAGACAGAAAAGTACTTAAAGCTGGGGGAAAAACAAACAAACAAACAAACAAACAAACAAAAAACAGCTTTTTTTATACTGGTGCGTGAAATGAGATGAGGTGGTAGCAAGAAGGAACTGTGACTCCAAGGGTCAGAGACGGAGGAGGAGCCTCTTGACGGGCAGGATGGTGAAACCAAAAACAATGGATAAAACTTTTAAGTTGATGGTTCATCAATTGAAGAACATTAGAAAGTGTTTTTGTAAATTATCTAGCCGGGCATGGCAACGTGTGCCTATATCCCCAGCTATTCGGGAGGCTGAGGCAAGAGGATCACTTGAGCCAGGGATTTTGAGGCTGCAGTGAGCCATGATCGCACCACTGCATTCCAGCCTGGGTGACAGAGTGAGACCTTGTCTCCAACAATAATAACAATGAAATAATTTATTAAATTTTTTAAAATTACCCAAACTGGATATACAATTTGTAATTCCATTGCTGCCGAACAGTTTTTAAACGGTTGTTTAGTTTCACGGCAGATGCTGCATACTGCATTGCAACTAACACTGGGAAGGGATACATTCAAGTGGCAGGACAAAGGTGAGGAGCTCTAATACCAGGGGTAGGTTTCAAGGGATGAATACTCCCCTGGTACCAGAGGAGCAGCAGGAAATCATGGTGTGCAGAAACCATGCTCAGGCGGTTGCCTGTGTGGACCCTAAATTCTGTGTGTGCAGTCCTCTCTTAGGATTGGCCCAGGCATCCAAGAAGCCCACGATGCTGCCTACCCCTTAAATACACAAGGTGCGTACCGGAGGCCCTGGTTCTAGTTCCAGATGTACCATTTGCTAGCTGTGTTTTTTGCAGAGAAGTCCCTTAAACTGCTTAAGCTTCAGTCCTTCATCTGAAAATTATGCATATGGAAGCTGTTTAGGACACCACAGAGTGCCACTGAAAACCCAAAGCAAGATGCAAATGGACACATTTTTTTTCTGAAGACTTAAAAGTGCTATGTGAACATAAGATAAACTGTTATGATTACCCTGCTGTCAGAAGTTATTTTAATCCTGTCAGGGTTGCTAAACTTTCTGATCTGGAACCAAAATTGCTCTTTAAACAGGAAGAGCATTGGTGCTGGTAGGTCACCTACGCCTTTGCCCTCATGGCTTCCCCTTGTCCCCCCTAGAGGCACAGGAGGCCACTCACTCTTGGAGGGCATAGCTGGACCAGGAGCATGAGCTGTGGCCCAGACTCAGGGAACCTCTGTGAGTCAGCTGGCAAAGGCTCCCGGGGAGCCTGTCTCTGAATCTGGTCCTAGCCCGTTCACTTGGAAAAAACAGGAGACTTCTCCCAAGGTCAAGGAATTCAGATTTTGGTTTTGGTTTCCAACTTTTTGTAATCCTCAACCTGGGATTTACAGTGCATGTCTCAATTATGTTTCATTCATTGCTTCACAAAGGGAAGGACAAGCACTGGTTCATCTCTTTACACCTATACATTCCTAGCACAGAGTGAGTACTCACAAAAAACATACGGAATACATAGAGGACACTTTATCTGTTGACCCCATTTCCAAATTTTCAGTGTTGAGCCATCTTCTGATTTCTAAACTTCTTTAAATCCCTCTAATTTTAGGTTATACTACAGTAGAAATTTAATTGTAGCTGATAATTATTGAGCACTTACTATGTGGTTGGCACTGCATAAAATGCTTTAGAAAAATTCTTACATCAAATATGTGGAGTAGGTACTAATACTATCCTAACATTAAAGGGGGGGAAATAAAGTTTAGTGTAATTAATTAATTTATTCAAGGTCGCCAAATCATTCAGTGGTAGAAACATGAATCAAGACCAGGCAGTCTGACTGTAAATAAATTCTGAGCCACTCTCTTGCAGAGGACCTCCTGATATTCATCTCCTGAATGGTTGGCAACAGGCCTGTTCATAGTAGACACACAATAAACTTTGACTAAATGAACAAATGAGTGGTTGTGTTCAAATTTCTACTCACATCATATAGGCCTAGGGATGTGTTACCCTTTATTCTTTTTATTTATTTATTTATTTATTTATTTATTTACTTATTTATTTATTTGAGAAGGAGTCTTCTTCTGTTGCCCAGTCTGGAGTGCAGTTGTTGGCTCACTGCAACTTCTGTCTCCCAGGTTTAAGTGATTCCCCTGCCTCAGCCTCCTGAGTAGCTGGGACTACAGGCGTGGGCCACCATGCCTGGCTAATTTTGTATTTTTAGTAGAGAGGGGGTTTCCCCATGTTGGCCAGGCTGGTCTCGAACTCCTGACCTCAGGTGATCCACCCGCCTCGGCCTCCCAAAGTGCTGGGAACACAGGCGCGAGCCACCGTGCCTGGCCTATTCTTTTAAGTTTGGATATCTTGTGCATTTGGTTTGTCCAATTCATCCTTTTGGCATATTCTTATGCAGTAGATATTAATAATCAAGAATATCCTATTGCTCTAGGATCACAGAGAAGAAAAGAAACAATTTAGGGTTGAAATTTAGCATTTACTATTAAAAATGCTGGGAATACTTATTTATGTTTTATCGTAGGAGTCCATGGCGATTGCCTTCTCACAGAAGTGTGCCAAATGACTGAAACTGTGATTCCAGAAGGCCAGGATGGTACTGGTGCTACACAGGAAGTCATGTCAGGGTGTTGATCTTGAAAACTCTGGCAAGAGGGTGGAGACAACTGTAGGCAATAACTACTGGGAATGAAAGGGATGGGAATTTGTGTGTTGTAGTCAGTTTCCTTGCCGCCTGAGATTGGCACCTGCAGCATCTTTGGCACGTGGACCAGGGATTGCCAACTGCCGACCTGTAGGACTGGTGTTTACTGTTGGCTGTGAGTGTAGAGTACCATTGTTAAATACAGGTTCTTGAGAATAGACAAAAAGGAAAGACATTTGGAATGCTGTCTCACTGGACTTCACAGCTCTCATGTTTTCGCAGCCAGCAGAGAAGTGTCTTACATCCCTTGCTTTCTTCATAAATTTTAAATAGCATTGGCTCATTTTTATCTGTGTTTTTCCAAGCTGTGTTTCTCTGTTTTTAATTTTTGAAATCATGTTGTGCCAAAAGAAGAAGTGAATCCTTGAACACGGTATGATTTGGTCAACAGAATACTGCCTCAGCATGAGAATGTCTGGGCTGTCACGACAATTCCCTCACTTACACACTGTGTGACCTCAGAAAAGTTGCTTAACTCCTCTGGACTTCCATTTCCACACATATAAAATAAAGAATTGAACTAGAAAAACTTTAAGGTCACCTCTTGTTTTCTAATTCCCTGTCTTTATTAGTTTCTTCACATTTCATATTAATTTGGATTTTCACTTTTGTCAAAGGAGTATAAAATAAATTCCATACAGAGAAAATGAAATGGACTTCTGAGGCTAACTGAATCTCTCTGACCTTAAATACAGTAGAACCCCAAAAATACGTACTGGCCAGGCACGATGGCTCATGCCTGTAATCCTAGCACTTTGGGAGGCCGAGGCAGGAGGATCACTTGAGGCCAGGAGTTTGAGACCAGCCTGGCGAATATGATGAACCTTTTCTCTACTAAAAATACAAAAACCAGCCAGGCATGGTGGCATGCGCCTGTAATTCCAGCTACTTGGGAGGCTGGGGCACAAGAATCGCTTGATCCTGGAAGGCAGAGGTTGCAGTGAGCCAGGATCATGCCACTGCACTCCAGCCTGGGTGACAGAGGGAGACTCTGTTTCAAAAAAGGAAAAAAAATAGTACATACTGAAGTAATTAATTAGTTGACTATTTTAGTGCTCTGGGAAATAGAAATTTCATAAGACTGGCTAAAAGGTAACACGAAATGCCCACCTTAAGGAAAGAATATTACTAGGAATAACTTTGATTGGGAATGGTTCTAGGAACTAGACTAAAACATAAATATCTAGTTTTGTACCCATATTACCCACATTGTAGATATACTTTTAAGAGCTAGTATTTGCTGAGAGCTTATGAAATGTCAGGCATTGTGCTAAGGTACATGCATCATTATCATGTCTCAACTTCATAACAATTCTAGTACTTTTATTATTATTATTACAAAAGAAGAGATAGAGGTTCAGAGATAGTAAGAAACTTTTCTATGGTCACACAGCAAGTATCTGACATAACTTGGACTCTAATCCAGGTGAGCCTGACTCCATAACCACTGGGTCATATGGCCTCCCTCTATCCTGGACTTACAGAATCTTTTTCTGTGAACAGTTAAGTAAGGATCAAGAAAATCAGCCTTGAGATCTATTGTACAACTTGGTGATGATAGCTAATAACAATAGATTGTATTGTGAAAAATGTTGACAGAGTAGATTTTAAGTGTTCTCACCATAAAAATGACAAGGGTGTTAGATAATTCATATGGTAATTTGCCCAATTTAGTCATTCCACAATGTACATACATTTCAAAATATCATTTTCTACATGGTAAATCTATACAATTTTGTCAATTAAAAAATAAAACACTTATTTTACTTAATTTTATTTATTTATTTATTTATTTTTGAGATGGAGTTTTGCTCTTGTCGCCCAGGCTGGAGTGCAATGGCACAATCTCAGCTCACTGCAACATCCACCTCCCGATTCAAGGGCTTCTCCTGCCTCAGGCTCCTGAGTAGCTGGAATTACAGGCGGCCACCACCATGCCTGCCTAATTTTTTGCATTTTTAATAGAGACAGGGTTTCACCATGTTGTCCAGGCTGGTGTTGAATGCCTGACCTCAGGTGATCCACCCGCCTCAGCCTCCCAAAGTGCTGGGATTATAGGCATGAGCCACTGCAGCCGGCAGAAAAAAATAAAACGTTTAAAAAGTCCACCATCTTTACCACACACAAAGAAAAGAAAATCAGCTTTAAGAAAATGATTAAAATATAGCTAACGTAGTCCCCAATATATATAACAAGCAAAATAGTAATACACAAACCAGTTTTTTATTGGAAAAAAACACATAGATACAAGTAGAGACAGATAAACTATTTACAGTAGAACAAGTGACAGAGAATAATAAATGTAATGAAAGATGTATAGTTCCTCTAGTAAGTAATAAATTTTAAAGCACAAGATACCATTTTTCACCCATTAGATGGACAAAAATTAAAAGATGGATACTTTCTAGCATCGCTAAGCATGTAGGCAAGTGGATACTTCCCCACAGTCTTAATAGATTTTGGGGAAATTTGGTCATGTCTCTTCAAAAACTAAATTGTTAGTTTTGTTTTGATTTTTCAGAGACAGGGTTTCACTCTGTTGCCCAGGCTGGAGTACAGTGACGCAATCACAGCTCACTGCAGCCTCGGACTCCTGAGCTGAAAACAGCCTCCGACCTCAGCCTCCAGAGTAGCTGGAACTACAGGTGCAAGCCACCATGCCTGGCTAATTTTGTTGTTGTTGGTTGGTAGAGATGGGGTCTATATTGCTTAGGCTGGTATTGAATTCCTGGGCTCAAGTGATCCTCCCTCCTCAGTCTCCCAAAGTGCTGGGATTACAGGCATGAGCCACTGTGCCTGGCCTCAAAAAATAAAATGTGCATACCTTTTGATGCAGCAATTTCAATTCTAAGAACATATCCTACAGAAATATTCCCATATGCATAAATATATACATGTACATATATTTTAAGCAGAAGCAATACTTGTAAATTGATAAATAACCTAATATCAATAGTGAGGTTATTAAATAAAACATTGCAAATATATACAATGAAATATGCAACTCTTAATATAAATAAGTTTTACTAGTATATTAACATCTAATTAGATATTAATGTACAGTTAACATATAAACTAATATTACCATAAGCAAAATTTTCACAAAATGTGAAGTGAGGAAACAAAGTATATTGATACTGTGCTTTCTCATTCACTTAAAAACCTATAGATATGTGTATGTGTGAGAATATATATAGAGACATATACTAAAGCATGGGAAAATGTTTAAAATAATACACATTAAAGACTTAAAGAAGAGACCTCTCAAAATGTAGACTGAACCATGGGAAAGAATATTGCATTATTTGAAAATTTTACAGTAAACCAATGTTCATTCCTTGTTCAGAGGAGGTTTTCCTGACCAGCAGACATCACGCCATCAATTGGTGATTCAGGGACCCAGGGTCCTTACACCTCATGGATCTGCCCTCATTTCCACATGGTTCCCATTATTGTCATGTGTGTTGGAGGGAGACAAAGCATGAAAGTTTCAGTGACCTGGCCCAAAAGTGGACTCTTTATTTCTGCTCACATCCCATTGGCTAAGATTTGGTCACCATGGCAATAAAAAATGCAAGTGATTCTGAGAAATGTGGTCTGTATACCCAGGCATAAGAGGAACAATTCTGATAAACATCTAGCAGCCTGTGCCACAGGGAATCAGAGGTTCTGAGTTTCTAGCTCTCTGCCTCTTCAGGACAATAGTAAAACTCAAAAGAAGTAGAGGGACCAAGAGACTTGGGACTCCTCCACAGATCTCCATCATCAGCACCTCCATAGAATTTTTTTTCAATTTTATCTGAATATTTCAATTTTACCTGAATTTTTTTCAATTTTATCAGACAGTAGATTTTTTTTCAATTTTATCTGAAATACAATCCAAATAGAGCTTCAAGACAAATCCCCTAGCCCCCATTTCAGTACAAACATTCTGAAACTGCTACTGCCCTGATTACCTTCTGAGGGACCCAGACAAAGTCAACCCTGAACCATCAAGTCTCAAGATGTTGGGAAATCCTATAAACCTGGATTCAGGTGCGCCATGATCAGCCTTATCCTTATTTTCCTTCCCTGTCTGTAAAATGGTGATAAGACACCACCCCATTTATTTCAAGGAAATGTGAGCTTCACAAAAGGTAATATACACAGCACTTTGTAAGCTGAAAAGAAGTACTAAAAGTTATTCTTAATCATGAAGCATTGAGATCCATCTATTCTCTTCTCTCACCTTTGTTTTCTCCTTCCTTACTTTCTCTATGTATTATTTACCTGATCCCTTATAAAAGAGGTAAAGGATATACACCTACTATGTACCCACAAATATTAAAAGTGTTTTAAAAAATTTAATGTGGTATCTTAAACTAAAACCCACTACAATTTAGTCCCAGGGAAGGCAGTTCTAGGAAAGAGCCAAACAAGGACATATGAACAAAAGGTAATACTGGGCAATAGGACTGGATTTGAGGTAACCAAATCAGACAGGTGTATGATCCTTTCTTCTCAAAAAGTGGGTTGTGATAGGAGATCAGCCATTCCATGCTTTAAGGGGGTAGAGAGAATAAACAGGCTGAATTTCCAGCTATCCCAAATGTGTTTCCCATGGTGTTTGCATTGAACTGGAAGAGAAGAAAGGAAGTGATGACTAAGGTGGATGAAAGGCCAGGTGCAGTGGCTCATGCCTGCAATCCCAGCACTTCGGGAGGCCAAGGCGGGTGGATCACTTGAGGGCAGGACTTCGAGACCAGCCTTGCCAACATGGTGAAACCCCATCTCTACTAAAAATACAAAAATTAGCCGGGCGTCATGGCGCATGCCTGTAAAACCAGCTACTCGGGAGGCTGAGGCAGAATTATCACTTGAACCCGGGAGGCAGAGGTTGCAGTGAGCCGAGATTGCACCATTGCACTCCAGCCTGGGTGGCAGAGGGAGATTCCGTCTCAAAAATAAATAAATAAATAAAATCAGGTAAATGAAGGGTTAAAATACTAAGTAATGAACTCTTCTGGCATGCAGAAGACATCTAGCACTCCATGCCTGCGTGGCTCAACCCTTCCCCATCAGATACAGCAGAACAAAATGTTAGCGTGTGGGCAATGAAAGTCAGTTAGCAGGCTGTAGCAATGCCACTGATGGAATACTATGACCTCAGAAGCTATCTGCCTTTTTTTGAAGCCAACAACTATCCAGTAGGATTTTAGAGGCACTCAAAGCCTTACAATTATCTCTCCCTCCTGCCTTCACATATTCAGAATGTCTTTAGCAAGACAATCTTGTTTCACAATCACAGACAAACTTCCCACGCCGATGTATATGTTCATATAGATAGGTTGTGACTAGCAGGTAATAAGTGTCCTGTTTTGATAAGACTTCGAGTCCTAGATACCTGAAGAGGGTGTGCAGGAAGGGAGGCTAGGGCTCCCCCAACAATTTCATCTATTTTAAACCTTGTCACTTCTGAAACCTGTAATCCCACCAGATTTTTAGCTGTCATTTAAGTCTCTGAAACCTGCCAGGAGCTTTTCTTAATGCAAAAAACAAACAAAACAAATGTCCACTAAGTTCCACCAATACAGGACTGATTAAGTAAAGACCAGTATCTTCATACAATGGAATACCATAAAATTATCAACCAACAGTAAACAATATGGATGGTCTCTAGATCTTACATTGAAAAATCTCCAAGACCCATTCAGAAAAGCAAGAAAAAAGGAAGGGGGTGGATAAACTCTAACTAGATGTGCTTACATATGCATAAAGTCATTCTAGAGGAATACAGAAGAAACTAGGAAGAGAGAGGTTGAAAACAGGGAAGACGGTGACAAGCAGCGGCATATCTAGGCCTGAAGCTTATACAATTTGGGGCAGCTTCTTTAAGAAACAGAATGTGAATGTATGAATACAAAATTAGTTCAGAGCTTTGGAAGGGACTCTTGGAAGGGGTTCTAAGCTTAAGCTTTGCTAGCTTCATGGTAAATCCACTACTGGGGACAAGTAGGAAAGGGAGAATACAAAAAAAATATTTTTGAAAGCTGATTGAAATCTGAGTCATTTATATCTATTCATAAAACTTAATTTTAAAAAAATCAATGTATTTGCCAAAATAGCTCTGGAGAAAGATAACTGACTAGGTGACCAGGCCTCATGAAAAATTTGAGTTCCTATAACCAAATTCATAAAAGGAACACTGCAAAAATGACAACAGTAACCACTGAAATATAATATTTCACCTATTACATTAGCAAAGTCAAAAAGTTTTAAAGGCTGGGTGTGGTGGCTCATGCCTGTAATATCAGCACTTTGGGAGGCTGAGGTGGGAGGATCACTTGAGCCCAGGAGTTCAAGACTACCTTGGGCAACATAGGGAGACTCTGTCTACAAAAAGTAAAAAATCAGCCATGCATAGTGGTGCATTCCTGTGGGAGGCTGAGGTGGCAGGATTACTTGAGCCTGGGAAGTCGAAGCTGCAGTGAGCTGTAATCACGCCATTGCACTCCAGCCTGGGCAACAGAGTGAGACCCTGTCTCAGAAAAAAAAAAAGTTTTAAAAACATACAGTTAGTGAGGCATGGAGTGTCATACATTGCTGTAATTTGGTATAAATGACCTGCATGGAGAAAAGTTTGCCAAAGTCTCCCACAATTACAAATGCACCATTTGACACAGCAATTCTACTTCCAGGAATATAGCCCACAGGTAGACTAGCATGTGTGCTATGCAACAGATGTAAAGGTTATTCACTGCAGCATTGTTTGTACTGCCAAACTACTGGGAAAAACCTCAGCAGGAGACTACACCCATTCAATAAAATCTTGTACAGCTGAAAAATAAATAAGGAAACTATGTGCTAATATAGAACAATCTTCAACCTATATTTTTAAATGAAAAATGCAAGTTTTGAAATATTTTGTGGACTATCATTGATGTAATATATTTCCTGTAAGTGCAAAATATTTTTGGAAGCATTTCACAAACAACTTGTAATATTGGTGCCTTGAGAGAAGATAATTGGATAGCTGGGAAACATGTGGAGGCAGACATTTACTTCTGTGCTTTTAGCTTTTTTGAAGGATGTCAATGTGTAATTTTTTCAAAATATGTCTTGAAGATAAACATAGATCTTTAAAATTTGCAAAATTCACACCAGCCTTAAATTCTAATCAAGCCTGAGACTGTTCAGAGGGAAGCCTGGTGAAGCCCCAAAGCTTTACATCAATTCCACGTTTGATGCAGATCAAACTAGGGATAAGAAAGGTTGAGAACATTGGGCATTTTTTCCCCTCCACTGGAGGGTATACTACTTACATTAAAAAGACTCATTATTTATTAAATGATTCAATGATTTCGTGATTCTAAATAAAACCTTTTCCAGGGACTTTTTTTTTTTTTTGAGATGGGGTCTCACTCCGTCACCCAGGCTGGAGTGTAGTGGTGCGATTACAGTTCATTACAACCTCGAACTCCTGGGCTCAAGTGATCCTCCTGCCTCAGCCTCTGTTCCAGTTCTTCTGTGGGCTCCCAATCCAATGCTTTAGATTCTCAATAATGAAGGGACCTCCTTTTCCCAAGCCCTTTATCAATGAACTCTATTAAGAAGAGAAGTGTCTGATTCACCAGAGGAGACAGAAAAGAACATTGGTACCCAGTGAGTGTTCCTTTATTTAGAAGGCAAGATCCCTTGGGACATGATTAAAATCCAAACCTGAGGACACACATTCTAAAACAAGTGAGATGGGAAGAATATTGGATCCTAAGTACGGTAATTATTCTAAAAAGAAGAAAGTTGCCAGTGCCAGCCTGGGCAGCATAGAGAGACCCCATCTCTACAAAAAATTAGCTGGGTATAGTGGCACACTATGCTACTCGGGAGACTGATGCAGGAGAATTGCTTGAGCCTGGGACTTCAAGACTGTATTGAGCTATGATCACACCACTGCACTCCAGCCTGGGGGACAGAGTAAGACCCTACCTCGAAAGCAAAACAGAAAGAAAGCTGCAGCTGGTGGAGAATGCTAACTCCACCCTCATACAATTACAATATATGAGAAGTCTTTTGCTACTAATAGATGGTGCATTCCAGGAGTGATTTAGAGCTATGAAGTCATATCAAGATTTACTTTTTTTTTTAAGATGACTAAAATTTTCAGAGCAAGCTTGTGATCCAATGCATTTATTTCCACAAGATGGTGCTATAGCTTCTGCTAAGTACAAAACTCACATTTCCTTTAGGAACTAGAAATACAAAATATGTTTCTAATGGAGAACCAAATGTGCATACGCTCTGGTGAGTCTGTCAAAGAAACACATTGTGCAAAAACGTCCCGGTGGAGGTGGAGGTTGATTTAGGCCTAAAGGGTGAAGATTGTTCCAGGTAATAATACTTTCCGCCACCTCCACACATACCTGAGTTGATGTCTCAAGGCGTCATGCAGCCTTCAGCCTCCTCTTTGTCCAAAATACTGCTCTTCCTACTATCAGGAGTGGGTGTGTGTGTGTTTGTTTGTGTGTGTGTGTGTGTGTGTGTGTGTGTGTGTGTGTGTGTGTGTGTCAGACATGGGATTGAGGAGTGGCCCAGAGCTCCCACCACCATGGAAATGCAGCTCCCATGGCCACCCACACTTCCACCCAGGGGCAGCTCAAGGCTCGCCCCTTCAATAGAGCCTTTCCTTGCCACTCTGTCCCACATGAATCACACCTGCCTAGGGGTACAAATAATAATGCAACAGAATGTTTTAGAATACCATTTTTCCATTTCCATCTAAGTGTGCCAAGTGTTGGCGGGGGGGGTGTGGTGGGCAGAGTCCATTTTATAGCCCACAGCAATGAGGATCCTACCTTGAAATTATGCACAGTGATGATATCACAAATGCTGGCAATCTCAAGCAAGTATTCAGCCACCTTGGTTGGCAGCCTGGGTGACTGGGAGGATGCTGGCCCCGGTTGGCCACTACTTGGACCTAGAAATATGTTAAGTCATCACCTCTTTGGAGTTGTTTGATCATCTCTACCAGGACAGGATTAAACTGTTCTGATTTTTTTTAATATCTTGTTTTAATGACTTTAACATCTTCAGTATCCCTCTCCTGACAGAGTCATAGAGGTGGGAATATTTGCATCACAAGGGAAATAGAAGGATGTCTCTGCTGAAGTGAATGGCACCTCCCTTCCTATTCATCTTTATTCTTTAAAAAAATTTTTTCTGTCCAGGCGTGATGGCTCATACCTGTAATCCCAGCACTTTGGGAGGCCAAGGTGGGTGGAACATTTGAGATCAGGAGTTTGCGATCAGCCTGGCCAACATGGTGAAACCCCACCTCTACTAAAAACACAAAAATTAGCCGGGAGTGGTGGTGGGCATCTATAGTCCCAGCTACTCGGGAGGCTGCGACAGGAGAATCGCTTGAACCTGGGAGGTGGAGGTTGCAGTGTGCTGAGATCACACCACTGCACTCCAGCCTGGGTGACAGAGCGAGACTCTGTCTCAAAAAGAAAAAAAAAATTTTAAATAGAGATAGGGTCCCACTATGTTTCCCAAGCTGGTCTTGAACTCCCGGGCTCAAGCAGTCCTTCCGCCTCCACCTCCCAAAGTGCTGAGATTACAGGCGTGAGCCACTACACCGGTCTCATCTTTATTCTTGTCTCCATTTTTCTCTATTTTATTCTGTGCCTCTGTGCCTTGGCAGTCAAAAATGTGACATAGCTGTACAGTCAGCCCTCCTTATCCACAGGCTCCACATCGTAGCTTCAACCAACAATGGATCAAAAAATTCAGGAAAAAAAATGGATGGTTGTGTCTGTACTGAAAATGTAGACTTTTTTTCTTGTTATCGTTCCCTAAACAACACAGTATAACGACTATTTTCATAGGATTTACATTGTACTAGCTATTAATCTAGAGATGTCTTAAAGTGTACAGGAGGATGTGCATAGGTTATAGGCAAAGACTAAGCCATTTTATGTCAGAGACTTGAGCATCTGGGGATTTTGGTATCTGCAGGGGGTGGGAAGGGTCCTTGGAACCAATCCCCTAGGATGACTGGACATGGTGGATCACTCCTGCTCTCTTTTGCTACCATATCCTCTCCACTGCCACAGAGGTAAGGGCAGGGTAAGTGGAAGCCTAGGGCCACAGAGACAACAGGGTACTCTGGGCTCACCATCAAGAGTAGAGAAGGAAACCTGTTGTGCTGCTCTAGGAGTAGAGGATGCCTTTTGGAAGATAAGTGGGATAACATGGATTAGGATGGAAAAGAATACTCATACCTAAGAACAATCACTGACTGGGGACTTTGACAGTGGATGGAACACCTCAAGAAATAGGCATCAAGGACGTGAGACGAGGGATGAGGCCGAAGACTTTCTATCAGCAAAAAGGAAGGACAGAGTTAGGCTGAACTAAAGACATTTCTGTGTTCAAAATAAACAGCATGCTGTTATTGGGTTTGTCTTATATTATTATGTCTATCAGAAGAAGAGTACACAAAGATACAACTTACTTATACATACTTATAACTTACACAACTTACTTATTATGTCTATCAGAATACACAAAGATACAATTTATTCTTTGAATAGCAGCAGATTTTAGTCTAAAACAGAAAAGATACAAAAAAAAGTAATGTGTGTTTTCTAGCTTCTCCCAAATAGAAAAAAAATAAAATATATATGTATAAAATGATAACAAAAATATTTGGCTTTAAGCCCTCATCACAGGAATTCTTGGAACCCTCTCTCTTCCGACAGATGTAAGAGGCAGTATAAACATCTTTGTATGTGTCAGTATGTATTTGTGTGTGTTGGGTTCTCATCTGATACCAAAAAGACTACCATATTACTCATAAATATATAAACAGAGACATATACATTTAATAAATTCAAGATAGATTTTAAAATAGGGCAATAGAAAAATAAGAATAGAAGATATAAAAGTTCACAAAATATACTTCACTATAAAATGCATCTTTGAAAGGTAGGTTACAATTTTGCTATTCAATTCTATTCTCCAATTCAGAAGGGAAATGTGAGCGGTATAAATTTTCCTCAGACTAGCCTTGCTTTCTCAGTTTCTTCTAGAACTTATGCTAATACAACTTGTTGTTCAGATGCAATTTTCATAACCTTCTAATTTGAGAAAATAGAAGCACCATCTTCAAGGATAAAAGTCAGTTGAAATTCAGTTCCCCACTCAAATTTACTTCCCACCAATAATTACCTAATGTCCTACAATTCACTGGGTGTGGGAACTTCTACTCTCTCCCATCTCAGGGTTAGTTTGATGCCTACTTGCAGTTTTCTTTCAGAGGTTAAAGGGTAATGACTGCCTCCCTTGATTGAATAATCTTAACTTGTATGTTCTGGGGACTCATTTGTTTCTTATATAAAACCAAACCCCTGACAGATTACCTTGATATACAGTGAGCAGTGGAATTAGTGAGTCCCCAACTTTTGCAATGTATAGCACCCTCCAAATGCCAAAAAAAATTAGCGATGAAATAGAAAGGAGAACAAAGAAGAGGGTGATCGTATTAGTCCATTTTCACGCTGCTGATAAAGACATACCCAAAACTGAGGAGAAAAAGAGGTTTCATTGGACTTACAGTTGCACATGGCTGGGGAGGCCTCAGAATCACAGTGGGAGGCAAAAGGTACTTCTTATATGGCAGCGGCAAGAGACAATGAGAGAGAAACAAAAGCAGAAACTCCTGATAAACCCATCAGATCTCCTGAGACTTATTCACTATCACAAAAATAGCATGGGAAAGACCGGCCCCCATGATTCAATTACCTCCCCCTGGGTCCCTCCCACAACACCTGGGAATTCTGGGAGATAACAATTCAAGTTGAGATTTGGGTGGGGGCACAGCCAAACCATATCATTCTGCCCCTGGCCCCTCCAAATCTCATGTTCTCACATTTCAAAACCAATCATGCCTTCCAAACAGTCCCCCAAAGTCTTAACTCATCTCAGCATTAACCCAAAAGTCCGTAGTCCAAAGTCTCATCTGAAACAAGGCAAGTCCCTTCTACCCATGATCCTGTAAAATCAAAAGCAAGCTAGTTACTTCCTACATACAATGGGGATACAGGTAATGGGTAAATACAGCCATTCCAAATGGGAGAAACTGCCCACAACAAAGGCGTTACAAGCCCCATGCAAGTCCAAAATCCAGCGAGGCAGTCCAATTATAACGTTCCAAAATGATCTCCTCTGACTCCATGTCTCACATCCAGGTCACAATGATGCAAGAGGTAGGTTCCCTTAGTCTTGGGCAGCTCTGCCCCTGTGGCTTCACAGGGTATAGTCCCCACTCCTGGCTGCTTTCACGGGCTGGCGTTTAGGGTCTGTGGCTTTTCCAGGTGCACGGTACAAGCTGTCGGTGGATCTACCATTCTGGGGTCTGAAGGACGGTGGCCTTCTTTGCACAGCTCCACTAGGTGGTGCCCCAGTAGGGATTCTGTGTGGGGGCTCCAACCCCACATTTCCCTTCACACTGCCCTAGCAGAGGTTCTCCATGAAGGCTCTGCCCCTGGAGCAAACTTTTGCCTGAGCATCCAGGTGATTCCATACATCTTCTGAAATCTAGATGGAGGTTCCCAAACCTCAATTCTTGACTTCCATGCACCTGCAGGCTCAACACCACATGGAAGCTGCCAAGGTTTGGGGCTTGCACCCTCTGAAACCACGGGCAGACCTGTACCTCGGCCCTTTTAGCAATGGCTGGAGCAGCTGGGATGCAGGGCACCAAGTCCCTAGGCTGCACACAGCATGGGGACCCTGGGCCTGGCCCACAAAACCATTTTTTCCTCCTAGTCTTCAGGGTCTGTGATGGGAGGGGCTGCCATGAAGACCTGTGACATGCCCTGGAGACATTTTCCCCATTGTCTTGGAGATTAACATTCAGCTCCCTGTAACTTATGCAAATTTCTGCAGCCAGCTTGAATTTCTCCTCAAAAAACAGGTTTCTCTCTTCTGCTGCATCAACTGGCTGCAAATTTTCCAAATTTTTATGCTGTTTCCCTTTTAAAATGAAATGCTTTTAACAGCACCCAAATCACCTCTTGAATGCTTTGCTGCTTAGAAATTTCTTCAGCCAGATACCCTAAATCATCTCTCTCAAGATCAAAGTTCCACAAATCTCTATGGTAGGGGCAAAATGCCACCAGTCTCTTTGCTAAAACATAACAACAGTCATCTTTGTTCCAGTTCCCTACAAGTTCCTCATCTCCATCTGAGACCCCCTCAGCCTGGACCTTATTGTCCATAGCAGTATCAGCATTTTTGTCAAAGCCATTCAACAAGTCTTTAGGAAGCTCCAAACTTTCCCACATTTTCTTGTCTTCTTCTGAGCCCTCCAAACTGTTTCAACCTCTGCCTGTTACCCAGTTCCAAAGTCGCTTCCACATTTTCAGGTATCTTTTCAGCAGCGCCCCACTCCACTGGTACCAATTTACTGTATTAGTCAGTTTTCATACTGCTGATAAAGACATATCCAAGACTGGGAAGAAAAAGAGGTTTAACTGGACTTACAGTTGCACATGGCTGGGGAGGCCTCAGAATCATGGTGGGAGGCAAAAGGCACTTCTTACATGGCAGTGGCAAGAGAAAACGAGAGAGAAGTAAAGGTGCAAACCCCTGATAAACCCATCAGATCTCGTGAGACTTAATTCACTATCATGAGAATAGCATGGGAATTCATCATTGAATCAATCATTGAAAAGAATTAGCAGAGGACTGATAAATAAGCATAGAAAGATAGGAAGAGCATTTCAGATTCAATTACCTCCCCGTGGGTCCCTCCCATAACATGTGGGAATTCTGGGAGACACAATTCAAGTTGAGATTTGGGTGGGGACATAGCCAAACCATATCAAGGATAGTCATTTTTTCTCTGCTGTCATATTTATGGCAAGGTTCATTGTTCACTCATCTGGTCTCCATAGTTAAAACATTTCTTTGAAAATACTTTAACCAGATTCATAATATTTTATAAGATATGTAATAAACTGAATGTTCGTGTTCTTTCCTCCACCCTCCCATTCACATAGGAAGCTCTAACCTCAATGCAATGGTATTGGGAGGTGGGGCATTTGGAAAATAATTGTGCTTAGATGAGGTCAGGAGGGTAGATCCCCCTTGATGGGATTAGTGCCCTTATAACTAGAGGAAGAGACACCAGACCTTTCTCTCTGCAGAATATGAGAAGGCAGCCATCTGCAAGCCAGGAAGAGAGCCCCCATCATGAGTCAAATCTATTGGCATCTTGATCTTGGACTTACTAGCCTCCAGAACTGTGAGAAATAAGCGTCTGTTGTTTGAGCCAACCAGCCTATGGGATTTGGTTACAGCAACCCAAGATGACTAATATAACATCTTCACAATTCAGCAAATACATATATAAATTTATTTTACAGATGAATAGAAAGATTAGTTGCTTTTCTAGAACCACATGACCAGTATAGGATCAAAATCTCATTCTCTTCATGGTGAACTTACTCAATTATTTGTTCAACTTAATCAATTATTTGCTAACTGATCACCTACTGCATACTAGAAGCTATGCTCAGCTTTCAGTCACAAAGATAGAGAATGTATGGTCCCAAATCTTAAGAAGCTTGCAATGGAAAATAAGCAGACAAGAAAATAAAAATAAATTAGTTACAATATCACAGCATTAAAAATGTACTAACAGAAGGCTATACTGAATACGTTAAGGTGCCACAGAATGAAAGATAACCATTCTACTTGGAGAAGTCAGGAAAAGTTTCAGAGATAAGGTAACATGAATTCATCATTGAAAAGAATTAATAGAGGTTTGATAAATAGACAGAGAAAGGTAGGAAGAGCATTTTAGACACAGAGAATACTGTCTAGCAAGATCCAGGAATAAAAAAAGAACTGGCATATAATGGTTTGACAAACAATCAGGTATGGCTTGAGCACAAAGCATGTATGGTAGAGACAGAAAAAGATAGTGACCAAGGGGAAGCCTGGGAATGAAGGCAGGAGTCAGACTGTGAAAGGCCTTTATATTGCACTCAGTACAATTTTTGTAAAATAAATGAACTGTCATTTTAAAAGCCTAACTTTCCTTGTGTGTTGCCTTTGCCTTTGTCTAACATTACCAAGAGCACCTATACCTGTGTCCAATCTTGCTCCAGTCCTAAGGGTAGCTGGGTCTTGGTATTCAAATTCTCTTTTCCGCTTTTAGGGATCCAAGCTCAGCTCATCAGCAGTTAAGAGGTCTAAGTGCTTGCTTCATTTCTGAGGAGAAGAAAGTACCAGGAAGACAACCAATCCTATGGTACTTCATAACTATGGCTTGGAGACCCAAGTCAAGCTTTTTAGTCTGACCACCACTCTGGCAGTGAAGGCTTCCAAAATGCATGTGTAAATTTGAGCTAAGAGTGGGTGTCCAGAAGAAGCCATAGTAAATAGCAAAAAGCTATGTTCAAAAACATCTATGTGGTCTGAGGAAAACTGGGGAGGGTACCAACTAAGGCTAATTGAGCCACTTTGGGGAATTAATTGATCACACCGAGGAAGATAGCCATGTAAAGGAATTGGCTGCCCCTTCCCTTGGTCCTTGTGGTGGGGTGTCTACTGGAACTGTCGTGGATGTTGCCATGAAGCCTCTATATGGACCCAAATATCATAGCAGCCCATTCTGCTTTATGTATCCTGCTCATTCATTCATTCATTCAACAAACAAACATTCATTGATCACTTACCATGCAATGTTTTAAACACTGGGAATACAGAGACGAAAGATGCAGCCTCTGCTCTTGAGAAACACAGCATAGCGAATAAATTAAAATCAAGAACATTTCTCTAGACAAGGAAAACTCACTAGAAAAACAGAATTCAAAAATAAGATCTAATTCACAATAGCATAAAAATCTATAAAGTATTGATAACCTTATTTAATAAAAAAATAAAGAAAAAGTTTTAAATTAGTCTAAAGAACATATAAGATGAGAAGAATAATTGGGGAGACAGTCTATACTTTTGGGAAGGGTGGTTTATTATCATAAAATCTCAATTCTCCCCCAAATTAACCTCAAGTAAGATTTCAGTTGGGTTTTCTGAGGATCTCTGAAAACCTCTATAATCTACATGGAAAAATAAAGGTCCACAAATAACTAAATAAACGTTGAGAAAGAGGAGAAAAGTAGAAGTAGGGGAGGGAGTGTCCCAACCAAATCCATGGATGTACTACAAAGCCACTGTCATAGAAACAATTTCAAGCAAGAACATTTAAATGGACAAGTAGAACAGAACAGAGGGCAAGCGTCAGAAACAGACTCATCTACTTATAAGAACGTAATACATAATGAAGTTGGTAGCATAAATCAAGAAAAGATGAACATTGGAGTTTAAAAACTGACATAATAGACTGACATAATTAAGTATCTACTCAATATCATTAGACTAAAAAACAGACTCAGGATGGAAAATAAAGCTGTTAAGATAATATAGAAGAATTAATGTGTGGCAAAATTGTTACACATTTCTGTTCAGATTACTAGGAGACAATGTTTTCAATATCTAAAACTTACAGATAACTAACATTGAGATTATACAAGTGACAGGGCCAGATTTGCAACTCAAAAAGATCACCTAAGGGTGCAGCAAACTGTATCTACTCTTTCTCTTCTTTTTCTTTTTCTTTTTGAGATAGGGTCTCATTCTGTCACCCAGGCTGGAGTACAGTGACATGATCCTGGCTCACAGCAGCCTCAACCTCCTTGGCTCAAGCCATCCTTCCACCTAGGCTTTTGCAAGGCAACAAGAAAGTTTTGCAAGGATACAAGAAAGTTTTGCAAGGCAACAGGAAAATGAGAGTAACTCAACAGAAAAGTAGACAAAGGCATGATAGGCAATGTGAATAATCACATGACAACAAATTTACTGAGATCCTCAACCCACTAGTAACCAGAGAAATGAAAATTAAACAGCAGTGTAATACCGCTTTGAAGCTACTCAACTGATCAAAACATGCCCAGTGTTGTTGGGGACATGGGGCTACAAAGACTCTTGCACTGTGATGAACACACAGTCAGTGCAGCCATTCGAGGGAGCAACAGCCAGGATCTGGCTAAATAAGCACACCATCGCTTTCCAACCCCAGAATTCTGATCTTGGATGTTCACATCCCACAGAAATTCTCACACAGGTCCGTAAAGGATGTATACAAGGCTGCTCATTACAGCATCGTTTGTGATACAGGGAAGGTGAAAGGATTTGGGTGGCCACCACTGAAAGTGAGAATAGGTAAAATATGATGAATTCAGACTGTGGAACAAAAGCACTGGTTAGAAGCAAAAGACTACAGATACACAAAGGAAAATGAGTAGATGTTTAAAACTCGTCCTAATTTTAAAAAGTAAAAAGTGTAAAGTCGATAAAAGACAGCATTTATGTAAATTAAAAACACATACAAACAGTGCAGAATTCGTTATAATAAGAAAGGAATAAGTAAACTAAGGCAGGAGCTTGAACAAACCAAAGAAACCAAATGATACCGTGCCATGAAGATTTCAAGGAATTCTATTTTCTGCAACTGTCCTCCCCCAATTTACCAAAATAGGTACACTGCAATAAAACCTACAAAGTGCCTTTATAGAGATTAGCTCTAGTGCTCGCTTCAGCAGCACGTATACCATATAAATTAAAAAATACATACATAAAATACATTAGCTCTAAAGAGTGTGGATGTTTGGAGGAGAGAATAAGAAAAGGCTTCACCAAGAAGGTAACAACAGAGATGGATCTTGGAGGACTTGTAAGAGTTCATAGAAAGTAGGGAAAAGGGGAGTGTAATCTGAGGGCAACTGTAAAAGCAAAGGTTTCTAAATACAAGCAAAAGATAAGAAAGGAGAGAATAGGCTGGGTGCAGTGGCTCATACCTACAATCCCAGCACCTTGGGAGGCTGAGGTGGGAGGATCACTTGAGCCCTGGAGTTTGACAGCAGCCTGTGCAACATAGTGAGACCCCATGTCTACAAAAAAAATTAAAAATGAGCCAGGTGTGGTGGTGCATGCCTGTAGTCCCAGCTATTGGGGAGACCAAGGTAGAAGGATGGCTTTAGCCCAGGAGGTTGAGGCAGAAGTGAGCCATGATCACATCACTGCACTCCAGCCTGGGTGACAGAATGAGACCCTATCTCAAAAAGAGAAAGAAGGGAAAGAATTGATACAACTTGCTGCACCTTTAAGTGATCTTTTTGAGATGAAAATCTGGCCCTGTCACTCTCCCTTAGATCCTTCAATGGATTACCTTGCCCTCAAAATAAAGATCAAATTCCTTAACATGGTCTACTAGGCCCACGTGATCCCTGGTCTCTGCTCACATCTTCAGTTTCATCTTGTGCTATGGGATTTCCACCTCTGTCCTCCAGATCTGAAATTTTCTAGCTTTCCTTCAATGACACTCCTGCCTCCAAATTACAGATTTCTCAAACCCTCCAGAAGAGGTCATTCTCAGGTTTTATATATATATACTTTCAGAAATCAAAGACAAAATTCTGAGACCTCCCAACCATCTGAAAGGACACCTCCTCTAGGCCAAAGGCATTCCAAAGTTAAGCTGAAAAACTGTTTCAGGCTGTGATGGAAGTGGGGGTCAGACATGCCTCATTATGCCCTCCTCTTTTTTGGAATTCAGGAAGAGCCGACCGGCACTAACATCAACACAGACCTAAGGCCTGATAAGAAACATTTACCATATCTTTCCTGTTCCTCACCCTGATCACGCTTCATTTACTGATGGCAGCTCCACCAGGCCTAATCGCCACACACCAGCAAAGGCAGGCTATGCTATAGTACAAGCCACTAGCCCGCCTTTCAGAACCTCTCATTTCCTTTCCATCATGGAAATCTATCCTCAAGGAAATAATTTCTCAGTGTTCCATCTGCTATTCTACTATTCCTCAGGGATTATTCAGGCCCCCTTCCTTCCCTACACAGCAAGCTCGAGGATTTGCCCCCACCCAGGACTGGCAAATTAGCTTTACTCAACACGTCCGGAGTCAGGAAACTAAAATCTTAATCTCTCCCAATCTAGGTTCCCACGCCGCCCCTAATCCCGCTTGAAGCAGCCCTGAGAAACATCGCCCATTCTCTCTCCATATCACCCCCCAAAAATTTTTGCCACCCCAACACTTCAACACTATTTTGTTTCATTTTTCTTATTAATATAAGAAGGCAGGAATGTCAGGCCTCTGAGCCCAAGCCAAGCCATCACATCCCCTGTGACTTGCAGGTATAGGCCCAGATGGCCTGAAGTAACTGAAGAATCACAAAAGAAGTGAATATGCCCTGCCCCACCTTAACTGATGACATTCCACCACAAAAGAAGTGTAAATGGCCGGTCCTTGCCTTAACTGATGACATTACCTTGTGAAAGTCCTTTTCCTGGCTCATCCTGGCTCAAAAGCACCCCCACCGAGCACCTTGCGACCCCCACTCCTGCCCACTGAGCACCTTGCGACCCCCACTCCTACCCACCAGAGAACAAACCCCCTTTGACTGTAATTTTCCTTTACCTACCCAAATCCTATAAAACGGTCCCACCCTTATCTCCCTTCACTGACTCTCTTTTCGGACTCAGCCCGCCTGCACCCAGGTGAAATAAACAGCCATGTTGCTCACACAAAGCCTGTTTGGTGGTCTCTTCACACGGACGCGCATGAAAATAATACCTACCTCATACATCTGTCATGTAACACTTTAGTGTTCTATATTTGCATAGCTGTATCCTTCCATTAGTTTGTATAGAGCTGACTTAGTATTTTTGGTTGAATAAATGTTGAATGACCTGGCAAAAAAAAAAAGAAACATTTACCATCTATTCTCTCTGAAACCTGCCACTTGGAAGCTTCATCTACATGATAAAACCTTGGTCTCCACAACCCCTTAACATATCCCAGACATTCCTATTGATAATAATTATTTTGACCAGTTACAAATCAGAAAATTTATAAATCTACCTATGACCTGCAAGCCCTCCTACCCCCGCCCTCAAATTGTCCCACCCTTCCAGATTGAACCAATGTAAATCTTACATGTATTGATTGATGTATTATGTCTCCCCAAAAATGTATAAAAGCAAGCTGTACCCTGACCACCTCGGGCACGTCATCGGAACCTCCTGAAACCCTGTCATGGGTATATCCTTAACTCTGGCAAAATAAACTTTCTAAACTTTCTTTGAGACTTATCTCAGGTACTTTTGAGTTCACACTTTTTAGCATCCATCAAAATTATAGTAATTTATTATTAAGTAATCATTTGTTTAATGTTTATGCGGGCATAACCTAGGTCCTTGAGATCAAAGACCATGTGCACAACTATATCCCTAGCCCCTCATTCAACGCTTTGCACAATATGGGTTGAGTATCCCTTATCTGAAATGCTTGGGACCAGAAGTGTTTTGGATTTTGGATTTCTTTGGATTTGGGAATATTTGCAGGTACTTAACCAGTTGAGCGTCCCAAGTCCAAAAATCCCAAATGTCAAATGTTCCAATGAACACTTCCTTTGAGTATCATATTTCACAATTTGGAGCATTTTGGATTTGAGATTTGGGGATTAGGTCTGCTAAACCTATACATGTGTTGAATGACTGCATAAATTAAGGAATGGAGTAGGAGTGCTTTGGTTGGGGTGGGAACCAGTGATTCTGTTTCAGACAGCTACCCGTGATAGTAGCAGCTAAATAAGAGTTGGGGTCAATTATGGAACCACTGGCCCTGTTCTTTCTCTCAATGTTCTACACAATGGGATCCTCAGTGTATCCACTGGGGGAACGAGATAAAAATATTAGAGCTTTCAATGACATTTATTTGTACCTCATTATTTTAAAACATCTGTGTTTGCATATCATACAGAAGTACACATATATAATTCATAAATAAATAAAACATGCATATACTGGGGAAATGCCTGCTCAAAATTTTTTATTGACAGGAGGTAGAATGAAAGATGTTTAAAAATCACTGCTGTGGGTCAGAGAGTTTCCACTATTATTAGGCATCCAAATCAGCAAGGAGCTATTTTCAAATAGTTCTGTTTGACCCCAAACCTACAGAATTAAAACTCCGTGGGTTTAGGGCAATGGCAAATTCAGAATGCTGATCAGATGATTATGATGGAAGCCTCTGCTAAAGAACCACTGCTTTTCTATCAGGATTCCTAAACCTGGCTTCTCATCCTAATCATAATCATCTTAAAAACAAACAACAGTCAGGCCCAGTGGCTCATGCCTGTAACCTCTGCACCCAGGGAAGCCAAGGGAGGAGGATCCCTTGAGGCCAGGGGTTCAAAATCAGTCTGGGAAAATAGAGAGTAGTGAGACCCCATCTCTACAAACAAATTAAAAATTAGCTGTACATGGTGGTGTGTACCTGTAGTCCCAGCTACCAGGGAGGCTGAGGTGAGAGGATGGCTTGAGCCCAGGAGTTCAAGGCTGCAGTGAGCTATGATCACGCCACTGCACTCCAGCCTAAGCGACATAGCAAGACTCTGTCTCATAGATAGATAGATAGATAGATAGATAGATAGATAGATAGATAGATTGATTGATAGACAGATGGATTTTAAGGAAATTTTGCTGATTTGCCAGGTTTGGGAGCCACTGTGTCAGAAGTGTTCAAACCACAGTGACTCCATCATAAATAGGGACTTGATAAAACAAAGCTGAGACCTATGGGGCTACATTCCCAGGAGGTTAGGCGTTCTTAGTCACAGGATGAGATAGGGGTCGGCACAAGATACAAGTCACAAGGACCTTGCTGATAAAACAGGATACAGTAAAGACACCAGCCAAAACCCACCAAATCCAAAACAGTGATGAAAGTGACCTCTCTGGTCATCCTTACTGCTCATTATATGCTACTCATAATTCATTAGCATGCGAAAAGACACTCCCACCAGTGCCATGACAACTTAAAAATGCCAGGCAGTGTCTGAACTTTAGACCCTATAGGGTCTAAAGTGGAGAGGAACCCTCAGTTCTGGGAACTGCCTGTACCTTTCTTGGAACACTCATGAGTAATCCACCCATTGTTTAGCATATAATGAAGAAATAACTGTAAGTATACTCAGTCGAACAGCCCATTCTTTTATTCCTTTGCTTTCTTAATAAACTTGCTTTCCCTTTACGGGCTTGCCCCAAATTCGTTCTTGTGCAAGGCCCGTGAACACTCCCTTGGGGTTGGGACCAGAACCTCTTTCTGGTAACAAATACAGTAGAGCCAGAACTCCACTAAATGAACTTTACTGGTTATAGTCTCTTTAAGAACAGGAATTGGGCTGGGCGCGGTGGCTCACGCCTGTAATCCCAGCACTTTGGGAGGCTGAGGCGGGAGGATCATGAGGTCAGGAGATCAAGACTATCCTGGCCAACACGGTGAAACCCTGCCTCTACTAAAAATACAAAAAATTAGCCGGGCGTGGTGGCGGGCGCCTGTAGTCCCAGCTACTCAGGAGGCTGAGGCAGGAGAATGGCATGAACCCGGGAGGTGGAGCTTGCAGTGAGCCTAGATCATGCCACTGCACTCCAGCCTGGGCCACAGAGCGAGACTCCATTTCAAAAGAACAGGAATTGGCTGAGTGCAGTGGCTCACGCCTGTAATCTTGCCAGCACTTTGGGAGGTTGAGGCAGGTGGATCATTTGAGCCCAGGAGTTTGAGACCAGCCTGGGCAACAAAGTGGGACCCCCATCTCTACAAAACAATACAAAAATTAGCCAGGCATGGTGGTGTGCACCTGTAGTCCCAGCTACTCGGGAGGCTGAGGTGGGAGGATTGCTTGAGCCTGGGAGGTGGAGACTGCAGTAAGCCATGATAGCACCACTGCACTCCAGTCTAGGCAACAAAGCGAGACCCTGTATCAAAAAAATAAAAATAAAAAATAAGGAACAGGGATCATTCCCATCCCCATCCCTATCTTCCAAAAATTTTGGATGGGGAAATTTCCAAAACATCCCAAATCCAAACATTTCAAAAGACAAAAAGCAAGACAACCTGAATAACAGCGCTTCTAGGGATTGCTCACTGTAGGGCAGGCAGGCAAGGACCCACTCCCTCTTCATGACTGCAACACCTCACCATAGCTATAACCAGCCTCCAGGAGGACCTGGGCATTCTCAGACATTATGTACCAGACGTTTTGGAAATGTTCAACTAAATGAGATTTGGAAGTATACATATTTTTCTATGATATATGCACTCAAGTTAAAAATGTCTTTGTACAGGAGATTCGAAAAATATGAGCCTCTAGTCTAGAGACTTAGGAAGAGTGATGGTGTAACTGCTGACCTATAAGCATCACACAGAGGCATCATCACTTTGGCATTGGTTTATAAACTCACCGACAAGATAATCTTTTCCTCCTCCAAACTCCCATGGCACCTCTAGCATAAAGTGCACTGCACTTCAACACTGTTGTTCATCTGTCACATCCATTACACTGTGAGCTCCTTGACATCAGGGTAGGCAACCTATTCATCTTTTAGAACCCAGCAGAGCTGGTAAGAGGCTATTCTTTTTTTTTTTTTTTTTTGAGATGGAGTCTTGCTTTGTTGCCCAGGCTGGAGTGCAGTGGTGCAATCTCGGCTCATTGCAATCTCCACCTCCTGGGTTCAAGCGATTCTCCTGTCTCAGTCTCCCGAGTAGCTGGGATTACAGGTGCAAGCCACTGAGCCTGGCTAATTTTTGTATTTTTTTTAGTAGAGACAGGGTTTCGCCATGTTGGCCAGGCTGGTCTTGAACTCCTGACCTCAGGTGATCTGCCCACCTCGGCCTCCCGAAGTGCTGGGATTACAGGCGTGAGCCACCACACCCGGCCAGGGCTGTTCTTTTTTTTTAAGGCAATGGCACTCTTTCCATCTCTTCCTCCTGACCATTCCACCAAACATCTCCCACAGATACAAACCATAGAGAATATCAGGTATTTTCAACTTTGCTAATCAACTCTTTAAAATGATAGTCCATTTCAGAACTTGAACAAATATTTACTATACCATTTATCGACCCCAAGTTGGGCTTTCCTCCTCTTAAAGAAGTTCAGTGAACTACAAGAATTTGTGGATTAAAAAAAAAAAAATTTAACCCAAAGACTCCTAGTGACCTTTGCTGGAGCTAACACAGCATCTCTTAATCCAGCTCTAAAGGATGTGAAGAGCTCCAGGCCTGAGGCACCATGCTGTGCAGCAATTTACTTCTTCATTGCACCAGGCTCATCCCTCATTGCCCACAGCATCCAGGGGTAAACTCGGAACAAAAGATTGCTTACACTTTCATAACTTCAAAAATTACATCACACATGCATGTCCAGTGTTAAACTACAACTGATTACATGTACTGTCTAACGAAATTGTTGAATACTTGCTCTGCTTTTCTCCCTGTTGGCCTTACAATCCCTGTTTCTAATTTCCTTCCATCCTCGGGTCATAAAACTTTATACCCAGTGGCCTGGCACAAAAGTTTCTTTTCTTGTTTCCCTAATATCCTTAAAGCAGGCATTGCAGTCCACTGTACTTCTTCCTTCTATACAAGCTGGAACACCCTGAGTCCTAAGCTTTACTGTGCTTAAGAATGACCCGTGGGAGGCTGAGGTGTGTGGTTCACGAGGTCAGGAGTTCAAGACCAGCCTGGCCAGTATGGTGAAACCCCATCTCTACTAAAAATACAAAAACATTAGCCAGGCGTAGTGGCGGGCGCCTGCAACCCCAGCTACTTAGGAGGCTGAGGCAGAGAACTGCCTGAACCTGGGAGGCGGAGGTTGTAGTGAGCCAAGATCATGCCACTGCACTCCAGCCTGGGCAACAGAGTAAGACTCCATCTCAAAAAAAAAGAATGACTCACAAAGCGAATTGGAGACTCCAATGCAGGTGTACCACAAACTACACTTTGATCTATGGTGTGGCAGATGTCACAGCCGGATCACCCGCACATCCACAAACTATACGTTGAGACCCTCCGCACACTTAGTTGTTATATACATTATTAATAATTCACAAGTGAACACAACTGTGAATTATTAAAAATTCACAATTCATTCATTCATTCAGGTCGAGGTGGTCTCTTTCACTTCTTAAACTCCCATCCTTTTCCTACACCCATGACTTAATATCTCTGAGAATAAGTGAGTTTCTAAATGTCTGAGTTAATAGAAACATTCTTTTTACAAGCAAAACAGACCATTTCCTCAGTAACCCTTCCCAGAACCACCCATCTTACCACTCTTACCACTACTGATTAAAAAAAAGAAAAACAGGTAGTGCCGATCAAACCAGGCAAGCTGAAGCCCATGGCTCCTGGACACAAATGATGACAGCTGTGACTAAACTCCTAGGCAAGGCTCTTTGATGTGTCTATCTGGCCAATAGGCCTCTACATCTTGAAAGCAAAGTAGCAACATTGAGAAAAAAAAGGGCCAGGCTGTGAAATGCAAGTTCAAAGCAAGCAGCAAAGTATTAATAGTTGAGCTTCTTTCTGCAAATAAAACACAGAGCTCTAGAGGCAGCCCCTGCAAAATCAAGAGCAGAACTCCTCAAGGAGTCCTCTCACAAACAGAGAAGTACTCAGAGAGGACATCATTTTATTCACCTCCAACAGTCAATTCTTCAAATCTGACTTGATCATTTTATCTTCAAAAAACAGTCAGCACGGCCGGGCGCGGTGGCTCACGCCTGTAATCCCAGCACTTTGGGAGGCCGAGGCGGGCGGATCACGAGGTCAGGAGATCGAGACCATCCCGGCTAAAACGGTGAAACCCCGTCTCTACTAAAAATACAAAAAAATTAGCCGGGCGTAGTGGCGGGCGCCTGTAGTCCCAGCTACTTGGGAGGCTGAGGCAGGAGAATGGCGTGAACCCGGGAGGCGGAGCTTGCAGTGAGCCGAGATCCCGCCACTGCACTCCAGCCTGGGTGACAGAGTGAGACTCCGTCTCAAAAAAAAAAAATAAATAAAAAAAAAAAAAAAAAAAAAAAAAAAAAACAGTCAGCACAATACTAAAATCCATTCCCTGTCTTATTTTCCCATTGCCCCTGCATTCGTTCAAGGTGTCTTCTTTTCTTACCTCCATGACTACAATATCCATCTAATTGCTACAACAGCTGATTGCCTTCCTTGCCCCTCCACTTCACTATCCACACCAGTCCATTCTCTCAACTGCCCCCAGAGCTTTTTTTTCTAAATCTAACCTTAGAATCTGATCTCATCATGACCTTGCTTGAAACCCTTCCAAGGAGGCCTATCCCCAGAAGGATGAAGTCCAAACTCAGTAGCAGGAATGGCCTACAAGGCCTTTCATGATTTGGCTGCCCGACTACCCTTCCAACTTCATTCTCTGCCATTTCTTCACCACATCTCATGTTAAACCCACACTATTTGCACATCCCTGAACAGAGGGTGCTCAGGCTTGTATTTTTGCATATTTCACTTCTGCTATTGGTATGCTTTTCCTATATCCTCCTCTATACCAGGTTAACAGAATTTTTTTTTTTTTTTTTTTTGAGACAGATTCTCGCTCTGTCGCCCAGGCTGGAGTGCAGTGGTGCGATCTCGGCTCACTGCAAGCTCTGCCTCCCAGGTTCACGCCATTCTCCTGCCTCAGTCTCCCAAGCCCGGCTAATTTTTTTTGTATTTTTAGTAGAGACGGGGTTTCACCATGTTAGCCAGGATGGTCTCAATCTCCTGGCCTCGTGATCCCCCGCCTCGGCCTCCCAAAATGCTGGGATTAAAGGCATGAGCCACCATGCCGGCCAGTAACAGAATATTTTTAAAAGACAAGTCAACTCAAATCTCACCTTCGCCGGGCACGTTGGCTCACACCTGTAATCCCAGCACTTTGGGAGGCCAAGGTGAGTGAATTGCTTGAGTCAAGGAGTTCGAGACCAGCCTGGGTAACATGACAAAACTCTGTCTTTACAAAAATATACCAAAAATTAGCCAGGTGTGCATGGTGGTACACATCTCTAGTTCCAGCCCCAGGAGGCTGAGGTGGGAGGATCACCTAAACCCAGGAGTTTGAGGCTACAGTGAGCCATGATTGCACCACTACACTCCAGCCTAGGTGACACAGTGAGACCCTATCTCAAAAAGAAAAAAATATATATAATCCACCTTATCCATTCAGGCTTCTCTGATTCCCCAAGGAGTGCCACCTACTCTCTCCTTTATGCTTCCATTGTACTTTGTGTCCATCTCAACATAACACTTACCATGCTCTGCTGCCATTATTTGCTACCTGTTTCTCTCCTCAATCAGATTGAGAGCTTCTTGAAAGCAGAGATCTTGTCTTTGTATATCTGGTTTCTAAGAATGCATACTGAGTAAATGAATAGAAGAAAAAATGAATGAGGCAATTAGTATGTATGCCTTGAATGGCATTAAATTTAGGCTTATGCCAATCAATGTGCAAAGGTTGAGAAAATAAATAAGGGGAAGCCAAGGATAGAAAATAAAACCATGCTCATCAGAATAGAAGAGGATAGGCTGGGCGCAGTGGCTCACGCCTGTAATCCCAATCACTTGGGGTCAATAGTTTGAGATGAGCCTAGCCAACATAGTGAAACCCCATCTCTACTAAAAACACAAAATTAGCCAGGCTTGGTGGTGCGCACCTGTAATCCCAGCTACTGGGGAGGCTGAGGCAAGAGAATCACTTGAACCTAGGAGGCAGAGGTTGCAGTGAGCCTAGATCGTGCCACTGCACTCCAGCCTGGGCTGGACAGAGCAAGACTCCATCTCTGAAAAATAAAATAAAATAAAATAAAACAAAAAAACAGAATAGAAGAAGATAGCTAAGAACCACAGTGGTCAAGCCAGCCTGGCTTCAACAGAGATGAATGGAGAGACCATGGTCAGCCCCATTAACAGAAGAACTGGGGCCAGGAACGGTGGCTCATGCCTATAATCCCAGCGCTTTGGGAGGCCGAGGCAGGCAGATCATGAGGTCAGGAGTTCGAGACCAGCCTGACCAATATGGTGAAACCCCATCTCTACTAAACATACAAAAATTAGCCGGGTGTGGCAGCACATGCCTGTCATCCCAGCTACTCAGGAGGCTGAGGCAGGAGAAACGCTTGAACCCAGGAGGCAGAGGTAGCCATGAGCCGAGATCACGCCATTGCACTCCAGCCTGGCGACAGAGCGAGACTCCATCTCAAAAAAAAGAAGAACTGAGTTCAAAATCAGTTCGAAAGGTTCAATGTTGGGTCACAGGATCAGGCAAAAAGCAGAGGCAGAAAGGCCTTAGGAGTGTTCCAAGAACTAGCACTGGACCAGCTGAGAGTCAGAGAGAGTTCACCACGTGGGAACAATGCAGCCAGTCATGTGGGATAGTGGCACCATGACAGTATCTAGTCAGGACAATGACAGCCCCAGGGATAATGCTGATGAGTTCCTGCTTCAGAAAAGGTCATTGTCATTCCTTTAGTCCTGATACCTAGAACTATACAGGAGTGTTCCCTGCCTCTCCCCAAGCCCCATAACTTGATCTTAAAGGCATTATTGTCAATTAAAGTAGTCCCAAGTTCCAGAAGCTATTTTTATTCAGCCTCGTCTAATAGGGCTTTCATTTTAAAATAGCTTTATTTTGAATCTATTTACTGTTCCCAGCCCCTATCACTTTGTTCTTATAAATATATTCATTCCACATGCATCACTGACAGGCACTGCTAGGAAAGGAAACTAACCCATCTTGACCACCTTTACACATCAGGTACTTATACTAAGGTGATTTCTATATATTACAGTATTGAATCACCACAACAATCCAGTGACGTAGGTATCATTACATATTATTATCCCCAATTAAGACATTAGGGAAATGAAACGTAGGAAGATTCAGAGAAAGCACAGGAAGGTGAATATGCCCAAGATTTCACATTAAGTAAATGGAATGCAGGATTCAAATTTACCCCTGTCTGAATCTAAATCTCATTCTCTTTCCATGGCATCATTCTCTCTCCTCTCTAGGCCTTTATAGAGGAAATATAGGCCCAAATAAAATATCAAAATCTCAGGATGGGATGACAGGCTTGATTAAGAAACCCAGTCACCAAGACCACGCAGCAAGAAATGAAAAAGAAAAAAAATAATAAAATGCTGAGAACCATAGTCTGCAAAGTGAAAGGAAGAATACCTGGGAGAGCTAGAGTGACCTCCACATGCAAATACACCCTGCAGACAGGAACAGGCTTGATGGGAAGAGCAAACTCCCTAAATGGTCGGTTGTAACTTTCCTACTAGTTGAAAAGTCAGGAAAAGCCTTGTGTGCTAACTCTCTGGACAAGCGCACAAGAATCCAGGGTTGTGACTTCAAAAAAAAATATGCTGACAAGTCAGAGCTGGCAGAACAAGAGGAGGTCGAGTTGATGAGAAGAGAGAGAGAGAGAGAGAGCACTGTAATCAAGGAGAACCAACTGAAGCTGGAGGGAAGCAGAAAGAATAGCCAGGCTGGTTCAGGAGGCAGTTCTGGTACCTCTGACCCCATTGCCCACCCCCAGTAGGCAGCATGAAATATGCCAGAGGTCAACAATTTTTTTTTTTTGTATTTTTTAGACAGAGTCTCACTCTGTCACCCAGGCTGGAGTGCAGTGGTGCAATCTCAGCTCACTGCAGCCTCTGCCTCCTGGGTTCAAGCAATTCTCCTGCCTCAGCCTCCCAAGTAGCTGGGAATACAGGTGCCCACCACCAAGCCCAGCTAATTTTTGTATTTTCAGTAGAGAAGGGGTTTCGCCATGTTTGGCCAGGCTGGCCTCAAATTCCTGAACTCAGGTGATCCACCGGCCAAGGCCTCCCAATGTGCTGGGATTACAGTTGTGAGCCACCGCACCCGACCCAGAGGTCAACAGCTTCTGCCCTAGATCAGAAGTTTACTCACTTTGCTCACTCGGTATAAATCAAGGACCCTCTCATACCTGGGAATGAGTTTTGTATTCCAGCCTAGAAGTAGAGCCAGTCCCAGTTTGAACTTTTTGCCTTTCTGTACTCCCAGTTCTTACCCTTTTGCTGAGCCTAGGACACATGCAAGGCCTGCCCTTCTTAATCCAGATTTTTGAGTCTTAATCCCAATTTTTCCTATAGTTTCCCATACACTCCATGGCAGCTTAGAGTAGGCTGAAAACTGCTGAACTGTTTAAGACTTAATCCTTCAGAGTAACATGGCAGAAGTAGCACACTTTTTTAACATAAAGCTGTTCAGGACTCTATTACAGAAGAGGCTATACTTCCTTAATTACATTCTATTCTACAGCCACCTCAAAATAACTAGTGAACACGTTCAACCAGGATCATTGGCAACAGCCAATGGGCACAGTGATCTAGAAATGGTCTAGCCAAGCTGTTTGGGCTGTAGACCATGGCATTCCTAAGAGCAAAATAGGCAAGGAGTCCATTAATATTTCACTTGACTTATGTCACCATGGAAACCCCTGGAGTAGTGAATGGCTTTGGGGAGTGGTCAGATTCAACCAAAAATAACAGAAATCTCTGTCCCCCAGGTAAAGGATTCCTACTTTGTGTGTGTCTGTGTGTGCACACAGGCACACTCGAGAGACTTTTGGCATTCTTTGAAGTCACTGGAGGGGCACAGAGATAAACCCACTCAGCCTTGGCCTCCAAGACTAACAGAACAAAACGTTTCCCTGAAAGAATAAAAAAAAAAATACAGGCATAAGAAAACACACAAACATGGGCTTAGAGATTTAAATACACACACACACACACACACACACACACACACACACACACAGGCCCTAGAAGGAACATACACCCTGAGATACGCACTCATTCTAAAATAAACTCGGGAATACAGAAGGACACGGGCATGTCCTTTCAGAGAGGCACACTTCTAGGCCCTAAGTAGGAGAAGGAAGAGGGGAGAGGAAGAGGCAGGGAGAGGGACAGGGAGGGGGGAGGAGGGAGGGAGAGAGAGAGAGAAACGAAGAAGGGGGCGGAGGAGGAGATGGAGGAGACACTCTTTATTCTATAGGAGGAGACATCACGGAAGAGAAATCAACACTGAGGCCTTGGCCGGGCGCGGTGGCTCACGCCTGTAATCCCAGCACTTTGGGAGGCCGAGGCGGGTGCATCACCTGAGGTCAGGAGTTTCCAGACCAGCCTGGCCAACATGGCGAAACCCGGCCTCTACTAAAAAATACAAAAATTAGCCGGGCATGGTGGCGCGGACCTGTAATCCCAGCTACTCGGGAGGCTGAGGCAGGAGAATCTCTTGAACCCGGAGACGGAGGTTGCAGTGAGCCGAGATCGCGCCATTGCACTCCAGCCTGGGCAACAGGGCGAGACTCCGTCTCAGAAAAAACAACAACAACAACAACGAACAAACCAAAAACCAATGAGGCCTGAAGATAAAGACACATGTACAACCACGGATGTCAGACTTCCAGAGGCACGGCCAAGGCAAAAGACAAACACATACAGACTGCAGCAGGCAGACAGGCCGGTTCCAGAGTCAGGCTCCGGTGAAGCTCCGAAGAAACAAACACGCAGGGAGATTTCGGAGGCGTCCGAGGACACCGTGGGGCCCGGCTGGCTCCCTCTGTCTCTGTGCGCGCCCCTTCCCCGGGTCACCCCGCCTGCGCCCGACCTGCGCCCGCGCACCGCGCCCTCGGGGCTCCCTGGGACAGCCCGCGGCCTGGCCCGTGCGCCCGGGCTCCCCTCCCCGCCGGCCCGGCACTTCCCAGCTCTGACGCGGGAGCTTCTTTCACACCAATGGGGCTCGCGCGCGGAGGGGCCCTGCCCCTCCTCCGGGAAGGTGTGTCCCTGTTTCCTCACCTGAAACTTCCTAGGAGAACCCGATCCCTCCCTCCCGTCGGGCGGCCAGGGGCGGGCCGCGGGTGGGGCGGCCGGGCCTGCGCTGGGGACGGCTCTGGGGACTGCGGCCGGCGCCGGGACCTGGAGGGGACGCTGGGGCCGAAGCAGCATGTGACACCGACCAGGTGGGTGCCCTCCTCCCGTCTCGGCCCTGGGCTCCCGGCGGCTGTGGAGCCCGGCGGAGGTGGGGCAGGGACAGGAAGGAAGAGGAAGCCAGGCCTTTCCCAGGGATCAGCCCCCGCTGGGTCCGGGGCGCAGGCTCCGGAAATGGGGGGGCTGGGCCCGCAGGCAGGGCTCGGGGTGTGTGGCTGAGGACCCTGGTGGGGAAGAGGAGAGGAACTAGAGGAAATGTTGTTGCCTACAAGTTTGCTTCCGGTCGGGTCCCGCCTAGGAAATGGGCACCCTGCCCCCAGACGTTCCCCGGGCCAATAATCAGGGCTCTTTCTTCAAAGTAGGCGCCCTGGGGAAAGCTAAGCCATATCAGAAGGAATAACTGAGATTCCCTTTCTAGGCTGTTCCTTACCTGGAGAGGTTTTATCGGCTCCTTTTCCTTAACCAGGCCGGGGCCTTTCCTTATGTATCTCCATAGGTATTTGCATACTGTGTGAGTCTATGTGTAGCTTCTCTCCGTGTTAACCAAAGCTCCGTAACCTGGAACAGTGAATCCTGCCCTGCCCCTCACCCCAGTTCCCTACATATGGGGAGCCTCCTAAAGCTTGATGTGAATCACAACGTTGCATTCTTAGCAAGGTGGAAAGAAGTTATTTAGAGTTGGGGGCTGAGGTAGGCGTTGGGGTGCTAGAATGCGGACGCAGAGCTCTAGAACCCCTGAGCATCTTTTGCAGTTGCCTTCCGGCAAGACTACCGGAGGAGAGCCAGTTGTGATACTACGTCATTTCCAGATCTCAGTCCCTTTCTTCCCTTCCTGGATCTTGGGTTCCAAAGACAGATTTGCCCTCCTGTCTACCTAGAAGTGAACTCTGGCCAGGACTCTTGTCTGGTTGAGAGAGAAGGGTGTGTCAAACAGATGAGAGAGGGTGGTTTTCCTTTCGAGCTTCCTCCCTAGCTTGCTCCCCTACTGCACTCCACTGTCTGGCCTTGCATCTTGGGCCTAATCCAGAGGTCCCAGCTCCAGCTAAAAAGCTCTTGATGTGGCCTCTGTCTCAGACGTCTTGTTTTATCCACATTTGGAGCATGAAGAAGTTCCTGGCATAGGCCTTAGCAAAATGGGTGTCATTTGTTAACCAATCTGTGGGCCTAAAAGTGAAGCCGTGGCTAGTGAAGGAGTCCTGGGGAGCTGGGAAGATGGGATGAGGGCGTGTCAGTTCTGGGTGAGACTGATATGCAGGAGGAATGTATGTCATGGTCCTAGTGGGGAGGAGAGAGAAATCAGGAGGAGTGCAAAGGAATCCCTCTCATCAACAGAATATAGTGATTCTCAATAGAGAGAAGAGTGTTCATATATTAGAGGTCCTGAGAGTGTATCAGTGCCCTTAACGCGGTCTGTCTGAGGTTCCGTGGCCACGTTACACGTGGTGTCTGTGGGATAGACAGGAATACGTCATTTGTGGTGTCTGGAGAGGTCAGTCGCTATGTGGTATGGACAGGAATGGAGTCACTCGTAGGGTCTTGGGTTCAACGGGAGCAGCATTACTCAAGTGTCAGTGGTGTAGACAAACAGGTGACCAACAGCTCTAGTGTAGACAGGGGCTGGGTCACTCACAGTGTCTGTGGAGTAAGCAGGAGCCGATCACTTATAGTGCCTGCAAGGTAGACTGGAACAAAGTCACCCTCAAGGTCTATGTTAATACACAAACACGTCACTCACACTAATGTTATCTGTGTGGATGCCACCAGGACCACAGATGAGATTGTAGAGTGTAAGTCAGCATTGACACTAATAATGTTCTTATATAAACTATCTGGTCTATAAGGCAGTTGGTGTGACATTTTCAGACATTAGAGAATAGATAAATGTGTATTACAGCTTTCACTGGCATGGTGGGACTTTCCTGCAATGGATAGAACACACATTGTAGTAGTCAGTGGTCCAGAAAGCTACCCCTGTTTTGATATCTTTGTAGTATTGAGGGCAGTGATGTCAAACAGTGAATAAAGTTATATATCTATGTGGTGATCTTATTTTAACCTCAATATTATTTTAGTGATTTTTAAGTCAGAATATTTGAAATCAACCTTGCTAGAAAATCCAGGAAGCATGGTCCTCAAAAATATATATATGGCACTGAGTCTCAGTTCAAAGATTTGGCAGTTTGATTGGGGAGGGGTTGTATCCTTGAAATACAGTGTTGTTTCTAGTGACTAGAAATAGACAAGAGCTAAGGTGTTGGGGGGGGCTCTAGGGAAGATAGTGAGCTCTGTCACACATTATGTTAAAGGGATGACTTGAAGCTTTGCCTCTCAAGAAGTCACACGTGGGTGAGGTTATGTGGATGCAAAATGTCTGTGGTCTGAAGCAAGGCCGTATCCCCATAATCCCATGCCCTGGCTTTGCCTGTACACAGATAAACAGTGATTATTCACCCTCAGTGGAGAAGGAGATGAGGATGTTTGCACTCTAACGTAATGAGCATTGCAAAAAACTCTCTCCTGATGCCTTTACGTGAGTAAGACCATGATTTACAGATTTCCTTTCACTTTGTCACATTTTAGCTTTGTCATGCCTGATTGCAACGGGATCACTGAGATAGGATCAAGTATAGGGAACGTGGGGTATGTTCTCCCTTTGCGGTAACTGGTGGCTGAGCAGGTGACCACTGATATTTCCAAATGAAAAAAGACAGTTAGAAATGGTGTCAATGGGCTTGCAGAGGCAGGCATGCACTGTGCCACTAGATTGGAACAGAAAATGTCCAGGTAGCACATGGTATTTATAGATATACCCTAGATATGGCAGAAACACACTTTTATTTAGAGGCTACTTGTTTTGAAGACGTGATGGTGTATATGGAGGAGAGGGCCTGAACCATGCAGATGTAAGTGAGGAGAGACTACAGGTTTAGTCCCATGGTCTCCTTAGGCCAAGTTTCAGAAAGTGTCTTAAAGTAAGCAAGTATATTATTCGATGTGTGGTTGAGAGAACAGGGCCACATCACAGAATCACCCATAGGGATTATAGTATTTTGTACTTAAGGGCTAAACATAGGGAGCCAATCGCATATGGTGTCAGTTAACTGGAAAAGGACATAAAAGTCCTTCTGCCTGTGTACAATTATGTCAGACATATCTCTTTGCCCCATATAGATGGTATCTCTGTCTCTGGGATGGCCAGAATCTTGTCACATACTACTCTGCAGTGTGCTAGGGACCTGCCTGTTTGGTTATGTCAGGCTCTATTGCAAGAGTTTGTAAGGATGGCTCAGTGTGTGTGTGTGTGTGTGTGTGTGTGTGTGTGTGTGTGTGTGTACACACAGTGGCTAAGCAGGACAGTATTCTGAGCAGGTGAGTTTTCAGTTTAAGCCTGGACCAGACAAGAAAGGTGCACGGTCAGGTGCAGCATTGGGTCCATAGAATTCTGGGGTCTTCTCTGGACTGATGGCCTGCCAGCTTTCTTTCAGTAGGACCTCTAAGTGCTTACAGGAGACTTAAATCAAGCGACTTTGCTTCAGGTTTGCCCATACCATTTGCTTAGGAGATTTGAGCAAGGGTCTAGGGTCTTTGACCTTTAGTTTCTTCATCTGTAAATTGAGCAGTTTCTGTGTGTCTCTGAAGGTCCTTCCGGCTTTATGAATCCTGTGTTTCTCTCTTACACTTATTCTCTGTCTCTCAGGTCAACAGTATTTACCACAGCCACCATTTCTATGACCCTTAAAGATAGCAGTGTACATTTTTATGTTACCTTATTTAATCTTTACTAGAACTGTGAAGGAATCCTTTTATCTCCTTTTTAAAGATAAGAAAATGGATGTTCAAATAAATTTAATGGTTTCTACAATTGTCTTAAAACCAGCAAAGATACCAGAGAGGCACAACCAAACACTGATCCACACTCTTCTAACTCTATATTCTTCCGTCATTCATTCACACGATACATCTTTGTTGAGGGCCAACTAGGCTTCAGGCAGAGGGGGTTATATGGCAGTGTTTGTCCCTTCATGGTGCTCATAATCTAGCCTGGAAAATAGACATTAAATATGACATGACAAGTGCAAGGTGTGTTTGAGGAGAAGCAAAGGATTCTCTGTTGCAAAAGAGGATTCCAGGCAGAGGAGCAGTGTCTACAAAGGCCTACAGGTGAGAGACACAGAGAGAAGTGAGCTAAAGACACTGAAAGCCAGTGGGAGGGGGGGGGATGGGGGCAGGGACAGATGGTGACAGGTGAATAGGCTGCTAGAGAAGAAGGCAGAGCCAGATTGTGCAGGGAGTATAACCCATGCTGAAGATTTAGATTTCATCTCAAGAGCATTCAGAGGCTGCTGAAGAATCTAAGCTAGAACTGGTGCTTTTGAAGCTCACTTAGGTGCTGTATGGAGAAAGGACTGGAATAACGTGAAATGGGTGGAGGCCAGTGCCCAAGCTGTGGCCGGGTGCAGTGGCCCGGGCGAGACGGTAGCAGCATGCACCAGTGGAGAGGGATGGGATAGAAGTGGACAGTCTTAAGGGATATTTAGCAGACGAGGTCAATAGCACATGGTGATTGATTAGATATGGGGAATCTGGGCCAGGAGGGAAACAAGAATTTTATTTTATTTTAATTAATTAATTAATTTATTTAGAGACAGAGTCTCACTCTGTCACCTAGGCTGGAGTGCAGTGATGTGATCTTGGCTCACTGCAGCCTCTGCCTCCTGGGCTCAAGGGATCCTCCCATCTCAGCCCCCAAGTAGCTGGAACTACAGGCACGTGCCACCATGCTCCACTAATTTTTGTATTTTTTGTGGAGACAGGGTTTCACCAGGTTGTCCAGGCTGGTCTCAAACTCCTAGATTCAAGCAGTCAACCTGCCTCAGCCTCCCAGAGTGTCAGGATTATATATATAAAGTGCATTGGGAAACTCAGTTTTTCATCTGTAAAATGGGCAGAATAATGGTACCCATCTTATACGATGACTCTTAGATGTATGGCACATACATATTTAAAGAAGCATTTCATTATTTTTAATGACATGTATGCAGGAAAACCTTAGTGTTTCAGAATGAAAAATAAGAAAAATTAATTTGTTGTGTATAGAGCTCTAAATGTTTAAAGTTCTGTGTAAACTGTTAATCATGATTTTAGGAAAAGGTGGGCATATTCCATTGAAGTAAAAGGATCACATTTTATTCTGACCTGAACTTTATTCTTTATGTGAAAAATATTTATTAAACACTGAGTATAGGCCACTATTAGGCTAAGTATGGATAATTCAGCAAGTCATAGTTCTTAATCTCATAAATTTTACTATCTATTGGTTGCAATAGAGGGTAACTCAAAATACACACATCATTATATAATTATAATTGTATAAATGCTACAAAGGAAAAGTAAAGTGAATTATAGTTGGTAAGTGCTACAAAGCGGGGTACAATTTAACCTAGTTAAAAGATCAGGGGAGGCCAGGTGCAGTGGCTTACGCCTATAATCACAACACTTCGGGAGGCCGAGGCGGGTGGATAACGAGGTCAGGAGATTGAGACCATCCTGGCCAAAATGGTGAAACCCCGTCTCTACTAAAAGTACAAAAATTAGCTGGGTGTGGTGGCACACACCTATAGTCCCAGCTACTCGGGAGGCTGAGGCAGGAGAATCGCTTGAACCCGGAGGTGGAGGTTGCAATGACCCAAGATTGCACCACGGCACTCCAGCCTGGGTGACAGAGCAAGACTCCATCTCAAAAAAAAAAAAAAAAAAAAGAAAGAAAAAAAAAGACTGGAGGAAACTGAAGGGGTAAAACCAGGAAAATGTAATACCACAAGTAACAAGAGAGTATTTCTAACCTCAGTACTGTCAAATACTGACAAGAACCACCCAAAATGAAGATCCATAAGGTCTTCTTTGGAATTAACAACATGTCGATTGTAGGGAATATTGGCAGAATGCCGCTATCAAAGCTCAGTTGGAGGCAGGTGGGATGTGAGAGTATGAAGACAGCAGATAAGAGCAACTCCTTCTAGTCATTTGAAAGATGAGAAGAATGTGGGAATGCTTCCATACCCCAGGGGTTGTTCAGCAGGGATGTTGAAGGTATGAGTGCACAGTGTTCCTGGGGAAGCAGGCAAGAAATGACAGAGCATGGAAAGGAGGGATACGTCTTTTCCTGACTGAGGGCGGAAGATAGAAAGAGTGGAAATACAGGTTGCTTTGGATCGCAAGAAATTGAGGTGAGAGAAACCCAGTTCCATCAGTTTCTATTTTCTTTGCAAAATAGGAGATGAGGTGTTCTGCTGGAAGTGAGAAGAAAGGCAGGAAGGTCGAAATCAAAAGACAGGAAGGTCAAAAGAATTAATGAGAAGAGTTCATATGGATACTGAGGCCAAGGGGAGAGTAAGGTGATGCAGAAAGCACCCTTCTGTGGTCTTCCTTCAAGGTGGTAATGTGTCTAGTTCAACACTAATCCAATAAGGCTGTTATCATCCCACTTTACAACAGCTGCCTCTAGAATTGGAAACAAAACTGTTAGTTACAATGCTGTAGTAGACACTATGGAAAACAGAAAGATGAGTAAACTCCAAACCCTCTGTAAAGAAGATGAAACCATAGCACCTCACACATTGGCTATCATAGCCTGGCCTATTTTAACTGATGTCCACAGCTTAAGAGGAAGACCCTCTCCTGACACTGCTTCTCTGGCCTAATAGATCTGAGGTGTGTCCCTTGCTGTGTCTGGGGGTTATATGAGGATGAGTCACTCCTAGTGTCCGAAGAGTAGACAGGGAGAGACAGAAGATGACATAATGGAGTCTAGAGAGAACTGACAACTGGGAGCTTCTGGGCACTCTCTGACAATGGTCCTCTGCTATAATTTAATTGTTCATTATGACCTGTTTCCCTCACAAGACCACAGTCTCCATGACGACAAGATCTTTATCTCATTCACTACTGAATGCCCCACACTTAACAGGGTCGCTAGGAAAATATTTATGAAATAAATACATCAATGACAAGTTTTTTAGAGGCTATTGCTTATTTTGTTGAGAACCTGTTGTCTCAAAGAATGACCCTAAATGGAACCAAATAAATGCATCACTCTTCTTTTTTATGGTCTCTTCCTCTGATAGGTAAAAGCAGAGTTGTTAGAAACATTTGTCTTTGATTCCTCCTTAGGATTCAGCCCTGATGGAGGCTGAGGAGGCCCAGCGTGGAGCCTCTCCTCCCATCTCTGCCATAGAGGAATTCAGCATTATCCCTGAGGCTCCCATGAGGAGCAGCCAGGTCTCTGCCTTGGGGCTTGAAGCTCAAGAAGATGAGGACCCATCCTATAAGTGGAGAGAGGAACACAGACTCTCAGCAACTCAGCAGAGTGAGTTAAGGGATGTGTGTGACTATGCGATTGAGACGATGCCCTCTTTTCCCAAGGAAGGTTCTGCAGATGTGGAGCCCAATCAGGAAAGCCTTGTGGCTGAGGCCTGTGACACTCCGGAACACTGGGAGGCAGTACCCCAGAGCCTAGCAGGCCGACAAGCAAGGACTCTAGCTCCCCCAGAGCTCTGGGCCTGCCCCATTCAGAGTGAGCATCTAGACATGGCCCCATTTTCCAGTGACCTGGGAAGCGAAGAAGAGGAGGTGGAATTTTGGCCAGGACTTACTTCTTTGACATTGGGATCTGGACAGGCAGAAGAAGAAGAGGAAACCTCTTCAGATAACTCTGGTCAGACCAGATATTATTCTCCCTGCGAAGAGCATCCTGCAGAGACCAACCAGAATGAAGGCGCTGAAAGTGGGACTATCAGGCAGGGGGAAGAGCTGCCATCTGAGGAGCTGCAGGAAAGTCAAGGGCTCTTGCATCCCCAGGAGGTCCAAGTTCTGGAGGAGCAGGGACAGCAGGAAGCAGGATTTCGGGGGGAAGGAACTCTGAGGGAGGATGTTTGTGCCGATGGGCTATTAGGGGAGGAACAGATGATAGAGCAGGTTAATGATGAAAAGGGAGAACAGAAGCAAAAACAGGAACAGGTACAAGATGTGATGCTTGGGAGACAAGGAGAAAGAATGGGGCTCACTGGGGAGCCAGAGGGTCTGAATGACGGTGAGTGGGAGCAGGAGGATATGGAGAGGAAGGCTCAGGGTCAGGGAGGTCCAGAACAGGGAGAAGAGAGGAAGAGGGAGCTGCAGGTGCCAGAAGAGAACAGGGCGGACTCTCAGGACGAAAAGAGTCAAACCTTTTTGGGAAAATCAGAGGAAGTAACTGGAAAGCAAGAAGATCATGGTATAAAGGAGAAAGGGGTGCCAGTCAGCGGGCAGGAGGCGAAAGAGCCAGAGAGTTGGGATGGGGGCAGGCTGGGGGCAGTGGGAAGAGCGAGGAGCAGGGAAGAGGAGAATGAGCATCATGGGCCTTCAATGCCCGCTCTGATAGCCCCTGAGGACTCTCCTCACTGTGACCTGTTTCCAGGTGCCTCATATCTCGTGACTCAGATTCCCGGGACTCAGACAGAGTCCAGGGCTGAGGAACTGTCCCCCGCAGCTCTGTCTCCCTTGCTAGAGCCCATCAGATGTTCTCACCAGCCCATTTCTCTACTGGGCTCCTTTTTGACTGAGGAGTCACCTGACAAGGAAAAACTTCTATCAGTACTTTGATATGTCACAGTTTCATGTTTATCCAGTTCAATGTATTTTTAAATTTTTCCTTGAGACTTCTTTGACTGATAGATTATTGTGAAGTGTGTTTTTAAATTTCCAAATGTTTAGGGATTTTCATATCTTTCTTATGCTGATTTCCAATTGGATTCCCTACAATGATTTCTGGTTTTCATCTGCTCTGGATGATTACTATCTCTTTTAAATTTGTTGTGGCGAGTTTTAGGGCCTAGGACAGCTCTATCTTGCCATGTGTTTCATCAGCACTCAAAAAAAATATGTGTATTCTGCTGTTACTGTGTGGAATATTCTGTAAATGCCAAATAGATTCTTTTGGTTAATGGCATTTTGAGTTGTTTTATATTCTTGTTGATTTTCTTTTTTTTCCTCTTTTTAAAAACATGAAATGCTTCACAAAATTTTGTGTAATCTATATTCAAGAACCGTTTTAATCTTGTTGGCATCATTCTGATTTTAGAAAGTGCTGCCAAAGCCAACACTCCTTGCTGATTTTCTGTCTAGTTCTATCAATTATTGAAAAAGGCATGAGGAAATTTCTAACTATAATTGTGGATTCATCTATATCTCCTTTCAGTTTTCTTTTTTTAAAAAAAATCAATGAAAATTTATTAAATTAAGCATAAAGTTACTTTCACATTTATCTACAACCACAGTGAATACAGTTCTTGGCATGAAGACACCACAACCTTTAGAATTTAAAGCCTCCTCACCTGCAAGATTACATATATAAAACTCCCACTATTGTTTCTCTAAGAGTGGATTAGTTCACCAAGTTAAAAGTTATATGATCTAGAATATAATAAAATGGAAATGATTTACTCATAAGATTCATATTCAAACCATCTTTATTTACAAAATACTATCCTGAGAACTATTATTCCATTAAACTTCAATTTGAGAAAAGTGCAATCACTTAAGTAACAGCAGTTACTTAAACTGAAAATGAGATCAGTCAAAATTACTTTTGAAGAAAGCAACAATATTGTCAGGTTTCTTGCTGTGGTTCTGGATGTCCAGTAGCAGGCTCCTTTGAAGGCGGAATCAATCCTGAAGGGAACTCGCTTCTACCTTCAGAATGCGGGGTTGGGGTAAAATCCAGGTCTCGGATGAAAGTAAGGAGGTAAACCCCTCGGTGGATAGATGTTTCTCATTGCAAATGGAGCATGTGGTGGACCTGGGAAATCCCTTGGTGGAAAATAACCTCGAGAAGCTCCAAACATGGTTCCTGGAGGAGGTGGGGGGAAAGGAGGTCCTCTTCTCATGAACGGGCCCCTTGTATCCACTGGAAACAATGGTCCTCTGACTGGAGCAAGAGGTGGAGGAATAAAGCCAGGGCCAGTTGCTTCATTTTCAGCAGGGAGAGATGAATCAGGCACATTTAAATTACCAAGATCATCTTTGGCATCATTTCTACTGGATTCCATTTCTGAAGGCATTGACCCATCCATTTTATCCAAAGAAGTCATTTTAAAACTTCTGGGTTCTGCTGGTCCAGACAGTCTTTCAGAATTAGAATAAAATCTGTCTTCCCTTTGTGGAGGAAGAGTTGAATCAGGATATGATTGCCCTGGTGGAGGAAACATCATCCTACGGTCCTGTTCCACCGGAGATGACAGGGACCCAGTGTCAGAAGGAGCCCTGTGAGGATCGATTAACCTGTCATAGCTTGGTTCTCCTCTTTCATTGGTAATCTGATGGTCCAGGGGATTCCCTGGGCTGCTTGGGCCTCTTCCTCCTCCCCCTGGAAGCACAGGTGAGAGTCTGAGTGGATCCTCCAACAAAGTTTGAGGAGAGGGAAAAGCTCTCGTTTCAGATGAAGGCCGACCCAATGGTGAGGGACTACATGGGGAATGCTCTCTGCCAAATGCTGTATTTGAAACATCGAGTGCATTAGGATCTTTTTCTAAAAGTTCAAATTTCAACTCTGTTTCAGTTAATTTTTGTTTGTTGTGAGCATTTTCTTTCCTTAAATCACTGAGGTTTCTTTCAGCAGTCCGAGCTGCCAACCAATTATCATGTCCTCTTTTCTCGTAGGAAATAACCTGCTTTTGATAAAAATGAACAGTTCTCTCCAATTCTTCTTCAAGATCTTTGGCTAGCTTTCTATAGGTCTCCAGCCCTTCAGTGGCACGGCTGATCTTTTCTTCCACTCTAGAAAGCTTCTCTTCTTCCTCTATTCGGTAATTTTCCTCCACTGTTAATTTCCTGTAGAGTTTCATTTCATTTTCTTGATAGAATTCAGTCATTATTTTAAGTTTCTGTTGAAGCTTCTGATTCTCACTTTCAAAATATATGTTTTCTGATTGCAAAGATGCTTGTTGAGTCTGAAGATTTTTAATATGCTCTGTAAGCTCTTCCTTTGTTTTGTCCACTTCAGATAACTGAATAATAATGTGGTTTCTTTCTCCTTCTAAGCTTTTTAAAGAAACATTTAACTTAGCAGCATGAATCAGTTTCTTCAAAGCTCCTTTCAGAGGATCATCTAAGTTAGCACCATTTTCCCATTGACTGTTCACTTCTAATTCCAGGTTATCATCATCCGTTGTGTCTTCTTCAAGCACAGCAGCCTGATCTTTCATCATTGGCAAGTGTCCAGTCAGGGTCTTGATGTGATTTTCTTTATCATTCAGAACTTGTTCTGCGTGTACTTTGGAGTCTTCAAATGTTATTTTCTGTTTATTAAGTTCACTCACTTGTCCTTTCCATACTTCAGCTTCTTGCTGAAAAAGCTGTTTATGGCTTGTCTGAAGTTGAGAATTTTCATTCAAAGCATCTTTTATTGCTATAGCCCGTCGTTCTTCACTCATTTTAAATGTCTTGCAGATGATTTTGGCTTCAGCTATTTGTGATTTGAGGGATTTTGACTCATCTTCTAGAGACTGTATACTTTTTGAAATATCCGCCATCAATTCATCTTGTTGAGAATGTTTAGATTTCTCTTGTTTTAAGTCTTTTTCTAGACAGAGGATTTCATCCTCAAGTTCAGAATTGGACCTGTTCAGCTTTTCACAGGTTGCCTCCAAACTTCGTGCTTCTTCTGCTGCCGCCTTCTCAAAGCTGGCATCCTCTAAAGATGACTCTACTTCATAGCCTTCATACTCTTTTTGAATAAGGCTAAACTTTTCAAGTAGTTTACATTTTTCTTCAATTAGTCCAGAAAGCGTTGCACCAAGTTTTTGCTCTCTTCCCACGTAAAGCCGACTCCTAACCGATCTAAAACTTCTCCACAAAAAAAGGAGAACAACAAAAAATCCAATAACAGCTGCACATACCACCAGTTCCGATGGAAAACCATAAGGATTCTCATCTGGTCTCATACTCTCAGGTAGTGCTGCCACAACTCTGCGTAGCTCCTCCAGGACCAGCCCCAGGTAGGGCTGAGGGGTAGCACCAGGCTCCTCCATAGCGTCGAGGCTGCTCTGGCGGTCACCGCAGTAACACTGGCCACAACAAGCGGTGGAGAACACGCAGCCTTGGGTCTGGAACCCGAATGCGCACGTGACAACCAACCGGAGCGGACCACTGTGGAGCGGGCTGCGGGGGGAGCTGGGGAACGCGGGCACCCACAGGCCTCACAGGCCCATGTTGTCCCCCACCACCTCCCCTGGCCCTCTTGTTACACTTTACATCCTGAGGCAGCGCTGGTCTGAGCCCGGCCCGCCTTAGTTCTGGCAGTTTTCACATCACATATTTTGAAGCTTTATTTTTTGGTGAATACACTTTTAAAATTGCTGTCTTCTTCATGGATTAAACCTTTGATCATTATATAATCTCTGGTTTTGGTAGTTTTCTTTGCTTTATCTGATATGCACACAGACACTCTTGCTTTCCTTTCATTAATGTTTGTGTAATATATCTTTTTTCATCCTGTTAATTTGGCCTGCCCTGTATTGGTAAAATTCAAGTGAGTTTCTTGTACACAGCATACAAGAAACATATAAGAAAGGGTCATACTTTTAAATACACTCTTCTATTATCTATCTCTTGGTAGACCATTCATAATTAAATGAATTATTGATACTTTAATGCGTAAGCCTGACATTTTTTGTTTTCTCTATCAATTCTTGTTTCTCTGCTTATTTTTCATGACTTCATGTGGGTTACTTGAACATTTGTTTTAGAATTCCATTTTGTTATTTATAGTGTTTATAGTGTATCTTCTTTTTTATAGTTTTTTTGGTTGCATTTTATAGCTTAGTGGTTGCATTTTACAGCTTAGTGTATATTCATTTATATAAACATTATCACAGTCAATTGGTATCATCTTTATTCCAGTCTGAGTGAAGTATAGCAACCTTCTGTCATATTATGTCTCTTTACTCTATCAAATTTGTAGTATAATTGTCTTACATCCATTTAGAATAACACTAGACAATGCTATGATTTTTGCTTGAAACATCAAACATAATTTAGGAAATTAGAATCTATGAAAATAAAGTGAGCATTTTAAAGCTTCCAGAAAGAAATCTGACACAACCTGTTTTGTCTTTCATTTTTTCTTTCTTTCCTTTATATTCATCATAGATGTTATGATGCCCTATCTGTTAACTCCAATATCTGGATTATCTATGAGTTTGTTTTTAATAACTGATTTATTTCTTATCAGTCTGTTTTACTTGCTTTTTTGTATATTTGGTATTTTTTTTAAAGTATGCTGAATTTATGGATAATATGATATAGAACTACTCAAGAATTTTGAATTTTTTTTCTGGGCAGAATTTGTAATTACTTGCAGATCATCTTGCTGCTCTCAAGACCTAGTTTTAAGCTGTGTTATGGTAATTATATTTTATTTTCCTCTTAGAACATATGCCTCACTCCTGGGATACTGCACCTCTCCTAAGAGAATTTTTAGAGTCCCAACTGAGTTTCTCAGTTGTTTGCCAACATTTCCCCATTTGGCTGGATCTGAACTCCAGTAGCTTTCCAGGAAGTTTTCAGTCCCTGATGATCTCTTCTGCTTTCTGTATCCCAGCAGTTTCTTTCTCCAAGGTCTCCCCTCTTCTTAGCCAACTGTCACATAGCTAAGGAGTCACAGAAGGACCAAAATGGCATGTATACACCCATTTCTAGGTTCTTTCTCTCTCCCATATGGTACATTGACCCCCAATTCCTAACCAATTTAGCAGCTTTGAACTCTATTCATTGCTTCTTTTGGTTCCCAAGACCACTAACCCCTGGTTGGGTCCCATTTTCCTGTACCAAGGTCAGGAAGATGCCTTTCTGGAAAATCCTGGCAAATGTGGTACTAACCTCATGTGCCTCACCTTCCTTAAAGATCTCATACCTGACTTGCTACAACAATGTTCTTCAATGCCTGCTGATATGGTTTGGCTGTGTCCTTACGCAGATCCCATCTTGAATTGTAGCTTGCATAATTCCCACATGTAGCCAGCCCACCTGAACCATGCTCAGCAGCTGGTGAGAGGTAATTGAATCATGGGGGTGGGTCTTTCCCATGCTGTTGTTGTGATAGTGAATAAGTCTCATGAGATCTGATGGTTTTACAAAGGGGAGCTCCCCTGCACATGCCCTCTCTCTTGTCTGCCATGTAAGATGTGCCTTTGCTTTTCCTTTGCCTTCTATCATGATTGTGAGTTCTCCCCAGCCATGTGGAACCGTGAGTTCACTAAACCTCTTTCTTTTATAAATTACCCAGTCTTGGGTATGTCTTTATTAGCAGCATGAGAACAGACTAATACACCTGCCAAGAATTTTTTCTATATTTTGGCCAGATTGTATAGTTTTTTATGGTGGGAGGGTGAATCTGACACAAGCTATTTGGTGTCAAGTATCCAAGTCACATACTAATTTATTTTTAATGTAAAGCTATACAACCTTCTTTCTATACCTAAATTTTTAATTAAAATATAATAATTAAAATATTACTAAAAATTTCTTAATGATTTTATTTCATGGTGAAAGAGACTCAGTCTGGAATGTAAAGTATGTCTTACCAGTATTTCTCGTTTTGCAGGACATTGTCTAGGTGTCCCTCTCCCACGGATGATCATTAGTGTGGTTTATTTTTATGCTTTGAGAAAATAAGTCTGTAGTATGTTACTATATTCTACTATATAAAGATACACTTCAACTTATGATAGGATTATGTTCCAATAAACCCATCATAAGTTGGTAATATTATAAGTTGATGATGCTTTTTTTAAAAAAATATAGACTATTGTCCTGTTGCCCAGGCTGGAGTGCAGTGGCTATTCTCAGGTGTAGTCATAGTACACTATATTCTCAAAGTCTTTGAGCTCAAACAATCCTCCTGCCTCAGCTTCCTGAAGAGCTGGGACTGACTATAGGCACACACCACTATACCTGGCTTGAAGATATGTTTAATAAACCTAACCTACCAAACATCATAGCTTAGCCTAGCCCACCTGAACCATGCTTAGAACACTAACATTAGCCTACAGTTGGGCAAAATCATCTTACACAAAGCCTATATTATAGTAAGCTGTTGAATATTTCATGTAATTTATTGAATACTGTACTGAAAAGGAAAAACATCATGGTAAAATGAGTACTTGAAATATGGTTTCTACTGAATGAATATCACTTTCCCACCATTGTACAGTTGAAAATCTTAAGTGAAATCATTGTAAGTTGGTGACTCTCTGCATTTATTTATTTTACTACTTTCCTTTTTTCTTTTAATAGTTGAAAGCCATCATAAGGTAAAATATTATTGCCTAAAAATACTCTGCTTCTCTGGAAAATAAAAAAGACAGAAGTTTCAAAGAAATCTTTCAAGAGATATAAAAATCATATGAAAATGAAATAAGTAAAGAATAAATCTGTAATTATGCATGTTGTAAAATACAAATGGGAGGCTGGAAGAGAGACTGTAGATGCACCGTGAAAATGAAAGCAGAAATAAAGTAGGAATGGAAACATTTATATAGGAGTTGTGAGATACAGCATCATATTTTTGTTCTACACTAAATAGTTTTCATGTCTAGCAGAGGACTTGGAAATTATAAGCTACTCAACAGTGAATCTCAGAGCTTTCTCCATTCATCTCACAGTTAGTCTTATATAAATATACAGCTCTGTAATGATTATATGTATCAATTTTTTTTCCAGTCAAGGACTTTTCCTCCACATGTTCATTTCCGTGAAAAATATCACTTGGTACTAGATGATGTGAATGGCTATGATTGAACTGGTTACTTAGGGTAATAGGCTGACATCTTGTTTCGGCAATTAAACAATAAAAAAGTTGTTCTTTATTAAGATATGAATCCATTTCTTAAAGAAATGGGTTCCATAGATTTCCATAGCATTAAGCATGTTGGTAATTCAAATGCCTCATCACTGAACAAAAATGCTCAACCTCAGAGACTATCCTTGCACATAAAAATTTTTCTTATTTTCAGTTGAGTATGGGCCAACTCATATCAAACATTATTGATAGAGATTGGAGCACCTGCTCTGGATCAGGGTAGGGTCCTCCACAGCTAGAACTGTGGAAAACATCTCAACAGTAGGCACTGGAATTGTGTTTTCCCCAGTCACAGGCCTTGGGCAAGAGGAGAGCTGCTATGGCTGTGGTTTCTCCTGGACAATGAGACTTTCAGCCAGCGCCAGCTTGATGAACTAGAACTGGTCTGTGTGTGTTATTTTTGGGTGACCCAGCCTACTTCCTTGAGACTGTGGTGTAGCAGGGCCTTCTCCATTCTACACATAAGCAGATCGCCAAGCATTTAAAGCACTTGCTCACATGGGCTGGCAGCCTGGGTTGCCCCTTCCTTCCTGTGCAGAGATCCTTGTGCAAGGGGACCATCTCCACTTCATGCCCAGGCAGACATCCAGGGATTCAGAGTGCCCATCAGCGTGAATCAGCAATCTGAGCTGCTCCGTTCTTCTGGTGCAGAGATTGCGGTGTAGTGGGACCCTCTCTGCTCCACAGATTTCCAGGTATTTGGAGCATCTGCTCACCTGGAGCAGTAGCCTGAGCCACCCCATCCTTCCTGTGCAGGGATATTGGTGTAAGGAGACCCTCTCCACTCCACAACCAGGCAGATCTCCAGGCATTTGGAGCAGCCACTCTCCTGGAGTAAGAGATTAGGCTTCCTCTGGCACCCTTATGCAGAGAATTTGGGGCCAACTTCCACGCCGAGGCACGCCGCTGGACACTTGGTGGCTGCCCACTGGACTCTCCCTCAGAGTTGGTGCTAGTGCTTATTGTTGGGGGACCTGTAGATGGGCTTGCCAGGTCCAGCCCCACCCAGTGTTTTCTCGGTAAACAAGAATCAAGTATATACCCAGCCCCACTGGCTGCAACCTGCTGTTACCCATAAGCGCCATCTACTGGCTTGTAGGTCAAAGTACCCAGCCCAATATAAAACCTGCGGACAGAAGTGCATAGGGTTATGGAAGCAAAGTCAAAAGACCCTACCCAGCATTATCCTCAGTCACAGCCTCTAGGGAGAGGAGGAAAGGGAAAGGGAAAGAAAAATAAAAATCTAGAGAGAGAAAGGAAGAAAAAGAAAAAATCCTACCTACTCAAAAATAATTATAAAAATTAGAAGTTTAGCATCTTCAGATAAGAAGGAACCAGTGTAAGAATGCTGGCACCATGAAAGATCTGAATCTACATTCACATTACGCTAGCTCTCCATCAACGGTCCTTAACCAAAATGGAAACTCGTAATTGACAGATAAGGAATTCAAGGCGTGGACTGCAAAGAAGTTCAATGAGATCCAAGAAAAGATTGGAAATCGATGCAAAGAAACTTCTAAAGCAATCTAGAAAATGAAGAATCAGATAATAATATTAAAAAGAAAATCAGAGCTTCTGAAATTCAAAAACTCAAGGAATTTCAAAATACAATTGAAAGAATTATTAATAGCTGGGGCAAGCAGGAGAAAGAATTTCAGAGCTTGAAGATGAGTCTTTTGAACTAATCCAGTCAGAGAAAAATAAATCTAAAATAATTTTTAAAAATGAACAAAGTTTTTGAGAAATATGAGATTATGTAAAGTGACCAAAACTATGAATTATTGGCATTCCTTAGAGGAGGAAGAAAAATTAAACAACCTGAAAAACTTATATGATAGAATAATTCAAGAAAATTTTCCTAATCTTGCCAGAAACTTAGACACCAAGATACAAAAAATCCAGAAAACACCTGCGAGATACTATACAAAGTGAACCTCACCAACACATATAGTCATGAGAGTGTCCAAAGTCAGTGCTAAAGAAAAAAAATCTTAAGGGCAGCTACAGGAAAAGGTCAGATTACATACAAAGGCAACCCCATCAGGCTGACAGCGAACTTCTCAGCAGAAACTCTACAAGCCAGGAGAGATTAGATAACTATTTTCAGCATTCTTAAAGAAAAGAAATTCCAACCAAAAATTTCATATTCTGTCAAACTAAGCTTCATAAATGAAGGAAAAATAAAATCTTTCCCAGACAAGCAAGTGCTAAGGGAAAGTGTTACCACTAGACGGGGTTTACAAGAGACCCTTAAGGGAGCTCTAAACATGGAAACAAAAGAATGATGTCTTCTACTACAAAAACACACTTAAGTACATAGCCCACAGATTCTGTAAAGCAACTACACAATAGAAACCACAAAGCAACCAGTTAACATCTTCATGACAGGATCAAATCCTCACATACCAATATTAACTGTGGATTAATTGCCTACTTAAATGGCACAGAGTGATAATTTGCATTAAAAAAATAAGACCCATCTGTCTACCATATTCAAGAGACTCATCTCACACATAACAACACCCATAGGCTCAACGTAAAGGGTTGGAGAAAGATCTAGCAGATTGCCACATATCTATTACAGAACATCATTGCCTAAATTAGGCACTCTGTGTGAGCAAAAGCCAAATACAAAAATATCTGCTTTATCCATAGAACAAAGTTTTTTTTTTTCTGGTTCATTTGGTTCACCTGCCTCTTTGGAACATTGTTGGAAGCATAGTACATGTCATTGATGGCCAGGTGTGAGAGGAAAATGTATATGAGGGTGTGTAGTCTGTCGTCTCTGTCATCCAGATAGGTGAGTCCCATGTTCATGCCATTCCTCAGTAGACTGAAGGCATAAAATCGCGAGAAGATGCAAGAGAGAAAGATCTCCATCTCTGCACAGAGCTGGAATCCCACCAGGATGAATTCTGTGACCCAGGGCTGCTTGCCTCCCATTCCTTAATAACAGTTTGTCAAGAACTGAACTATGAATGAAAAGGTCACAACTGGAGAATCAATAAAAATGGAAGTTATTTAATTCAAAATAATTTAGAGGAAACGTATAGTAGTCTCTATTATGTCTATATTATTTTCAGTCCTAATCTGGCAATTATTTAAAAACCACATTTAGAAAGGATGGTCATCCTATTTAGCGTATAATTAAAATAGTATCATGGGATAATAGATTCCTAAAATCAATTTTATTCTAGAATATCTACATCGATTTCTGAGGTGTTTCAGAGCTGCCTGTGGGGTTGAATGAGTCTTTGTTGCACTTACATTGTAGGTTTTCTGTCTCCTCCTCCCTTCCACATGTGTTTATCCCTTATAAACATCCTGCCTGCCAGACCCCACCTTGGTGGCCACTTCTGGAGGATTCAACCTGGGACAGCCTGAGAGACCTTGATCTTTCCATAATTACCAGCCAGAAGAATTTACCTCATTCTACCCTCTGGAGACTCTCCTCCCTGATACTCATCTGCCACAAGAGACACACTCAGGGCCTTAGTGCATTTATACTGCAATGATTTATTTAAATTTACACAAAGTCAGATGTGGGACAAGCACCCCTCTCTCATCTTGTAGCTATGTCTTATGAACACAAATTCTTAGTGGATCACAGTAGTGAGACTGACAATTATTTCTCACAGTGCTGGAGGCTGGAAGTCCAAGATCAAGGTGCTGGCAGATACAGTGTGTGGTGAGGGCCAACTTTCTGGTTCATAGATGGTACTTTCTAATTGTGTCCTCACATGGTGCCTTAGTCCGTTTTTTCACTGCTATAAATAAATAACCAAGACTGCGTAATTTATAAAGGAAAGAGGTTTAATTGACTCACAGTTCCGTATGGCTGGGGAGGCCTCAGGAAACACAATCATGGCAGAAGGGGAAGCAGGCACCTTCTTCACAAGGCAGCAGGAGCGAGAGGAGCAAGCAAAGGAGGAGCTTGCCAAACACTTATAAAATAATCAGATCTCGTGAGAACTCACTCACTATCATGAGAACAGCATGGGGGAAACTGCCTCCATGATCTAATCATCTTCCACTAGGTTCCTCCCTCAATACCTGGGGATTACAATTCGAGATGAGATTATGGTTCCAGATTGCAAAGCCAAGTTATATCACGTGGCACAGGAGTAAGGAACCTCTCTGGTATCCGTTTATAAGGACACTAATCCCATTCATGAGGGCTCTACTTTTTGACCTAATCACATCCTAAAAGCCCCACTTCCTCCTACTATCGCATTGTCGATTAGGTTTCAATGAATTTTGGGGGGGACACGAACATTCACACCATTGTAATAATATTAAATTTAGCTCCAAAAAATTGACAAGAGTTCAGAACTGGGAAGAAACATCAATAACACATACATGTTTTTAGACCTTGTTAGAAGCAGTCAGCAATAATGAAAACATATTTCATATCTAAACAGAAAGGTTAACAATGTATGTGATGATAACCTATTTCCGTAAAGTAGGAATATTTACATCCTAGACATTATCTTGCCTGCCAGATTATCTCACTTTTCTCACTTTTAATTGTGGTTATTTCTGATTTTAAATTAAGAAATACTTTGATTCTCATCTCAGTTGCCATCGTATACATTTTGTATCTAAAAACTGAGCAAATAGCTGGGCATGGTGGCGCGCGTCTGTTATCCAAGCTACTTGGGAGGCTGAGGCAGGCCAATCTCTTGAACCCAGGAGGTGGAGGTTGCAGCGAGCCAAGATCGGACCATTGCACTACAGCCCGAGTGACAGAGCGAGACTCTGTCTTAAAAAAAAAAAAAAAGAAAAAGAAAAAGAAAACTGAGCAAAATCTAAAAATAGAAGTTAAGATGTCACAGAATAGTGATAAGCTATTACAGCACTGGAAGAGAGAAGAAAACGTCAAGTTAGTTGATGGTTGAATGACAACCTCAACTTGTCAAAAGAAATGATGAAAGTGAGCATCAGTTCATTGAAATAAATGGTATAGCCAGTATGAACATTTCTTTGGGCAGTGGTTTCCACTGAACATAGAATATAAAGATCTCTGAAAAGTATTTTTTGAGCTATTTTTATTTATTTATTTTTTGAGACAGGGCCTCACTCTGACACCCAGGCTGGAGTGCAGTGGCAGAATCATGGCTCACGGCAGCCCCAACTTCCTCGTCTCAAGGGATACTTCCACCTCAGCTGCCTGAGTAGCTGGAACCACAGGCATGAAACATCAAGCTCAGCTAATTTTTAATATTTTTGTGGAAATGGGATCTCACTATGTTGCCCAGGATGGTTTCAAATTCTTGGTCTCAGGAGATCCTCCTGCCTCGGCTTCCCAAAGTGCTGGGATTCCAGGCATGAGCCACTGCACCTGGCCTGTTTCTTTAGCTAAAGAAGATACTGTATTTCTTCATCTCAATGGTATTTTCAGAAAACAGCCAGCAGCATTGTCATTCAACCTACCAACTCTAGGACCAGATTTATTTTTCCTAAAAGACAGATCTAGCAAGGTATAATATCTGCCAACACTGATAGATAAAATGGGAGACTATCAAACAGAAATAACTATAAGTCAACATCAACCTGACTGTTTCAGAAAAGTCAATACAAGATCACTGAGAGACACTGTCACTACAACTTTTTGCTTGTTTTGAGGGCTATTGATGCTTGCTCAGTAATATCAAGATTAGTAGCAAGTGTTACGGTAAAAATTTTACTGGAGAAGTTATCCAGAAACACATATTCCTATCCTTATCCTGCCATTACGTGATTTTCAATAAGTCAGCTAATATCTCTGGACATCAGTACTTTCATGCAGGGGTGTGAAGTCCTTTCATCTCTGTGAGAGCCACTTGCAGAGGCCATGATGCACAAGGAGTCTCTTATTTTTTTCCTCTCCTACTCATTTTTACATTTGTGCCAGTTTTTTCTTTTTGCCTTTGTATCTGATCACTTTCACTGGGAGTGACATAGAGAATGATACCAAGGAGAGTCAGGAGACCCACACTCCTGCTCCATCTAGGATAAGCTTCATGTGGGAACACCTTTTTCTGCCAGCCCAGCTATCTGCCTCCATCACAAACTGACTCAGTAAGACTATGTTATTTAATCCTGTGAATTGGTCAGTACCATTAACCCACACTACATGCATGGATTATGAAGTTAGGGAAATGAAAAAAAATTTCCACAGTCTAACAATCGCCAGCACAATGAATGATTTATATACACAGACACTACGTTTTCTGTTTCTAACTACTGAACTCATTTTCAAATGATCTTAAAGTGCTCTCTCTCAGAAAGTCTTCACATCATTCCACAATGCTTACCAACTCTCACCAGTCCTGTGTAGCCCCCTAAAATTTCTGCTCATGTTCCCCTGGATACGACTCATCACCCCAGAAGAGAAGAACTTCTCTTTCTGTCTCTTGCTCTAAGATTTTTTGGATTACAGTATATGACTCTAATCTCAATAATTTCTTCAAAACGTCTTTACTGTCTAGTAGTTTTAAAATTGATGCTCATACTGCCCCATTGGACAGATGACATAAGAAGGCATTGACATTATTTTTCATTTGCCCTAGCACATTTAAATCCATATAAAGCTTACACATTAATATTTAAGACATGCAAATTAGTTCTTTCAAATATACTTTACCAGTGGAAAGCAGAAGCGGTAAATTAAATGACTTGATAGCTGATGTGAAATAGATGAACCAGATGTACAGAATTACTGTGAAACTCGAGCACATTATCTTCTGGAAATTATTTTGTAATGATAACCAAATGAGATAACATATTGTATAATTTATCCTTTTCTTCACACATTCCCTAATTCAGTCTCTAGCAGTATTCAGTCGTTATTAGTTTCTTATTCAATTCAATATGCATATATTAGTTTTCTGTTCTTAATATTCTCTGTTAGAATAATAAATATATTCATGCTTATATTCTCCTTTAATGACCCTATGATCCCAGTGGTCATATAAAATTTACATGCATTACCTAGTTGAGAAGAAATATAAAGCAATGATTAAATGCTAAAATAATTAGTAAAAATTACTCCATGTGATTTCATGGAAAGGGAAATCAGTGTAAGCAGATTGGAAGAGCATGCTAGAATTTCATAAGGAAAGATGAGTGAAATTTGCATGGAAAGTTTACATCCCTCTTTCCCCAACATAGACCCAAGTGATAATGTCTTATGAATGTTTTTCCTCTTTTGACAATCAGGAGGTATCTGTGTTCCTCTCACTTTTTGCTCCTTATTTTCAATTACAGATTTTTATTTCTTCACATATGGATTGTCAAACCTGCTGAGTTCTTCTGAATCACGTGTCTTACTTGCTGTAGCAAGACCCTGTGTACTGCCAATAGTATAATTTTCCTTCCATGCCGTATTAGTTCACTTTCACACTGCTGATAAAGACATACCTGAGACTGGGCAATTTACAGAAAAAAGAGGTTTATTGGGCTTACAGTTCCACATGGCTGGGGAGGCCTCACAATCATGGCAGAAGATGAGAGGCATGACTCACATGGCAGCAGACAAGAGAAGAGACAGCTTGTTCAGGGAAACTCCCCCTTATAGAACCGTGAGATCTCATAAGACTTATTCACTATCACAAGAACAGCACAGGAAAGGCCTGCCCCCATGATTCAATTACCTCCCACTGGGTTCCTCCAACAACATGTAGGAATTCAAGATGAAATTTGGGTGGGGACACAGACAACCCATATTTTGCCCCTGACTCCTCCCAAATCTCATCCTCACATTTCAAAACCAATCATGCCCTCCCAACAGTCCCCCAAAGGCTTATCTTAGCATTAACTCAAAAGTCCACAGTCCAAAGTCTCATCTGAGACAAGGCAAATTCCTTCTGCCTGTGAGCCTGTTTAATCAAAAGCAAGTTAGTCACTTCCTAGATACAATGAGGTACAGGCATTGGGTAAATACAGCTGTTCCAAATGGGAGAAACTGGTCAAAACAAAGGGGCTGGAGGCCCCGTGCAAGTCCAAAATCCAGCAGGGCAGTCAAATCTTGAAGCTCACAAATGATCTCCAGGTCATGCTGATGCAAGAGATGGGTTCAAATGGTCTTGGGCAGCTCCGCTCCTGTGGTTTTGCAGGGTACAGCCTCCCTCCGGCTGCATTCATGGGCTGATGTTGAGTGTCTGTGGCTTTTCCAGGTGCACAGTGCAAGCTGTCAGTGGATCTACCATTCTGTGGTATGGAGGACGGTGGCCCTCTTCTCACAGCTCCACTAGGAGGTGCCCCAGTAGAGACTCTGTGGGGGCTCCAACCCCACATTTCCCTTCTGCACCACCCTAGCAGAGGTTCTCCATGAGAGCCCCACCCCTGCAGCAACCTTCTTCCCAGACATTCAGGAGTTTTCATACATCCTTTGAAATCTAGGAGAGGCTCCCAAACCCCAATTCTTGACTTCTGTGCACTGGCAGGCTTAACACCACATGGAAGTTGCCAATGCTTGAGGGTTGCACCCTGTGAAGCCGTGGCCTGAGCTGTACATTGGCCCCTTTCAGCTACAGCTGGAGTGACTGGGATGCAGGGCACCAAGGCCCTAGGCTGCATGCATCATGGGAACCCTGGGACCAGCCCATAAAACCACTTTTTCCTCCTAGGCCACCAGACCTGTGATGGGAGGGGCTGCCGTGAAGACCTCTGACATGCCCTGGAGACATTTTCCCCATTGTCTTGGCGATTAACATTCAGCTCCTTATTACTTATGCAAATTTCTGCAGCTGGCTTGGATTTCTCAGAAAATGGGATTTTCTTTTCTATTGCATTGCCGGGCTGCATATTTTCCAAACTTTTATGCTTTACTTCCCTTATAAACTGAATGCCTTTAACAGCACCCAAGTCACCTCTTGAATGCTTTGCTGCTTAGAAATTTCTTCCACCATATACTCTAAATATTCTCTCTCAAGTTCACAGTTCCACAAATCTCTATGGCAGGGGCAAAATGCCACCAGTCTCTTTGCTAAAACATAACAAGAGTCATCTTTGCTCCAGCTCCCAATAAGTTCCTCATCTCCATCTGAGACCACCTCAGCCTGGATTTCACTGTTCATATCATTATCAGCATTTTGGTCAAAGCCATTCAACAAGTCTCTATGGAGTTTCCAACTTTCCCACATTTTCCTGTCTTCTTCTGAGCCCTTCAAACTGTTCCAACCTCTGCCTGTTACCTGGTTCCAAAGTTGCTTCCACATTTTTGGGTATCTTTTCAGCAGCACCCCACTTGTGCTACCAATTTACTGTATTAGTTTGTTTTCATGCTGCTGATGAAGACATACCTGAGACTGGGCAATTTACAAGAGAAAGGTTTATTGGACTTACAGTTCCATGTGGCTGGGGAGGCCTCATAATCATGGTGGAAGGTAAAAGGCACATCTCACATGGTGGCAGACAAGAGAAGAGAAATCTTGTGCAGGGAAACTCCCCCTTACAGAACCCTCACATCTTGTGAGACTTATTCACTATCACAAGAACAGCAGAGGAAAGACCTGCCTGCATGATTCAATTACCTCCCACTGGATCCCTCCCACAACATATGGGAATTCAAATGAGATTTGGGTGCGGACATAGCCAAACCATATCATATGCTATTATTTATTTATATTTACTTATTTTTTATCTTCCAACTTTTATTTTAGACTCAGGGAATACATGTGCAGGTTTGCTACCTGCGTATATTACGTGATGCTGAGGTTTGATATATAAATGATCTTGTCACCCAGCTATGAGCATAGTATCCAATAGTTAAATTCCCCCCCTCTAGTAGTCCCCAGCTTCTACTGTTGCCATCTTTATGTCCATGTGTATCCATTGTTTAGCTCCCACTTATAAGTGAGAATATGCGGTATTTGGTTTTCTGTTCCTTCATTAATTTGCCTAGGATTAGGGCTCCAGTTGCATCTGTATTGCTGCAAAGGACACAATTTCATTCTTTTTATGAATACATAATATTCCATGGTGTATTTGTACAACACTTGCTTTATCCTATCCACTGTCAACGGGCACTCAGGTTGATTCCATTTCTTTGCTATCGTGAATAGTGCTCATGCTACCTTTTGTAATTTATCTTGTTAGAGACCTTTCAACAGTACCTATTTTCTCAAAAATGTCCAGATCCCCTTAAATGAAGTTATGCAAGATAAAGCTCATGTAAACCTCAAACAAACTTCAATATATGTATTACATTTGTGTTTCACAAATAAAGACAGTGAATACATGAGTAGCAGAGAGTTTAGTACGATGGAAGACACAAGATGAAGATAGCTGAAGCATTCTTTATATCATATTACATCATATAAAGAGGTCATATCAGCTCGTGTAAAATATTCCAAAGAATGATGCAACTAATAAAAACTTAATATAAGGAATCAACAAAGCAGAATTACACAGGGAAATTGGCTCTCAGTGCAAATGAGAAAAATATGTTCACAACTTTGGCTCTAAGGAAATGATTCTGCTTATGGGCTGAGGGAGAAGAATGAAACGAAGCAAACTTCAACACTCAGGACACAATTATTAACCTAAGACTTTTTACCATGTTGCTAAACTACCAAGGACTAATTTCCCCAAGATTAACACAGTTATCACAAAGGAGAAAAAAAGCAGATTAGGGAAGAATGGCGAGAAACTTCTAGAAAGGAAAAAATGTTTTTATCAGGCATATAAGATGGGTGGTGCTCTTCTCTTGCATAATATCCAGGCTGGTAGGATGTGCATAGGCAAGATGAGAGAGTATTTTTGGGAGTTCTAAGCTTGCTTCTACTGTGCTTTTAGGATCATCTAGATCTGCCTCTCAGAAAATGCAGAGAATCATGATACTACTTTAGTGTTCTTAAAAATAAAATCAAAGCATCTTAAAAACGCTACAGGAATGATTATCTGAGGGAAACAGAAAAGAACCAACAATGGCTTCTGCAAAATCCTAGGCACATGTTATAGTCTAAGCAGATTGCTACATAACATTGCTTCAATAAAATCTGCGAATCAAGAAATTTGTTGGCAGTGTGAGAGTTGACAGATTATAGCTTTCAGTTCATGTGCTCTACACTGAGAGGTCATCTTCCTTTTCCTTTGCAAGCTCTTCAGGTGTGACATAACACTAAAGTCTGGGCTTCAGCTGATCCCCTAACACACTGCACAGTCAGGTAACCATTGACCACACTGCATTATAAATTCATAGACCAAGATGACCAGAGATCTATAAAATATTTAAAAAGTAGTTGTTTTATAAAAGGTCTATCTAAACAAATATTTTAATAGACTATCATTAAAAAACAAAATAAATATATTAATATCATCTGTATAACTTCCATTTGATAACGGAGTGCTTCTTTGCATGCCCAAATTTATGTTTTAATGGACCTGATAATTTTTGTTCCTTCTGGGAATCACAGGCTGTATGGTCACTTAGAGCAGTGGTCCCCATCCTTTGTGGCACCAGGGTGTGGTTTTGTGGAAGACAATTTTTCCATGAATGGGGGTCAGGGGAAATGGTTTGGGGATGATTCAGGTGCTTACATTTATTGTGCACTTTATTTCTGTTATTATTACATTGTGATATATAATGAAATAATTATACAACTCACCATAATGTAGAATCAGTGGGAGCCCTGAGCTTGTTTTCCCACAACAAGATGGTGCCATCTCAGGGTGATGGGAGACAGTGACAGATCATCAGGCATTAGATTCTCATAAGGAGCATGCAGTGTAGATCCCTTGCATGTGCAGTTTGGAAGGGTTTGCACTTCTATGAGAATCTAATGCTGCCACTGATCTGACAGGAGGGTGAGCTCAGAAGGTAATGCAAGCAATGGAGAGTGACTGGAAATACAGATGAAGCTTCACTCACTCACCTGCTGCTCACCTCTTGCTCTGCAGCCCAGTTCCTAACAGGTCATAGACCAGTACTAGTCCATGGCCCAGGAGTTGGAGAGCCTTGACTTACAGTACCATGTTGGGGCACATGGTTTCTACCAGGGTTCAGTATTGAGCCAGAAGAGCTGTGTCTCAAAAGAGGAGTTATGTTTGCTAGAGAAAATGATTTTGCTCCAAGCAAGATGTTTGTTTTCATTTAGAAATTTTTAAACATAACCATACTGCATCTTTATTTTCCACACTCATACTTATGAGTTTCATTTGACCCATTTTGGCTAGGTGCAGAATCTTCTCTTGTTCTGGTCCCCATTCTAAATTGCAAGTCTATGGATTGTTCAATAATTTTATTAGAAATGAACATTAAAATGTGGCATATATTACCTCAAGAGTTTTAAAGGGTCCCACAAACATTGTGTCTCTCAGTGTTAACAGTGGCAGAAATGTTTCCTTTACTTTAAAGGTAATATTGCAACATGTCTCAAATATTGGACCTCAGAAATTTCACTAGGGTGGCAGACCTTTCAATTTTTGTGAAGGCTATTTCTAACCGCCTTTTTTATTCCAACTTTACTGAAGTATAATTGACAAAAAGCATATATTTAAGATGTACAACTTGATATTTTAATATCTATATATACTGAAATAATCACCACAATTAAACTAATTAAGATACTCATCATCTCACATAGTTACCTTTTGTGTGAGTGTGGTGAGAACACCTAAGATCTTAACAAACTTCAAGTATACATTACAGTATTATTGACTATAGTCAAATTGTTGTACATTAGAGCTCCAGTATTTATTCTTGTTTTTGTTTTTGTTTTTAACAGTGTCAGCTCTGTTGTCCAGGCTGGTGTATGGCGTGATCTCTGCTCACTGCAACCTCTGCCTCCCAGGTTCAAGTGATTCTTGTGCCTCAGCCACCCAAGTAGCTGGGATTACAGGTGTGCACAACCACACCCAGCTAAGTTTTGTATTTTTTAGTAGACATGGGTTTTCACTATGTTGGCCAGGCTGATCTCGAACTCCTGGCCTCAAGTGGCCCACCCACATCAGCCTCCCAAGTGCTGGGATTACAGGTGTGAGCCACTGCACCTGGCCTTATTAATCTTCTATAACAGAAATTTTTAACCCTTTCACCAATACGCTCCCATTTTTCTCTCCCCCCAGCACATCGCAGCAACCATTCTACTCCCTGTTTCTATGAGTTCGACTATTTTGCATTTTACATATAAGTGAGATCATGCATTATTTGTCTATGTCTGGCTTGTTTCACTTAACATAATGTCCTCTGGTTCATTCACATTATCACAAATGGCAGGATTTCCCCTTTTGAAGATTGAATGATATTCTATTGTGTGTGTGTATACAAATGAATGAATAATATTTTATTGTGTGTATATACAAATGAATAAATAAGGAAAATGGTGTGTGTGTGTATGAATGGAACCACAAAATTCTAAATAGCCAAAACAATCTTTAATAATAACAAAGCTAGAGGCACCACAATTGTTGATTTCAAAATATATTACAAAGCTTTAATAAACTAAACAGTGTGGAACTGGCATAAAAACAAGACATGTAGACCAATGGAACAGAATAGAGAGCCAGAAATAAATCCACACATCTATGGTCAACTGATGTTTGACAACGGTGCCAAGAACACACAATGGAGAAATGATAGTCTTCAATAAATGGTCTAGGAAAACTGCATATCTACATGCATAAATTGCACCCTTATCTTTTGTATATTAACCCACATCACATACAAAAATAAATAAACTCAAAATGGATTAAAGGCTTAAATGAATTAATTTCAAACAGAGCAGACTTCAGTGCAAGGAAAATTGTCAAGGGTAGAGTTAATAAATAGTACTAAAATGATCAATTCCCCAAGAAGACATAATCCTTAATGTGTATGTACCTAGTAAAGTGTCAAAATACATGAGACAGAAACTGAAAGAACTATGAGGGAGATACATAAATGCACCCCTCTGTTAGTAATGGATGGGAGCGAATCACAATCCTCAAAGACACAATCTCAAACTCCATAATCCTGACTGTTGAAATCCCAGAGGGTCAAAATCCTTAAATGAAGTCTAGAAAATTATAATCCTGAAAGATCAAAATCCCAAAAATATAATTCTGGAAAAAATAACTTAAAATTTTTAAAGAAGATATTTATTTACATTTTTAAAGGAGATTTATTTAAGAAACATGAAAACACGACAGAATGCATTATAGGCCAGTTTATGCAATAAAATAGGCAATAAGATACATATTTTTGCAAACATGAACACTCAAGTATACTAATGACAGTTGCGTGGGTATAACAGTTTTGAACTGACAAGTTGTGTTCAGAAAGAAATAGGTCAAAAAGCAAAATGTATAAACGCATGTCACTATGGTTGGTAATTGTGTGTACACCGAAATTTATAACTTCAGTCATATTAAATATTGTAATGGAAAACCTAAGTCTTTTGGCAAGATCAAGCAAAAACCCTGGGAGTGACACGTTGCATCATTATACCAGTCATCCAAGAAGCTACGACCTCAAGAAATGTTATCTCTCACAAATGCAGATGTGCAAAAGGACTTCTTGTAATTTACTGAGGAAGTTTCAATGTTTTTTATGTACACTCAAAATGCTTAAACATAAAGTCAATGTTGTTATAATGCACTTTCAAAAACTCAAATTTGCAAAAAATGCATAAAATAAATTAGAACTATTTAAAAGTCTTTACACAATTTATTCCTCCAGTATTGGGAATGAAGATGAAATACACAGTATAGTTATTGTAAAAAATAATGCTGACAATATAAAATAGTGGAAAAAATTAAAACAAGAAAAACAAAGGAGAAGAAATGCAAAAAAAACTAAAAAGAATATTTGACATATGAAAAAGTGTATTACAGGACTAAGTTGTGGGCAGTTGCCCAGAGGTAATCCATAAAAGCTGGCCAACTTTGATTATCGTTAACTATTTTTTGAAGCCTTGCATCGTGTTGAATAGCTGCTTTTGTTCTTTTAGAGCATGGCTTTCCTTGGAGACTATGTTCACATTCATAGTCTACATGGCATTGGTCTTTTTGAAATTCTTCTGTGATTCTATATACTTTGACGTGAGCATTCCCAATTAAATGTTTCTATTTTCTGTGGCATGCTTCTTTGTTGTTCTGGTTATGCTAAAATCCATTCTGCATGCACTCATATACTGACCATGAATTTCTCAGCAAAAATACTGGTGATTGAACAGCAATTCCATTGCATACATGTCTTCTAATCTACTGCGCTTATAATTATTTTCAAATTAGTCGTTAACTTTGCTGGCTTCTTCAGACAAATGTGTCCTTAATTCAATAAAAACTTCTGGAATTTCATCAGCTGGGAGAAATGCTAATGCAGACAAATGACATATTTTTAAACAAAAGCTTTTTCGGGTCTGTATCACGTGGCCAGTCCACTCATCTGAGTTTTCCACCAAATGCAAATGAAGACAATACCAAGGTAATAATTTTGCCTAACATGATGCAACTATCAGGATGCAACTATCCTGCATACATCTGAATATGCACTGACCTCTTCCCCAGAATTCAGGTTTTCATAATTCAGAATTTTAATATATTAAGATTGTGATTTTTGGGATTTTAGACATTAGCTATTTTAGACGTTGGAGATTTTGATCTTTTGGCATTTCAACATTTGAAATTATAGTGTTTGGGATTTTTGTCTTTCAGGATTATAATCCAAATCTATAATGGACAGTTCCAGCAGGCAGAAAATTAGTAGGAATACAGCTGAACTGAATAGCACCATGAATCAACTAGACCTAACTGAAATGTACAGATTACTTCATCTAGCAATAAGAGAACACACATTTTTTAAGTTCACATAAAACATTCAACAATGTAGACCATATTCAGAGCCACAAAACACACCTTACCAAAAGTAAAAGAATAGAAATTATACAAAGTATGCTCTCATGCCACAGTGGAATTAAGCTGGTTATCAATAACAGAAAGACATCAGGAAAATCCCAATAATTGGAAATTTTAACAAAACGTTTCTTAAAAAAATGCCTGGGTCAAAGAAATCTCAAGAGATATTTACAATATTGTTAAAATAAAAATACAATTTATATAAAAACTTGTGTGATGAAGTAAAGCAGTGCTTAAAGAGAAACTTATAGCATTCAATGCATACATTAGAAGAAAGAAAATCAATAATCTACGCTTCTACGTAAGTTTCCATTTTGAGAAACTAAAAAGGAAAAGCAAATTAGTGCAAAGAACAAAAAAGGCAATAATAAACATCAGAGCAAAAATCAATGAAATTGAAAACAGAAAAATCAATAGAGAAGATCAGTACAATTGATAGCCCTCTAGCCACATTAACTAAGAAACAAAGAAAGAAGACATAAATTACTAATACAGAGTTGAAGAAGTGGCCATTATTGATCCCATGGTCATTAACAGGATAATAAAGGTATATTTTGAACAATTCTATGCTTAAAAATATGATTAACTAGATAATGTAGAACTATTCTTTGAAAGGCAAAATCCATCAAAATTCACAAAAGGTGAAATAGATAATCTGAATAAGCTGACATCTATTAAAGAAATTGAATCAAGAATTAATAACTTTCCCGAACAAAAAGTACAAGGCCCTGATGGCTTCACTGGTGAATTCTAAACATTTAGGGAAGAAATTATACCAATTCTATACAATCTGTTCCAAGAAATGAAAGTAGACTGAATATTCCCCAACTAATTCTAGGAGGCCAGTATTACCATAATACCAAAACTAGACAACACATTACAAGTAGGGAAAACTACAGAGCAATACCACTCAAGAACATATGTGCAAATGTCCTCAGCAAAATATTACCAAATAGAGTTTTATAATGTATACTGATCATAATACTGATATTACAATGATCATAATGCATTATGATCAAGTGAGATTTATATGGTATGCAAGGTTGAGTCAACATTCAAAAATCAATTAATGTAATCCATCAAATAAACAGGTTAAAGAAGAAAAATCTATAATCATATCAATTGATGCAAAGAGAGGATTTGACAAATTTTAACACACGTTCATTATGAAGAAAATCTCTAAGCAAAGTAAGGATAGGGTAGAACTTTCTCAACTTTATAAAGAAGATCTACAAATAACCTACAGGTAACATATGTCATAAGAAGAAATTAATACTTTACACTAAAATCAGGAACATGGCAAGTGTGTCTCTTTTACCACTTCTATTCAACATTGTATGGTAAGTCCTTGCTAATGCAGTAAGAAAATAAAAGGAAATAAAAAGTATGCAGATTGGGGAAGAAGAAATAAAATTGCTTTTCTTCACAGGTGACATGACTATTCATGTAGAAAATCCCCCCAAATTATCAAAAATACTTCTGAAATTAATAAACTATATAGCAAGGTTGTGTTGTAGGATATAAGGTTAACATACAAATTGCTTTCTTACACCAGAAATGAGCAATTGGAACTTGAAATTAAAAAATATTATTCCATTTACATTAGCACTAAAAAATAAGTACTTAGGTATACATCTAACAAAATATGTACAAGATCTATACAAAGGGAACTGAAAAACTTCGATGAAAGAAATCAAAGAAGATCTAAATAATGGAGAGATATTCCATGCACATGGGAAATCTCACTTATTGTCAAGATTTCAGGAACTTCTAAATTTACCTATAGGTTCAATACAACCCCAATCAAATTTTAACAAGTTATTTGTGGATACGACAAACTGATTTTACAGTTTATATGGAAAGACAAAAGACCCAGAGTAGCCACACAACGTTGAAAAAGAGGAATAAAGATGAATGACTGACATTATCTGATGTGGTTTGGTTGTGTCCCCACCCAAAATCTCACCTTGAATTATAAATAATCCCCACCTGTCAAAGGAGAGACCAGGTGACAGTAATTGAATCATGGGGGCGGTTTCCTCCATGCTGTTCTTGTGATGATGAGTGGATTCTCATGAGATCTGATGGTTTTATAAGTGTTTGGTAGTTCCTCCTGCATTCATTCTCCTTCCTGCTGCCTGTGAAGAAGGTGCCTTGCTTCCCTTTTGCCTTCTGCCATTTTTGTAAGTTTCCTGAGGCCTCCTTAGCCATGCTGAGCTGAGAATCAATTGAACTTCTTTCTCTTATAAATTGCCCAATCTCGGGCAGTTCTTTATAGCAGTGTGAAAATGGACGAATACACTATCCAACTTCAAGCCTTTTTATAAAGCTGCAGTAATTACAGCTGTGTCATATTGGCCAAAGAATAGATAAATAGATCAAAAGAATAGAAGAGGGAGCCCCTAAAAAATTCCAAACAATTATAGTCAACTGATCTTAGACAAAGGAGCAGTGGAAATTTAATGGAAAAAAGCTAATATTTTCAGTAAATGATGCTGGGATAACTGAACATGCAAAAATACAAAAAACAAACAAACAAAAGCCCCAAACCTGAACAGAGATACTACATTTTATGCAGTTAACTCAGCTGGATCATAGACTTACATGTTAAGTGCAAAATTATAAAATCCTTAGAGGAAAACAGAAGACTTTACAGGTGACCTTGTGATTGGCAATGCCTTTTTGGATTAAAAGAATAATCCATCAAAAAACAAATTGATAGGTTGAACTTCATTAAAACTGAAGTTTAAAAAAATGAAAAGATAAGCCACAGACTAGAAGAAATATTTACAAAACAAATATAAAAAAATAACTTGTAGAAAATATACAAGTAACTCTTAATACTCAACAATGAGCAAAAAAGCATTAAAAAAGTGGACAAAATATGTGAAGAGACACCTTACCAAAGAAGATATACAGATGGCAAGAAAGCACATGGAAATATTCTCAACATCATCTGTCATCAGAAAATTTCATATTCAAGTAAGAATGAAATACCCTTGTATACCTATTAAAATGTTGAAAATTTAAAACACTGACAAAACTAAATACTGGTAAGGATATGGAGCAACAGGAACTCTCCTTCATTGCAGGTGGGAATACAAATGGTACAGCCACTTTGGTAGACTGTTTGGAAATTTCCTATAAAACTAAGTGCATACTTCCCACATAACCCAGCATATTGCTTTCCTTGGTATTTAACCAAATGAGTTAAAAACTTATGCTAACCCAAAACCTATATACAAATGTTTATAGCATCTGTATTCATAATTGTTAAACCCCAGAAGTATCTAAGATGTATTTCAATAGGTGAATGGAAAAACAAACTATGGTACTGATAGAGTTTGGATATTGTTCCTTTTAAGTCTCATTTTAAAATGGAGTCCCCAGTGTTGGAGTTGGGGAGTGGTAGGAGGTCATTGAATCATGAGGCAGATTTCTCATGAATGGCTTAGTGCCATCTCCTTGGTGCTGTCCTCATAATAATGAGATAGTTCTCACAAGACCTGGCTTTTAAAAGTGTGTGACACCTCCCCTCTCTTGCTCCCACTCTCATCATTAAGATGTCTGCTCACCCTTCACCTTCTGCCACGATAGTAAGCCTCCTGAGGCTCTCACCAGGAGCAGACACCAGCACCTCTCTTCTTGTGCTGTCTGCAGAATTATGAGCCAATCAAACCTCTTTTCTTTATAAATTACCCAGCCTCAGGAATTTCTTTATAGCAATACAAGAACAGCCTAATTCAGGCATATGCAGATAACAGCATATTCTGTGATAAAAAGTAGTGAGTTACCAAGCCACAAAAAGACATGGAAGAACCTTAGTTAGTATAGCATGTTTCTCAGAAAGGAGCCATTCTTAAAGGGCTATATACTGTATGATCTCAACTAAATAATTTGGAAAAGGCAAAACTATATAACTACTAAAAAGATTACTGGTTCCAGGAGTTTTGGAGGAGGGAGAGCGAGATAAATAGGTAGAGCACAGGGGATTTTTAGGGCAGTGAAACTATTCTATATGCTGTAATATTGGATACATGACATTATATATTTGTTAAAACCTTTAGAATGTACAACACAAACAGTGGACCCTAATGTAAGCTATGAGCTATATTTAATGTTAATGTACAAATATTGACCAACCAGTTGTAATAACTGTACCACACATAAGGCATGATATTAATTATAGGGGACACAATTTGTGTGGAGAGGGTTTAGAGGGTATATGTAACTCTTAGCACTTAATTTTTCTGTAAACTTAAAACTACACTAAAAATAATAAAATAAAATTAATAAAATAAAAATAAAATTGCACTAAAAACTAATGGATTAGTTAAATCCATTAATTTATTAATAGATAAAAGGAAATTAGTAGATAAAAGGAAATTGAGACAATAGAACACCAACTTAAATCTCAGTTATTACTATTGAAGTTTATAATAAAGAGAATACTTTAAAAAATAAATGCTTTAGCTGATGACTATAGAAAAGCCACCTTTACTGATTGTACCATCATTAGCATAATGAGTGTTGCTCAATCTTGTTTCACAAATCCAAAGAACTTTTTACCAACATGAAAGGCAGACGATGTTGGTTATATCAGAGTTGTTTCATATCTCTTGGTGTTATCACAACCCACCTTAAGATAAATTGAATATTACCCAAGATCCCCTACAGGTGACTCAATCTTGCCATATTGGTAATTACCATAACCATGAATAAATGTAAAATTAGAGCCACGCTTAGAACTCTTGCCTTCCAGACCATTTAAACATTTTCAAATGGATTTCATTCAGTTGGTCATATCATACAGCTTGAAATATACAATTGTCTATCTATTTTCTATCTATCTATTTCCTTCCTTCCTTCCTTCCTTCCTTCTTTCCTTCTCTCCTTTTCTCTTTCCCTCCCTCCCTTCCCCCTCCCTCCCTCCCTCTCTCCCTCTCTCCCTCTCTCTCTCTTTCTCTCTTTCTTTTTTTCTTTCTCTCTCTCTCTTTCTTTCTTCTCATTGAAGTTTTCCACAATGTTTTCTTGTTTACTTTTCTGAATTATTCCCAAAAGGAATTTATAATTTCTCAGTCATTTATTTCATTGTCCTCATAATCAGTGAAGTAGGAACACATTGCTCTACATTACTGTTTATTAAAGTTCTGGTTTCTCTTGGAAGTTTTTTCTCTTAATATTGATTTTAATCTACCGTTTTTAGCTGCTACCAGGTAATGGTAGGAGTTACATATGTCCTGATTGATCAGCGAAGAGTAATGTGTTGATGTAACTTTCTGTTGGATAGTATACTCACTTCCTGGGTGATGGGTTCTATCTCACACCAAATTTCAGCATCACATGATATAACCATGTAACAAACCTGCACATGTACCCCCTGAATCTAAAACAAAAGTTGAAATTATAAAATAATAATTATTTTATCTCCATGTAGTCCTATTTCTGATTTTTTAAAATATGTCATTATTTTAAACAAAAAATTAGATATTCTAACATAGCTATTCTGTATCCTAACAAGGCTACTTAATATAAGAAGATGGGCATACCCATGAAATTTGTTCCCATTTTCAGGGCCAAAATCTAGATAATTTTCATTCTTAAATGAAGCCTCTTCTTGTGGACTTTTTCTGCGTTGTATTGCACAAGCAAACCACATCTCATAAAGGTAGATCAACTGAACCAAAATTCTCCCCTCATTCACATGGTCCTCTTTTTCTGCAGTGCTCTGTATAAGGCACCCTTCACTTGAGCATTCCGCAGGCTGTAGATGAGGGGGTTCAGCAATGGGTTGAAAAGGCTGTAAAACAGGGTGAGAATTTTCTGCTGCTTCTGTCGTTGACTGTTGTCTGGGACCAGGTAAACCACCATGGCCATGCCAAAGTAAAGCCCAACCACACAGAGGTGGGAGGAGCAGGTGGAAAAGGCTTTTTTGCGGCCCTCCTTTGACTGGATCTTCAGGATGGCCAAGAGGATGCGCATGTAGGAGATCAGCATCAAGGAAAGGGGCCCGACTAAGACAAACACACCACCAGCAAAGACAAAAATTTCATTAATCCAGGTGTCTGCACAGGCCAGTTTGAGGACAGACAGAATTTCACCGAAGAAGTGGTTCACCTCCTGGGGCCCACAGAAGGGCAGCCTTAGAAGGAGAATTAGATTTATGAGGGCCAGGGAAAATCCACATGCCCAGGAAGTAATAGCCAGTACTGTGCACACTCTCCAGTTCATGATGACAGTGTAATGCAGGGGATGGCAGATCGCCACAAATCTGTCATAGGACATCACCACCAAAATCATGCACACTGCAGCAGCAAAAGTCAAATACAAAGCCATCTGCATAATGCAAGAGATGAACGAGATAGTTTTTTTGTGTTTCACTAGGTTTTCCAGCATGTTGAGCAAATTGCTGGAAGCATAGTATATGTCAATGACGGCCAAGTGTGACAGGAAGAAGTACATGGGGGTGCGCAGTCTGGGATCCAGACAGATGAGCCCCAAGATCATGCCATTTGCCAGCAGGCTGAAGAGATATAACAGGGAGAAGATCCAGAAGAGGAGCACTTCCATCTCCACACTGAGCTGGAATCCAACCAGGATGAATTCTGTGACCCGTGATTGGTTGTCCCCCATTCCTTAATGATACTTTGTAAAGGACCAGAGTGTGATGAAAGGTCAGGGTTGGAGAATCAAAGAAAATGAGTTATTTATTTCAAAATGAGCTCAGAGGAAGCATGTATATATTTGTGCCTACTTGACTCACCTTTTCCCTCAGTGTTTCTTTCTGTTTTTGTTTTTAACTTTTTATTGTAAAGTAATTCAAACCTTCAGATAAGTACCAAGAATTAGAAACAATACTCTCATACACATTTCATCTAGATTCAACAATTGTTAATAATTTTTTTCATATTTGCTTGTGTTCTCTTTTTGTCTATATTAATATATATTATTATTTTTTCTGGGACACTTAAGACTACTGTGTATCCATGATACCTGTTTACTCCTAAGTTCTCTATTTTATCCAAGAACAAAGGTATTCACTTATCTAACCACAGTACTATTATCAAAATCAGGAAATGTGATCTTGACATAATATTCTTTTCTAAATAGAGCATCTTCTGTCCTTCCTGTTCAAGATGTGATGCAATATCCCACAGTTAATCTATTCTGATCTGGCACTCTCCCTCTGTCTAGACATTAATATTTTTGAAAAGTACAAACAAGTTGTTTCACAGAATGTTCTCAAAATGAATGGGTTTTCTATTGACCCTCCATATTTTTATCCAGACTTTAAATTTTTAACAGGAGATGAATCTATGTGTCCATCTCAATGCCTTCTATTAGTAGGCAGATAATGTTAATTTGCTCCAATATTGAAATCGTCTATCTCCATTATAAAATTATCCTTTTTTTCTAGTATAATTTCTGGGAAATATATTAAAACTAATATATACATATCTTGTTTTTATTAAATTCTCAGCCACTCATTAAAGCATCTATTGATTATCTTACCTGACTCCATTATAAGTAATGATGTTTGCAAAATGTGTCATTCTAACTCCCTCATTCCTTTTATATTTATTAGTTGGCTTTACTGTGAGAATGAGCTTGATCTATCTGCCTATCTATCTGCCTATTTTCTTTCTTTCTTTCCTTTCTTTCTTTCTTTTCTTTCTTTCTTTCTTTCTTTCTTTTTCTTTCTTTCTTTCTTTCTTTCTTTCTTCTTTCTCTCTTTTTTTTCTTCTTTCTTTTTCTTTCTTTCTATTTATCTGTCAATCAATTAATGTGGACACATGGAATTTTTAATTCAATGGGTTATAACCATTACTGTCTAGCAAACTAACAAAAAATCAGATATAGTACCCTGGAAGAAACTAGTTATTGGTAAAAAGCCTCTGACTTAGCAATCAGGGCATCATACTCTCATTCACCTTTCCTATGACATTGTCCTACGTTTAGATTTTCAGCTTTGACATGCTGACTCTGAGAGGTTAATTGGTCATTGGCTAATTGGTCATTGGTCCTGTTTTAATATACTTCCATCAAACCTGGGATAAAATCCACTGATTACAGCTTTATGGGACATTTTACTATTTCTTACTGCCCAGGATCTAGACACTTTCTGTGAAAGTCGTTATCTCAAAACCCACCATTCAGGATTTCCTTCCTAGACATCCTTTTACCTATATAATTAAGAGCAAATTATATGTCTTTTATTTTGCATCTATTATTTTATTCTTAATTTCAGTTCATGGCCCATGAAGAACTCCTGTTTCCTAGATAAGTGACATCTGGAATGACTTGATTTTTCAGATCCACATCATCCATTACACAGAGATATCTTTACCTATACAGTCATTACAGTGTAAACAACATTTTAATATATCAATGCCATAGCTTTAAAATACATAATATTGCATAACTGTGATGTTATTTTTATTGCTCATAGTCAAAGTATATTTTCTACAGAACTAACATATTCCCAGATAAATATGAATTATTTCTTTTACAATGATGGATGTAATTTAATTCATGTTTATTATTGACATTATTTTTTATGTTCTTGAAAGTGGGATGGATTTAACAATATAAATATTTTGGAAAATATTGTATATCACTTTGGAGAATACCAGGCATAGGTAAATGTAAATTATGAGGCAGGCATATATGAAGCTAGAAATTGAATCTGGATTATTCAAAAATACTAGTGTTGTTACTGTGCTTATCAACTACCTCAATGTATAATCCACAGGGGTGGCTCAGAGAGCAGCAGAGACACAGGGCTCCTCAAGTTGGGGGATTCTTTTGTTTGTCTACAACCAGCTACCATAGAAAGGAAGGTGATAGCCTGTTTCCTTACATTTCATTGAAAGTCTATGTAATCAGCCTATAAAGAGAGTCTTCTAGGGAATGAGAGTAGATTCTTATAAGGAAGCTCTTCAGACACCTGTTAAGTGTATACAGGTTTGTCAGTAAAAACTGTGAAAAGAGTTATATTCCTATTTTGAAGATATGTTGCATGCTCAAGATAAAATTAAAAAGGAAGAGGCATTTGATATCAAATGTCATCTATTTGAGCTGATATGCCTTCTATACTCAGTTATAAAAGTCTTATGGATGGGTTATAAGTATTAAACATCTTTATGGCCCTGATAATAACTAAAATAGTATTGGATGAAACAGGAAAATAGAAAATGCTAGTTAAACATATTGTTATATTTAGTTGAAAAATACATATACTAATGTCTTCTATTTGTCAGTTTCTATCAATTACCAAGACATGATTTTAACTTTACTAGGAAACGTTCAGAGTTATAAGTTAATCATTTGAAAATGGATTTATTAAAATGTCATGAATAATTCACATAATTTGATAGACATTATTTCTATAGGATATACTTGAATAAGCTTAAACAAAAGAACTGTATTATATCTGTAGGGAAAACAGGTAATACATAAATGGTTAATGTCTTATACCTGCTTTGAATGTTGCATATAAGAAGACAGTTTCAGGATAATTGCTTTATTGGAAACTTAGTTTATAAGAAAGTAAAATAAAGTAAAAAGGGACCTTGAAGACCTTGAAGGCTATGTTGTGAACTTTTGCAAAATATCAGCCTTAGAGAGGCATATATTTTATGGCAGTGGCATCTTAAGAGCAATGGCTCAAACTCAAATGAGAGACAGTCTTAGATCTATAAATATGAATATATTTTGGGAGGTTTATATAAATGTGCATGAAGTTCATAACATGAATTTTTGCTACAACTAAAGAAAATTCCTGTAATATAAAAATGGATGTAGTAACATCTTAACTTTTTCGTTTAATTATTTTTTTCTCTGAATTATTAAATCCTTTATCTCCATTGCCATCTGGAGATATTTCACTGTTAAAAAATAAACATGAAAATAATAGTGAAGAAAGAGCAAAACTTTTTAGAAGGTGCAGCATTGAAATATAGGAGAAAAACTTAAGGTACCTAAATAAATTTTTTCCTTCCAAATAGAGCCAATAAAATAGTAGAAATGCAGAAAACAATAGTATGAAGGATCAGTATGTAAAATACTCTCCTGGGACAGTCCTGTAACTGAGCTGTAACTGTGCTTTATCTTATTTCTTCAACTCTGATCAGAAGAATTGGCACTCTTTCTGCTCTATTTTGTGGTAAGATGAATCCCATATCACATACAGTAATTTTTGAGTCGAATAATTTTTGACAGTGAGATTAATAGTTTAGAAAATTTCAAAAAGAAGTAACTATATTACAAACTTACCTCTTACACTGTTTCTGCAAGGGAAAGAATTTACTGCAGCTGCTACCAGAATTTTATTTTCTAGTAACAGAAGTTTCTTCGAATATCTTCATCTGTGATAGATTACATATGTATATAATCTATATAATAAATATATATTATGTATATGTAGTTCTCTCTCTCTGTCTGCCTGTCTAGTTAATCTATCATCTATCTATCTATCTATCTATCTATCTATCTATCTATCTATCTATCTATCATCTATCTATCTATCTATCTATCTATCTATCTATCTATCTATCATCTATCTATCTCATCTATCTAAGATCCTTTCATCCTTTTGGCTTATCCAAAATATCCTTATCCAGAGGCATTGCCTGCATTTGAAGCTCTCTTACTTTTAGTTGCCTTCTCAATTAATAGAGTTGGGCCAATTTAGATGACCACCATCCCTCCGCACTGGGAGTTGATGGAGAGAAAGTTGCTAAGCAATCAGAAGGCTCCTGGCCATAACACAGCAGGCAGAACCTCCCAGAGCTGGGTGGGAGTGGGGTGCATCTATATTTCTATTTCATCTACCTGGTACACAAACTTTAAGTTAGGAAGAACTTAGGATATGCCACCCAGGAGTGTCATTCCTCTCTGCATAGCCATGAGGATTTTTGCTGCCACTCTGTCCTACTTTAGCAGTACTGAAAACCATCTCACAGTGCAAATAAATCTGTTCTGCATAAGAAGGTGTAAGCACTAGATATTCCTCAGGGGTAAACTTTGAACTAGAATAAACACTACATAGATGAGTTATGTGCTATAAGAAACTCTAGCTGACTCCAGAGGAACAAATCCCAGATTTGGCAGCATATACTCCACTTGCTGATGCTATCAAAATAGAGTAAGAAGCTCTAAACTAAACCTCAAGGAATAAGGGTTTTATTTAGAATTAGCTAAGAAGTAAATTCCCAGAAGGATTATGAGACCTCATATCTTTCTACCTTCTCCCTAAGGGGAAAATAATTGTTCCCTGACTCTTCTCTCTGGAGGAGAGCAAAGATTGTGTCTGATTGTCCTTGGAGGAAAATTGTAGGAAAAAGGAAGGACACATCTTGGCATCACACAGTATGCATACAGATTTTCAAATATCTCAAGAGTAAATAACTTGAGAGAAATATCACAAATTATAGTATCCAAACACATAAAATTGCTACAGTTTTATGAATTCACACACCTCTTTAGTTCTCATGAAGGTATAAGAGAGGTTGTGACTTGGTTCCCATAGAACTTGTTATGGCTACCCTAAAAAGGAATTGATCTCCCAATGCCAAAGTGTATCTCTGTCTGAAATGGAATATGTATATGCTCACAACGAGGAAGGGAAATAATAGCCATAAACAACAGTTACTGAGCCCTTATTAAGTTTCAAAAAACAAAGTTTTTCTAATAAGAATTTAAGATATCATTAGTTTTTCCCACTCTTGTTCTCTTGTGAAGGTGTAACAGGGTATTCCAAATGTTATGTGATGTTTGAAATTATGAAAAATCAGATGCAGCAGAAAACTTACAAATCCAGTCATTTTGTAAAACAGACAAAGAATTTTATAAAAATGTGAAACAATGCTATCTTTTCAGTTTATTTGGCTTTATAAAAGCTATTTTTAATAAATGTTATATATATTATCATATAATGGGATTATTTTTAATGAATAAAAACCAAATACTTTAAAATGATGTTTTAATTTGTAATATAATAATAATTATCAACGAATACCCACATAAAATCTCTTCGAGTCCTTGGGAATTTTTAAAAGCGTAAAGCCATCTTATAACCAAACAATTAAAAAGAATCAATGCAGGCTGGGTGCAGTGGCATGTCTTCAATTTGTTTAATCAATGTTTTATCGTTTTCAATGTACAGGCCTATCATCTCCTTTGCTGAAGTTCTTTCTAAATATGTTATTTTATAACCTATTGTTAGTAGGATTATTTTCTTGATTTCTTTTTCAGATAGTTTGCTGCTAGTGTATGGAATTACTACTGATTTTTGTATGTGATTTTGTACCCTACAACTTTACTAAATTCATTTATTAGTTCCAACAGTTGTTTGGTGGAAACTTTAGGGATTTTTAAATATATAAGATCATGCCGTCCACAAACAGGGACAATTTAACCCCTTCCTTTTCAACTTGAATGCATGTTATTTCTTTTTATTGACTAATTTATGTGGCTAGTACTTTCAGTACAATTTTCACTAGAAGTGGAAAGTGTGGGAATCCTTGTCATGTTCTAGATCTTAGAGGAAAAACTTCCAATTTTTTTCCATTGAGTACAATGTTATCTGTGGGTTTGTCATACATGGCCTTTATTGGGTTGAGATATATTCCTTCTATTCCTAATCTGTTGAGAGATCTTTTTTAAAAATTATGAATGGATACTGAATTTTGTCAAATGCTTTTTCTGCATGTATTGAAATGATCATTTGGTTTTTGTCCTTCATTCTGTTAATGTTGATTCGCATATGTTGAACCATCCTTGCTTTCCTGGGCTGATTCCCACTTGATCATGGTGAAAAATCCTTTTAATGTGTTGTTAAATTTGGTTTGCTAGTATTTTGTTCAGAATGTTTACATTATGCTCATCAGGTGTATTAAACTGTAGTTTTCTTTTCTTGCCACATCCTTGTCTAGTTTTGGTATCAGGGTAATGCTGGCCTTAAAGAATGAGTTTGGAAGTATTTCTTCCTCTTTAATTTTTTGGAAGAGTTTTTACTAGTTCTTCTTTAAATATTTGGTAAAACTCAGCAGTGAAGCTATCAGGTCCTGGGCTATTCTTTGAAGAGAGATTTTTTATTGTGGAATCAATCTCTTTACACGATCATGATCTTTTCAGATTTTTTATTTCTTCATAATTCAATCTTGGTAAATAAAACGTATCAAGAAATTTGTCAATTTCTTCTAGATTATCCAATTTTTTGGTGCATAATTGTTTATAATTGTTTCTTATGATCATTGTAAGGTCTCCTTTTTCAATTCTGATTTTCTTTATCTCAGTCTTCTCTCCTTTTTTAAGACTAGCTAATAGTTTGTTGATTTTGTTTAACGTTTCAAAAAGAAGACTTTTTTGATGCTTTTATTGTTGTTAGTCTTCATTTATTTCTGCTCTGATCGTTATTATTTTATTTATTCTACTAATTTGGGGCTTAGTTTAGTCTTGTTTTTCTAGTTCCTTAAGGCACAACAGAGATTGTTGGTATGCAATATTTCTTCTTTTTTGATGTAAGCATTTATTGCTTTAAACTTCCCTCTTAGAACTGTTTTTTCTGTATCCCATGTGTTTTGGTATGGTGTGCTTCTGTTTTCATTTGGCTAAAAAGATTTTAAACATCTTTCTTTATTTCTTCATTGACCCATTGGTTGTCAGGGAGCATATTATTTAATTTCCATGTATTTTTTCTGAAGTTCCTTCTGTTATTCATTTCTATTTTGATACCATCATGGTCAGAAGAGCTCCTTGATACTTCAATCTTCTTAAATTTATTATGAATTGTTTTGTGCTTTAACATATGATTTATTCTAGACATTGACATTGTTTCATGTGCAGTTAAGAAGAATGTGTATTCTGCAGCTGTTTATGGAAGGTCTGTGTATGTGTGTTAGGTCCATTTGGTCTGGAGTATAGTTTAACATTTTCTTCCTGGATAATCTGTCCATTGCTAAAAGTGGGGTATTGAAGTCCTCTACTATTATTGTATTGAAGTCTTCTCTCTTCTTGGATCTATTAATATTTGCTTTCTATGTTTAGGTGATCCTGTGCTTGATATATACATATTTATATATAGATATACACATATATATATATACACACACACACACATATATATATATATCAGGTATATATATATACACACACACAAACATATATATATATATATATATATATATATAGATCAAGAAAGAAACTGTAAAAAAATAAAGAGAAATTCTGGCACCAAAAACCACATTGACAAAAATGAGCAACTCTACAGAGATCTTCAACAGCACATTCCATCAGAGTATTGTTATACCCTCTTGCTGAATTAACCCCTTTATTATTTATGTAATGACTTTCTTTGTTTCTTTCTACAGTTTTTGACTTAAAGTCTATTTTATCTGGTATGAGTATAGCTACTCTTACTCTCCTTTGGTTTTCATTTGCATGGAAAATCTTTTTTCATAACTTCACTTTCAGTCTATATGTGTCCTTACACATGAAGTGACTCTCTTATAGGCAGCATCAAGCTGGGCCTTGCTTTTAATGCATTCAGCCACTCTGCCTTTTGATTGGAGAATTTAATTCATTTACATTCAAGGTGATGATTTATAAAGTAAGGACTTACTACTGCCGTTTTGTTAATTGTTTTCTGGTTGTTTTATTTATACTTTGTTTCTCTCTTCCTCTCTTATTGCCTTCCTTTGTGGTTAAGTGATTTTCCCTAATAGTATGTTTTGATTCCTTGTTTTTCACTTTTTTAAAGCATCTATTATAGATTTTTGATTTGTGGTTACTATAACACTTATAAAAAGTGTCTTGTGGTTATAACAGTTTATTTGAAGCTGATAACAACTTATCTTTGGCCACAAAAAGCACTACATTTTAAATTTATTTATTTATTTTTCATTTTTTTGTTCCACAGATTTCTGAGAAAGCACTACATTTTTATTCTACTCCCTTCCACCACACATTTTGAATATTTGATGTCACCATTTACATCTTTTTATGTTACGTATCCCTTAAAAATTATTGTAGTAATTTTTAATGGTTTATAATTTAACCTTTATACTATACATATAAGTAATTAACACACCACCATTATGGTTTTAGAGTATTCTGAATTAGACTGTGTACTTCTTTTACCATTAAGTTATCTCCTTTCATGTTTCATGTTGCCAATTAGGGTCCTTTTCTTTTAGGTAGAAGAACTCCCTTCAGCTGTTATTGTAAGGCAGGTGCAGTGGTGGTAAATTGCCTTAGCTTTTGTTTGTCTGGGACAGTCTTTATCTCTCCTTCATTTCTGAAGGACAGCTTTGTCATTCGAGTATTCTTGGTTGTCAGTCTTTGTTTTCCTCTTTGGCACTTTGAGTAAATCAACCCACTCTCTCGGCCTGTAAGATTTCTGCTAAGAAATCTTTTGAGAGCCATATTGGTGCTCCCTTGTATGTGATATGCTTCTTTTCTCTTTCTGGATCATGTCTTTGTCTTTGATTTTTGTCAGTTTGATTATAATATGTCTTGGTGTAGTCTCATTTAGATTAAACCTGACTGGAAACCTTGGAGCTTTCTGTACCTGGATATTTATATCTTTTCCCATATTTGGGATGTTTTCTATCATTTTAAAAAGCTTCTTTTTTTCCTTCTATTTCTCTGCTCTCTCTGGGACATTCATTATGCCTAAATTGGTTCTTGATGGTATCCTACAGTTTTTGCAGGCTTTCTTCACTCTTTTTCATTCTTTCACTCTTTTTCATTCTTTCCCCCACCTTTGACTGAGTAATTTGAAATGACCTGTTTTGGAGTTCACCAAGTATTTCCCATTTGATCGAGTCTGCTGCTGAAACTCTCTATGGAGTTGTTCATTTCTGTTATTGTGCTGTTTAGTGCCAGAATTTCTCTTCGATTCATTTTATGGTTTCCTTCTCTTATTGAACTTCTAATTTTGTTCAGGTATTGTTTTCCTAATTGTATCTGTTTGTCTATTTACATTCTCTTGTAGCTCACTGAGCTTCTTTAAGATGATTATTTTGAATTATTTGTCAGGCAGTTTGTAAATCTCCATTTTTGTAAGGTCAGTTGTTGGTGCTTCATTTGTTGCTTTGGTGTTGCCATGTTTTGTGATTGTTCATGATCCTTATGGCCATGCATTGATGTCTGCTCACTTTAAGAAGCAGAGACTTATTCCAGTCTTTGCAGACTGGAGTTGTCTAGATAAGCCCTTCACATGTCAACTTGTCCAATCATTTTAGGCAGGCCATCTGGCATGGTCTGTAGGTGGGCCTGTTGAAGTCCTTGGTCAAGCTGGCCTAGTGCTTAGGTCAGTAGGTGAGTCAGCCAGGTACCTGGGTCTATGAGGTTGGGCCCAGTTCCTGGAACCTGGGTCTGGCCTGGAACCTGGGTCCACAGAGGCTAGCTTGGTGCTGGGGTCTGCTGGAACTGGCCTAGACCCTGAGTTGGCTGGTGCAGGCCTAAACCCTGGGTCTGCTGGAGTCTGAGGCTCCAGGGCCTGGCCTGGCACTGAGGCATGCCTGAAGGCTGGGGTTATGAGGGGAACCCTTACTCTAGGCCAGTAGAGAGTTTGGGGCAGGACTGAAACGTGGGGCTGTGGAGGCCAGCCCAGTCCCATAGGTGTCAGGAGGCCAAAGCTGCTGGGATAGCCTGGCATTGGGGTGGGCTGTCCTAGTGCTGGAGTGAGACTGGAGACTGAGTCTGCATGTGCCGCCTGAATTCTGGAGCCATGGGGCCAGCCAGGAGCCTGAATCTGTGGGGACCTATTTGGCAGTGGCAGATAGGCTGAATCTGTGGGTAACAGCTCAGAGACTGTGGTTGTGAAAGTCTGCCTGGTGCAGACCCACTGTTGGCATCTAGGCTGGCCCAGCGTTGGAGTCTGAGACAAAATCTGTTATTTACTCCCCTCTTTTTCCTCTATGCAGAGGGTATCTCTCTCTGCATTGTTCTGCCTGGAGTAGGGAGGGTTGATGCAGGTATTGTGAAACTGCCCTTCCTACTCTTTACAATGAATGTTTTCTTATTTCTGTGCTACACACAGTTGCTGTAATCACTCACCTTGTTTCTTTAGCTCCTGTGAAAATATGTTTGTGCATGGATACTTGTTCAAATTGATGGTTCTGAGAGGGGACAAGTATGGGAAAGTCTTATTCTACCATCTTGCTGATGTCACTCTAAGCCAAAAACCTGCACAATTGTTTTCCAATTCATAGTTCATGGAATGTATTTTTATTTACTTAAAATTTTAATTTCAGTCAACAATATTTTATGCTTTTAGTATGTAAGTCTTTCTTTTTTTGTTAGATGTATTCTTAGGCATTTTATTTTCTCAGTCTTGCAAATTGGATTCTTTTCTTCAGTTTATTTAGGATTGTTCATTGCTTGTATATGAGAGTTAAGACAGACTAGAGAGAGGTGAGCCTCCAGGTGTTGGAGTAGACAATTAAAACAACAGGCCAAAATGAAAGTAACACTTATGCCTTTAATCACTTTGTGTGATACTATAAGCAAGAGGTCAAGAAGAAGTAAGTGCTGGCCTGCCCAATTTTCATTTTCTCTGATGAAATAATATCAGTTGAGGATCAAATGGATCAGTACTGATGTGGGAAATAATCTCATTGTTGAGGGAGCTAGGGCTAAGATGCAAATGTGAGTGAGCATTTTAGTGTACAATTAAAGGACAGGCTTAAGCAGCTAATGTGATGGGACAAAATAACTTCAGCTTAGACTACATACCTCAGGTGAGGTCTGTGGTTTCAATGAAGTAATTCCCTGAAAGAGCACTTCTCATTGTGCTCTGTGTTTGATCAGGCTGTCTACCACCTCATTCAATTGTAGACTTCTTTTGTATTTACTGATAATTGACACTTTGACTTTTATAAGGGACCTTGAAAGCATCTTCCATCTCTTTCAATATCTTTATAAAGACACAAATATATGGATGATTAAACAGTAATCAAACAGCAATGGATGGGAGGTTATGTAAACACATTTTGTTTCTTTAGAAGATTAGGAATTTTACTGACCAAAACCTAAATGTAATGTCTTTCTGATTACATAAAAATTTTTTTGTAGAAAAATGGCTTAATCTTTGATTTTAGGGTGCCATCAACACCGATGACAGTACAGTTTTTGGAGGATAAGAACCCAGAGTGGCCATTTAGGACAGAGTAACTGGCCCCCATATCAATTAAGAAATTAATATTCTTACCTGTCATGTTAACAATCAGTCAAGACTCCTTACTATGCCTTTTGTGGGAGTCGCTAGGAACCTCTGGACCCTCCAGTCCTCAGTTATGGCCGCCAGTCCTCAGTTAGGGCCATTATGGCATAAAGTGTCTTCTTCCTTCACAGCTCAGGACAATCCCTTTTCCAATGACCCGCCTGCCTGCAGTGAGAACAGGGTTGGGTGGGCTGCCCTGACTGGGATAGTTCTTGCTCTAATGTCCTGGCTTCCCACACTTAAAGTAGCAGCCATTACCTGCAGGTTTGCTATTAGGCTTTTTTGATCTGTGGGTGAAGCATCCCCCTGGGTGACCCTGAGGTTGCAGGGCGCTGCTTACAGAGACTGCTATCAATCGGGCTTGTTGTCTATCCCATCATTTGCCATGCTGGATTCTTTCAGCCTCTTCAGCCCTATCCCTATTATTGAATACCCTGAAAGCCACATCAAACAGTTGATCAATAGGTCTTTGGAAATATAGTTTTCATTTCCTGTGATGTCTTTGATTTTTTGGTATCAAGTGATACTGGCCTCATAGAATAAGTTGAGAAATGTTCCATTTTCTCCTATTTTGAGAGATTTTTATGAAGAAATAGTATTAGTCTTTTAAAATTAAGTATAATTTGCCACTACAGCAATGTGATTGATGGCCTTATTTGGTGTAAGTTCTAAAATTACTAATTCAACTTCTTCACTTATTACAAGTCTACTCAGATTATCTATTTAGTTTTGAGTGAGTTGGGTTGGACAAGCTTGGCCTAGATCTTATGAGGAAAAGGGGAGACCCTGAAGACACCTTTTCTCCACTCTGACTCAGTATTTAGTATGTTTCTACTCCCCTTCTCTCTCCCTCTTCTCTCCTCTCTTGTATTCTCAGGCTCATAAAATATTAGGACCTTTTGCTTGGGGATCCTTCAGCTGTGAGATGATCCCTACTTCTGTATCGATCCACCTGACCTTTGCACAGTGCAGTTCCACAGGGATAAATGAAACAGTGTGGGAGTTGGAACTTACTCTAGTTCAACCTCTTGCTTATGCGATCACAGTAAATGATGAAACACTTGACCGTTGCTTTTATTTTGGCTGGTTGCTTAGCTTGGTTACTCAGACACTTGGAAACTCAGCTGTCTCAAGCTCAGCTTCTTGACAGAAATACAATTGATATTTGAGTACAAAACTTTTATTCTGCAGCATTGTTGAATTTATTTGTTTGAGCTGATTTTAAAAAATTCCTTAGAATTTTCTATTCACAAGATCATTTCACCTTATGCCTTTCCAATCTGGATGCCTTTTATTTCTTTTTCTTGTTTAATTGCTCTGGCTAGAACTTCCAGTCTAATGCTGAACAGAAGCAGCAACAAAAGACTTCCTTGATCATGTTTCTTATGGGGAAAGCATCCCAGTCTTTAACAGTTAATTGTAATTTTAGTTGTGGTTTTCTTATCTACCCTTTATCAGTTTGAAGAAATTCCCTTGTATTTCTAGTCTGGTGTGTGTGTGTGTGTGTGTGTGTGTGTGTGTGTGTGTGTGAGTGTGTGTGTCAGGAAAGGATTTTGGAATTGTCAAATGCCTTTAGTATGTATAATTAGATGTGTTTTCTTTTCTTTATTTTATTAACATGGTCTATTACATTGAGTTTTGAATGTTTAAACAACCTTGCATTCTTTGAATAAACCTCACTTGGTAATTATGCTTGCTGCATTTGGTTTGCTGGTATTCGTTGAATAATTTTGCATCTGTATTCATAAAGAAATTGGTCTATAGTTTTTATTTCCTGTGATGCCTTTGATTTTTTTGATATCAGGTGATATTGGCCTCATAGAATAAGATGGGAAATGTTCCATTTTCTTCTATTTTGAGAGATTTTTATGAAGAAATAGTAGTAATTATTCTTTTAAAAATTAAATAGTATTTGTTACTACAGCAATGTGATTGGCAACTTTATTTGGTGTTAGTTTTAAAATTACTGATTCAACTTCTTTACTTACTAGAAGTGTATTCAGATTATCTATTTATTTTTGAGTGAGTTGGTAGATTGTGACTTTCTTAAAATTTCTCCTTTTAAGTAAGTTTCTAACTGTTCACACAGAGTTGTTCACAGTGTTCTTTGATAATCCTTTCTGTACCTGTAAGATTGCTAATGATGTTTTCTATATCCCTAATTTTAGTAATTTTAGTCTTTCACTGTTTTGTTGGTAAATGTAGCTAAAGTTTGTCAATTTTGTTAACCTTTTCAAAGAAGCACTTTTGTTTTCACTGATTTTACTTATTCTTTTTCATTTCTCTATTTTATTTATACACATTTTAATCTATATCTATTTATGCTTGCTTTGGGTTTTGTTTGCTTTTCTTTCAAAATGGGAGATTTGCAATAAAATGCTGAGAAAATGATGCAAATTCCAAAGGAAAATAGCTTTTCCATCTCTTCCACTCTGCAAATAGAAGTGACTCTCAACACTAAAATTTAATCCAGAAACTGGGTTCATACTCCATAGAGTTTTCAGTGGGAAAGGTAGTGTAAAATATAATGTGCTGTTTTTTTCACTGTAATCTTGTCGTATTTTCAGAGCCAGAATTCGAAAAATTCCCATATTTATATCAAACTTCTAACTGAAAAAAATTTATCAGTTTTTGCTTTAGCAAACCACTTGTTTAAAAGCAAAGTCCTATCCAACTAACACTCTGTCCACTCCTTACATAGACAGCGTCCTCTGCAGTGCTCTGTGGAGGGCGCCCTTCACCTGAGCATTCCTCAGACTGTAGATCAGGGGGTTCAGAATTGGGTTCAAGACACTGTGAAACAGGGACAGCATTTTCTCCTGCTCCTCTCGTTGATTAGAGTCTGGGACTATGTAAACCACCATGGCTATGCCAAAGAAGAGTCCAACCACACACAGGTGGGAGGAGCAGGTCGAGAAGGCCTTTATGCGGCCTTCCTTTGTCTGGATCTTTAGGATGGCCCAGAGGATGTGCATGTAGGAGACAAGCATCAAACAAAGAGGTCCAACTAAGACAAACACACAGGTAGCAAATATGACCACTTGGTTAACCCAGGTGTCAGAACAGGCCAGCTTGAGGACAGACAGAATTTCACAGAAGAGGTGGTTCACATCCCGGGGCCCGCAGAACGGCAACCTTAGAAGAAGAATTGCATGTACCAGGGACAGGGCAAACCCACATGACCAGGATGTGAGAGCCAGGATCGTGCACACTCTCCAGCTCATGATGACAGTGTACTGGAGAGGGTGGCAAATGGCCACATACCTATCATAGGACATCACCACCAAAATCAGACACTCTGTAGCAGCAAAAGAGAAATACAAATAGGTCTGCATTATGCATGGAAGAAAGGAGATGGTTCTTTTCTTGTTCATCAGATTTGCCAACATCTTGGGAACATTGTTGGAAGCATAGGACATGTCAATGATGGCCAGGTGTGAGAGGAAGAAGTACATGGGGGTAGGCAGAATGTGGTCCAGACAGATGAGTCCCAAGATCATGCCATTTGCCAGCAGGCTGAAGATGTATAACAGGGAGAAGATCTAAAAGAGGAGCACTTCCATCTCGGCACTGAGCTGGAATCCCACCAGGATGAATTCTGTGACCCATGATTGGTTGACTCCCATTCCTTAATGGAAGTCTGTCAAGGACTGAAGTGTGATAGAAAGGTCAGAAAATTTGAGTTTTTATCTGAAAATGAGCTAAGATAAAGGCTATATATGTTTGTTCCTATTAGATAAGCCCCTTCAAATTCCCAAGATTTATTACCTTTCTGTTTTTAGCATTTAATTATGAAATAAATTTAAACTTAAAAATAGTGTCACAAAGTTTTCAAAGAACTCCCACTTAATTTCATACAGATTCAGCAAATGTTAACATTTATTATTTGTCTTATTCTCTTTCTCTATGTAATTTTTATTTTTTGAACCAGTTGAGATTAAAGTGTAGACATAATACCAATTTAATTTTAAATTTCTGATCTTTTAGTAAGAAAAAACTAATTCCCACTAGCTTGACCATAATATAAGTATTAAATTCAGAAAATTTAATATTGACATTGACATGTTTAATATTGATATTGATATTGATATTGACATGTTTCTTTTCTCTAATATACAATATTCTCCCTCCAACCACACCAGTCTAGGACCTAACCCAAGATTATGCATTATATCTAAAGTCATCTGTCTTTAGTCTCCTGTACCTGTAATATTTACTCAGCCTTTTTGTGCCTTTCTGAACACTGATATTTTGAAGAGTTCTTTAGCATAATGTCCAACAAATTGAGAGTGTACAATATTCCTCAATGTTTTTGTTCAAATTATTCACTTTCCGCAGGAAAAATAGTATTCTCCTCTGTGTGTTCTGAGAAAGTATATGATATTAATTTGTCCTGTTATTGGGGTGAAGCTAACTTGGATCCACTTGGTGAAGATGGTGCTTCCCAGATATCTCCATTATGTGATTTTTTTTTTCCCTAATTAGTTTCTGGAGTACCCATTAAAAATTATTATATATGTAGCTTGTTCCTCATAATGTCACTTCACTAGTTCCTTTCAGTCACTAGTTTTAGCATCTATTGATTATCTTGCCTAACTCAGTTATTAATAATGATTCCAAAATGTGTTGTTCTGACTCTATAATTGCTTTTACATTTATTAGTTGGCAACTTTAGTATAAAAAATGCTTCATTCACTTACCTATCTATTATCTATCTGCTCTCTATCTGTTATCTATCATCTGTTATCTATCTGCTATCTGTCATCTATCTATCCATCAGTATAGACTCATGGATTTTTTTATTCAGTGGGTTGTACTTCATTGTTGTCATTTTTTGGTGCTTAATTTTCCTATATCTAGGCCTTCTAAGCATGCTCCTCTGTCTTTTTAACATGTTCCCATAATATTTGAGCAGTTATTTCCTTCTGATATGACCAGATGTTTCAAGCTCCCTTTGTATACTCCCCACTTCAATCACAAAACAGCCATTTCCTCCAAAAGTTATAATCATTTTTAATAAATAATTATATTTATAAGCCGATATTTATATTCATCTGGGTTTTATTGGATTTTTAATAATTTATATTTTATCATGATAATTTGTATTTTATCATGATTTTTATCATGAGGATAGCATGAATTTCTGGTATTCTACATTAAAAACAAGAGCATATAATTTGAGAAAGCATACAAATTATTATGGGGATAATACATTCTCAAGATTCTTCCGAAAATAATATAACTTAACTGACTTCCTTTATGGTGTTAGCATTGAAGAAAATGGTTTTGATATTTATTATTTTATTTTTGGTGAAAAATACATGTTTGTAATTCTACTACCTTATTAACCATCAGGTTTTATATTATTTTCCTGCTTTTATTCTTATTTAGAAATTTTAGAATCTTGAATATTTTAGATTTTGTGTGAACCCTTGTGTAAACAATGTGATACCTACTTTGTATGAGATTTTGACTTGAAGTTTTAAAAACCTAGAAAAACGTGAAACTCTAGTTAAAGGACTAAAGAGATGACATGTTGAAACATACAAACAAAAGTGATCATTTTAAATAATTGTGCAGTTATACTTTTCTACTGTTTATTTCATATATATCATTATTATAAAAATTATATGAAAAATGCTATTTGTTTAACTAGCTCTATCATATATCATGAACCATTTCCCATGTCAAAATATTTCTCTGAAACATAGTTTGAACAGCTATTATTCAATACAAATATTCTAATGGACTTAATGTATTATCTCATCATTAGATTGTGTGCTATATAATGCTTCAGTAATTAAATTATATATGTATATGTTTGTATTTGTTGTCTTTTTTCATGACATTTTTAATAGTAAATTCTGAGACTTAGAAGTGCTCAGTCAAGTCAATCAATTTATGTATTTATATATCTCTGTGTACTCATCTAAAAATCAAACAAGCAAAAATCCCAAATATATTAAGGTGTATCACTGTAAGATGCCTCCTAGTGGAAGAGGATGTCTAATTTATCAATCATGATGCTGTAATCTCAAATTAACCTTCTGCTACTCCCCAGGTTCCATGCGGTCCCATGTGAAAGAACCATCTTAACATTGCACTTCAGATTTCCCACCTAGACATCTTTCTACATATATTATTAAGCACAACAAATACAGATTTCTCATGTTTTATCTAATCTAGTGTTTCCTTCTCAATTTCAGTTTCTGCCTTGAGGGGAAGTCCTGCTTCATAGGTGAATGACATTGAGAATGAGTTAACACTTCATATATATTAAATAAAAGATAATATCTTTACTCACACAGAAATGACAAGTTAAAAAATAATTTAAAATAATCAATAACATAGCACTTAAAATGTTGTATAAATATAATTTCATTTTATCACACATGGCAAATGGCAAGGTTTCTATAAAGCAGACACACTCCCAGATAGTTATAAATCTCTTTCTATGATGGATATATTTTCAGTTTATACTTGTTACTGACTTTATTTTTTAGTGCATAAGAATGTCAGATGGATTCAGTAATAAAATTTTGAGAATTTTGACTATCCGTTTGGAGGATTTGAGGCATAGGTAAATGTAAATTCTCAGGCAGGCCTATATTTAAGTTGCAAAAGTCATATGAATCTTTCAAAAATACTAATGTCATTACTATGCTTATCCACTAGCCTCATTGTATAAGTGTGAAGGGGAAATGTAGTGGAATCATAGCCTCTTCTTGGAAGGATTTTCTTGCATGTTTACAACCAGTTACTATAAAAAGAAAGGAAGCAGCCTGCTTGAACTTGTCTAGGCCCCATTGAAAACCTACTTGATAGACGGCCTATAAAGAGAGTCTTTTCTATTCTAGCAAATTAGAGTAGAGGCACAAGGGTAGGCTCTTTAGGCACATATTAAAGGTATAGGCTTGGTCAATCATTACAGTTAAAAGAGTTATGTCCTCACTATGACGATATAGACAATTCTCAAGGTAAAATCAAAGATGAAGGGGCAAGGATATCAAATGTCATTTATTTGAATGGAGATATGCCTTCACCAGATAATGAATGGTAATATATCTTATACTTCTTCATCTCTTGTAATAAGTAGTATACTTGTAGATAAAAGTAGACACTCAGAAAATGCTTATTACTTAGATGAATGACATTTTTAGTTAGTTATAGATTTAGTTATTTACGTATATGTATATTAAATATACTCTGTAACTATATGTATAAAATATATGGGATATATATAGTAAATGTATATAATATATATTTTTGTCTATTGGCCAGGACATGATTTATACTTTTTAAAAAAAGTATAATACTTAGATGAATGACATTTTTACTTATAGATTTAGTTATTCATGTATATGTATATTAAATATACTCTATAAACTATACATATATAACATATAGAATATATATGGTAAATATATATAATATATATTTTTGTCTATTGGCCAGGACATGATTTATACTTTTTAGAAAAAGTGTAAAAATAATTTATACTTTTTTTAAAAAGTGTAAAAATAATTTATACTTTTTTAAAAAAGTGTAAAAATAATTTATACTTTTTAAAAAAACATTACAGCTACAATTTGATTATTTGAAATGTCAAAATAATTAAAAACAGTATTTGCAAAGGATACATTCAAATTAGCATAATGGTAGGGACTATATTGCGTCTGTAGATAAAATGGCCCCACTTAAATGTACTGTATGTGTAGTGGATTGAATGGTGACCCCCAAAAGATATATCCCTATCCTAATCCTCAGCACCTGTGAATATTGCCTTATTTTGAAAGAGGGTCTTTGCAGGTGTGATTAAGAATCTTAAGATAATCCTGAATTTTATGGATGAGCCCTAATTCCAATGACAACATTTCTTATGCAATAAAGGCAGAAGGAGATTTGAAACAAACTGCTGAAGGCACACAGAGGCAAGGTGATGCAACGACAGAGCAGACAGAGATGTGGCCAGACACTGAGGAATGCTGGAAGAGGGATGAAATATGTTCTCCTTTAGGTTTCCCAAAGGGAGCAAAATTTTACTAGATTCCAGATCTGTGAGAGAATGAATTTCTATTGTTTTATTCAACCACATTTGTGGTAATTTGTTACACAAGCTGTAAAAAACAAATATAGTATCATATACCGGCTTTGAATCAATGCTTGAGGACAATTTTAGAGTAATGGATTTTTGAAGCAAGTACTTCATATGGAGGTAAAATAACCTGAGAGGTAAGCTTGAAGATACATGTGTGAGCATTGTGAACTTTTGCAAACTAAGCCTAAGAGGGATCAGTCACATGGGCAGTGTTTCTTTGAGATCAATAACTCAATAAAACAGAAAGGCAAAATCACAAATTCTTAAATTTCTATAAATACATTGTATTTGAAGAGGGTTCTATATAAATATGCATTAAATTATTTTGTTACAATAAGATATATTCCTATAGTACGCCAAGTGGGGATAGTAACATCATATTGCAAAATCTTTATTAAACAGAGTTGGACATAATACTCATGTCTGAAACATATTTAATTTCTGAATATAAAGGATAACAATATTATTGAAGATAATTCAATCTATTGTTACCCAGTAGGAACATTCGTTTCTTGATATTTTAGTCTAGTTATTTTTTCTGGATTATAAATCTTTTTATTGTCATTACCCTTACCATTTGCTGTTGAAAAACAGACAAAATTAAAAAAAATAAAATTGCAGGCAGATTAACATCTTTAAGTGGCTAACACACTGGAATGGAGAACAAAATATCACAGTGATGATGCCTAAAATTTCACCTTTCCAATAGAATAAATAAAACAATAGCAGATCAGAAAATAAAAGGTTTTCTTGATCAGTATGAGCTATTTTCCACCCAGGCAGTCCTGCAACCCAGAATGTTTCTTCAGCTAGAGTGCTTTATTCTATTTCTCCAACTCTTAGTAGTAGTGATAGCCTGGGATAGTTCCCCCAAAGACATAATTCTATGACAGACTTACCTTTTAAACTCTTTCAGATAGAAAAAGATGTAATGTAACTGTGATAGATTTTTCGTTTCCATTGAGAAAGGTTTTCCGGGCCATGTATATCTTTATTTAGGCTGGGTAATGTATAGAGTCCTTGCATTAATTTGGCTATTTCAAAGCCTTATTCAGAGACCTGGATACAAAGCCCCTCCTTCTCTGAGCTCCTTCTCATTGAGACAATGGGGCTAGCTCTGACCTCCACCATCAAGGGACATTGGCAGGTGATGGTGCGAGAGATGCTGGGGGAGCCTTGGGACCCCTGTTCACAGCAGAGCAGGAAGACGTTCCCTGGGAGGAGGAGAGGGACATTGGTGTGTATTCCAACTACCTGCAATCTACACTTTGATTCAGGAGGGAAAGTCACCCAGGGATGTTGTTCTTCCAGCATAGCCACGGTGATTTCTGCAGTCATCCAGCTCTAGTTCAACTACCTATACAGGAAAACACCTCCCAGCAGAAATGAATGTCTTCTATATAAGGAGATGTTAGCACTAGACTTTTCCTCAGGATAATATTTTGACCTAGAATAAACCCTACAGAGATGAGACACATACCGCTAAAATGAATATAGACTCCTACTCCCTCTGGAAGCCTTCATAGGATTAAATCCCAGATACAGACAGATTCACTGGACTCACTGAAGTTTCTTTAGCTAACTCCAGGAGCATAGCTTTTATTTTAGAATCAGATGAATAAAAACATTCTTGAGTTTCTATTGAGAATTAAATTCCCAGGAGGATAATAATATATACTTATTTGTCTTCTCTCTAAGGAGTATAGGGAAGATCTCCGGATCTTCTCTCTGGAGGAGAACAAAGATTTTCTGATTGTCCTTACAGGAAAATTATCAGGACCAGGCAGGGCAGATGATGGCATCACACTATTTCTGCACAAGCTTTCACAGATCTCAAGGGTCATAAACATGAGGCAGACATCACAAATTACAATATCCAAACTCTTAAAATGATTATGGTTTTATTACTTTATACTTCCCTACAATCTCCATGAAGGTATAAGAGAGGCCGTGACTTTCAGATAGTTGAGAGGTGATTTTCATGGAACCTGGTATGGGGACTCTGAGAAGGAACAGATCTCTCAATGCCAACATAAATTTCTATTTCCTGTAGGAAGTGATAGATACAAATGAAAAAGGATTAAAATAGACATAAGTATCAATTATTGAGCCCTTTTTGTGTTTCAGAAAATGTGACACATTTTCTGCTTTATATGGACTATATATTTTAATCTGATCATTATCCTCATTTTACATATATGAAGACTGACATTTTGATATGCTGTCTGCTATTCTTTAAGTGTGGTTGAGGGACTCTGAAAATTTCTGACAAGCTTTCAAAGAGTCTGTGGGATAAAAACTATTTTCACAATACTATTTAGACAGTTTTAATATTTTTTTACCCTCGTTCTCTCACGAGTGCACACTGAATTTTTTCAGAGGCTAGCTGATATGGCAACAGATAGAATGAAGGAAACGTAAAATGCAGCTTTCTATTAAGCTGGATATTTTAAGAATTGCAAAAATGTAAAATAAAGTTACTTTTTATAAAATATATTATTTATAAGAATATCTTATCAAGAATATCATATTAACCTATATTGGAAGCCATTTAAATTAATTAAAAGTAAATAATAAATTTGTCAGTTTTGATTTCTATTATAACATCAACAAATATACTTACATAAATGAAATATCTTCAGACCCTCAGTAATTTTTAAGAATTTAAAAGTGTTCTGAGACCAAAGAGCTAGAGAATTATTGCGCTAAATTATGGATCACCAATCTAGCAAGGACTAGAGCTGGAAACAAATGATCTTTATTTAATACCAAAAGTGTATTCACCATTCACGTTCTATTGCAGTTGCAACAAATTAACAAAAACTTAATGGCTTAAAACAGCACATATCTATTATCTCACAGTTTCCATTGATCAGAAGTCCTGGTGGTCAGCTGGATTCTCTTTAAAACAAAATCAAGATTTTAGCTTGGTCTGCAATTCTCATCTGAGACTTGAGATCCTCTTTCAAGTTTAATGGTTGTTGGAAAAATTAGATTCCTTGTGGTTGTAGGGTTGAAATCTCTGTCCATTTGTCACTGCTGTTTTCTGTCCTCTGGGATCTGGGATGGCCTGAGCTGCCTGCTGCCACTCTGGTGCCTACATGGGACCACCTCCGTGTTTAAATCAGCAATGTTTGTTGAGTGCTTCACACACTTCAAATCTCTCTGACTTCCTCCTCTGTTACTAGGTGAAAAAAATTCCCAGCCTTTAGAAGACTCACCTGATTGTTACCATGGTAACCTTCACATTTTAGGACCCATTGATCTACAAAGCCCCTTCACAGCAGAACCTAGATTAGTGTTTGATTAAATAACAAAAGTCTAAGGGGGGCCATTTAGAGAATTCTGCCTATCCCATAAAGCCATTTCATCTTAACCACTGAGCATTGTTTTCATTTTCTGATCCTATATTTTTTCCTTGAACACATGCTGTTCTATCAATGCTATCTTTATTATAGGCCTCAAGCTATTGCTTCAGATTTCCCACCCAAAATAACATGGCCCTGAATCCAAATTCCGAAGGGAAAAATTTCCATTTCTGTGTCTTACTCTAAGTGATATGATTAGAGTATTTTAAAGTTTTATATGAGTTTATATAAATTTAACTGAGTTAACCCTTTCTTGTACAGTTCACTCACCAGGCACTTGGCTTAGGCTCTTTTACCAGAATGATCACACTTTTCAGAGTATCTATATTTAGAAAAGCATTTATATAACAGATACAGCAATAGTGTCAGCATAAATATGTCTAATATCTGTGAGTCACTGTGGGGTAGGGAAAGACCTAAGAAAACAGCTAATCCATCCTATAAAGTCGTGACATACACATACATTTTCATGTTTTCGCACTAATCTGATTACCGGCTTCCCCCTTTATTTGCACCCTGTGATAACCTTATACAGAACAATTTAGCGTAGATATTAGCTGATGGTTAGTTATATTAAGTTCTTCTACAGGCCATCCTTTTCCATTGGTATCAGGAAGTTTTAACCTGATTTTGCAATATATTTCATCATCAGTTTCAATATTAACACGAGTTATTTACATAAAATAGTTAAATATTACCAACAATGCCAATGTTATACCATACTGCAGTGTGATCATGGTATAAGCAGTTTCATTCCAGAACAAATCAGTAAGAATTAGAGAAGTATTTACTATCCCTTTCTAACAGTTGTGGCCCATGCTCGTACACCATATTATTACTGACAAGTATCATTACAATTAGCCATGATTTGGTTATTTCCGGGTTCCAACTCTGTTGGGGACAAGTTCAGTTACCCTATCTAGGTTTAAAAGCTTTCCACTGAAACTAGTTTCTATTGTGTGCTGCTATATAGCGGGACCCACCTCTGTCCTCAGGTGAGGGCACGGTGTTTTCAGAATAGTTCCCAGAACTCCTAATTGTACTACAGGTTATATCTTACTCAGATCTACTCTTGGGATGAAGGCAGTCATAGTCCATCAGTGAAAATTATCAGTGCCTCAGAGAACTTCGATAAGTTATAAGGTCTACAAGGTTCCCTTCAGTGATCCCCTTGTGCCTATTCAAGTAGAATGGAAGGCCATTGCCCCAGGGCTGCTTTTGCTTCTGTCTGCATCACAACAGCCAATAGGGACAGTGCACAGTGGCTCACGCCTGTAATCCCTGCACTTTGGGAGGCTGAGGCGGGTGGATCAATTTAGTTCAGGAGTTTGAGACTAGCCTCGGCAACATGGTGAAACCCCGCCTCTACTAAAAATATAAAAATTAGCTGAGCATGGTGGTGCTTGCCTGTAGTCCCATCTGCTTGGGAGGCTGAGGCAGGAGAATTACTTGAACCTGTGAGGCAGAGGTTGCAGTGAGCCAACTTCACACCACTGTAGTCCAGCCTTGATTGGTGACAGAGCAACCCTGTCTCAACAAACAAACAAACAACACACACACACACAAACAAACCAAACCAAAACAAACAAACAAAAAAACCAACCAACCAACCGACAAGCAACAAAAAAACCAGCCAATAAGTCCTGTTGGGTCAGGGCACAAACCCCTCCTCTAACACTGAGTCCTAGCAGTATCCTGCGTTATTTGCTGAGTCTGCATGACCCATTCCACCTGAACTTCATTACGTTTCTATGTTGAGTTCACTCCTTTGCCTTCCTCATGGAAGAGAATTCCCTCTTTTTTGCTTATTCTAGTTAACATTTCTCCCCCTCTTAAAGTGAATTCAGCTCATCCCAGGATGCCTAGGTAGGCATCTATTTCCTCTAAAAGCTTTTCTTATCTTGTGGGACAGTCACCATTCTTTTTGTTGTCAAATCAAATGTCACAGAGAATTCTATCAGTGAAATATTTTGTCATAATGGATGGTAGACACTGAGAGGAAAATCGTATGCTATTGTGCGAGGGCTAGAAATGGGCAGGTTGATTTTAAAATTGGCTGAGGAGCACCAAGAAAAAAAAATGGAAACAATAATACATTAGTATACAACACTTTACATTTCAGGAATAAAAAGGAAGCAAGATAGGTTAATACTTTCTGAGATTAGTGAAAGTAAGATAACTTGTGCTCTGAATATCAGAGTAGTGTTCAGCTTTAGAAATCCCTGTCGTATCAGTCTAGTGATTCCCTTCTTTACATAGTAAAGATTTCTACAGCATAAGATTTCCAGGCCGGGCTCAGTGGCTCACGCTTGTAATCCTAGCACTTTGGGAGGCTGGGGCGGGCAGATCATGAGGTCGGGAGATGGAGACCATCTCGGCCAACATGGTGAAACCCCGTCTCTAGTAAAAATACAAAAATTAGCTGGGTGTGGTGGTGGGCACCTGTAATCCCAGCTATTCGGGAGGCTGAGGCAGGAGAATCACTTGAACCTGGGAGGCAGAGGTTGCAGTGAGCCAAGATCGTGCCACTGCACTCCAGCCTGGTGACAGAGCAAGACTCCATCCTAAAAAGAACTCTAACATATCCTGAGGTTTTGATATTAGTAATTTTTCCTTCTATGTTCTCTTCCAGGCAAAATTATTATCAGCTATCAGCTTAGGGTTAAGAGTTACATTTCTGGGTATTCCAGGCTAAGATGAGAGTGGCTCTCTCAAAATATAATTAAAACTAGGACTTTTTCAATATCAAGATATAAGATGCTTTTAATAAAATGGTTGCTAAATATAAAAGAAAACAATTAAAAATCTACGATCTTGTTAAATCCACTCTTAAAAATTAATCTGTACAAGATATCTCTGTGCTTGTTTTCACTGGACTGCTGTGCTCCAATTAGAATGTTGAGTTGCAAACTTTTATCCTAAGATCTCAGGCTCAAATTAGTGATGGAGTATGAGGAGCCTGCTCTTAATTCCTGTGTGATGGAGAAACCATGAATATTTACAGTCCACTGGCTATTGAGTCATGGCATATTTTAGAAAGTGTCAAAGGAGGAAAAGTCTCACTCTCAAGTAAGTACAATGTGATCACAGGAATTTGACTGCAAGACATGTCTAATCACATGCTCCCTGAGGCCCCACCCAGTGAGGGTCTCTAAAGTGGGATCAGCTGGAACTATGCTAGTTTTAAGATCTAGAACAAGGGTTCACAAACTACTGTCCCTGGGCACCATTCCAGCAGCCACCTGTTTTTACAAATAAAGTTTTATTGGAACACGGGCACACCCATTTGTTTACACATTGTCTATGGCTGCTTTTGTCAGAGTTGAGTTGTTTTGACGCAGAAGATGGCCCTCAAAGCCTTAAGCATTAACCTGTGTATCTTCACAGGAAGTGTCACTAATTATTGATCTTGAGGATGTGTACTATGCTCCTGTTAACTCAATGTGACTTGGCTACTATTGGCACAAACTCTGCTAGTATCAACCATTTCCAATATTAGAAATAGATTTCCAATAACCTCAATGATAAATAAGCCATTAAAAATTTCAGACATCTTAGTGGGTATATAATAGTATCTCATGGTGGTTTTAATTTACAATTCCTTGCTTACTAATGGTGGAAAGCAGCATTTGTATGTTTATCAGCCCCTTGTATTTTCTGTAAGAGTATATGTTCACATGTTTTGCTAATTTTATAAAATTTGGTTGTTTATATTTTTTATTGCTGATTTAAAGGAGTTCTTTCTATGTACTGTATGAACAATAGTTCCATTTCTGGGTACATGTAGTTTCCATACGATCACTTGGTTTGTGGCTTGCATTTCTTCTTTCTTAATGGTGACTTTGATGAGCACAATGATTAATGTGAAGAGGTCCTATATTTATCGAACTTAAAAATTTTATATCTAGGGACTTTTGTGTCTTCTTTATGAATTTATGCCTATCCAGGATTATAAATGCATTTACCTATCTTTTCTAAAAGATTTGTGTCTTCAGTTTATATGTATAGGTCTATAGTATTCCAGTTTAAGGTAGCATTTATTCTAGCAGAAGACAAAAAAAAAAGCCAACTTCTATATTTTGCAGGGAGCAAGGCTCCCTCCCCATGGTTCCCTTTGAGATGTCTCACGTCAGCCTCTCCTTCCTCAGTGCCCTCCTCAGGGCGCCCTTGACCTCTGCATTCCTTAGGCTATATATCAGGGGGTTCAGCATTGGATTGAAAAGGCTGTAAAACAGGGAAAGAACTTTCTGCTGCTCCTCAGGATGGCGGGACTTGGGGGCCATGTACGTGACAATGGCGCTGCCAAAGAAGAGTCCCACCACGCAAAGGTGGGAGGAGCAGGTGGAGAAGGCCTTTCTGCGGCCCTCCCCAGACTGGATCCTCAAGATGGCGGCCAGGATGCGCAAGTAGGAGACCAGCACCAGGCAGAGTGGCCCCACCAGGATGAACACGCAGGCTGCAAAGATGACCACCTGGTTGAGCCAGGTGTCAGCACAGGCCAACTTGAGGACAGACAGGATTTCACAGAAGTGGTTGATTTCATGAGGCCCGCAGAAGGGCAGCCTCAGGATGAGAACTAAAGGGACCAGAGCCAGGAGGAAGCTGAACACCCAGGAAGCCACAGCCAGGACAGTGCACACTCTCCAGCTCATGAGGATATTGTAACGTAAGGGGTGGCAGATGTCCGCATAGCGATCATAGGACATCACCACCAAAATCAGACACTCTACGTGAGCAAAAGCCAAATACAAGAATGTCTGCATTATGCATGGAAAAAAGGAGATGGTGCTTTCCTGGTTCATAAGATTCGTCAGCATCTTGGGGACATAGTTGGAAGCATAGGATATGTCAACAATGGCCAGGTGTGAGAGGAAGAAGTACATGGGTGTGTGAAGCTTACAGTCCAGGCAGATAATCCCAAAGATGACCCCATTCCCCAGCAGGGTGAGTGTATAGAAGGCAGAGAAAAGTCCACAGAGGAGAATCTCCAGTGCTGGACCAACCTGGAATCGCGGCAAGGTGATGTCTGTGATCCATGTCTTGTTGCCTTCCATGCTCTTGTGGACATCTAGGACAGGAAGGTCAGAGCTGTGGGCCAGTCAAAGATGCACAGAGGGAGCACTTAGAAATTATAACTTTGAATGAATTTTCTAGAATTTATTCTCAGATATGTTGCCAAAACTAACCAAGTGTGCTCATAAAAATGAGAAAAAAATCGCATTGTATCAATGGAATAATAAGAATACATACATGTATATCTGTATATATATTTGTGTGTGTATGTGTACATGTATATAACATTTAATAAAATATAACAAAACAGGATCTATTATAATATACCCTACATAAGGGGATACACACGCACATGTGTTATTTTGAAGAACTCAAGTATCCTTGCTTCCCTTTCAGTGTGAAATCTTGATTTTTACGTAGTTTGAGAAGAGAGGACCTTGACAAATGTTGCATTATGAGGTGGTTTCACTTGCTCATCCTGCTTCCTTCTCAGTCTGAGATGTGCAGGGACGGGGACCCTCTGTTTGCCATGGGCTTGCTCACTGTCCCTCACTTCCTCACAGGCTTTTCTACCCACTTATTTCAGATTTGAAATCACTTTTAAATAGCTTTCAATTTTGTAGTTTCTTTAAAGCTTTCTGAGATAAGATGCTGCTTTTCAGAAGCTGGCCAGTACTCCCTAGCAGCAACTTTAGGTGCCTCTTTTCCATATCTGGTGTTTGTAGTTTTATTTTGAGAGTTTTCCTTACTTCTTCATCAGCATCTGTTATTGTAAATTAGGCATGAGTGAAATAATTCTTGGCTACATACAATGAATACGTGTATATATCTTTAAAATAACTAAGCATGGTGACATTTCTGAGGTCTTTTAAATAAGAAATTCAAAAGAAAAACCAATTTACATTAAGTGGTTACATTTAAAGATGATCGCTGTATCGTAATTGTATTTTATTGGACTCTTTTCTCGATTATAACTTAATATGTTGACATCTCTCAGAGCTTATCTTACTTTCCAGTGTGACAGAGTCTTTTGTCATCAATATATTCCCAGCTATGGCAACTGGGGTTGCTGTCGGTTCCCCTAACTGTATTCTTCTCCATCACCTGTGATCATGCCAGCAGCCCTGTTGCTGTTCAGATGGAATCTGAGCAGGTGATGGGGATGGGATCAGGTGCAGCCCCAGCTGGTGAGCTCTTTCTAAGGAGCTCTTCCTGGAGGGTCTGGGTCTATCCAGCCAGCAGGGGGCGACCAAGGGCCATGAACAGGACGGATGGCCTCATCAGGTGGAGAAACCATGTGACCTGGTGCTGTTCTGTTAACACTTCACATTTATTCCAGAAACAGCCTGAGGACTATCTTTATTTTCAAATCAGGCTAAAGGTTCAAATCCAACAGGATACTTTTAAAAAAACAATTTTGATGTCTTTTATTTTAGTAAATACGTAGATCCTCAAATTTATATATTAAAATAGGGTATTGTACAGAGTATTTAAACATTACAATTTTTCACTTAATATAATACTTTTCCTGTATCGAAATTATATTTTATGGACATTATTTTAAAGGGGCACAATATTCTGTCACAATTTACTGAATTTCTTACTGTTTGAATTTTTGTTTATTTCTTATTTTTATTGGCATTGAGATACATTTCTCTTAAACTTAAGATTTGCCTATATTCATAATTATTTATTAGAACATATTCTAAAAGTGAAATTGCAGATGCTAAATATACAGACATTTCTAAGGTTTTTATCCCTATTTTAACTTCCATCTAGAAAATCTGACCAATTGCAATTCCCTCCCACAGTGTGTAAGAATCATGTCTCTTTGCCACATAGTCAGTACTAGGCATTACCAATTACAATCTCTGTTACTTTCATAAGCAAACAATGTTCTGTAACTTATATTTGTATTTTGTATATCCCTTAACGAATGATCCTTGAGTGCATGATCTGTTTCAGCCACTGTTCTAAGCTTTAGAGGCCCAGCTGTGGATGATGTAAACACATTCTGAAAGGGAGGCAGATTATAAAGAAGTAATATTAAGGTGATGTGCTTCTCTTTCACACCTCACATTTCTATTTAGGGAAGGAAACCTCTATGCCCCTGGATAAAATTGTTTTAGAGTATACCTGCCTCTCTCTTTCCCCTAATTTATATGATTTGTGAAACAGGAAAGAGAAACTGAGGGTGACCTTTCTCTGTTCTCTGTTTCACCTGCATGCATTTCTATCTGCTTGGGATTAAGGTATCAGGAGCATGTTCAGTCCCATTTGGAGGTGGGGAAGGGGTGTCAGCTAACGGTTGTGATTTTAATTTGGAGAGAAACTTTGTTGAAAATATAAACCATGCTTTTCAACAGACTTTATTAATAAAATACCTTTTTGAATTATATCCGATTCTTTCATGTATTATTCAACTCATTTTTTCCAGACTTGGAACAGAGAGAGGGCATGATTCATTACCACTGTAAAAGACCAGGAGTAAACAAGTAAAGATAATTGCTGGCCATGAAAAGAACAATGAAGGAAATAATCTAGGTAAAATAATAGAAAGCTACTTGATTTGAGGGGGGTCTCCTTTAGATGGGATGGTTGGAAAAGGTCTCTCTTAAGAGGAGACAGGTGAGTGGAACCTAAACCATGAAGGCCACAACCCTGCCCAGAGCCAAAAGAGGATCATTCTCTACACAGAGAACAGTAATGGAACAGTAAACGCAAAGTCTCTGAACAAGATGCACTTGGTGAGTTCTGGGAAGAGAAAGAAAGAAACACAATGTACCTGAACCATAGTGAGCAGGAGATTGTACTTATTCTTTGTAACCTTGTTTATATTTTTAACAATCTGAAATTGACATAAAAAATTCATCAGTTTAGCTGATATACTTTTGACTTTATAATAATTGATTTACTTTTAGATTCATGAAAGCAGAATACAGTTAAAAGATATGTATGTACAGAACTTCCAATGAGCACATATTTGAAATAGGAAACTGTTTAATTTTCTGCACAATATAATTTTAATGCCAGAATGGTAGTTGTCAATTTTTGGACACAGCAAATGTTGTGTTAATGTCCCAATGAATCAAGCTGAAAAGGAGAAGCCTTTTATCCCTGAGACCTCCAAGCACATGGATATTTTGCATATTTTTAGTCCCTCCTGGCTCCCATCTGTGGTGTACACATCTGTGCTCCTACTGTTCCAAGGCCCAGTGACCTAGGTAGCAGGCATTTGGATGCTTTAGGAGTAAAAAAAAAATCCAGTCATTACCAAATAAATACAATTGTTTGGTTAATCTAAATTCATAATTAAGCAAATCTGGGTTTATAGTTTTATTTGTAATTTTTGTGAAGTAAGGAATTTCGGGGAAAAAAACCCCAGCAGCCTAGAATAAACTATTTCTAAAGAGCAGGAATAAAGAAAGAAACAAATAGAATTCTTAGTGAAAGTGAAATTTAATCAGACGTGAACTACATCCAAACTGTATAAAACTCTGGTCATCAACTGTGCTTTTAACAGTTGTGTACAAGAGGCCACAAGGAGAAAAGTCTATAATGGTGGCTACCTACACACAAAAATTGTCCATCAGTTCAATTGTGAAGTTAAGTAAACAAATATATAGTATAAGAGGAAAATAGTTTTTTTCCTTTTATTTATTGGCATCCTTTTGTATTTTGGATTTCACAGTTCAAGTAGTCAGACTTTTCTTTTAGAAAAGCCTGTGGAAGTTCAATAAAGAATCAGATATCTGAAAGGAAGATTTATTTAGGCATCCACTCCAGTTACACATTACAGAACAATCTTCAGTGGATGGAGTAAGGGAAAAAACTGCATGGATACATTTTTCTGTTCTTAAAGAGCAAAGCAAATTTAGCAGTGACAGAAAAAAATATGGTCTCTGAATAAGAATGAAAGCAACAGGAGTAACAGTCTTGGCCAGAATACTATTCCAGTCTTGATTCTGAGCAATGAACATGACGCATTTGAGTCACGTATTCTAAGGCTCATTATTGTCAAATGTAAAATGTTGACCACAGATACCAAAAGGACTGATGTGAAGAAGAAATACCATCGCACTGGTACATTATAGGAATTTAATAAATGTCAGCTGTTACTAATGATATTAAAGCGATCGTAAAATTGAGGGAAGTATTAAAGCATAGGAATTGGAAATCCAGTGCAATCATCATGGTGTTGCAAACACTTTCACGTTTATCTTGCTTTTCTTTTTGGCTGTTTTTGAGTTTAAATATAAGACACACATTTTGCTTTGATTTCCTAATATAAATGTTCCTATATTTTGATTTTTAAAATTAAAAAGCAATTTAAAGAAATAGAAGACTCCTTTGAAGTAACCACACTCCCTTACTGAAGAAAAAAAAATACAGGCTGTAATAGTAAGAGGTCAATCCCACCATGCTAAATATCCCAATGATAGAGAGAGGATTAATTTTTTGGAAAGAAAAGGGGGGCGTATTTAGGGTGTTTAGCACTGACACAAAAGAAAAGTTTCTATTGAAAATTGTCTTAGAATGGGAGCCCTGGGGCCTCCAGCAGTGGGGTTGTAAGGCAGCACTGATTTGTCAAATCTTTGCAATTACTCAGAAATAACTTGCCATCTCCAATAATATACTTTGACACTGAGCTTAGTCCTAGGGAGCAGCCTAGTTTTTTTTTTTTTTTTTTTTTTGAGACGGAGTTTCGCTCTTGTTGCCCAGGCTGGAGTGCAATGGTGAGATCTCGGCTCACCACAACCTCCGCCTCCCAGGTTCAAGCAATTCTCCTGCCTCAGCTCCCCAAGTAGCTGGGATTACAGGCATGCACCACCATGCCTGGCTAATTTTGTATTTTTATTAGAGATGGGGTTTCTCCGTGTTGGTCAGGCTGGTTTCAAACTCCTGACCTCAGGTGATCTGCCTGCCTTGGCCTCCCAAAGTGTTGGGATTACAGGCGTGAGCCACTGCACCCGGCCGCAGCCTAGTGTTAAAAACAAATGAACAAGCATGGATTCCTGAGCCCTGCAGCCTGGGTTCAGATCCTGGCTTTGCTGCATACTAGCTTTATGACTTCTCTGTGCCTCTTCATGCCTCAGTTTCCCAATCTACAAAATGGGGTGAGTAATAAATTCTGTCTCATAACATAGTTGTGAGGATTAAATGCATTAACTCACATAAGAACTTGGGTTTTTTAGATATATAATTAGGGATATGAGAACCATCGTTGGTGAGAATGTCTGGATCCAGTCATCATAAGGAGACATGTTCTGTGCTCAATGGTTCCTCTGCTAAAATCAGAAAAAAAAAAGAGAACCTGTACCCTGACAGGCACTGGCTTTTCCCTGTGAGTGAATGGTGCCTGTATCCAGAACAACTGAGAAGGGGATCTTGTCTGGCGACACAACGCTTCTGAGAATGTGCAGGACTAGGCAGTTAGCAGAGGGGCAAGGAGGATACATCCCTGGGTAAGCAAACCACTTACAAACTCTACTTCAGTTTTTAAAATTAGCATTATTTGTAAAAAAGAGTCACCTGAGCCGCATAGCCCCTGACAATCATTGGAGCCCTTTAGCCAGATCATACCCTATAGGGATGGTTATCTGATCTTCTTCTATGGCACAGTGATGACAAAGCCAGGAGCTGCCACAGGGTAATGAGGGGATATGGATGGAGGGGCCGAGAAGGTCAGAGGTACATGGCCATATCCTGGGATAGACGGTGGCCCCTAGAGGTCCCCTCAGGACCCTAGCTATAAATACAGACTTAGAAGCAGAAGGAGACCACATAGCACAGGCATTTCATCGCTACTCTCTGGAGCCAGTGATTTCATTCACTGCCCCTTTCCCATTCCCATCTGTAAACCCTTTCTCAAGGCAAATACACCACATTTACTTACAGTAGAATAATCTGTGGTCTTTTCTTCTAACATACCCTTGGGCTTGCTAGGAACCTCAAAGACAGGAAAGGCAGAATGGATAGACTGGGATTGATTCTCCTCGCTAATGAGGCCTTCTTGGGAGGTGAAGCCCAGACACAAAGCTCTCCTGAACTTTATGATACAATTAGTTGTGTAAGCCAGGCTTTTTCTACCATCATTTGACTAGACACTCACTCCCTGCAGAGAAAAATAATAATTGAGAGAACAGAACCCAGTGGTAATACTTCTAATCATATCTCTCCAGAGACAATTAAAGATATTTGCTACTTTCCTATTAGCAGGCAAACCAGTGAAGGCATTGCCCATGTTTATTCATTTTGTTCTTTCAGCATTCCCATGGGATGTGTTATGTGTGTTTACTTGGGATTGGACAGGGACAGGATTTCTGTTAAAAGACAAGACTCTTGAACAGAAGATTTAAAAACCAAGATCATGTCTTAAATTAATTTCTTTCAATACTTATTCTATCAATCTTAAAATTGTTCCACTCTCTAATTCCTAGTTTCCCTAGAGGAGAGCCAATGATCTCTTGGTCTCTGCTGGTTAGAGGTCCCTGAATTCTGTTAAAGCATCACTTCAGAGAAATAGCTTTCTCTCAATGGAGAAAACGTCATTGTAAAATAACTACTGCAAATTTCTCACAAATATTATTGACTTGGTAGTTCAGGTATACTTCATCTTCTTCCTTGAATTTCTTCAGTGTGCCTTCCATCTCAAGCATTTCTTAGCCACATATTTATTTCCTTATTGTGGGTTAGTGCCTACAGATAAAATGGCCATACTCTTTCTTTCTCTATCCTTTTTTTTTTTTTGCACTAAGTGATAAAGTTTGACGATTGTAAAATCCTTCCAGTTCTTACCCTCTGAGTGTCTTTTCTTAACCTAGATCTCAATAGAGGTTTAATTCTTAAATTATGGTGGAGGGAGCACTTCAAAATAATAGTAATAGATTTAACCTATCATGGAGAACAGTAAAAGATATATCCAAGAGGAGTATAATTGGAGTTATTTTTCTTTTAACATAATCTGTGTGACCAATAGAGGCTTACTCTACTTACCTCATTATTCTTCAAAGCACACACTCTACTTCATTCAAGTACTACCCCTAGCAGCTCCCAGTCTTGAAATTCTTATTCCTTATTTCAAGACAATTTTAACTGTTCTACCCACTTGACTTCATACTTAATACTGATTCTGCAAAGCACTCTTGGAGCCCTCTTCACCAATCCAACCCAAACTGGTCTCCCTTGTGAAATAGAACATAACATTTACATTTAGCATGCTTTCAGGTTGTACATAAATAGCTTTTTACTCCCAGTATCTTTATCATTAACGTTTTCTAAAAAGTTACCACAGAAAATTAATTTGATCACCAACATTTGGTGGGCTCTTTTTTGGTTCCATATGAACTTTAAAGTAGTTTTTTTCCAATTCTGTGAAGAAAGTCATTGGTAGCTTGATGGGGATGGCATTGAATCTATAAATTACCTTGGGCAGTATGGCCATTTTCACGATATTGATTCTTCCTACCCATGAGCATGGAATGTTCTTCCATTTCTTTGTATCCTCTTTAATTTCATTGAGCAGTGGTTTGTAGTTCTCCTTGAAGAGGTCCTTCACATCCCTTGTAAGTTGGATTCCTAAGTATTTTATTCTCTTTGAAGCAATTGTGAATGGCTCTCATGATTTGGCTCTCTGTTTGTCTGTTATTGGTGTATAAGAAAGCTTGTGATTTTTGTACATTGATTTTGTATCCTGAGACTTTGCTGAAGTTGCTTATCAGCTTAAGGAGATTTGGGGCTGAGACAATGGGGTTTTCTAGATATACAATCATGTCGTCTGCAAACAGGGACAATTTGACTTCCTCTTTTCCTAATTGAATACCCTTTATTTCCTTCTCCTGCCTAATTGCCCTGGCCAGAACTTTGAACACTATGTTGAATAGGAGTGGTGAGAGAGGGCATCCCTGTCTTGTGCCCGTTTTCAAAGGGAATGCTTCCAGTTTTTGCCCATTCAGTATGATATTGGCTGTGGGTTTGTCATAGATAGCTCTTATTATTTTGAAATATGTCCCATCAATACCTAATTTATTGAGAGTTTTTAGCATGAAGAGTTGTTGAATTTTGTCAAAGGCCTTTTCTGCATCTATTGAGATAATCATGTGGTTTTTGTCTTTGGTTCTGTTTATATGCTGGATTACATTTATTGATTTGCATATATTGAACTAGCCTTGCATCCCAGGGATGAAGCCCACTTGATCATGGTGGATAAGCTTTTTGATGTGCTGCTGGATTCGGTTTGCCAGTATTTTATTGAGGATTTTTGCATAAATGTTCATCAAGGATGTTGGTCTAAAATTCTCTTTTTTGGTTGTGTCTCCACCCAGCTTTGGTATCAGGATGATGCTGGCCTCATAAAATGAGTTAGGGAGGATTCCCTCTTTTCCTATTGATTGGAATAGTTTCAGAAGGAATGGTACCAGTTCCTCCTTATACCTCTGGTAGAATTCGGCTGTGAATCCATCTGGTCCTGGACTCTTTTTGGTTGGTAAGCTGTTGATTATTGCCACAATTTCAGATCCTGTTAAAGGATTCCCTATTTAATAAATGGTGCTGGGAAAACTGGCTAGCCATATGTAGAAAGCTGAAACTTGATCCCTTCCTTACACCTTATACAAAAATTAATTCAAGTTGGATTCAAGACTTAAATGTTAGAGCTAAAACCATAAAAACCCTAGAAGAAAACCTAGGCATTACCATTCAGGACATAGGCATGGGCAAGGACTTCATGTCTAAAACACTAAAAGCAATGGCAACAAAAGCCAAAATTGACAAATGGGATCTAATTAAACTAAAGAGCTTCTGCACAGCAAAAGAAACTATCATCAGAGTGAACAGGCAACCGACAAAATGGGAGAAAATTTTCGCAACCTACTCATCTGACAAAGCGTTAATATCCAGAATCTACAATGAACTCAAACAAATTTACAAGAAAAAAACAAACAACCCCATCAAAAAGTGGGCAAAGGACATGAACAGACACTTCTCAAAAGAAGACATTTATGCAGCCAAAAGACACATGAAAAAATGCTCATCATCACTGGCCATCAGAGAAATGCAAATCAAAACCACAATGAGATACCATCTCACACCAGTTAGAATGGCAATCATTAAAAAGTCAGGAAACAACAGGTGCTGGAGAGGATGTGGAGAAATAGGAACACTTTTACACTGTTGGTGGGACTGTAAACTAGTTCAACCATTGTGGAAGTCAGTGTGGCGATTCCTCAGGGTTCTAGAACTAGAAATACCATTTGACCCAGCCATCCCATTACTGGGTATATACCCAAACGACTATAAATCATGCTGCTATAAAGACACATGCACATGTATGTTTATTGAGGCACTATTCACAACAGCAAAGACTTGGAACCAACCCAAATGTCCAACAATGATAGAGTGGATTAAGAAAATGTGGTACATATACACCATGGAATACTATGCAGCCATAAAAAATGATGAGTTCATGTCCTTTGTAGGGACATGGATGAAATTGGAAATCATCATTCTCAGTAAACTATCGCAAGGACAAAAAAACAAACACCGCATATTCTCACTCATAGGTGGGAATTGAACAATGAGAACACATGGACACAGGAAGGGGAACAGCACACTCTGGGGCCTGTTGTGGGGTGGGGGGAGGGGGGAGGGATAGCATTAGGAGATATACCTAATGCTAAATGACAAGTTAATGGGTGCAGCACACCAGCATGGCACACGTATACATATGTAACTATCCTGCACATTGTGCACATGTACCCTAAAACTTAAAGTGTAATAATAATTAAAAAAAAAAAAAAAGAAATGGGATGTCACCAATCAATGGTCACAGAATTCATCCTGGTGGGATTCCAGCTCAGTGCTGAGATGGAAGTGCTCCTCTTTTGGAGCTTCTCCCTTGGAATAGCCTTGGAACTCATCTGTCTGGACCACAGTCTGCACACTCTCATACTTCTTCCTCTCACACCTGGCCGTCATTGACATGTCCTATGCTTCCAACAATGTTCCCAAGATGCTGGTGGATCTTGCAAACTAGAAAAGCACCATGTGCTTTTTTCCATGCATAATGCAGACATTCTTGTATTTGGCTTTTGCTCACATAGAGTGTCTGATTTTGGTGGTTTTGTCCTATGATCGCTATGTGGCCATCTGCCACCCCTTACGTTACAATGTCCTCATGAGCTGGAGAGAGTGCACTGTCCTGGCTGTGGCTTCCTGGGTGTTCAGCTTCCTCCTGGCTCTGGTCCATTTAGTTCTCATTCTGAGGCTGCCCTTCAGTGGGCTCATGAAATCAACCACTACTGTGAAATCCTGTCTGTCCTCAAGTTGGCCTGTGCTGACACCTGGCTCAACCAGGTGGTCATCTTTGCAGCCTGCATGTTCATCCTGGTAGGGTGACTCTGCCTGGTGCTGGTCTCTTACTTGGGCATCCTGGCGGCCATCCTGAGGATCCAGTCTGGCGAGGGCCACAGAAAGGACTTCTCTACCTGCTCCTCCCACCTCTGTGTGGTGGGGTTCTTCTTTGGCAACGCCATTGTCATGTACATGGCCCCCAAGTCCCGCCATCCCGAGGAGCAGCAGAAGGTCCTTTCCCTGTTTTGCAGCCTTTGGAATCAGGTGCTGAACCCTCTGATCTACAGCTTGAGGAATGCAGAGGTCAAGAGTGCCCAGAAGAGGGCACTGAGGAAGGAGAGGCTGATGTAAGACATCTCAAAGGGCACCACGAGGAGAGGGCCCTGCTCCGTACAAAATGTGTAAGTTGGCTTTTTTGTTTTCTGCTAGGATAAATGCCACCTTAAAATTAACTATTTATTGACTTAAACATATAAACTGAAATCTTAAACTCTTGAGAGGAAAATAGAAGAATATTTTCATTAATTAAGTAGAAATATATTTGTAGAAAAGACACAATAATCCATAGAAGTAAAATTTGAATAATTGATTAACATTGAAAATCTTTGAAATTAATCACTGTGATTATCAAAGTCCCCATTAAGAAACAAGAAATGCAGGCAGAAAGTGATAAAATTCACTGTTCTTTATCTAGCAAAGAAACTAAAGACAATGTATTGAAAGAACTCTTTCAAATTAATATTAAAAGACAAACAAATTTTATAAAATGAGCAAAGCGCTTGAATAGAAACTTCTCCAAAGAAATACAAGTGGTCAATAAACATGTAAAATGCTGCTCTTCACCATTAGTCAGCAAGAAAATGTAAATTACAGTCACCATCAGGTAGCATTTTATATCCCCTCAACTGTCTAAAATTTGTAATGGATTATTTGTTATTGAAATGATTGGAAATCTAACTCCAATAATTGGGAAACAGCCAATACTAGTAAAGTTTGTACCCATTGAATTAATATGTTAGAGCACATTATATATTCTCTGGGTCAATAGTTAGTGACTTTTTCCTGTAAAAGTCCACAGAAAAATATATAAGACTTTGAGGACCATCTTCTTCATCGTAAAAGGTCAACTCTGGCAAAAGCAGTCATAGACAATGTGTAAATGAATGGGTGTGGCTGTGTTTTAGTAAAATTTTCTTTGCAAAAACAATGACCGATCAAAGGGGCCCAAGGACACTAGACTGCCAATACTTGTTCTAGATCTATGAGCTAGTCTAGGTCCAGCTGATTCAAAGTCAGAGATCTTCACTGGGTAGGGCCTCAGGGACCATACCATATGATTAGATGTGTTTTAAGAACAAGACCCAGTGGTCACTTTGGAGTCATTCCAGAGTGAGGCTTTTCTCTTGATAACTTATAAAATATATGACATAATGGCTTATGGACTATAAATACCCATGCTTGCTCCAATATAATTCAATAATAACATTAGCAATCCAATAAAAACAAGCACAGAGACATCTGGTACAGATTAGCTTTTTCAGTGCTGGACATATCAGGGACTTAGATTTTTAGTTATTTACTTTAAAACTTTACAGCCAATTTACTAGAAGCTGTTTATACCTTTATGTTAAAATCATTCTAGTTTTAATTATACATTCAGAAAGTCACTCTTATCTCATCGTGGATTACTAGGTAATGTAATTCTTGACCCTCATCTGATAGCTGATAATAATTTTGCATAGGGAATCACAAGGAAAGATTATAAATAACTAAGCCTCAGGACAAGTTGGAGTTCTTATAGTGGAGAAACTTTTTCCGTGTAAAGAGGGGAATCACATACCCTAATAGGGCAGGAAAGTTCTAAAGCTGAGAATTACTCCAATATTCAGAGACTGAGTTATCTTAATTTGTCATCTCAGAACATTTTACATCTATCAAGCTTCTTTTCTTACCCTGAAATAAATTGTTGTGTAACAGTATGTGTTATGATTTTCTTCTCCCTTTCTTGTTTCTCTTCAGCCAATTTTAAATCAACACACCCATTTCTAGCCTTCATATACCTGTACATAAACATTCTCTCAGTGTCTCCCAGCTCCCTGGTGCATAATATTCCATGGATAAAATGCTCCGTGCCATTTGCTTTCAAATATTGGTTTGCCATCTTCTCACAAAAAGATTTGAGCATTCCTAGCTACCATTTGTCTTAAAACTTGTAATAAAGGAAGTACAGTGATGTAATTTAAATATGAAAAAATACCTTCTGATTGTAAACTTCAAGCTTATGAAATGATGAATCCCTGATTTCTAAAAGCAAAATGAAACAAAAATAAATCTATTTCATAACTTGTCAACAGTATTCCAATCTAGTCCAATTTATCAATATTTGCTTTTAATGCAATCTGAAGATTTTTCAACTTGGTATATTATTTTACAAAAGCAACTTTGTGCATTATTTTTAAAAATCTTCCCTTAGATATGTCATAAAAACATTATATTTGTGTCTTTGAAATAGGTCTTGAATATTCAAAGGTCTTGAATACACAGGAATTGAGTGATTTTGCAGGCTTTGAGTATTTTTAGGGAGACTCAATTGTCCCAGCCCCATTTACTGCAAAGTCCTTCCTTCTCCAATGATTGATCATGCTGTGCTACCTGTAGTTTAGCAAGAGCTAAAAGAGGCATAAATCTACTTCCATAATTTATATTCTATTCAGTTTGTTTCTTGGTACATCCTTGTATGAATTTTGTAAAATTTTATTTTAATTGTTTTTGCTTTTCAAAAATAGATTTTCATATCAATTTTGTAACAAGCTACCTTAACTTTTCATATAATTTTAATAATATGTTAGAAGATTATTTTAGATTTTCTGCATATCTGACAATTGTGTCCTTTGCGTTAATTACAGTTTGTTTCTTCTTTCTCAAATGTGTGTGTGTGTGTGTGTGCGCGCACACGCATGGGTGTCTATTTATTCCTTTTGCCTAATTGTACTGGTAGGAATCTTTAGTAAGAAACTGAGAAAAAGGAAAAAAAGTGACAATGATGTGCATCCTTACCTTGTCCTTTATATTAAATGGAAAGATGCTAGCATTTCACCATTCAGTAGGCTATCTGCTGCGTTTTTTGTTTGTTTGGTGTTTTTTTTTTTTTTTTGTAGGTTATCTTTAAGAAGGCTTACTGCCATATAAGTTATAAAAAGTTTTATCATGACTTGGCATTGAATTTTGTTAAATACTTTTCTCGATCTACCGAGATGGCCATATTATATGCATCCTTTAATTTATTAATGTGACAAATTATATTCATTATTTGCTTTCATGTTAAATATTTCCTACTTTCTGGGGATAAAAACAACTTAATCATAATCTGCTACTACTTTATTTTGCGAAATTTGACTTACTAATATTTTGTTTTTCCTTCTTAATGTTGATTTTAGCTAATACAAAACATTTTATCTTAAAATTATTTTTTATTTAAATTACAGTTCAAGTTCATCACACTCTGAGTTACTTAGAAGCACACAGTACTTAAATGACTTGGATTGTAAAGTTTATGTTTTGTGATACACAGGTGGGATAATTACAAATGAATAATACTAAGCATGGAGAAATGTAAGAGTATTTTATTTCAGTGTATATTATAAGCTGTATAATTAGGTAAAGTTGTTTTCATGACTTGAAAGGTGTCAATAAAATACATTTCTCTCCCCACAGCATCTTATCCTTTGGGCTTTCAGAGTGACTGAGATTTATTCCCCTGTATTAAGGCATCATATTTCCAGAAGTTCTCAATTAAAATAAATTATAAAGGAATGTATCCCAACCAAGTCCCTAATCTTTCCTGAATGACATAGGTTAGGATTTCTTATTTATCTATCTGTTTATTTATCATCTATTTATTTATTATTTTGTCAAGAGGCTTTAACATGAGTTCTACTCTCTTAAGAAGTTTTTAATTGCACTATGTAGTATGATCAACTATAGGGCGTAATGTTGTACACCAGATCTCTGGAACTTACTCATGTTGCATTACTGAAAATGCATATTCATTCAATAGCAACTTCATGTCTCCCCTTGCCCTCTGTCCCTGGCAACAAGAATCTATGCCGTTTTTATGAATTTGACTATTTTCAGATAACTCTTATAAGTAGAATCATGCAGTACTTGTTCTTCTGTGACTGGATTATTTTATTAGCATAATGTCATTCAGGTTCATTGATGTTGTAGCATGTGTTATGTATCACATGTTATCAAGCTTAGTAGATGAAATGCCTACTAATAATATAAAGAAGAAATGTAATAGTTCAACAATAGATTGACATTTTATATACTGTATGCTCTTGACAGACTTTTGTATTTAAAAGAGTTTCTCATAACAAAATTTTAAAAACATCTTACTGGTGATTAAATATTGTTATTCTACAGCAAGGCTGAAGACTTTGTTGTCTTTCAACACCTAAAAATATGACCTAATTTCAATATGATAACTGATTTTTATCTAACAACTTCTCTCTCCTTCCCTTTCTTTCTTTCTTTCTTTCTTTTTTCTTTCTTTCTCTCTTTCTTTCTTCTTTCTTTCATTTTTCTTTCCTAATATGACTCCTAGGTTTCAAGTAATAAAACTCTTTTCATGGCTTCTACACTTAAATTATATTTAGGGTTTTCCATATATTACTAAGTATCCATGATGATTTGTTCCTTCTTTTTATTAAAAAATGATAAAAATAGTCCTGTTTGGTATGTCCCATATTTGATTAATGCAACTTCTTTCTGAGCTGAGTAGCCCATAGCTGAGATCCAAGTGTTGAATAGGCTTCTCCTTTCTTATCATACATTACAGCAAATCCTGGAGAAGAGCATTAAAAAATAAGCTAAACTTTTCTCATGGTTTGTACATGAAAAACAATGTGCTATAGATATGCCTACAAACAACTATGAATTCATCACAAGACATTGTTTACTTACCATAGTTCACGACCTTCTGTATGACATTCTACACTTCATTTCCATAGTAATCTTACCCAAACTGATGAAAGCCTTGGCAAGCTCTGTCTAAAAGGGCCCTCATGTGGTAAAAGTCCTAATATTCATAAAAATAACTGACCTTGGCCAACTATACTAATGCCTATCAAAGCTTTACTATCTGCCCCCCATATTTACTGTTAAATATTGCTCTAACCCACTTCATTTACCTGCTTTCTTCTTCTGATCAAGGTGAACCTCGTGATTGTCTATAACTTGTTCAAATTCTAAATGACTCCTCCTTTAGTTTGAGGTACATTCTGTTAGTTAACCCTGACATGTCATTCTTTATTATCACTTGTATACTTAAAAATAATCAATGTATCCTTTGCATTGTATATGCCATAAATGTTAAATATATATGTAGAAATTACCTCTTTTTCCAATATTAATCTGCTGAAATGGTTAACCTGATAGCTTTGAAACAACCATGTCTCCTTGCTAAAAGTTTAAATATTTACACCTTTAGTAAAAATTTGACTTTTTGGTAGATCATAGTTTTAGTGTGTTATAAAAATATAAAAATTTACCAACTTTGTCAGACACCCTAATAATAATTGAAAAAGAAATTAATAACTTGACAGTATTGTACATCCAAAGGAAATCAGTTTTTAAAATCCTAAATAAAGATAATACTTGTAAAACTGATTTATTAATATACTGCCTTAGCTAACAACTACACAAAGAGTATTCATTATTTATTTTATCACCATCAGCATCATAAACACAACGTTTCAATCCGATCTCATGAATCTAGGAGATCTTTTGCCACCATGAAAGATAAATGATGTTGGTTATAACAAAGCTGTGTTGGGATGTTTGGTGTCACCATCTACATACAAGTTGGTTCAAACATTAAAAAGTATTGATGAAAAAAATTTCAAGAGCTTCAACAGGTGATTAAATCTTGCCTTTTCAGTAATTAGCATCACCCAAGAGTAAGTGTAAAGTTTGAATAATGCTCAAAACCATTGTTGTCTCCTGGGCCATTTGAATATTTACTCATGGATTTTCTTCATTTTACCAAATCCTGAAGCTTTAATATATTTTAGGGTTTTTTACACAGTTTAGTATTGATCTAAAGCTTTCCGTATCTTATTCCCTTTTACTCCTAAATTATTTCATCAAGGGATACAAGATGTTGTACAGACATACAGACCAACGGAACGGAATAGAAAACCCAGAAATAAAGCTGCACACCTAAAACCACTGGTCTTTGACAAAGTCAACAAAAATAAGCAATGGGGAAAGGACTTCCTGTTTGACAAATGGTGCTGGGATAACTGGCTAGCCATATGCAGAAGAGTGAAACTGGACCCCCTACTTTCACCATATATAAAAAATGACTCAAGATGGATTAAAGACTTAAATGTAAAATCACACCTATAAAAATTCTAGAAGAAAATCTAGAAAATACCCTACTTGACATCAGCATTGACAAAGAATTGTTGGCAAGGTCCCCAAAAGCCATTGTAAAAAACCAAAATTGACAAATGGGATGTAATTAAACTAAAGAGATTCTGCACAGCGAAAGAAACTATCAACAGAATAAATAGACAGTCTAAAGAATGTGAGAAAAAATTTGCAAACTATGCATCCAACAAGGTCTAATATTCAGAATCTATAAGAAACAAACAAATCAACAAACAAAAAACAACCCCATTAAAAATGGGCAAAGAATATAAACAAACACTTTACAAAAGAAGACATACAAGCAGCCAACAAACATGAAAAAATGCTCATCTTCACTAATAATCAGATAAATGCAAATCAAAACCACAATGACATTCTATCGTAAATCAGTCAGAATGGCTATTACTAAAAAGTCAAAACATAACAGATGTTGGCAAGGCTGCAGATAAAAGGAAACACTTATACACTGCTGGTGAAAACGTAAACTAGTTCAGTCATTGCAGAAAGAGGTTTGGAGGTTTCTTAAAGAACTAAAAATAGAACTACCATTCAACTCAACAATCCCATTACAGGGTATATACCCAAAGGAAAAGAAATATTTCTATCAAAGAAACACATACACGTGTATGTTCATCACAGTGCTATTCACAATAACAAAGGCATGGAATCAACCTAGGTGGCCATCAGAAGTAGACTGGATAAAGAAAATGTGGTACATATACACCGTGGAATACTACATAGCCAATGAACATGAAATTATGTCCTTTGCGGCAATATGTATGCAAATGGAAGCCATTATCCTAAGCAAATTAATACTGGAACAGAAAACCAAATACCACATGTTCTCATTTATAACTGGGAGCTAAACTTTGAGTACATATGGACATAAAGATGGGAAAAGTAGACACTGGGGACTACTAGAGAGTGTAAGGAGGAAGGGGGTGTGGACCGAAAAAAAACCTATTGGGTACTATGCCTAGTACCTGGGGGAGGGATCATCTGTACCACAGACCTCATCATCACACAATACACCCATGTAACAAACCTGCACATGTACAACCTGAATCTAAAATAAATGTAGAAATTATTTTTAAAATGTACACAAGAGAAATGTACACAAAGCATAAATGTATAGTGCAAGGGATTATCAGTAAATGGCCATTACCCAGCTGCCTTCCTACCCCTCCCAGTCACTATCTACTCCCTTCATCCTAATGATGTCTAATATCCTAGCTTTAACGTTATAGTTTAGTTATTGCCTATGTTTGAAATTTATGTACGCGTGGAATCATACATCCTTTTGTGTCTGGCTTCTATCACTCCAGATTTTGTATCACTCCAGATCTGTATCACTCCAGATTTTGTGTTTGTAATATTCATCCATGTTACTGTATGTTGAGGTTCATTCATTTTCTTTGTTACTTAGTATTCTGCTGTGTGAATATACAAGTTACTCAACTTCTCCCTGTTGATAGATATTTGGATTCTTTTCAGGTTTTAGCTATTATGAAACAATGCTGTTATCTCCTTTAACATCAGAGTTTCATTTTGCCTATTTCAGGAAATTATATAAAATGGCACTGTGACATAAAAAGTAAATAAATAAAAATAAAAGCAAAAAGATGTTCTAACACTTTTAAAGGAAAGGCTAAATATTCTGATAATTTTGCTCTCCTATCTACTGAGATGATTCCTCGATTTTAGAGAACATACATTCCATTGAATATTGCCCTATTTTCAAAGCTTGAATTCAATCACTCACCATTTTTATATTAAACTTCTTCTGCAAAATATATTCAAAATTCTTGCTTCAGCAAACCACATGTTTTAAAGGCAAAGCCCATACACCGTTCTCATGGACCTCTTCCTCTGGAGTGCTCTGTGGAGGGCGCCCTTCAACTGAGCATTCCTCAGGCTGTAGATCAGGGGGTTCAGCATTGGGTTCAAGACACTGTGAAACAGGGACAGCATTTTCTCCTGCTCCTCTCGTTGATTAGAGTCTGGGACCATGTAAACCACCATGGCTATGCCAAAGAATAGTCCAACCACACACAGGTGGGAGGAGCAGGTGGAGAAGGCCTTTATGCGGCCCTCCTTTGTCTGGATCTTCAGGATGGCCCCGAGGATGTGCATGTAGGAGACCAGAATCAAGGAAAGAGGCCCGACTAAGACAAACACACAGGTAGCAAATATGACCACTTGGTTAACCCAGGTGTCAGCACAGGCCAGCTTGAGGACAGACAGAATTTCACAGAAGAGGTGGTTCACATCCCGGGGCCCACAGAAGGGCAACCTTAGAAGGAGAATTTCATGTACCAGGGACAGGGCAAACCCACATGACCAGGACGTGAGAACCAGGATCGTGCACACTCTCCAGCTCATGATGACAGTGTACTGGAAAGGGTGGCAGATGGCCACATACCTATCATAGGACATCACCACCAAAATCAGGCACTCTGTAACAGCAAAAGCCAAATACAAAAAAGTCTGCATTATGCATGGAACAAAGGAGATGGTTCTTTTCTGGTTCATTAGGTTTGCCAACATCTTGGGAACATTGTTGGAAGCATAGGACATGTCAATGATGGCCAGGTGTGAGAGGAAGAAGTACATGGGTGTGTGAAGCTTAGAGTCCAGGCAGATAATCCCAAAGATGACCCCATTCCCCAGCAGGGTGAGTGTATAGAAGACAGAGAAGAGTCCACAGAGGAGAATCGCCAGTGCTGGACCAACCTGGAATCCCAGCAGGGTGATGTCTGTGATCCATGTCTGGTTGCCTTCCATGCTCTTGTGGCAGAGAAAGACAAACCCTCATCTAGGACAGGAAGGTCAGAGCTGTGGGTCAAAGATGCACAATATTTGCTGAGTGTTTCAGAGGGAGCATTAAGAAATGTATTATTTTGAATGGATTCTTTGTTGAATTTGTTTTCAAATATGTTACTGGAACCAACTCAATTATGCTCATGAAATTAAAAAAATCCTCTTCTACCAATAGAGTAATCGGAAAAAAAGTATAGCTATAATACTTCTTATATAAAAAAAAATTAACATAAGGTGTAATATAATATATCTTGTATTACTGTATACACATACATGCATGGAAACACGTGTCATTTAGGAGAATTCAGGTACTCTGCTTCTTTTATAGGGTGGAATCCTTAGTTATTAACATAGTGAAATTAGAGATGACACTGACAAAATGCTGCAATACAAGATGGTTTTATATCCTGGGCATGCTTGAGTTTTTCTACCCAGTATGAAGTGGTTAGGGCATTCTGTTCTTCATATTCTTGCTTAGCAACCCATTTACCTTCTCACATGAATTCTACTTTCATATTTAAGATTGAAAATCTTTTGTAAATAGCTTTTCAACTTTGTAATTTCTTTAAAACTTCCTACAACCGTCATTTTTTCAGCCACTGGCCCATACTCCCTGGAAGCACCTCTGGTACCTATTTTCCATCTCTAGGGTTTGTAGTTCTATTTCAAGTATTTTATTTAATTCTTCATCAGCACTTGATGCTAAAATTTAGTCACACGTGAAAGAATTAAAATGGAAGAAAATGTAGGAAAATAGTTTCAAGTCTGTAAATCAAAATAGTAAATATATAATATACAAAAAATAAAAAGGCAATATACAAATATATAATAATATATAAAAGCAGTACAATATCCTTTTTATTATAATTTATTGAATCATTTTTCTTGTCAGAAATTTTTGGTTTCTAATTCTCTTATGTTTGGTAGCATTGAGATAAATATTCTTACAAGCTTATGTTTGGCTTATATTGATGATTTTTAATTGAGAATGTATTCTAAAAGTGAATTTGCAGGTGCTAAATATATTGAAATTTCAAAGCTTTTGATATCTATTTCCAGCTTTGCTTCAGAAAATTTACCAATACAAATTCTACTAATTTTTATCTATATAAATTCTATTATTTTATACCAATATAATATATCACTGATGTGTACCTCAGAATCATGCCTCTTTCCCACATGGTCATCACAACCATGTATTTTTATTTTCAACCTTTGCTAATTCAATAAGAGAACAATATTATCCAGTGTCAATTTGTACTTCATCCATCCTTTAACAAACGATCCTGGAGTGCATGATCTGTTTTAGCCACTGTTCTAAGCGCAGGAGGCACAGTGGTGGAGGTAGATGCATTCAGAAGGGGACCAGGTCATGAAGAAGTGAAGTTAAGGCAGTGTTCTCTTCAACTCCTCACATTCCCATTTAGAGGAGGAAATTGTTATGCCCCTGGATGAAATTGTCTTGGAATATACCTGCTTTTCTCTGTCCCCTAATTTATATGATTGTGAACCAGAAAGAGAAACTAAGGATACCCCTTCTCTGTTTCACCCACACGAATTTCCACCCCCTTTAGCATAAGGCATCAGGAACATGTTTCTTCCCATTTGGAGGTCGGGAGAGGTGTCAGCTAATGGTTATGATTTTAATTTGGAGAGAAATTTTTTTGAAGATATGAACCATGCTTTTCAATAAGCCTTACTAGCAAAATATATAAAATATATATATTTTAAAATTATATCTGATTCTTGTGTGCATTTCTTAACTGATTTTTTTCTGGAGCAGAGAGAGGGAATGGTTAGTTACTACCACTAAAACACCAGGAGTAAATGAGTAAATAATTGCTGACTGTGAAAAGAACAGTAAAAAAATAATCTGGGTAAAATAATAGAAAGTTGCTTGGTTTGAGGAAGACTCCTTTAGATGAGATGGTCAGGAAAGGTCTCTCTCAAGCAGAGTCAGGTGAAAGGAACCTAAACAATGAAGGCCGCAACCCTGCCCAGAGCCAAAGGAGGACCATTCTCTTCACAGGGAACAGTAAGGGAACAGTAAAGGCAAAGTCTCTGGGCAAGAAGCGCTTGGTGACTTCTGGGAAGAGAAAGAAACACAATGAAACTGAAGCATAGTGAGCAAAAGGTCATACTTATTCTTCGTAATCTTGTTTATATATTTAAAAATTTTGAATTATGATTTGATAGCACAATAGGGTGACTATAGTCAGTAATAACATAATTGTACATTTTAAAATAACTTAAAGAGTGTAATTGTATTTGTATTATTTGTAACTCGAAAGATAAATGCTTGAGGGGATGGATACCCCATTCCCCATGATGTGCTTATTTCAGATTGCATGCCTCTATCAAAACATCTCATGTACCCCATAAATATATATGCCTACTATATACCCACAAAAATTTAAAAAATAAAAAAATAAAAAGATTGGAATCAACTTAAAAGTTTATCAGTTGGGGATCAATTATTTTCATTTGGCTGTTATTACAACACAGAATACCATGCAGCCATGAAAAAGGACAATTTTGATCTTTAGGTCATTCCATGAAGTTAACGTATGTGTGTATTATATGACCTGATTTATATTTTAGAATATAAACATATTTATGTCTTTTGTATCTATTCACATATATGCAGGAAAATTCTTTAAGCATGAAATTATTTATACTGATGATCTCTACAAAGTTGGAATATTCAGCGACTTATCTTTTGTGTAAATTGCACACCTGTTCATTTGTTTTTAATGAACTTTGTGCTTTACAGGAAACAAAACAGGGCATTTCTTATTTAGAAAAACTTCACAGTGAAATACAGAGTTAAAGTTTACACTATTTCTATGCATCTCACCAAGTTGTTTTTTTTTGTTGTTGTTTGTTTGTTTTTTTGTTTTTGAGATGGAGTCTTGCTCTGTTGCCCAGGCTGGAGAACAGTGGCACAATCTCGGCTCACTGCAAACTCTGCCTCCTGGGCTCAAGCAATTCTCTTGCCTCAGCCTCCAGAGTAGCTGGGACTACAGGCATGCACCACCATGCTTGGCTAATTTTTGTATTTTTAGTAGAGATGGGGTTTCACCATATTGGCCAGGCTGGTCTCGAACTCCTGACCTCAAGTGATTCACCCACCTTGGCCTTCCAAAGTGCCGGGATTACAGGTGTGAGCCACTGTGCCCGGTCTTCTCACCAAGTTTTAACAGGAACATCTGAACTTAGAAGACTTTCGTAGAGCTTCAAATGGGAGAAATGTCACTAAATTATGGGAAAGTATTAATCCTTAACAAGTAAGTAGAAATTGAAAAATCTCAGTATCACTTCTCCTACAGAAGCATGTACTTTTTTCCCGAGTTGTCCTGATAGAGAAACAATCAACATCATCTATTGACTAAAAGTGGAAGTGGATCTTAAACCAGGTTGAAAATTTTTGCCACGTCCACCAAATTATGAACAAGGGCAGAAGCAAAGCCAAGTTATAAATCTGCACAGGTCAAAGAAAATGAGCTTCATCATACAGAGAACTACATTTCAATGTCTTTTAATTTTCTCATCTGTAAAGTAGCTTCTGGGAATTTCCGGTTAAAAATCAAAAGAAAGAAACAGGGAACTGAAAAGACTAAATTTCTTTCCAAAGATAGTCTTTCGATGAGACATAGGAGACCTCCCAGAGGTGAAGCAGGGTCACAACTTACAGAGGGAGGGCAGCCTGAGACAGAATCCTGGGAGTGGGATGTGACAAACCCCGTGGCTGTCAACTGTGCTGTGTGCATCTCTGTGTTTCTGCACCCAGTTCAGGGACCCAGGGTAGCAAGCACTTGGATGCCTCAGCAGTTACAAATGCATCATGAGCTTCCTTTTGCCAAATGGTTAGAATTGTTTGACTAATCAAAGTTTATAAGTAAAATAATCTGCATTTATAGAATTTTACATGTGATTTTTTTGGTATGACATTTCTGAAAGAAAGTAGTAGCCAAAATAAACTATTTCTAAAGGAATGGAATAAATAAAGGAGCAAATAGAACTGTTAGTCTTATTTAATTAGATGTGAACTGCATCCAAACCACATCTAACATGAGATGTCAAATGTACATTTAAGAGTTTGCTAGCAAGGGTCATAAGGTGACAACTCCATAATGGTGATTCTTCACACACACTAATGTTGTATCAGCTCATTTGTGAAGCCAAGGATGATAGAAAAGTATACTATAAACTGAACACATTTTTTTTCATTATTGGCATGGTTTTGCATTTTGGATTTCATAGTTTAAGAAGTCAGTATTATTTTTTTCTCTGAGTAAAAAGCCTGAGCAGATACAATAAAGACACAGTTGCCTGAAATAAAGTTTTCTTTGAGAGTGTACTCCAGCTACACATCAAAGAAAGATCTTCAGTGCATAGAATGAGGAAAAAGCCTTCATGGATACTGTTCTCTATTCTTCCATAGCATGACAAAAGTAGCAGTAATTGAAAAAAAATATGATCTCTGAAGAACAATGAGATGAGCATTGTTAGCAGTGCTCTTTAGACAATCATTCTGACCTTGATTCTGAACGGTGAACATTACAAAGTTGAGTACCTTATTCTGAACCTCACTATTTTCATCTGTAAAATGATGACAACAGATATCTAAAGGGCTGATGTGAAGAATGAGTACCACTAGGATACCTGTTAATGGTTTAATAAATGTTAGCTGTTATTAACAGCATTATGGAGACCACAAAATTGAGGAAAGAATCTAAATCATTGGAATTAAAAATCCAATGCAATCATTACAGTTTTGCAAACTCTTTCACATTTATTTTGCATTCCTTTTTGGTTATTTTTGAATTTAAATCAAAACACATTTTGCTTTCATTGCCATTGTTTTTCTATTTTGATTCATAAAATTAAGTTTAAAAAGAAACTTGAAGAGATGAAAAGAATCATTTAATGTAACCTCATTCCTGTATTAAAGAAGAAAATACAAGTTTTCAAAACTCAAAGTGCTATTCTGCCATGCCTATGACAGAGAGAGAGAGAGAGAGAGAGAGAGAGAGAATCTTATGGAAGAAAAGGGGACATATTTAGGATATTTAACACCGATCAAAAGTAAACGTTTTTATTGATATTTTAGTCAGAATGGAAGCCATGGCTATCAAAGACGGGGTTCTGGGACAGCACAGATTTTTCAAATATTTGCAATCACTCAAAAATTACTTACCATCTCAGTAGTTACTTTGATACTCAATTTGATCCTAATGAATAGCATAATTTAGAAAAAAAACAAGCAAAGATTCTAGATAGAGCCCTATTGCCTGGGTTCAGATCCTGGCTTTGCTACACACTAAATTTACGACTTTTCTGTGCCTTACTGTGCCTCAGTGCCCCCATCTGCAAAATGGGGTGGGTAACAAACCCTACCTTATAGGATGGTTGTGAGGATTAAATGAGTTATCTATCATAAGACACTTAATAAGTGCATAAAAACCATTATTGATGATTTGCAGCAATCATTGGAAAGTGACTTCTGGGTCCAATAATAACAAGGAAATGCGTTATATGTTTAACAGTTCCTCTGCTAAATAAGGAAACAAAAAGAGAATCTTTTCCCCACAGGCACTGGGTTGCCCTATGAGAGAGTGGCATCTCTGTCTTGAACAACTGAGCAGTGGGTCCTAGTTAGCCAGACAATGGTTCAAGAATCGGAAGGGCAGACAGTTAGCAATGGCAGAAGGAAGATCAATCAATCTCAGGACAAGTGAACTACTTGATAACTCTGATTTAGTGTTTTCTTATTTGTAAGAAGAGGAACCTGGGCCATGTAGTCTCTGGAGTTCTTTTTAGCCCTTTAGCCAGATAATATCCTACATGATATTATCTCTTCCTCTTCTCTGGCGGAGTCATGACAAAGCCAGGCACTGGCATGTGAGGATGAGGGACCAGGAGGGTGAGAGGAACCATGGCCACCCCATGGTTGTAAGGACCAGTAGTGGTCCCCAGAGCTCCTCTCAGGACCCCAGTTATAAACATAGGCTTAGGGCCAGAAGGAAACTACACGAGGGCAGTGTTTTGTCAAAAATACCTTAAGCTGGAAATGTCATTCACTTCTGGTTCCCTTTTCCCACCTGCAAACTTCTTCTCAGCGTCAATGAGCCACTTTTACTTACAGTGGCATAATATGTAGTCTTTTCTTCAAACACAGCCTTAGGCTTAGAAGAAACCTCAATGACAGGAGGGAAGGATAAATAGACTGAGATTGATTCTTGTCTCTAAAGGGGCCTCCTTGGGAGGTGAAGCCCAGCAACAGAGCTCTCCTGAACTTTATGATAGACTTAGTTTGTGCAAGCCAGGGCTTTTTCTATTATCATTTGTCTACAACTAACTCTCCAGACAAAAATAATGATTCAGTGAACAGAACCATGTGAGATTGCATCTACTCACATTCTCCCTAGAGGGAATTATAGAATTTATTGCTTTTCTATTAGCAAGTAAACCAATCAAAGCATCTCACATGTTTATTCATTTTGTTCCTTCTGTATTCTCATGGGATTTATTTTAGTGTGTTAACTTGAAATTGGATGGGGACAGGATTTCTGTATATGAGATAAGACCTTGGAGAGAAAACAAAATATTCAAGATAGTATATCAATTAAATTCTCTTAAAACTTACTTATTTTATCAGCCTTAAAATTGCCCCACTTTCCAATTCCTGCTGTTTGACTGTAGAGGAGAGGCCGTGACTTCTTGGTAATCATTCCACATTTCTCACTTACAAATATTTTTGACTCTGCAGTTCAGGTATACCTCATCTTCTTCCTTAAATTTCGTCAATGTGTCTTTATCTCAAACATCTCTAAATTTCTTAGCCACATTTTGATTTCCTCATCCTAAGTTAGGGTCTACAGATAAAATGAGCATGCTTTTTCCTCTCTCTCTTTCTCTCATTTTCACTGAGTGATGATTGCAAAAATCCTTCCAGTTCTTTCTTACTACATGTCTGTTTTCAATCTAGTTCTCTATAGAGTTTTAGTTTTTGAACTATGGTGGAAGAAGCACTTCACAAGAATAGTAATGTATTTAATCTATTGTGGAGAACACTAAAATATATCTATTCAAGAGGAGGCTAATGGGGTTATTTTTCTTTTAAAATGATCTGTGGGCCAGTAGAGCTTCCCTCCACTTACCTCCTTATTCTCCAATGCACACACTCTATTTCCTTCAAGTACTATCTCCCAGCAGCTCCCATTCTTGAAATTCCTATTCCTTGTTTCAAGTCCATTTAATCTTGTTTTACCCACTTGAATTCATACATAACACCAATCCTTCAAAGCACTCATGGAGCCCTCTTCAACTACTTCAGCCCAAATCAGTCTCCCTTCTGTGATAGACCAAAGGAGCACTTATTATAAGAATGCTTCAAGATTGTGTTTAAGTAATATTTTACTTTTAGTATTTTTTATTGCTCATCTTTCATATGAGGTTATTACAGAAAAATAAATTTGACTCACCAACACCTGGATAGAGCTAAGAATAATATTCTGCTGCATATTTGTTCAGACTGGCATTAGTAGCACAATTTTATTCCTTTTGTTGAGTACAATATAATGACATTTAACACAGTCTACTATAGATACGAACTCATATATCATAATTTGTCTATTTTTGCTTCTAATCTTTGAAAAGGTGACAGCAAAACATTTTTCATGGAAAGTCTTAGACTTCTTGTGAGTGTTAAATTTACACTGATTAACATTTTATATTTTAGCAATAATAAATACTGTAAAGTATACATGGCTCCATCAGTGGTGATGGACCTTTATTAAGTGAGTCAATTTTGAAGTAGGTGTTTGTGGATTATATCAATTACTATACCTACAGCTGGCCTAAGCATATTTTAACATTTGCTGTCTCGAGAGAGAAATAGCTCCTTTGCAGGGCTTGAGTTTTTACTGTTTTTATTTCTTTTTTAAAAATTCTACTTCCTTCATAGGATTTCAATGGGTTATTGAAGAAGATAAAATAATATAAATGATGAGAAGGGATTTGAAATGTTAAGGGCTGTTTTTGCCATCAATTCTGTGATTGCATCTCACCTTAACCTTATAAAGCTTTTGTAGGAGGTGCTCCATCAAAACAAAGGAGTAAATCAAAAAAGAGGATGGCATGATTAATGAACTGGAGAGTCCAACAGAAGGTAAAGGCAGATGGAATTGTTGGGATGGAACCAGTCCAGACAGAAAGAGAATAGCAGACTATTAAGGGAAGTCTTCAATAAAAAGTTGGAATGGATGTATCATATGAGGGGGTGGAAGAGGTAGGCAGTCTTAGCAATTGGCACAAAGAATCCATGCAGAGGAGGGAAGGGGCAATTAATTAACTTGACTTTTGTTACTTGCAGCTGATGCATTCTAATGAATACATACTTCCTTCCTAGAAAATCAAGTGAGAGAAAAATACTGCCAAATAGAGAGTTTTCTAACTTGCTGCCACTGTTGATATACTGTAGATGAACAGGCTTGAAGGGGGATGTTGCCTTTCTCTCTTACAGCCACAGACTTCTCCAGCGATTTAGTCTCCATGTTTGGGCTTATTAATGGGACAATAGTATTGCATTCCACTTTGTTCAACAGTTAGAAAGTTGGTGCTGGCCCCCAGTGTCTACCTTAATCAAATGTTTATCATACACTAGTAATGTGTCAGGCATAGTTCAGGTTATAGGCATGAGGGATACGACTGATCAAGAGAGAAAATTGTCTGCATTCCCTTTGCTCACATGCTGGTGGTAAACAGGAAATCTGTACTCACGTTGCCTGTTTCTTAAAAGTCTTAATACTTCTTTATCATCCTGTCTCCCTACCCACTTCAAGGGAAAAAAAACTGCCTTCTTTTTGGTAAGAAGGACTTAAGCTCAACATGTACAAAATAAAGACATTTTTTAAAGTTCAATGAAAAAAATTAAAATTATTTTAGGTCACAGCACCCAGAAATAATTCTGATTGATAGCTCAATATCCCCCAAATTTCTTCATTAACATATACAGATGCAAAGACAGTAGGACAGACAGATAAATAATTTAGCAAAAATGAGATCCGACAATATTTCAGGAAAGCATTTTGACTTTTATTTTTTGTGTAAAAAGAACATTTGCCCAATATGAAAATAAGTTAGGCAATACAGGGAAAATACAATCACATCCCTTACACATTTGGTTAATTGAATTGAAGATACTTCTGTGATCTTAAAGAAACATATGGCTAGAAGGATAAACTGACAATCTTAGATATATTTATAAAACTGTTTTCATACTCCTCACGCTTTTTGAAGTATATATATGTATATATTTAATATAGCAGAAGGAAGAGCATCTACTGTGTAACTAAAATACTTATTCTAATTCAGAATCTTTTTTTTTTTAAGCAGTATCAGATTAGGTTCTTAAAGGAGTCCCTTTGGTGTGAGAATAATTTTTTATTATATTTACAGATTGTAGCCATTATAGTTTTAAACATTGTGCCTTATTTTCACAGAGTATCATTTGGGTCCCAAAAATTGATGGATGAGAAAATTTGCACACTTCAATGGCCTACTTCTTTTCAAGAGGTTAGCTTCAGAATTTAAACCATTTGGCCGATAAGCCAGTTGTGTGCTCAGTGGTCATTGCCCACTTCCTTACTGACCCTATACTGATTCTCAGGCAGTGCAGATATCAGAGAACATGGTCCTTGCTATGAGCCAGGGGAGATTAAACCATGACTGATATAAGCCAAGAATTCGATCTCATCTTCTTTGTTAGTAAGTGGATTAAGGACTTCCATTTGACTCATTCTTGGCCAAAGCAATACGAGCAAACAATCTGCTGAGAGTAAGTCTTTCTGGAAAAGATTTTTCTTCTTGATAAAAGGGGGAAAGACAAAAAATAAGTTTCTCTTGTTTCTTTATTAGTTTTAGACATTGTTATGTCAGAAAATTTTCTCATTACAACAAAATCTGAAAATGATTCATATACTGTATTGTCAAAAACCTTCTGTTTTCATTTTAAAATTTATTTTAAGGTGATTTTAGAATTAAAAATTCTATTTTTATCCTACTTTTGTCTTATCTTAATTTTTGTAGATGCCATACATTATGATGACTCTTGCTGTTCTTTTTACCTGAATGATTTATCTTTTTTCCCCTACTAATTTTAGTTTTTCAAGCCTAGTGTCTATATTACCTTTAATATAAGTTATCTTTTACTTACATTTTGACAAATAATTTTTTTGTTAAGTTTATAAAACTACCACCCCCCATATCTCACATGGTAATTAATGATCACTAGATCTCATGGTTGAAGGGAATATTAATTCCCTTCATTGACAGTGGTCCAATATAATAATAATTATTTCCAATAGAGTATTCACAGTTGAGAATTCCATAGGAGACAATAATGTTTCCTTCATTAAAAAAAAGAGGGAGGGAGGAAGGAAGGAAATAAAGAAAATAAAGAGAGAAGAAAGAAAGAAAGAAAAGAGAAAGAAGAAAGAAAGAAAGAGAAAGAAAGGAAGAAAGAAAAGAGAAAGAAGAAAGAAAGAAAGAGAAAGGAAGAAAGAAAGAGAAAGAAAGGAAGGAAGGAAGAGAAAGAGAAAGGAAGGAAGGAAGGAAAGAAAGAAGAAAGAAAGGAAGAAAGAGAGAAAGAAAGTCCTCCTTCAATGATCCTGATAACTTTCCTTCCTGGTGGTAGAAGGGAGATATGTTTATCTTTTGTCTTGAATCAATGGGTCATTGGTGTAAGCTACAGTTGTACATAGAGTTAGTATTGTATTGAGAATATGGGCTCTCTCTCTCTCTGCCATGTGTAGACACAGTGGGAAGACACTCTCTGAAAGCCAGAAGAAAGTCCCCACTAGAGCTCGACGATGCTTGGCACCTGATCTTGGACATAAATTTCTATTGTTTAACAATAAAAGAATACCAGCTCTGGAGCCAGAGAACCTATTTTTTTAAACTCTATATTTTCCATTGATTATGCTAACTCAATGACTCAGGGTAAGTTACTCAACCTCTGTGTTCCTCGATCTTCTCATGTGCAAAATAGAAATTATTAATAAATAGAACATAAAAATGCATCTCTCTCCCCCTAACTTGGTTGCTTCTTGGTTTCAGGAAGAATGTGGATAGGCTTACACTTTCCTGGGGATACCTATTGGTCGTCTGTCAACAGATAATTGTTGAGAATCTTCTCTGTACCTAGCTCTGCTCTAGATACTAGAGACACAGCTATGACAAGACAAAATTGATGTGTACGACGATCTTGTATATTACTGATTGTAAACTGACAACACACATGTGAAAAAAATATATAAAGGGAAAAACTTCAAGTACTTAATAATGCCATAAAAAGACAGACTGAAGAGATATGATTGAAAGTCACCTAGTCAAGACAATGCATGAGACTCTGAAATATGCTGGTCTTTGGGGATGTACTGCTTGAGAGCTGATAAATCAGAAAGTCTTCCAGAAGATTTTGTGGCTTGTCCTTTCACTTTTTATGCCCTGTTTTGATTAACATAAGTTCTTAATTTCAACCCAGTCACATACACTAATATTTTTATTTAATGCAGCTTAAAGATTTTATAATATCAGATATTATTTCACAATAGCAATTATGTGTATTGTTTAAAAAATCCTTCTCTTGTATATCTTCTAAAAGCTTTAGAGTTCTGCCTTTGACACTTAAATCTTGAATACACCAGAAGTTGAATTTTCTGCATGATTTGAATATCTTTATAAAGACTTGGTTGTCCCAACACCATTTACTTCAAAGCTTTTTCATTCCCCAGTGATATGCCATGCCACACCTCTAATATAGCAAGTGCTAATAAAAGCAAATATACACTAATTTTCTTTCTATTCTGTTTGTTTTTTGGTCTATCTGTGTATAAATACCACACTGTTCTGTTTATTAGCACTATATAGTGTGTTTTGATATCTGAAGGATCAAATCCTCCCACGTTGTACTCTTTCTCTTTTAATAGAGTTTGAGCTAGCCTTGGTCCCTTGAATTTTAAGATTAGTTTGTTGAGTTCTGCACACATCCACACACCCTGCTGCGATATTGATTGGGATTGTATTAAATCTAATAATCAATTTAAGGAGATTGAATCTTTGTAATATTATGTTTTTCAGTCCAAGAACTTGGCATACCACACATTGTGTATCTATTTATTTACCATAGTCTCTCAATAAATTTTTAATTGTCTCTTTAGAGCTTTTGTATAATCTTTGTTATAATTATTCCTAAGCATTTGAGAATTAAATCCTGTTGTGTATGGTAGCGTTTTTTCAAGTTTCATTTTAATTGTTTGTTACTGCTTTAAAAATATAATATATTTTTATATTGATTTTGTATCAAGCTACTTTAAAATTTCTTATAATTCTTTTGAATTTCCTACATATACAGTAATGTCATTTGTATGTAATTACAGTTTGTTTCTTCTTTCTCAAATGTGTGTGCACGTGTGAGTGTGTGTGTGTGTGCGTGTGTGCGTGTGTGCGCATGCATGGGTGTATTTGTTCTTTTTGTCTAACTGTATTGGTTAGGATCTCTAGTAAAAAGTGAAATCAAGAAAAACAAGTGATTTTTTTTGTGTCTGATTCTTTACCCGAAAAGGACAGATGCTAACATTTCACCATTAACCATGACGTCTGCTTTGTTTTTATTTTTGTTTTGTTTTTGGTAGATTCTGTTTAGAAAGTCTTACTGCGATATTAGCTTATAAAGAATTGATCTTAAATCTTGTCAAACACTTTCTTGGATCTACTGAGATGTTCATATGAAATGTATTCTTTAATTTGTTAATGTGGGGAAGTTATTTTTGTTGTTTGTTTTAATGTTAAATTATTGCTGCATTTTAAGGGTATACATAGTTTCATTATAATACATCCTTACTTCATTCTGATGGACTTGTTTCATTAATATTTTCTTTAAGAGGTTTGCATCTATGTTCATGAGTAGGATTAGATTGTGATTTTCTGTTTCATAAGTTTATCTCAGGTTTGGTATCAATGCCTTAAATAGTAAAAGTAATTAGTTTCTCTCTCTTTATTTATTTATTTATTTATTTTTGAGAGGGAGTCTTGCTCTGTCGCCCAGGCTGGAGTGCAGTGGTACAATCTCGGCTCAGTGCAACCTCCGCCTCCTGGGTTCAAATGATTCTCCTGCCTCAGCCTCCCAAGTAGAGCTGGGATTACAGGCGCCCACCAGCACGCCCGGCTAATTTTTGTATTTTTAATAGAGACAGTGTTTCGCCATGTTGGTTAGGCTGGTCTCGAACTCCTGACCTCAGGTAATCCGCCCAGGTCAGCCTCCCAAAGTGTTGGGATTACAGGCTTCAGCCACCACGCCAGGCCAGTTTCTCTTTTTATAAGAAGTCTAAAGATAAACAGTATTGGGTGTGGTAAATTAAAGAATTAAAAAGGAAATTTCAGGACCCAGGGTCATGAGAACCATGCTTACACACTCAGGATATCTCAAATGATTCTTCACATTGATCTCTGTTTCCAAAGGACTCTCTTTAGAGCCCCTTTCACCTCTGCATTCCTAAGGCTGTAGATGAGGGGGTTCAGGATCGGGTTGAAAAGGCTGTAAAACAGGGAAAGGATCTTCCTCCGTTCTTGAGAATGGCTTGACTTGGGGGCCATGTACATGACAATGGCGCTGCCAAAGAAAAGCCCCACCACGCAGAGGTGGGAGGAGCAGGTAGAGAAGGCCTTTCTGCGGCCCTCCCCAGACTGGATCCTCAAGATGGCCACCAGGATGTGCAAGTAGGAGACCAGCACCAGGCAGAGCGGCCCCACTAAGATGAACGCAGAACCCGCAAATAGGACCACCTGGTTGAGCCTAGTGTCAGCACAGGCCAATTTGAATACGGACATGATTTGACAGAAAAAGTGGTTGATCTTTTGTGGGCCACAAAAAGGCAGCCTCAGAATAAGAGTAATATGGACCAGAGCCAAGAGAAAGCTAAATATCCAGCAAGTTGAGGCCAGGACAGTGCACACTCTCCAGTTCATAATGAGGGTGTATTGCAAGGGGTGACAGATTGCCACATACCGATCATAGCACATCATCACCAAAATCAGACACTCTGTAATAGCAAACGCCAAATACAAAAAAGTCTGAAGTATGCAAGGAGCAAAGGAGATGACTTTTTTGTGCATCACAAGATTTGCTAGCATCTTAGGGACAGTACTCGAGGCATAGGACATGTCCACAATGGCCAGGTGTGACAGGAAGACATACATGGGTGTGTGCAGTCTAGAGTCCAAGTAGATGAGCCCCAGGATAATCCCATTTCCCATCAGGGTTAAGCTGTAGAATAGCAAGAAAAACCCAAAGAGGAACAACTCCAGAGCTGGGTCCACCTGGAATCCCAACAGGATGACTTCTGTGATCCAGGTCTGATTGCTTTCCATGTTCTCGTGACAGAAAAATCTTGTGATGTACTTAAGACAGAAATTTCACAGCTAATGGGAGAAAATAAAAAACATTTCATTATAGAGCATGAATTTTATGCCAGAGGCCACAAATCAGTATTTCATGGGTACATCCAGCCCAAAGTCCTATGATGTTGACTTACAAATTTGGCTTTTAGAGATATTTAAAATCTGTAGTTATTGACTAATATTAAAAACTAGGCGATTTCATGATAAAATTGGTGTCTCTAGATTCTTTTGAGAAAAATAGAAGATTTGTCATTTCATGATATTCATTGAAAGCAATAATCAGCTAAATCTAATGAGGCAATAGATAGAGGCTGGTCCTCTTTCATTTACCACTGTTTTCACCAATCTTTATTTTCTCCCAGAAGTTGAGCTCAGTGACACTGAACAATTTTATCATTGTACCTACTCTACTGATGACATATTTACATAAGAAGAGAGTGAAGATTTTTGCTCAAGATGGGTTCCCAATTTCTCCTCTACTTCAAATACATGGATATGAGAGATAAAATACAAAATGCAAACCCTAAAGAGTTTAAAATGTGACAACTCCTTCATACACTGGAAATGAATCAGAAACATAATATGCTCCAAGTCTGGAAGCAGACAGTAATACCTGGAACTTAGCTTTTATGGGGTTAAGGCAAGTTGTTGTGAGATGTGGTACTGATGTGATTGTTTGAAGCTCAGGGCTTGGATTGGGGCCATGAAAGAAGTTTTAAAACAACTATTGGCTTGCTGGATAAAGTGACTTTCAAGAAGTCAATATGCTTGCCGGCTCTATAATTTGATCAACAGAACCTGAGAAAGTGTTATAAGACCTGATTTTTATAAGGGGCCCTTGGAGTCAGGTGAAGAACAACAAAATCTAAAGACCACAAGAGGGAGAAACAAGATAGGAAAATCAAATAATAATAATGATGATAATAATAACAACAATAAAAACAAAAACTTCTCCACTCAAAATTTGCCTAATAAACATGTTTGTTTTAAAACACAAATTTAACACTAAAAAGGGAAAACAAAGTAAATAATTAGAACCTTAAATTCATTGAAGATGCAATTAAATGTATAGAACAACAGTATCTCATTGTGGTTTTGATTTGCATTTCTCTGATGGCCAGTGATGATACATGCACACGTATGTTTATTGCGGCACTATTCACAATAGCAAAGACTTGGAACCAACCCAAATGTCCAACAATGATAGACTGGATTAAGAAAATGTGGCACATATACACCATGGAATACTATGCAGCCATAAAAAATGATGAGTTCATGTCCTTTGTAGGGACATGGATGAAGCTGGAAACCATCATTCTCAGCAAACTATCACAAGGACAAAAAACCAAACACCGCATGTTCTCACTCATAGGTGGGAAATGAGCAATGAGAACACTTGGACACAAGAAGGGGAACATCACACACTGGGGCCTGTTGCGGGGTGGGGGGTGGGGGGAGGGATAGCATTAGGAGATATACCTAATGTAAATGACGAGTTAATGGGTGCAGCACACCAACATTGCACATGTATACATGTGTAACAAACCTGCAAGTTGTGCACATGTACCCTAAAACTTAAAGTATTAAAAAAAAGAGAAATATAACACACAATTTTAAAAAACAATAAAGAGGATAATGTCCACATCTACCATTAAAGGGAAGAAGTTGTGTAGTGGAAGATGTCATGAAGGAATCTACCCAGATTTTAATACAGATAGGCAAAGGGATAACATTTTGAAAGCACCACTTAGAGACATAAATGATTGAGAGGCTAAATTTAGATGTGATAGTTTCCTAAGCAAAAGAATGAAGAAAATGGGGAAGAAACAATATTTGAAGAGATTTCACCAAAAATGTTCGAGAATTGAAAACAATTTGTCTTTAAATCACTAAAAAAATGCATTCCACTTAATGAATACAATAAAGGTAAATTTATACTCAAGCAAATTGAAATTTTCATAACTGAAGATGACCTGAGTCTTTAGATTAAAAATGAACCCTGAGAACAAAATAGAATAAATAAAAAATAAATTCTAAATAAATGTAAATGACCGACAATTTTCGTGGATGACTATCTTTCCTCCATACTCTACGTTTCACTGTGTGTAGACTTTCTGGAATTTCTATTGGATCAATATTATCATCTATCAACATATCTTGTATGTCTCTTATCTGCCCTTTAAGATATTTTTTGTCTCTTTCACTCTTCACCATGTTCTTGACATTTTCTTCAAAACAAAATTCACAAAGAATACAAAATTTAGAATTTATTTCCTACAAAAGAACTGCAAAATTCATTTTTTTCATTACTCATTTACTACTCAGACTAAAGGACTGCAAAATTTAAATAGAAAAAAAATTCCTTAATTTGAAAAAGAGTACCTATAAAACCTACAGAATCAACATACAAAAATCACTAGAATTTCTATACACCAACAACAGTCAAGCCAAGAGCCAAATCGGGAATGCAGTCCCATTCACAATTGCCACAAAAAGAATAAAATACATAGGAATACAGCTAACCAGAGAGGTGAAAGATCTCAACAATGAGAACTACAAAACACTGTTCAAAGATATCAGAGATGACACAAATAAATGGAAAAACATTCCATGCTCATTGATAGAAAGAATCAATATTGTTCAAATGGCCATACTGCCTAATGGCATTCCTATCAAACTACCGATGATATTCTTCACAGAACTAGAGAAAACTACTTTAAAACTCATATGAAACAAAAAAAAAGAGCCCAAATAGCCAAGGCAAACCTAAGCAAAAAGAACACAGCTGGAGGCATCATGCTATTTGACTTCAAACTATACTTCAGGGCTACAGTAACCAAAACAGCACAGTACTGGTACAAGAACAGACACATAGACCAATGGAAGAGAATAGAGAACCCAGAAATAAGGCCTTACACCTACAACCATCTGATCTTCAACAAAGCTGACTGAAAAAAGCAATGGGGAAAGCACTCCCTATTCAGTAAATGGTGCTGGGAGAACTAGCTAGCCATATGCAGAAGATTGAAACTGGACCCCTTCCTTACACCATATGCAAAGATCAACTCACGATGGATTAAAGACTTAAATATAAAACCCAAAGCAATAAAAACCTTGGAAGACAAAATCTAGGTGGTACTGTTCTGGACATAGAAATGGACAGAAATTTCATGATGAAGATGCCAAAAGCAATTGCAATAAAAGCAAAAATTGACAAATGGGATCCAATTAACTAAAGAGTTCTGCACAGTAAAGGAAATTATCAACAAAGTAGATAGACAATCTACAGAATGGAAGAAATTATTTGCAAACTATACATCTGACAAAGGTCTAATATCCAGCATCTGAAAGGAACTTAAACAAATTTACAAAAAAAAATCCCATTAAAAAGTAAGCAAATGGTATGAACAGACACTTCAAAAGGAGACATACAAGCAGCGAACAAACATATGAAAAAATCCTCATCCTCACTAATCATCAGATAAATGCAAATCAAAACCACAATGAGATATCATCTCACATCAGTCAGAAGGGCTACTGTTAAAGTCAAAACATAACAGATGCTGGCAAGGCTGCAGAGAGAAAAGGGAACACTTATACACTGTTGGTGAGAATGTAAACTAATTCAATCACTGCAGAAAGGAGTTTGGAGATTTCTTTTCTTTTTCTTTCTTTCTTATTTATTTATTTAGACACGGAGTCTTGTTCTGTTGCCCAGACTGGAGTGCAATGGCACAATTTTGGCTCACTGCAACCTCCGCCTCCCAAGTTCAAGCGATTCTCTTGCCTCAGCCTCCTGAGTAGCTGGGATTACAGGCACACGCCATCACACCTGGCTAATTTTTGTATTTTTAGTAGAAACAGGGTTTCACCATGTTGACCAGGATGGTCTTGAACTCCTGACATCAAATGATCCGCCTGCCTTGGCCTCCCAAAATGCTGGGATTACAGGCATGAGCCACCGCACCCAGCCCTGGAGATTTCTTAAAGAACTAAAAACAGAATTACCATTTGACTCAGCAATCCCATTGCTGGGTATACACCCAAAGAAATATAAATCATTCCATTGTAAAGACACATAAACATGTACATTTACTGCAGCACTATTCGTAATAGTAAAGACATGGAATCAACCTAAATATTAAAAACTGGTAGACTAGATAAAGAAAATGTGGTACATATACGCCATGGAATACTATGCAGCCATGAAAAAGAATGAGATCATGTCCTTTGTAGGAACATGGATGGAGCTGAAGGTCTTTATCCTTAGGAAATGAAAACAGGATCAGAAAATCAAATACCACATATTCTCATTTATATGTGGGAGCTTAATGATAAGAACACATGGACACGTAGAGGGAAACAACAGGCACAGGGGCCTATCAGAAGGCAGAAGGTGAGAGGAGAGAGAGGATCATGAAAAACAATTAATGGGTACTAGGCTTAATACCTGAGTGATGAAATAATCTGTACCACAAACCCTATGACATGAATTTACCTATGTAACAAACCTGCACATGTACACCTGAATTTAAAAGTTAAAAGAAGAAAAAGAGTATCCATAAAACCTACAGAGTTTATCCTATGACTGACATCGGTTTAAAATTTATCTCATCTTAATTTTTAAAAATTTAATAACTTTGTTTTTCTTAGATTTTTAAGTTGATACACATATGTATGTATACATATAAATATATATATTTATATATGTCTATAATACATATCTACACATATTTCTTGGTTCATTATAGTGCCTTTTTGTTTCATAACCTTTTTGATTTCTAATAGAAACTATAATTTTATTTGTCTCTTAAAGCCTTTGTTATATTCTCTTAAAATTTAATTTTTCTAGTAGTAAGAGGTAATATTAAAAATTATCAAAGGTAAAAGCAATGATCTAATAAGAGCAACAATTCCACTGACAGAGACTTCTCATCAACAAGAAGAGTTCAGAAGATAATGAGCTACTGTTGTTACTTTGCCAAGAAGGGGAGAAGCTGTCATTCCACAATTTTATATCTGCAGTAACTCTCTTGAATGAATGAGAGCAAAGTAAGATATTATTGGATATACAAATCAGAAGGGCACTGAGGACCTATAGATCCTCAATATAGCCCTATATTCCTTAATAAGAACAAAAGTGAACCCAGAGGTAAATCGAATATATGAAAACAATATTTACACATAATTTCAAATAGAATATCTCAGTAAATTTTATAAACAATGGGCTATAAAATGATTATTTTGGTGTTTTGAAAGGGTAAAATTAAATCTTTTGGAAATAATAAGTAAACAGAGGGAGATGTGTGAAAAATAAAGAATGCTAAGACTCTTGATGAAAATTGAAACTAGGAGTGACTTTAGATTTGTTAAAATAATGTATTAAACTTGTGTATTAGCAATTAGTGAGAATCATAAAAAATAAACAAAATATGTGGTTTCCAAAATTACAAAGTAAATAAAAGAAATTTGAAAACGTTATCAATCCAACAGCAGGCCAAAAAAGAAAAAAAAGCAATTTTTTTGACAAATAGAAAACACAAAATAAGCAAGTATAAATAAGTCTGTGTATATAAATTATCACATTATATGTACTTATAGGGCATTAAAAGACAGAGTTAGGCACTTTAGTTGAAAACAGAAAATCGAGTTACAAAATCCTTATGTGCCACACCTAAACCCCTTAAACATAAATTCTCTTTTTTCTCTCTAACACACACACACAGACGCAGACGCACACGCACACACGCGCACACACACACACATGCACACGCACACCCCCACACCGAGATTAAAAATAAAATAATGGAAAACATGTTGTAGAAACTGGTAGTAGCAATTTTGTTATCAGCATGTGTAAGCATGTAGGTGATACTATACAATAATAATGAAAAGAAAAATCCACAAAGAATAGACAATTCAGAATTTATGCCCTATGAAAAGACTGCAAGATTCAAATAGACAAAAACTTTTCCTAAATCTGAAAAAGAATATCCATAAAACCAACAGAAACATTATACTTAACGGTGAATGTTTAAAAGCTTTCCCCTTGCATTAGAATATAAGGTGCTCCTCTTGTATTCTGGAGAGTTTGTTTTGATCCTTCCTATTTAGATCTAAAACTGACCTGGTGTTTATTTTTGTGCATGGTGTGTGGTAGGGGCCATGTTTTGGTGTTCTTCGAAGAAGAAGAAGGTACTAACCACTTCTATTTAATGTTGATTAATAAAGTAGCCAGTAATAACACCAAAAGAAAGAGTAAGAAGCATAAGAATTAAAATGAAGAATATCAAATGTCATTATTTACACCACCATGATTTTGTTTGTAGAAAAATTTTAAACTCAATCAATGAACTATTAAAATTACTGTGTATTTATAAAAACTTCTGGATTCAAGGTCAATGTACAAAATTAATGAGATATGCATATATGCATGTATACATTAATATAATTGTGTGTTTATAGATTGGAAGTTTTGTAAAGATTCTAAACCTATTCAATTTGATCTATACTTTCAATGAAATTCAAATCAGAATACCAGCAAGTTTTTTTATCAATGAAAATTAATAATTGTACTCTAAATGTTATATGAAATGCAGAAGGTCCAGAATAGTCAAGGAAATCTTGAGAAAGAAGAATGAATGGAAGAACTTACTCCATTGACTCTCCAGACTTATAAAGCCACAGCAATTGAGTGAATGTGGCAGTGGAAGAAGGATAAACAAATATACCAGTGACACAGAGTGGTTAACTCAAAAATCCAGAAGAACGGCTGGGCGCGGTGGCTCACACCTGTAATCCCAGCACTTTGGGAGGCCGAGGTGGGTGGATCACTTGAGGTCAGGAGTTCGAGACCAGCCTGGCCAACATGGCAAAACCCTGTCTCTACTAAAAATACAAAAATTAGGAGGGCGTGGTGTTGGGCATCTGTAGTCCCAGCTATTCGGGAGGCTGAGGCAGGAGAATTGCTTGAACAGGAGGCAGAGGTTGCAGTGAGCCAAAATCGTGCCACTGCACTCCAGCCTGGGAGACAGAGCGAGACGCTGTTTCAAAACAAAACAAAACAAAATCCAGAAGAATATGCACACTCTTGATCTAAGACAAAGTTGGCACTGGTGTTTTTGAAAAATAATATTATGCTGTGTCGGTTGGCTATCCATGTCGAAGAACACCAAAACATGGCCCCTACCACACACCATGCACAAAAATAAACATCAGGTCAGTTTTAGATCTAAATAGGAAGGATCAAAACAAACTCTCCAGAATACAAGCTAGGGGTATGTTTTTGAGAGTAGCGAACGTTTCTTAAACAATCCACACTGAAAAGATTGTGTCATTACAGTGTTACAAATACAGACAGGATTCTGTTTTCCTTTTCCATTTTTAAATTGTAAGAAAACACATTATTTTAAAAAACTTCCTTCTCAAAAGTGAGAAACATCTCTCCCTTTAAATGGATGTAAAGGGAATAAGAATGCATTCAATTGTGTTTATTTTTTAAAAGCAAAATTTTCACTTAATGTGTTGCCAGATACATGTGAATCAGAGAAGTTATTTTTGTAGTAGGAATATTTTACCGTATTTCCACTAGCCAGGACTTTTCCCCAAAATTTAATATGTGACACCATAGTCAAGTTATCCCACTCTAGGATCTGATAAAGGGTTTCCATAAGATGAAGACAACCATTCTTGGTACACAAATCAGGAAAAGCTTATCTGGCTTGTCTGGCACCTATATGGGCTTCTCTGCTATTAGAAGAAATAGGAGAGAAATCCTTGTCAAATAACTCTAGGACTTTCCCCTGGCACCTGACATCTCCCTCCAGGGCAACAAAGAAAAGGAACCCTAATGTTACTTTGCTGGCTGGAGGGTATTCCTAGGATGTAGCAGAAGCAGATGATTCTCGGTAGAAGAAATGAAGAAATCACAGGAAAAACTATGTAACACCTGGAGCTTCACCTCCTTCATTTGTAAAGGAGGCAGCAGGAATATATATATGACTCTTATGCCTCTTCCAGTTTGACACCATGAACCAGAGTGATCTACTGCTACCAGCTCCTTCCCACAAGTGATAGGAAAAGGGTGGGACAAAGGCAAGTCTGAAACCTATGTAACGTTTTGACACTGTAAGTATCAGATGTTACTCTGAGACCTGGCATAGTGCCAGGAAGGGGTCTCCGTGAAGGTGTTCTCGCTCGCTCTCTCTTTTTTTCCTCCATCCTAAACCTGAACATTTCTGCCAGTCTTCTGCCTTCTCCTGGAAACCACTAATCAGTGTATAAATAATGATTAATACAAAGGAAGATACTATTTCTGGTATTTGCCTCAAATTGCCCTTGAATGCACAGGAAAACACAGAGATGCGGAAAGGTTGGAGCTGAATTGCCTGCACCTGAAGCAGGTTGGGTAGACGATGAGTCCCAGATCTCTTTCTATCCTGAGGACTGGGACAGGACCCAGGGATGTTCAGGGGGCTTCTAGATATGTAGACTTTATACTCTGATTACTTAAAAGAGGCCCATTATCCAGAGACATACCTGTGGAGTCCAGAGAACAACATATGAAGCGTCTTCCCACCATCCTATGTCTTCCCTACTGAGCAGTGTAACACCTTCCCCTCTCCTCTCTATCCTCCAGCTTTGTTATTCGTATGAGTGTCAGCGTGTGTAGGTGTGGGGCAGGTGTGTATGCCTCTGTTTGTGTGTGTGTGCACGCATGTGCACTTGTGTTCCTGCTTATGCAAAGAAGTGAGAACTCAGGAAGAATGGCAAGGTTGTTCCTACCCAGGAGAATCTTGGCATGCACATTTCACAGATAAGTCACCTTATATGGGTTATGTCACATGGCACAGTCTCCAAGCATCTAGACTTATTGTGATCTCAAAATTTTGCCTGCCTACATACCCCCCTTTCAAAAAGGTTGAAATTTGATGATGTGATAAATGTGGCCCCCATGGAGCTTGTTAAGGCAGCACCTCAGAGGACTGTATCTCCTCCAAGGAGAGGAGTCTTGGTCTGCCGAAAGTCTTATTGTGTGTGAATTGCAAAAATTTCCATTGCAGTATATTTTTAAATTTGGAAGCTGATAGAGATCAGATTCTATTTCCCCTGTGCTTTTTTCCTTTCCTTCAATTTCAAGCCACTCTCTATTTGTTCCATTTAAAAAACATATCTTTTCTTTCAAATATGTATCCTACCTTTAGATTCAATTTTTAAAAAATCTCTCGGCCGGGTACAGTGGCTCATGCTTGTAATCCCAGCACTTTGGGAGGCCAAGGCAGGGGATCACAAGGTCAGGAGTTCAAGACCAGCCTGGCCAACATGGTGACACCCCATCTCTACTAAAAATACAAAAATTAGCTTGGCATGTTGGCACGTGCCTGTAATCCCAGCTACTCAAGAGGCTGAGGCAGGAGAATTGCTTGAACCAGGACCCGGGAGGCAGAGGTTGCAGTGAGCCGAGATCGTGCCGCTGCACTCCAGCCTGGGCTAGAGAGCAAGACTCTGTTTCAAAATAATAATAATAATAATAAAGATCTCTCAACTCTAAGCATTTCGGTGTTTGATTAAAATTATATGGCAGACAAATGACATGTCTGTCATGTAGACAACAGACTTGGAGAAAAACACAGAGCCATAATGAATTTTAAGTTCATGATTTTTCATCTCAGTTGGACCCTTATTTAAAGAGGATGCCGCTAGGACACTCTCTTTAAAAAAGTATATTTGAATTACAATATAATATATTTCTCATCAATCCCTACCTGTAATTTCCAAGATTTTTCTGTCATTTCTGATTTTAAAGAGAGATATTATAAGGAACTATTTCTCTTACTTATTTTATTAATGATACCCTCAGGCCTAAAGTATCTCCCTACAATTACTAGAATCAAGTGCGTCAAAATCTTCTGTAGCTACTTTAATAAGAAACTTCAGTATTATGAGGGTGATCAGTGGGGCAGGAAAATAGGGTCTGGAGGGAGGAAACATAAGGCCGATTCATACTTCAGCTATAACAGGAAATATCCTCTCTATAGGGCATACACCATAAATGACTTTCTAACTTTACTTCATCCTCTTCATTTAAATGGGGTGTACCCCAAGAAGAGGGCATTTAAACTCACAAAATCGCTGTAACAGGGCCTTTGAACCCTGATGCTAAGGCCCGCTCCCACATTGTGGAGTATACTTTCATTTTCAATAAAGCCCTTTGTCGTTTCTTTCTTTGTGCATTTTGTCCAATTCTTTTGTTCAAGATGCCAAGAACCTGGACACCCTCCACCGTTAGCATATTTTGGCGAGCCACCCAGGAGTAAGAGGTAAGCCCAAAGTTTGGGATTTATTCTTTTCCTTGTGCTCCATACAGGGGAATCTCTTTCTGTTTTTCTTTCCAAACCAGGACCCTTGGTGGGCAGCAACTAAACATGGAAGCAACTGCAGGTTTCTGGCCATGGCCAGTGAAACTAGGGGCTTTCCATGTGGAGAAGACTGACTGCCGCCGCCGGTTCGCTTAAGGGACCAGGATCTTTTTCATTTTTTTCCCTGTCTTTCTTTTTCAGTCTTTCAGTGCTGTTTCCTAGTAGCTCCTTGGAAATTGAGGGCAATTGGCTGGGGTCACTCCCTGGTAGTGTCTTAAGGCCTAGGAATGAGGTTATAATTACCCTACCCATAGGGGGAAAAACTTTTATATATATATACATATTTTCCACGCGTGGTCCCTGATCCCTACGTGTGGTGCACCAGCTCACAGCAAACTCGCATGTGTTTCAAGCAACTTGAACATTCTTTTCTTATGCTAAAATCTTCCCTTATCTACTCAACTGGCTAAGGAACATAAAGGCCCACCCAGCATCCAGTTCACATTACAGTTCATGGCTATTCTTCTAAAGCTCATAGTAGGCTCTGGAGGGAATGCATGCAAGGTGGCACCAGTGCCCACCTGAGGCCAGAGAGGTCTGGAACTCTAAGACTGGACCCCACAGGAGGACACCCCGGGGAATCCTCTAGACCTCAAACTCTCCAAAGAGGACGCTCTTGGCAGAGGTTCTGCGGTCTAGTATTAAGCCCTCGTTAGAATTTTCTCTCACAGTTGCAATGCTGCTTGGCCCCAACATTATTTGGAACCTGGGGTTCAATGTCTACTGGGAAAGTGGAACAGCATTGCATGTATCCAGGCTTTTGTGCTGTAGTTCTAAGCAGGGGGCCTGGTTAATGTATGACACCCTCCTTTGGTACTGTTTGGCCCCAGTGATCTATGGAGTCTGGGGAGGTTTGGCCTTTAAAAATCAAACTGCCATGGAGACTGTTTTACCCAAAATTTTGGTTCACAGTCTTCATTGGATTGTCTGTTGGGGCAAAGTAAAACCGGCAAGCTGGTATTGCTATCTCATGGCTAAGGTTCCAAGCTATTGGAACAAGACAAGTCTAACTGTCCCACTATACACCTCCAATACAATGTTGAATCAAAGTGGTGAGAGTGGACATCCACGTATTGTTCCTGATCTTAAGAAAAAGCATTCTATCTTTCACCATTAAGTACAATGTTAGCTGTGAGCTTTTTCATCTATGCCTTTTGACAGGTTGAGAAAGTACTCTTCATTTTTATTTTGTTGAGTATTTTTATTATTATTAGATTTGTCAAATGCTTTAATTTGGCTATTAAAATGATCATGTTGTTTTTCTCATTTATGTAATTAATGTGGTATACTTTATTGATTTGGTATTTGGATATGAAAGCAACCTCAGATTCTAGGGATGAATCCAGTTTGGTCATAATATGTAAAACCTTTGATATGCAATTTAAACTTGTTTGCTAGTATTACATATTGTTCAGGATTTGGGCATGTATATAAAAAGGGGTACTGTTCTTTAGTTTTCTTTTTTGTAATATCTTTTTCTTGGTTTTGGTATGAATATAATACTGGCCTCAGAGGATGAACTGGGAAGTATTCCATTCTCTATTTGGAAGGCTTCGTGAAGGATTTAGTGTTAATTTTTCATTAAACCTTTAGTAGGATTCATCAGGGAAGCCACGCAGTTCTGGGATTTTCTTTTTAAAAAGTTTTAAAATTATCAATGCAATTTCTTTACTTTTATAGTTCTATTTACATTTTATTTCCTATTGAGTCAGTATTATACTTTGTATCTTTCTAAGAATTTGTTCATTTCATCTAGATTATCTAATTTTTTGGCATACAATTGCTCATATTTCTTATAAACATTTTATTTCCATAAGGAAGTGGCAATGTCCCCTTTTTCTTTCCTGATTTTAGTAATTTGAGTCCTCTCTTGTTTCTTCTTGTGTCCCAATTCTTACCTAACTACAAATACAAACTCTACTCTAAAAAACAAAACTAAGAACTGAACTGGTTGGACACACGTGCCTCTTTAAATTGGCACAATCTCTTTCCGCCACTTCACTCATTAGTTAACTTATGAAACATTTGCCAAGTCCTGAACATTAATTTGCCAAAGAATTTTTTCTTTCACAAAATTCAGTGCTTTCTCAAGCAAGCTAAAGCTGCCAAATCAATCTGATGTGAGCTTAAGCTTCTAATGAGTGTGTCTTAGAAGTAATTGTGTCCTTAGTAAATTCAGTCGCTAATTTTCATGCAATAACTATAGAGAATATAGATTGGTAACAGCCAGATTACCAGTCCTAAAAAGGTCAGAAAATCAAGAAGTGAGATAGAAGAAAATAACTGTAAGGAACTTGGAGTAGTATCAGTCTTTCCCTCCCACTGTAAATATAAAACTAAATGAAATATATGGAACAGCCATTTTCAGTTGCAGGAAAGTAGATAGTACAGTGATGTGATCCTTGTGAGAAGGGAAATATGACACAAGCCTCACATTCAAACAGACTTCCTCCCAAGAGTCATTTTCCAAGCAGCAACTAGCAAAACGGAGTCCAAGGAGAAAGCTGAAGTCTCCTTGGGTACAAATAACAGGGAAGTTGAGGGCCAATGTGGAAACTGAGATTTCAGGGTAGGGCACTGAAGAAGAATATGTACAAAAGGAACTTCCAAAGTATGCATAGGTGTTTCTCCTAAGTCTAGGCTGAATCCAAACATGCAAGATTCCTGGAGGCATAGCAAAGGCTGGTTTCTGTGGGGCTGACTGCTGAGAAGTGCTGAACAGAACTGAAAAGTGATTTTAGAAATTTCGAAGTGCTGGGGATGTTGGAGTTACAATCTACCAGGGTTGAGAGATTTTGATAAAGACCACATTATAGAAAGAGAAATTGTGCCCTACAAACAACAGTAGATCTGCCACAATCGTAATTATGAAAAAAAAATACCAAAAATCTTTAGAGGAAAATTACATAACAGAAAACCTCTACAACTTTTCATTGAAAACTTGAAAAAAAAGAAAAAAAACTGATCAATAATCAAGAGAGAATGTAGTCACTGGGAGACTGCCAAACATAACACAGATACCAAAGCTCTGAATAAAGGCTTCAAAGTAACAATAATTCATATTTTGAAGAAAATGGAGGCAGAGATATAAAAAATTGAAAAAATTGTCATATTCCACAGATAAATATAATCTATAGAAATAATCAAATATTCATTCTAAAACAACAAACTGTAATATCTGAAATTAAGAAACATTGGATAATTTAACTGATTATCCTGATTCATTAGAAGATCATTAAAGTCAAGTAAAGATAAATAGGAAACATGCAGATAAACGCATAAAAGCAAAATAACAGATATGGAGCAGATTATGTAGGTTGATGTTAAAAGTCGATCATAGGCCGTGCGCGGTGGCTCACACCTGTAATCCCAGCACTTCGGGAGGCCGAGGCGGGTGGATCACGAGGTCAGGCGATCGAGACCATCCTGGCTAACACGGTGAAACCCCGTCTCTACTAAAAATACAAAATATTAGCCGGGTGTGGTGGCCGGCGCCTGTAGTCCCAGCTACTCGAGAGGCTGAGGCAGGAGAACGGCGTGAACCCGGGAGGCGGAGCTTGCAGTGAGCCAAGATCTTGCCACTGCACTCCAGCCTGGGCGACAGGGTGAGACTCCATCTCAAAAAAAAAAAAAAAAAAAAAAGCCATCATATTCCCAAGAGGAAGAGAAAATAAAGTGGGCCCAAATCACATTTTGTCTGAGCATTTCTAATATATAAAGTCAACCCTTCCATGAATTTAGAAAGTTTAACAATTCACGGCAGGATACATGCAAAGAAAATATGACATAGGCATATCATGGTCGTATCACAGCCTCACTTAAAAAAACCAAGGACACAAAAAAAATCATCGTGTTCAGGAGCATAAAACACAACCACTCATTAACACCACCGGGAGCATTTCTTCAGCCAGAAAAAATCTCCTTTTGTGTCTCCTGAAGTGCATGAACACTCTGAGGTGTTTCTTTTTTTCTTTCTTATCTTCTGTGATAACATCTTTCTTTCATCTGAAATTTGAATTATATTTTCTGGATGTAGAATTCTAGGTTGGCAGTTAATTCTTTCAACAATTTAAATAATATTTTATTTTCCTCTGAATTCCTTAGCTTCAATCAAATGTCAGTCACAACTCTTATTATTGATTCCTGGTAGCAATGGGTAGAGGTTCCAGTTTTTATGAAGGCATTCTTACTCTAACATAACACCTTACACAGGTGAAGGGTTTATAAAATATGACCTCTGGAGTCATTTTAATCTGTGATTTGGGGGATTGACAAATACCCTAAAAGCAGGTATAGTCTTCCGTTTTCCTAACTTGTTTTTCTGCTAGTTGCTAGCTTGTGTTCTCATAATTGTCCATTTATTTTCTGTCTAATCTTTGTCCTCTTGAGAATTTTATTGACTCTCCTGCAGACACAGCTCTACATTTAAAGTGATGTTGGTTTGCTTAACATTCTACCAAGCATTTTTAGGTGTCTTGTCGTAAGATGATTTTCTATTCCTGGAAACAGAAATGAGAAATGCAAAAACTAAATAATCGCAGAAGGGAGCCATGTTATTCTCTTTTGAAAATAAGTTACATGCTACGAACAGAGCCACACTGTAATTATTCAAACTTAGAGTTTTCCAATGGGCTTAAGATAATTATAGCAAATATGCAAGCACAAAGAGTCAATCTATACCCAGATTTTCACAGCCAGAATTTTTTTTTCTTTTCTTTTCAATCCAGAGCAACACAGTGCCCATGAAAGTCAGCTATTGTCTAAGAGGTGGTAGATGCAAATATCAGAAAAGTAAGGATAGTGACTTCAGAGGAAAACATCATGGTGCAAGAGAAAAAACTGCATACAAGAGGTCTTTGGGGCCATCCAACCAAGTCAGAGGTTCATAGCACCAGCAAGGAGAAAGATAGGGAGGGATGAAACACCAAAGGGCAGAAACTGTATATATATAGAGAGCTCATCATTGTATTTACAATATAGAGCTCAGTGTGAGACACAATGCAGGTCATGATTCTATAGGCTGACTTTCAAGAGTTCAAGAGTTCATTCCAAAGCAGATGAAAGTTTAGAGGGTTTTTTTTGTTTTTTGGTTTTTTTTGTTTTGTTTTGTTTTGTTTTTGAGACGGAGTCTTGCTCTGTCACCCAGGCTGGAGTGCAGTGGCGTGATCTTCGCTCACTGCAAGCTCCGCCTCCTGGGTTCACACCATTCTCCTGCCTCAGCCTCCTGAATAGCTGGGACTACAGGCGCCTGCCACCATGCCCGGCTAATTTTCTGTATTTTTAGTAGAGACAGGGTTTCACCGTGTTAGCCAGGATGGTCTCGATCTCCTGACCTTGTAATCCCCCCACCTCAGCCTCCCAAAGTGCTGGCATTACAGGCGTGAGCCACCGCGCCTGACCGAAAGTCTAGAGTTTTTATAACCCAGTATTCCCATTCATATGTAGCCAACAGAAGTGATTATATATGTCTCCTGAAAGGTGCATATAATACCATTCATGGAATAATTATTTGTTATAGCCAAAATTGTAGGCAATTCAAATATCCATTAGGAATGTGGTGAATAAATTATGAAATATTTGTGCAATGTAATGCTATAAAACAAAGAAAAATAATAAATTATGCTACATACAGCAACCTGGGTGAATCTCACAAAGACAATAATGAATGAAAGTAGGCAGATAGAAAAGAATGTACACTCTTTATGTACCTATCCAATTTATATAAAGTCCAAGAAAATACAATGCTAATATGTGCTGTTAGAAGTTAGGGTAATAGGTATCTTGTGGGAGGAGGGAAGGTGCAGTAATTGGGAGAGAGCATGATGGTAGCTCCGGAAGGCCAGAATGTTTTATTTCTCCTCCCCGAAAGTGGTTACATAATGTGTTTACTTCATGATCTTTCACTGAATTTAACTTATGATTTATACATTTCTCTGTGTGTCTTTAATTTAAAAAATTTTTAAAAAAATTATTCGGCTGGGTGCGGTGGCTCACGCCTGTAATCCCAGCACTTTGGGAGGCTGAGGTGGGCAGATCATGAGGTCAGGAGTTTGAGACCAGCCTGGCCAACATGGTGAAACCCCATTTCTACTAAAGATACAAAATATTTGCTGGGCATGGTGATGCACCCCTGTAATCCCAGCTACTTGGGAGGCTGAGGCAGGAGAATCGTTTGAACCCAGGAGGCGGAAGTTGCAGTGAGCCAAGATCGCGCCATTGCACTCCAACCTGGGTTGATAGTGGGAGACTCTGTCTCAAAAAAAAAAAAAAAAATTCTTTCCTCCATTTATTCTTTATACTTACCAACCACCAAATTATGCTCATTTTACTTTATCATCTCCCAGTGAAATCACCCCCACTTTATTCTCATGTGTACTTTTCCGTTCAGCCTCTGCCAGCATTTCTTGCTTCAACTGATATGATAGCCTTTATATTACAGTAGCTCTGATATCAGTTTGGTCAATTCAAATACTCAGTCCTCATAGCTCCAGAAGATCTTTCTAAATTCAGGTCTGATTACTTGGCATTTTCATACTTATAATCTGGCTTCGCATTTCATATAGGCCGTACTTCAGGGTCATTAGCCTGGAATATGTGTTCCTCCATGCTTGTTCTCTCCAAGCTCACCTGTCATCAGTCCCTGCCTTGTATTTTATACCTGGAAAACCCTGAGCTATGTTTGCTTCCCCCGCAGCTTACAAGCTGCTTACTCCCTTTGGGTCTTTGCTTCTTTCACTCATTGGATGGAACACCCCTTCCTGCCACACCACGCCTTTCTCCCAGCCCCTGATGGCTAACTCTTACTTATGCTTACTTAAGATTAACTTTCTGGGGTCCACAGAAGGACAGTGGTAGCAGTAACACTAGATGGACAAGGGCCAGTAAGACTCCTAAAATCCAGGAAGTCAATGCCAGAGTGATGCAGACTTCCACTCCAGGAAGTCTTACTGAAACACTCCCATTCTGGGGGAGTTATCCTTCCTCTGGGCTACAATAGCATCCTGGGCAGAGCTCAGTTATTAACTTATTATATAAGTTGATAATTTCCATCATATATCCATTTAATTCTCCTACTACACATGAATAAAGTAATAGGAAATGTGCCCTATTCGTCCTTTTGTTTCCAGGACCTAGCACTGATGTGTGTGTGTATGTGTGTGTGTAATATATACACACACATATATGAATTTTAGCAATTTTGAATTGTATTTATCCATGTATTTTAAAATAGTCATTACTCTTTCAGAGAACTGAGATTGCAAAGGAAAAGCTCTGTGAATCATTTACTTCATAAATTATTTGACATCATGGCATTTTGTATCAGATAAAACGCTAAATTTTGCAACATTCCTCCTTCTTTCTGGTAAAATGGGAAATCTGATATTTTGTTATTGCACTTATAAGTTGGTGTTCTAGTTCTTTAAGGACATAATAAGTATATGTAGTGGATAATATTAATGAATACTACTTACTGTGTTATTATGAGTTATAGATCTTGCTAAACATTTTCATGTATTTCCTCTAATCTTCCCAACAATCTGTGAGCTTGGCATTACTGACCTCATTTTATACATAATAATTTCTGAAGAATTTAAGTAAATTACAAAAGTTTCCACATCTAGCAACTGGCAGAACTTTGTAAAATCCCAGGTCTAGCTGAACCCAAAGTACATGTGTTTTTACTCCCCCACTTTTTTTTTGGTTATGTGATCATGTCTGCAATAACAGATGTCCTAACAAAAGGGATGCTTTGTGAGAGAAAAATCCATGTATTTTCCTCATCAACATACTTTTTCACAAAAAAACATCTTTTTAACAAAGTTGAATATTTCCCTTTTATACAGTTTGCATATTTAGGCTTAATTAAGTTATACTTAATTTGAGAGAAGAGTTGAGAAACAGAAGTATCTTTATACATCCTTTCCTAATACTTCTTCACTATTATTTTCTATCACTTTATAACTAAGTGGAAGAGTTTCATGTTTGAATAAAAAGATTATTAAAATTACTTCAAATACCTCAATTTAAAATTAAATTATTCCTGATAATTTCCAGCTGTAGTAATATTGATCAACTAGCCACAACAGTTACAGTCTGTTCTTACTTTTCAGGATTATCTCCTCTGAGTTTTAATCATTTTCAATAGGAGACAATTGACCAAACCCATGAGAGAAAACATATAGTTCTTCCATGAGCTCTGTTATTCCCATTGTGCTCTCTTCCTCTCAGCTCTACGTCCCATGGCTTTCCCCTGCACTCCACAAGCAGAGAAAAAGGAACGGAGAAGGCTCCAATATGTCTATATATTTACTAGCATGACATCTGCCCAGGTTTTCTTGTTAGTTGCATTACAGTTATTATATTCTCCATTCTCTTTCCTGTGAAGACATGGCTCATGCTCTTTCTAATCTACGTGGATTATACCTTAGAAAATGTCACCACCAGAGAAATATGTGCAAATATTTTATATGTAGACCTATTTTTAAATATAGCATTTTTTTTTTTTTGAGATGGAGTCTCGCTCTGTCACCCAGGCTGGAGTGCAGTGGCACGATCTTGGCTCACTGCAACCTCCACCTCCTGGGTTCAAGCAATTATCCTGACTCAGCCTCCCAAGTAGCTGGGATTACAGGTCTGCGCCAACATGCCTGGCTAATTTTTGTGTTTTTAGTAGAGACGGGGTTTCACCATGTTGGCCAGGATGGTCTCAATCTCCTGACCTCATGATCTCCTTGCCTTGGCCTCCCAAAGTGCTGGGATTACAGGCATGAGACACTACGCCTGGCCTAAATATGACACTTTCTTTTTTTTTTTTTTTGAGACGGAGTCTCGCTGTGTCCCCCAGGTTGGAGTGCAGTGGCGCCATCTCAGCTCACTGCAAGCTCCGCCTCTCCAGGGTTCGCGCCATTCTCCTGCCTCAGCCTCCCGAGTAGCTGGGACTACAGGCGCCCGCCAACACGCCCGGCTAATTTTTTGTATTTTTAGTAGAAACGGGGTTTCACCGTGTTAGCCAAGATGGTCTCGGTCTCCTGACCGCGTGATCCACCTGTCTCGGCCTCCCAAAGTGCTGGGATTACAGGCGTGAGCCACCGTGTCTGGCCGGCACGTTCTAAATTAAGAATAATTAAATAATGACTTTGTTATCAGTCTCTCCTAACTCCCATATCCTTATTCTACAAAAATTCGCCTTCAAGTCTTATTTACAGAACAAAAAGATACACATTTATTTCCAACTTTCAGAATATTTCACATAATTATATTAAAAGTGTGTACACTATACAGCTAGTATAAACATATTTTTATTAATTGTGCAGCTCCGACCTTCAATGCTGGAGAGAGGAAAGCAGAATGGGCTTTCTCGGGAGGTAGTCATAGGAAAATTTCAAGAAGATGGAAAGGGTTCTCTAGAGTGTGATTATGTATCCTGAGTAGGGATGGGTTCAGATGTAATCTCAAAGCCCTTTGAAGCCAGCTATTTTACTATTCTTTCAGGCTTTCATGAAGTTCTCTTCTTTTCAAGCATCCTCTTTAGAGTACCTTGGACTTCCTTGTTCCTAAGACTATAAATTAGGGGATTAAGCATGGGATTGAAGAGGCTGTGAAACAGCAGGAGATATTTCTTCTGCTCCTTGGGGCTCTCATACTGGGGCTCAACATACATGATGATGGCTGTGCCATAAAAGAGTCCAACCACACAGAGGTGGGAGGAGCAGATGGAGAAGGCTTTCTGGCACCCCTCTCCTGACTGGATCTTTAGAATGGCACATAGAATATGAACATAAGATATTACAGTGGAAAAGAAGGGTCCCACCAGCACAGACACTGCCCCTGCCAAAACCATTACCTCATTAATGTGGGTATCCGCACAGGCAAGTTTGAGAACAGCCATAATTTCACAGAAAAAGTGATTAAGTTTCTGGGGTCCACAGAAGGACAGTGGTAGCAGTAACACTAGATGGACAAGGGCCAATAAGACTCCTAAAATCCAGGAAGTCAATGCCAAAGTGATGCAGACTTTCCAGGTCATGATGGTAGAATATCGGAGAGGGTGGCAGATGGCCACGTACCGATCATAGGACATCACCACCAGGAGGAGACATTCTGTATGTGCAAAACTCAAAAACAGAAACATCTGGGTCATGCAGCCAGCAAAGGAGATGGGCTTGGCTGGATGCAGGAGGTTCACCAGCATCTGGGGCACCGTGTTGCAAGCACAGGCGATGTCGACGACCGCCAGGTGTGAGAGGAAGAAGTACATGGGGGTGTGGAGTCTGGAGTCCAGTGAGATGAGCCCCAGGATTGTCCCGTTCCCCAACAGAATGAAGATGTAGAAGAGGGAGAAGAGCCCAAAGAGGAGCATCTGAATCCTTGGGCCAATGGGAAATCCCAGTAGGAGGAACTCTGTGATGGAAGTCTGATTTCCCCCCATTTCCCTGTAGAAGAAACAAGGAGCTCACCAAGTCTGAATGTCTAAGGCAAATGTTTAAGCATGCTGCAACTGTACATATTATTGTTTGAGTGTTTTCTAAGAAAACACCTTCAATTATATTTTGATCTTAGTCACTTACTAAGAGAAAATTATGCATTACAAATGAAGCACAAGGACATTTTGTCATCTATGATAAATTCAGTGTTAGTATGATATTATAGTATTCATTACATCTTATTTTCAAATCTACTTTCGTTACAGTTCAAAATATGTTAATACTTAAATTGCCTTAATAGCATGGACTCTTTCCTCAGTTTGTGATGATTACATCAGATGCTTGCCTTCTGTATTCCTTCATTGCAGGGTACTTATATCCATGCATGTGGAAGTGTGCTGGTGTCTATGTCTATATATAAGGATAGAAAGAGGGATGATGACCATGTCAATGATCCTGCTATCAGGTCTTCTCACCAATTTGTGCCTTTGTTTTATGAATTATTTTTTAAACTTGTGATTTTTACTGATTGCATAATCTTGAATTAAGTTAAGAGAATGGCAGTTTGCCCTAACTTTGGCTGGATTTAAACAGAGATCTTTGTGTCTTGACTTTTGTACCCATAGAGGGTCTACTCTGTTTGTGTTGTCTTATGATCAGAATGTAGTTACCTGTCACCTTTCTTGGACTACAGTAATCTATTGTATATTTCATTGTACATTTCATCATACAGTAATCTACTCTATATATAGTATACTTCTTATACTATAAATGTGTATTTATATTATTTATTTGTATATATATTTTTCTGTTTTTTGCAAATTTATTTTTAACAATTTTTAATTGATACATAATAGATGTAAATAGTTTTAGGGTACATGCGATAATTTAATATACTCATTTAATTTATAAAGATCAAATCTGTGTACTTGGGCTATCTGTCACCTTAAATATTTGTCTTTTCTTTATGTTAGAAACATTCAAATTATTCTCTTCTGGCTATTTTGAAATATACAATAGATTACTGTAAACTATAGTCACTCTTCTAATCCATTGAACACTAGGTCTTATTTCTTCTATGAAACCATATGTTTGTACTCATTAGTCAACTTCTCTTTTGTTTCCCTTTTGCTACCCCTCCTGGCATCTGGTAACCACCAAGCTACTCTCTGTCTTCATGAGATGCACATTTTTAGCTCCCACATATAAGTGAAAACATACAATATTTGTCATTCTGTGCTTAGCTTGTTTCATTTAATGTAATGACCTCCAGTTCCATCCATGTTGCTGAAAATGGCAGGATTTTATTCTTTTACATGGCTGAATAATATACCATTGTGTATATATATCACATTTTCTTTATTCATTCATTGATGAGCACTTAGGCTTATTCCATATTTTGGTTACTGTGAATAGTGCTGCAATAAACATGGCTGTGAAGATATCTTTTTGATATGTTCACTTCATTTCTTTTGGATATATACCCAGCAGTGAAATTGTTACATATGATTTATTTAGTTGCATTTGGAAATTTCTAAAATTCTGCTATATTCCTACAGTAATAAATGTCTACCCAGTACATACACACATGAGTACATATACAATTGAATCCTTACTCTGTGTAATGTGCTTGTTTTCTGTTTTATTCTAGTCTAATGTATTCTATTTCATTAGTAAAAGTGCTGGCTGAATTATTTCATGATGGGTCATAGCCTGGGATTTAAAAAATACTGATCTCTATCCAAAACTAGAGCTAAAACTCTAACCATATACTTATATTCATAGAATGTTTAACATATTTTATAGCTTCTTAACTATCATGTACAAATAAATAACTACTTATTATTTATGGTGACTCTTTAGTTTTTTTTTGTGGCCTATCAAATGTTTTAAAATCCTTCCAAAGCCAAGAGGGTATACTGAGGTTTGAATCATTGTAATTTCTAAATTATTGCTTCTGTTTTTTTGCCTGACTCTATAGCCTTCTTCAGCCCATAATCCATCTGGATTTCACTAAAATAAAAACAGAAAAATTCATAATTGAGTTCCTATCAATGAGTTCCCTATTCAAGTAATATTTGAAAGATTTCATCAGCAAAGGTAGATAAGTTTTGCTTCAAAGCAAGAATCATAATTCAAAGTAGAAATTATTGGAAGGTGATATTATCTTAGTCAATAAATAATCTGATCATTATTGAAATTGCCTTCTTGAAAATTAGTAATTTTATTAGGAATGAAGATTTCAGTGAGTGTTTTAATTCATAGATTAATTAACCATCTATTCAAGATGGGATTCCTTTGTCATGTGAGAAGTTGAACTAGAAGAATGCCAAGATCCTTTCCAACAATAGGATTCAGTGGTCCCAAATGTATAGAAAAGTGTTATTCACTTTCACCTCAACTTCCTTGCAATATCTGAGTCCAATGAAGATAACAATGCTACTTTTAAAATTTCATATAATAAAGGCACACAATAAAATAGAAGGACCAATGGTGTCATCTCATCTTCCCCCATCTCCAAGTAGCTAAATCACAAAATATAAATCCACAGGTATTAACTGAACATATATTACGTCCTGCTACATGTCTTAGCTGAGGGCATATAAGACTGTACTTGTTTGTAGGCACATGTAACCTGGTTGGATTGATAAGACTATTAAAAATACTCACAAATATTCCAGGAGTCCCACTGGCATATACCCAAAAGAAAGGAAATCAGTATATCGAAGAGATATCTGCACTCCTATGTTGCAGCACTGTTTACAATAGCTAATAATTGGAAGCAAGCTAAGTGTCCATCAACAGATGAATGGATAAAGAAAATGTGGTACATATACACAGTGGAGCAGTATTCAGCCATAAAGAAAGAATGAGATCTAGTCATTTGCAACAACATGGATGGAAATGGAAATCATTATGTTAAATTAAATAAGCCAGGCACAGAAAGACAAACATCACATGTTCCCACTTATTTGCGGGACCTAAAAATCAAAACAATTGAACTCATGGACATACAGAGTAGAAGGATGGTTACTAGAGGCTGGGAAGGGTAGCCGGGTATTGGGAGGAGGTGGGGATCATTAATGGGTACAAAAAAATTAAAAAGAATGAATAAGACCTATTATTTGTTAGCAAAATAGGGTGGCCATAGTCAATAACTTCATTGTAATTTTAAAATAATTAAAGAATGTAATTCTTTACATTCACATTAAAGAATGTAATTGGATTACATTCACATTAAAGAATGTAATTGGATTTTTTGTAACTTAGAGGGTAAATGCTTGAGGGTCTGGGTGCCTCATTCCCTATGATGTGCTTATTTCACATTGCGTGCCTGTATCAAAACATCTCATATACCCCATAAATATATACACCTACTATGTACCTACAAAAATTTAGAAAAAAGGGACTCACAAATATGATAATTCTCATGTTTAAATAGCTCAGAAAAATGAATTTCATATTTTAAAACAAATCCTTTGTGTCACTCTTCTTCTTATGTAACATAAATCTAGTTTGCAGTCAATTAGGCCCATTGTTCTATAAAACCACTACTTAATTTCATGAGGCAATAGAAACATGAGGCAACCCCCCACAAACAACTATTTTACCTTACAATTTAAACAAGAAATTCAACACCAAAAGCATCAAAATAAATTATCTACATTAGGTATATCTGAAAGAGAAAAATGTTAAATTAGTCTAGTAGCTAAGTCTGTAAATAGCAGAAATTTGGCATTAACAGGTAAGAATTACAGTTTGCGTTGTGATTTTTTATTACAGTGCTTCTGAAATTGTATAATAAATAAAGGTTGGATAATATAAAAACTTACATTTTACATCAGGATTAACAACTAAAAATGAGAAAACAAGGTGGATATGAGTTAGGTAAAGCTTCACAAATTAGTAAAAAGCATCTGTAAGCTAGTGTTGAAACTCTTTCATTCCAAAAAGATTATTGGGGGAAAAAAGTGCCCCAGTGGAGGTTGGATAGCTCTCAGAAGAGATGACGTTATTCTCTGCTTAGATCAACCATGCCTCAGTATGCTATGAAAGTGTGTTGCAGTGGAGAGATAAAGACCCATCACGCACACTGCCATCTGCTCCTGTCCTAGGGAAAAGGGCTCTCCCTGTACTTATCTCTCTGGTTTTCTCTGGAAGGATGTTGATGTCAAGATGTTGCTGCTGTTACTTTCTTCAGTCAGTGTAGGATTCATGATCAGAAATTTAAGCAGGAATACAATTACTTCCAGGACCTCTTCATACATTACAGATTCCCCAGGCTTATTTTAGTTTCAGGAACTCCAAAATATCCCCACCTACTAACCTTCCAAATAGATTCACTTGTTTTTAGGGCAGGTGGAACTCATATAGATTCAACCTTCCAAATAGAATCACTTGTTTCAGGGCAGGTGGAACCCATATAGTATTCCCATCCCATTTTGACTGAGTTTTATCTTCTGTGCAACCCGAACATATATTCTGTAATTTTTTCCATCAAATCTCCACAAGGAATCCAATTCCCAAAGTAGGACCAGGTAGCAAGAGCTATAGAAGCTGTGGGCAACATGTTAAGGGATCAGAAAGAAGGATAAAGCATCCCAGTGGGATTTGTTGAACCCTTTTTGTAAAATTTAACTGGAGCACAAACAAGGAAGGACAGTTCTTACCAAGAAGCAATCCCTGTTCTTTAATTTCTAGTGATTTTGAATGCAAGGGGAGTGTGAGGTGAAGTGAGGACGACCATAATCCCTGAGGTCTGTGACTATTACTATTTTCTCTGTCTTCTGAGAATGAAGAAATGAAAATGAACTGACCCTATTTTATAATTTCCGGAAATCCAGCTGAGACAATCCGATGGTGTCTTTGTGCTTTAAATTTTTCTTTTAGTCTTTTACCTAAATCCATTCTTATACTTAAATATAAAGGAGGCAGGATGTAATTTGCTAAATTAAAGTTTTTTTAATGTTTATGACTGCCAACTAAGAAAGTAAAAAAACCTATTATTTTAACCTTGAGAGAGCTCACCTGTAGCAGGTTTTAATGTGCTTTTCCCCATCAGACCTGTTCAGTAAGAGGCTTGTTGGTGATTGGTGTTCAGATTGTGTCCTCATATACTGAAAAGATGCTGCTTCCTCATATTGATGCCCAAGGGCATCTAATGCCTGGAGAGAAACAATCACTGTGACCCATATGTTGTTCACGGTCCAATTTATTAAATATATAAACTCATAAATTATATCTCTTCTTTTTCTATTTCTAATTTTATAAATATAAAAGCCTTCTATATGTCTTATAATTTTTTTGCCTAAAATTATATTTTATCTGAAAAAGATGTATTTTGTTTGATAATAGCAATGCTGAACTTGGTTTACTAACACTTAGGCTAATTTGCATTTATGTTCATTTTTGAGATTTGTTCAATAAATCACTTTTCTTCTACTGTACTTTTCTAGTTTTGTTATCATTGTTATACTAGCCCTATAAAGCAAGCTGGATTGCTGTACTTCTTTTGTCTATTCTCAATAAGTTTTACATAGTATGAAAATTAGCTGTTCCTTAAGGATCGGTAAAATTTGTCTTTAAAACTATATGGCATGGTGTTCTTTGATTAGAAGAAAATTCTGGTAACCAATTCAATTTTTTGAACATTAAGGTTTTGGATTTTCTACTTCTACATAAGGCAGTGTAAGTAATATTTTCCAAATATTTTTTATTTTTCCATAAGTCATTTGGGTACAGGTGGTATTTGGTTACATGGGTAAGTTTTTTAGTGATCTGTGAGATTTTGGTGCACCCATCACCTGAGAAGTATACACTGCGCCTTATTTGTAGTCTTTCATCCCTCGTCCCCATCCCTCTCTTTCCCCCTAGTCCCCAAAGTCCATTGTATCATTCTTATGCCTTTGCATCCTCATATCTTAGCTCCCATATATCAGTGAGAACATAAAATGTTTAGTTTTCCATTCCTGAGTTACCTCAATCAGATTAATAGTTTCCAATTTCATCCAAGTCACTGCAAATGCCGTTAATTCATTTCTTTTTATGGCTGAGTAGTATTCTATTTTATATGCACACACACACACACACACACACACACACACACACACACACACACAGTTTCTTGATCCACTCGTTGATTGATGGGCATTTGTGTTGGTTCCACGATTTTGCAATTGCAAACTATGTTGCTGTAAACATGCATATGCAAGTATCTTTTACATATAATGACCTCTTTTCCTCTGGGCAGATACCCAGTAATGGGATTGCTGGATCAAATGGTAGTTCTACTTTTAGTTCTTTAAGGAATCTCCACACTTGTTTTCCATAGTGGCTGTACTAGTTTACATTCACAGCAGTGTAGAAGTGTTCCTTGGTCACCGCATCCATGCCAACATCTACTGTTTTTTGAGTTTTTTATTATAGCCAGTCTTGCAGGAGTAAGGTGGTATCACATTGTGGTTTTGATTTGCAGTTCCCTGATCATTAGTGATGTTGAAGATTTTTTCACGTTTGTTGGCGATTTGTATGTCTTCTTTTGAGACTTGTCTATTCATGTTCTTATCCCACTTTTTGATGGAATTTTGTGTTTTTTCTTACTGATTTGTTTGAGTTTGTTGTAGATTCTGAATATTTGTCCTCTGTCAGATGTATAGATTGTGAAGATTTTCTCCCACTCTGTGGGTTGTCTGTTTACTCTGCTGACTGTTTCTTTTGCCATGCAAAAGCTCTTTAGTTTGATTAAGTCCAAATATTTACCTTTGTTTTTATTGCATTTACTTTTGGGTTTTTGGTCATGAAATCTTTGCATAAGATAATGTCTAGAAGGGTTTTCCAATGTTTTCTTCTAGAATTTTTACAGTTTCAGGTCTTAGCTTTAAGTCCTTAATCTATCTTGTGTTGATTTTTTGTATAAGTGATGAGTAGCCAGTTTCATTATACTACGTGTGGCTAGCCAATTATCCCAGCACCATTTGTTGAAAAGGGTGTCCTTTCCCCACTTTATGTTTTTGTTTGCTTGGTTGAAGATCAGTTGGCTGTAAGCATTTGGGTTTATTTCTGGGTTCTCTATTCTGTTCCACTGGTCTATGTGCCCATTTTTATACCAGTACCATGCTGTTTTGGTGACTAAGGCCTTATAATGTAGTTTGAAATCAGGTAGTGTGATGGCTTCAGATTTATTCTTTTTGCTTAGTCTTGCTTTGGCTATGTGGACTCTTTTTTGGTTCCATATGAACTTTATAATTTTTTTTTCTAATTCTGTGAAAAATGATGGTGGTATTTTCATGGGAATTGCACTGAATTTGTAGATTGCTTTTGGCAGGATGGTGATTTTCACAATATTGATTCTACCCATCCATGAACATGGGATGTGTTTCATTTGTTTGTGTCAACTATGATTTCTTTCAGCAGTATTTTGTAGTTTTCCTTGTAAAGGTCTTTTGCCTCCTTGGTTACGTATATTCCTAAGTATTTTATTTTATTTTTTGCAGCTATTGTAAAAGGGGCTGAGCTTTTCATCTGATTCTCTGTTTGGTCACTGTTGGTCTATAGAAGGGCTACTGATTTGTGTTCATTAATCTTGTATCCAAAGAGAATTTGCTGAATTCTTTTATCAGTTCAAGGAGCTTTCTGGAGGAGTCTTTACAGTTTTCAAGGTAAACAATCATATAGTCAGCAAACCGTGACAGTTTGACTTCCTCTTTATCAATTTGGATGCCCTTTATTTCTTTCTCTTGTCTGATTGCTCTGGCTAGGACTTCCGGTACTACGTTGAAGAGGGGTGGTGAGAGTGACAGACCAATAACAAGCAGCAAGGTTGAAATGGTAATTTAAAAATTACCAACAAGAAAAAGTCCAGGACCAGATGGATTCACAGCAGAATTCTACTAGACATTCAAAGAAGAATTAGTACCCATCCTTTTGACACTATTCCACAAGGTAAAGAAGGAAGGAACCCTCCCTAATTCATTCTATGAAGCCAGCATCATCCTAATACCCAAACTAGGAAAGGACATAACCAAAAAAGAAAACTACAGACCGAGATCCTTGATGAACATAGATGCTAAAATCCTTAACAAAATACTAGCTAAACGAATACAACAACATATCAATAAGATAATCCACCATGATTAAGTGGGTTTCATATCAGGGATGCAGGGTCAGTTTAACATATGCAAGTCAATAAATGTGATACACCAGATAAACAGAGTTAAAAACAAAAATCACATGATCTCAATAGATGCAGAAAAAGCATATGACAAAATCCAGCATCCCTTTATGATTAAAACTGTCAGCAAAATTGGCATACAAGGGACATACCTTAATGTAAAAAAGGCCATCTATGACAAACCCACAGCCAACATAATATTGAATGGGAAAAAGTTGAAAGCATTCCCTCTGAGAACTGGAATATCTTCAAATCTTTTAAATTTATTGAAATAAGTTTTGCTTATAACATTCTATTGTCATTTAAAAAATCTACATCTTGTTTTTATAACTTTTTGTACCTAATATTCTATATACACATCTTTTCCCCTTTTTTTCTGATCAGTCTATTTTATTAGTATTTTTTGAAAAAGGAACTAAGATTCTATTTTAATAATGTTTATCATTCTTTATTTTTCCAATAACGTTTGCTCTTATATAAATTATATACTATTTTTATTTTAATTTTTGGTCATTGTATATTTCTGAGTTGAATATTTAACTTATTATAAATCTTACTTTTAAAATAAATGTAATTTTAGCTGTAAATTTATTTTCCCCCACCATTTTAGCCATACATTTTAAGTCTGACATTTAGAACTTTCATTATGGTTGATTTCATCTTCAAAGGACAAATTATGAAGAAGTGCATTTTTAGGTTTCCAAATATTTTTGTTACATTTCTGTTGTTAATTTTACATTTATTATCACCTGTGGTAAGAGAATGAATCCTTGTGATATTGATTCTTTGAAAATATGAGGGGTTTTTTTGTTTTGTATATATTCACTTTTTGCAATTGTTATATTGACTTTAATGTATATGCTTTATTTTAGGGAATGTAGGAATCTTTATATATCTGTTTGATCAAGCATGTAAATTTTTTGTAGTTTTTATTTCCAATTTTTGTCAGGATTATCTATTATTTTCTGAGAGCATTTTTCTAATTCCCCCACTAAGAAGTTGAGTTGGTAATCTTTTCAGTGTAATTCTATTTTTTTTCCTATTTCTACATTAAGGTTATATTGTTGTATATACATATTTATGATTGTTACATATTCTTGATAGAGTTTTACCTCTATTATTATGGAGTACTCTTCATACCAATTAGTGCATTTGCCTGATATAAACATGAGTGCAAACATCCAGCTTGTATTTATATTGCCGCATCAACTTATTAAATATTTGCATAGGCTGTGTTCTTCATTCTCATATTCCCAGACTTTCTTTGTGATTGTGTTTTAGCTAGTCTTACAAATAATATATAACTGTATTTTATGGGCTTAAAAATATGAAATACAATACAATATGAAAATGGGAAAATATAATCAATTTTCTCTCAGTGTAAATATTGAGATATTTGGGCTTTCTATTATTTGTGTTTTGTGTTTAGCATCCTGTTACTTAGCTTTTATATTTGTTCTCTCCCTCTGCTAGTTTAATAAAGAGGTGGTATAAGATTGTCAACCCTGGCTCCCACTTTTTTGGCTCATCATCATTTTGCCTTTGCTTGGCAGTCAATTCCTAAATTTCTTTGGCATGTTCATTCAGCATGCAAGTAATGCATACACCAAACTATAATAACTAGATTGCTTTGCAACACACCAGATAAAAAATATTTTATGTTAATGCTGTTTGTAAACTCCCATACATGGCCAGATTTTTTTTTATAATTACTTGAATAATTGTCCCGAATTTCTAAATGTTTTTCTAACTTGTTTTTGAACCAGCAGGAATCCACCAGGAAAACAAAGCACTCTGGTACTTCAACAGAGAATTTAGATAAATACGTGGTTAAATGAACATTGAAGAAGGAAAGCAGCAACAAAGAAGCTCTCAGACGAACAGACAGGACAGAGTCAGGAAAGAACAGAGGTTAGAGTGATTACAATTTACAGATTCAGAGGAGAGACGGTGTGGGAACTTCAACCTCTGAGGAGAAAGTGCCCCCCACAAACCCCACTAAAACTATGGCCCCAGGTTGGGAGTGATGAGGCTGACTCTGGGAACTGCCCAAGTGAAGAGTTGAGGTAACACCAAAAAGAGCAGCAAGCACACAGGTAGGAGGAGCAAGTTTCTTTTGCCCTCTCAACGCTCCCAGTTTCCTCTAGCGCCCCCTATTGGTAGAACCTAAATGGAAGTCATCCGGGCAAAAGGCAAAGGTAATTTGGGGACTTTCAGCTACCACTAAGCATAGAGTGGAAGGATGAGTTTGGAGCAGAAAGACAGTAACTTAGGAATTAGTACAGTATCCCCCTTTGGCAGCTTGGCATTTATAAACACACTTTTATATACATTTAAACATCTAAACAATAACAACTTTATGATTTAGTTAGGTATGATGCAACTAGCCTTTCCACATACTAAGATGTCGCTACCTTTTAATTGACACAAAATCCTAATATTCATTGTATCCACCTCTAGAGGACTCACAGTATGCACTTCTGGCTGATGTTATCATAGACCTTCTATACAGGAGGTGTTTTTCACCATCTACTAATTTCTGGATCATATCACTTTCTGAGGCAGCACTTTAATTTGCTCACTAAGATCATGCCTCTTTCACTCAAATTGCTCTTTGATTACCCGTTACCTTTTCAGTTCCACCAATGACAAAAACATCTCTTTTTAAAAACGAAAACTTTAAGAACCATTACCATGGGCACCACTTTTTTTCCTCTTTTGTATTTACCGAATCCTTCTTCTAAGATATTAAGCTTTCTCGTAAGGAAGTTTCTCCCTTTGTCTAGCTTACTAATTTTCTTTTATATCATTTTATTTTTCCAGTGCTCCTATAATGGTACTCTAAAGCTGCTTTGAATTTTCAAACCACTTTAATTGCACTTTGAGTATCTAAGCAAACCTGATCTCCAGATACAGACAGAGCTTTCCAGGTACATGTTTTTAGAATTGCCTTCTTATTCTCTGGGTTTACAGTAATTTCTATTGGTCATTTCCTTCATTAAACAAAATAAGGGATATATCTTCTCGGGAGTTACTTTGACTCATTTTACATGTATATTAATAAAATATTCCATATTTTCCTGTGTAATCTATAATTTGGATATCTTACATTGAAGGGACAACTATGTCATTAAAAAATTCTGAGCCCTCAGTGATGGAGTAGGAGTGGAGCATTCTGAGCCTGTGAGCAAACTGTGTGAATTCAAGGTCAGTATCTCCATAGCTCACTCCAAGAATGCAGAATGGAATTTAGGCCAGCCAGTCTGGTGTTACCCACTGTGGTACCAGAAATTTAAAGGTGCAATGTCACCAGTGCATAAAGATACTCTAATGCCTTGAACTTTAAACTTCCCAACCTTTAAGATTTCTTAAACTAAAAACAAAACTATTATTCAATCCAGCAATCTCAATACTGGGTATTTACCTGAAAGAAAATAAATTAATGTATCAAAAAGATTACTGCATTCATGTTTGTCACAGCACTATTCACAATAGCAAAGATATGGTACCAACATGTAAATTGGTGCAGCAGAGAGTGGGACACTGCTATAAGGATACCCAAAAATGTGGAAGTGACTTTGGAATTGGGTAACAGGCAGAGGTTGCAACAGTTTGAATAGCTCAGAAGACAGAATAATGTGGGTGTTTTCATCGGTTCTTACACTGCTAATAAAAACATACCTGAGACTGGGTAATTTATAAAGGAAAGAGGTTTAATGGATCACAGTTCCACATGGCTGGGGAGGCCTCACAATCATGGCAGAAAGTGAAGGAAGAGCAAAGGCACATCTTACGTGGTGGCTGGCAAGAGAGCAAGAGAGTGTGCAGGGGAAACCTCCATGTATAAAACCATCAGATCTCCTGAGACTTACTCACTACCATGAGAACACTATGGGGGAAACTGCCCCATGATTCAATTATCTCCACCTGCCACCATTCTTGACATGTGGGGATTATTACAATTCAAGGTGAGACTTGGGTGGGGACACAGCCAAACCCTATTATTCTGCCCCAGCCCCTCCCAAATCTCATGTCTTCACATTTCAAAACCAATCATGCCTTTCCAACAGTCCCCCAAAGTCTTATTTCAGCATTAATTCAAAGGTCCACGGTCCAAAGTCTCATCTGAGACAAGGTAAATCCCTTCTGCCTATGAGCCTGTAAAATCAAAAGTGAGTTAGTTACTTCCTAGATACAATGGGGGTACAGGCATTGGGTAAATACAACCATTCCAAATGGGAGAAATTGGCCAAAACAAAGGGGCTACAAGCCCCATGCAAGTCCAAACTCTAGCAGGGTATCGGGGAATCTGCCCCTGATAGTCACGTAGGTTCTTTTCTATTTTCCCTAAGCATCAGCTGGGTTGAGAAATAAAGGGACAGAGTACAAAAGAGAGAAATTTTAAAGCTGGGCGTCTGGGGGAGACATCACATGTCGGTAGGTTCTGTGATGCCCCTTGAGCCGTAAAACCAGCAAGTTTTTATTAGTGATTTTCAAAAGAGGAGGGAGTGTATGAATAGGGTGTGGGTCATAGAGATCTCATGCTTTACAAGGTAATAGAATATCACAAGGCGAATGGAGGCAGGGCGAGATCACAGGACCACAGGACCAGGGCGAAATTAAAATTGCTAATGAAGTTTTGGGCATGCATTGTCATTGATAACATCTTATCAGGAGACAGGGTTTGAGAGCAGACAACCGGTCAGACCAAAATTTATTAGGCGGGAATCTCCTCATCCTAATAAGCCTGGGAGTGCTATGGGAGACTGGGGCTTATTTCTTCCCTACAGTTTTGACCATAGAAGATGGCCGCACCCAAGGGGGCCATTTTAGAGGCCTACCCTCAGGGACACATTCTCTTTCTCAGGGATGTTCCTTGCTGAGAAAAAGAATTCAGTGATATTTCTCCCATTTGCTTTTGAAAGAAGAGAAATATGGCTCTGTTCTGCCCGGCTCTCCGGTGGTCAGAGTTTAATGTTATCTCTGTTGTTCCCTGAACATTGCTGTTATCCTGTTCTTTTTTCAAGGTGCCCAGATTTCATATTGTTCAAACACACATGCTCTACAAGCAATTTTTGCAGTTAATGCAATCATCACAGGGTCCTGAGGCGACATACATCCTCCTCAGTTTACGAGATGACAGGATTAAGAGATTAAAGTAAAGACAGGCATAGGAAATCACAAGGGTATTGATTGGGTAAGTGATAAGTGTCCATGAAATCTTCACAATTTATGTTCAGAGATTGCAGTAAAGACAGGCATAAGAAATTACAAAATTATTAATTTTGGAGAACTAATAAATGTCCATGAAATCTTCACAATTTATGTTCTTTTGAGATGGCTTCAGCTGGTCCATCTGTTTGGTGTTCCTGACTTCCCACAACAGCAGGGCAGTCAAATCTTAAAGCTCTGAAATGATTTCCTTTGACTCTATGTCTCATATCCAGGTCACATTGATGCAAGGGGTGGGTTCCCATGGTCTCAGACAGCTCTGACCCTGTGGTTTTGCAGGGTACAGCCCCTCTCCTGGGTGCATTCATGTGCTGGCATTGAGTGTCTGTGGCTTTTCCAGGCACATGGTGCAAGCTCTCTGTGGATCTACCATTCTGGGTTCTGGAGGAACTTCAGTAGGCAGTGCCCCAATGAGGCCTCTGTATTAGGGCTTGAACCCCACATTTCCCTTCCACACTGCCTTAGCAGAGGTTCTCCATGAGGGATCTGCCCCTGCAGCACACCTCTGCCTGGACATCCAGGCATTTCCATACATCCTCTGAAATCTAGGTGGATGTTCTCAAACCTCAGTTCTTGACTTCTGTGCACCCACAGGCTCAACACTACATGTAAGCCACCAAAGCTTGGAGCTTATACCCTCTGAAGCAATAGCTTGAACTCTGTGTATGCCCCTTTTAGCCATGGTTGGGAAGTGGGACACCAAGTCCCAAGACTGAAGAAAGCAGCAAGGCCCTGGGCCTGGCCCAGGAAACTTTTTTTTTCTCCTAGGCCTCTGGGATTATGATGGGAGTGGCTGCCATTAAGACCTCTCACTGCCCTGGAGACATAATCCCCAAATGGTGATTAACATTTGGTTCCTTGTCACTTACGCAAATTTCTGCAGTGGGCTTGAATTTCTCACCAGAAAAATGGGTTTTCCTTTTCTATTGGATTGTCATACTGCAAATTTTCTGAACTTTTATGCTCTCTTTCCCTTTTAAACATAAGTTCCAATTCCAAACCATATCCTTGTGAATACATAAAACTGAATGCTTTTAACAGCACCCACATCACATCTTAAATGCTTTGCTGCTTAGAAATTTCTTCTGCCAGATACCCTAAATCATCACTCTCAAGTTCAGAGTTCCACAGATCTCTAGGGCAGGGGCAAAATGCCACCAGTCTCTTTGATAAAGCATAGCAAGAGTCACGTTTAGTCCAGTCCCCGACAAGTGCCTCATCTCTGACAGCTTGCACCTTGTGCCTGGGAAAGTCACAGACACCCAAAGCCTCCATGAAAACAGCTGAGTTGGAGGGCTGTACCCTGCAAAGCCACAGGGGCAGAGCTTCCTAAGGCCATGGGAGCCCATCTCTTGCATGAGCGTGACCTGGATGTGAGACATGGAGTCAAAGAAAATAATTTTGGAACTTTAAGGTTTAACGACTGCCATATTGGATTTTAGACTTGCATGGGACCTGTAGCCCCTTTGTTTTGGCCCATTTCTCCCATTTGGAATGAGTGTATTTACCCAATCCATGTACCTTCATTGTATCTAGGAAGTATTAATAACTAACTTGCTTTTGATTTTTATAGGCTCATAGGCAGAAGAAACTTGCCTTGTCTTAGATGAGGCTTTGGACTTGGACTTTTGGGTTAGTGCTAGAATAAGCTAAGACTTTGGGGGACTATTGGAAAGGCCAACTGGTTTTGAAATGTGAGGTCATGAGATTTGGAAGGAGCCAAGGGTGAAATGTTATGGTTTGGCTGTGTCCCCACCCAAGTCTCATCATGAATTGTAGTTCCTATAATCCCCTCTGTCGTGGGAGGGACCTGGTGGGAGGTAATTGAATCATGGGGGTGGTTACTCCCATGCTGCTGTTCTCATAATAGTGAGTGAATTCTTACGAGATCTGATTTTTATTTATTTTATGCTATTTTTTTATTTTTGAGACAGTCTGTCTCTCTCTGTCACCCAGGCTGGAGTGCAGTGGTGCAATCTCGGCTCACTGCAACCTCCGCCTCCTGGGTTCAAGCGATTCTTCTGCCTCAGCCTCCCAGGTAGCTGGGACTACAAGCACGTGCCACCATGCCCGGTAATTTTTGTATTTTAGAAGAGATGGGGTTTCACCATATTGGCCAGGCTTGTCTTGAACTCCTGATCTCGCGATCCACCCACCTCGGCCTCCCAAAGTGCTGGGATTACAGGTGTGAGTCACCATGCCAGGCTGATCTGATGGTTTTTTAAAAGGCTTTCCCTGCTTTGCTTGGCAGTTCTTCTGGCCACCGTGTGAAGAAGGATGTGTTTGCTTCCACTTCCGCCATGATTGTAAGTTTCCTGAGGCCTCCTCAGCCATGCTGAACTGTGAGTCAACTAAACCCTGTTTTAAAAATAAATTGCCCAGTCTCAGGTATGTCTTTATTAGCAGCATGAGAACAGACTAATACAACATGTGTCCATCAATAAATGAAAGTATAAAAAAAAGTATTATACATATGTAATGGAATACTATTCAGCCATTAAAAAACTATGAAATTATGTATTTTACAACAAGATGGATGAAACTAGAGATCATTATCTTAAGTGAAACAAGCCAGGCACAGAAAGACAAATATTGCATGTTCTCACTCATAAATGGGTGAAGATTATGGGAGTCAGGCAGCAGGTCGGGATAGCCGCTGAGCTGACCAGTGACTCATGTGGCTGTAATCACTAGGACAACAGCCTTGTATCTGGCTGAAAGGCTGGTGAAGCCACTGAGGAGTGGATGACAGACGTATTGCCTGCTACAACTGCAGCAGAGGTGGGGGGCTCAAAGATGGCAAATGTGATCTACTTTTGAATTTTTAACACACACTAAATTATAAATTTTTCTAATGCAATCTACAATTATTCAGCATTTTCACCTTTCTAGTCAAGTCAAGAGCTTTACCGTGATTTAATTATTCATTGGTATTATTTACATCAACCTGTTACAGCTGCTAAGAGCTTTTATTATTTCATATAAAAAGCTATTTTGTTTACATTCAACAATTATATTTACTATTATTCTTTATCAACTCGTATGCTTCGCATGTACCCTATATACTTTTATTCTGTTTTCATCTTTTTTTCTATCCAATATATTTATTAATAATTCTGTTGAAGACCTAAGGGAGGTAATTTTCCTTAGACTTTGTTTGAAAACATTTTCATTTTTCTCTTTTTCTTGAATTACAGTTTAACTGTGTGTGAAATTGTAGAGTAACAGTTTTCCTAATCCTTTTGAATATTCTCTTTTGGCATCTGTTTTGCTGAGGGGAAGTCCACTATTATTTGTTATTCTTTTGTAGCTATTCTTTTATTCTCTGAAGGTTTTATTATTTTCTTTTCCTCCTTAATGTTCTGTGCTTTCATTATGATATGTCTAGATATTAATTTATTTTTATTCATGTAGCTTGATACTCAGAGTATCTTTTGTTCTGAGAATTCATGTGTTTAGCCATCAGGAAAAAAATTTCAGCAATAATGTCCTATCCTATTTTCATCATTATTTTTACGTCCTTATAAAATAAATAGATATTATATCTGAGTCTAGATTCTATGTGCTTTTTATTCCATTTTCTTAAAAAATAGTCTCTGTTGCATTTTGGGAAAATTATGCATTCCATGTTCTATTTCACATTTTTTCCCATAATGTACTCCATCTAGAATTTATCCTGTTAGTTGAATTTTTTTCATATTTAAGAAGAGTTGGCCGGGCGCGGTGGCTCACGCCTGTAATCCCAGCACTTTGGGAGGCCGAGGTGGGTGGATCACGAGGTCAGCAGATCGAGACCATCCTGGCTAACACAGTGAAACCCCGTCTCTACTAAAAATGCAAAAAATTAGCCGGGCATGGTGGCAGACGCCTGTAGTCCCAGCTACTCGGGAGGCTGAGGCAGGAGAATGGCATGAAACCAGGAGGCAGAGCTTGCAGTGAACCGAGATTGTGCCACTGCACTCCAGCCTGGGCGACAGAGCGAGACTCCGTCTCAAAAAAAAAAAAAAAAAAAACAAGAGTTAGTCCTTATTTCAGGGAATGCGTGTTTTATTTCTAAGCTCTGTAATTGTTATCTTTTGGGATCCATCTGTTATTTTCTAATTATTTTCCGTCTTAATCCCTGGCCATCTAAAATAGTTAGCATATCTTTAAGAAATCTTTTATGCATTTAAACATAAACATAAATATTTATCAATTGTTCATTCCTGAACATGCACAAGGGACATCATCAGAAGTGAATTTATTTTCCAGTTGTTGATATTTTGGGCTGCTTCTCTTGGCAGCTTCTGAAAATAGATTTAAAAACCCAGTTCTCTCTCCATTTCTCTCTGTCTGTCTCTCTCCCTCCCTCTTCTCTCATCTAGAAGCTCAGGGGTTGTCTTGGCCCAGCTCTTTGGGCTTCCTATCCAGACCTGGATCTTACGTAAATGGTTTAGAATTATGTACCTATAGTGAGACTGAGTATATTGGGAATCCCAGCACCCAGAGTGGGTGTCTGGATTCCACATTTGGTTGCAGCGCAGGGCCTGGGTTCTCACAAGTCTTCAGCTAGCTACATAGGGAAGCAGTACAGCACAGTACATTTTTTGGTCTTCATTAGTAAGCAAAGGAAGTCAGTCCCTCCCACCCTCCTCCATACCTTATTTTCAAGGAAGGTGCTAAGCCTCAGTTCCCCATTATTGCATGAAGAACTTTAATATATTTAGTTCCTAAGAGCAAAGCTATCTCCACTCAGGCCAGCTTACAAACAGTCGGCTAACCCGTGGCTTCTGCATCACTCACACATCTGATTTTATGTTTTGTTTCTGATCCACAGAGATGTTTATCTTGCCTTGGGGGCTAATTTTGTCTTTTTCATTTCCTCTCCTTGTGGTTTAATCTGTCACTGCTCTGTGGGGTTTTTTGTTTGTTTGTTTGTTTGTTTTTTCAAAGATGGGGTCCCACTCTGTTGCCCAGGCTGGAATGCAGTAGCATGGTCATAGCTCACTGCAGCCTCAAACTACGGGGCTCAAGCGATCCTCCCACCTCAATCTCTTCAGTTTTTGGGATTACATGTGCAAGCCCCTGTGCCTGTGTTTAAGGCAAAAGTCATTGAGCCACTATCACTGAATATCAGGCTAATATTTTAAAATGTGAAACCATGTATATCTAGAAATAAAGTTGTGATGGCATTGTGGGAATAAAAGTATGAGAACCACAAGTATGAAGCTTATACAACAATTTTTTCCTACTTGAATATTTTCTTTTGATGACTCTGCTGAATCCTCGGAAGAACAAGACGGGATTTTGACAGAAAAAAGATTATCTTAGAATTACCATTTAAAAATCTTTAAATGACTGTAAGTTTGTTTAAAATCAGGTTAAACTCCGCCCCTCATTAAAAAGATGAAAAAGTTTATTATGAAATCTTAAATTTTCAAGATTGAAGAGACATTGGAAAGACTCTATTGCAAATGCCTGTTCAACGTATTTATATTTTACTCAACCTTTATGTTTCTATTTATAGTAAGGCTGCACAATAATTCACAAGACCTCATTGTTGCATAACTTATAATGTTCAAAAATATTTTCTCATATTGATGTTAATTCCACTTTTATGTAAACCTACTTTTTGATTCTAGGGTATTTTTCCCCACTTTGTGGAAGGCAATAAACAACTATGTTTGCCTCCTGCAAGATTCTCGATGGGACATATGAAGACAATTATCCTGTTTGCTTTATTCCTCCTTTTTTCCGGGCTATGGAAACACAGTCATTTCAAAAATTATTTATGGCTATGCACTCATTTATTTGCTCATCTATATATTTCTTTCCTAATATGATTAGTATCCAGGGCAATAGTAAGGCCAGGGAGACCAATATAAGGAGTTGGCTACTATGAGTGCCAAAATTTCAGCCAACTAACAAGGTGTCACCAGGGTGAGTTTCTATCTCTACATACAGAGACTGAGATTTCCTAGAGGAGCTATTCTAGATACACAGTTGATGAGAATTCTTAGTGTGTGGGTAGGAGAATGAACGTAACAAAGCTATGGACTAATTATTTTTGTATATATTTCCTATCTGGATGCTATCTCAAGAATCCTTTTCGAATTGAAGCTATATAGAGAATGTAAAATTTTATGTAGGATTCTTCTTACAGTTTTGTCTACTAGCAGGAACAATGAACACCATTTCATACCCAACCTCCTGTGTACTAACCTTCAACCTCCTTTGGTGGAGACCTTCCCCAATATCACCAACCAAATAAAAACAAAGACAGGCACAGAAAGTTGCAAACACAAAGAGCTGAGATTTTTTGAGAAACTTCCATTGTTCAGTAAGTATCATAATAATTTATGAATCATTAAAATAAAATTGGATTTTGTAGTTTTATAGTTGTTTAGTCATGAATTTTACCAGCTCTTAGTCTTACTATGTAATCATTTTTCATTTTCATTGTCCTTATATCCTTCTCACAAAAATACATCACTTCAAATCAGAGTCACATAAAGTCTTTCATTTAGCATTCATAAAAGTTATATAAGGCACCTAGCTGAAACCTTGTTAGCCACATCTGACCTAAAATAAAACTCAGGATTGAGGAGGCTATATTATTCCTAGAAGCAGACCTATTTAGCAAGTTGTAGCACAATTGAGATGTGAATCTAACATAGCAAGCATCTCAGCTTGCACCTGTGCTGGGTTCCCCCTTTCTCAGTCCTAGCAGCCTAGAGCACTGGTAAGGTAGGTCCATCACGGATCTGTACACAGGAGAGATGGGGACACTTCCTGGAAAAGCATTAATCACATCATAAAGGTAAAGAACACAGGTGGGTACACCTAATGATAGAAAGAAGACCAGAATCATAGGTAAGATGATCACTGAGAACAGCAGGGTGTCTCTCGTTCAGATTGTCCCTTTGGGGCAATGCCTTATGAGGCCATGTGATTTTGCAGACAGGCATTAGGAGGGAGTTACTATTGGAAAATGATGATGCTGCTAATGTGAGTGTTTCTACTCTTCCCAAAGGTGGTAATGAATCCTCCAAAGATGGGTTGGCTACAGGATGTATTCTTTCTGGTGTTAAGACTTTGGCTATAATACTGTAAACTCCGTTTTGTTCCAGACTCTGCCCCATCATGTGGATGTTGAGTCTAACCCCTGTTGAGCTAAAATTTGTAATGTTTTGGGCAGAAAGCTGCTAAGAAGCAGCTTGGGTTTGCAATCAGTACGATCCATAACACTCAGTTCTATTACTGGTTGCATAGTATAGGATAAGTTATTAAATCATTCTGAACTTTGTTTACTTATCTATTAAGTGGAGAAAATAATAGCGACTCCATTGTGATGTTTATGCAAGATAAACGGGGTAACATTTGTGAAGCAGTCAGTAGAACTTGCAGCCTAAAACAATGCAATTGTTTCTTTCACTTTCCCCCAGACCTTTAAAAACTGATTAATGTTGAAAATATGTATATATAAAGCGGTCATAACACCAACATTTAATTAGTTTGTTAAAATCCTACAACTCAAATATGGAAACAATTAATAGAAATTTTTCATATACTCAGGTATTTTCTGTAATGTATTCAATATATATATATATATAAAATTAGAGCCACTATTAAGACCTGCTAGAGAACATTTCTTTATAATTTATCTATATTTGTCACTTTCTGTAGAAATGTAGTCTTTTTGGTCTATTCTTTCCCAATCACTTAGAACTGACATAGGATGAATTATACCCCCTGATTTTTCCACTGTACCCTAGGTAAAAAAATTCTGAATCCAAATCTATTGCTTATGTTTTATATGAGATGAACTATTCTATATGTTTCCTCTTTCCCTTTTCTTTTAAAGGTTTTAAGCAGAACATGAAGTATACATATTTTAGGGAATGTAATAATTTTTTTCAGATATAGTTAGAAAGTCCTTTCTATATGAAAATACTGCCTGTTTTCTCTTTCTAGCTTCAGAGTAGTGCACACAATAATTCCATAGTGGTTGATAGTTAAATTTAGATCCAGTATTTTTTTTTAAATTCAAATTGCTCTCTTTGGGAGGGGCAGAGCAAGGTTTGTGAATTTCTGCAGGCCAAAAAATGTCCTCACAGTATGGAGATATGAAAACAAAGACCATCACCAGAGGCAGAATGTTTAACCGAGATGAATGGATGAGCAGAATAGTCAGCAACTAGGCTTTTTGAGAACTGAAAAGAAAACAGTGCATTTGGAGAGGGGGTGGGAGGAAAGAGTTCCCCCTTTGCTTCTTTCTTTCATGGAAGAAGAAATATATGAAGTGATAAGAATATATTTTAAAATTGTAAAAATAGAAAAGGTACAGGCAGCAGATAATGTAATAACATCATGGGTCATACAGTTGAATTCACACAATACTACAAGGGTTGAGAGAAAAAAGAGAGAATTCCAAAAGGTACCATACTCAATGTGTTAAAGAAATCATATTATCATATTATGCTGATCATTTAGGACTCAGACTTGTGTTAAAATAAAACAAATTACCTGTCCATGTCATTCTGACCACTTGGGTCCAGGAAAAGTGATTTATGTCACCTGGAATAGCTTCTCTTTGGAATTTTGTTGAGGTTCCTGAAAGTCTTTATCAAGACTTGACATGTTCTTGGTTCTAAGCGGTGGTCTATGATGTTACATCAAGCTGTCAGTTTCCCTTGATGCTTTCTTCCTTTGCAGTATTTTCTTACTACTACAATATTTTATGTAATCACCGTAATGATAAATTGTCACCTACACCCGGCTTTGCGATCTGAATTATGAAAAAGGTAACTATCCCTAATAACATTCTCTCATATTTATTTTAAATGCAAAATCTTTCCAAACTCTTTCTAATTAAATGGTGCAGAATTAAGTGAAATGAAACAAAGATCCTGATATTTCTCTGCCTTTTATATAAAAAAATCTATACAATTAAACTTTGCTTTTTACAGAATTAGATTTGTTAGGGTGATTTAGATGAACTTCCAGTACTAATATCATCATCCTTAGGCTTTAGGTTCCAAACCAGGCATTTTCTATACTCTTAGTTGTTGTTACATTCCCAGTAGAGGGCTGCTTAACCAAGGTCAGTATTTATTCTGTGTGATTACAAGTACTCTCTTATAGTAGCATATGGTATGGGATTACCAGCATATACTTATGGCAAAAAGAGATGGAAATAATAGAGGAATTTAAGAGGAAGCTTGAGAGAACTAAGCCTCAAAAGAACAGAAAGCAGATCCTGGGTAGGGGTGGGACCTGGGAGTAGGAGTTCATGGCACTTTGCACCTCTGCTGCACCACACGGCTCAGCGCCTGTCTGCATGTGCTTTGTGATCTGCATGGTACTCCACGTTTAGGGATAGAATCCAATCAATATACATTCTTGATATCAGAAATCTAAGAGATGAGACTGTAAGGCATTTACACCACTGTTCCTACAAATCTCATTGGGAGCAAATCTTCAACCCTCTAGACTTTCCCTGGCATCCCTCACTTTGATCTCTGTTTCCACAACACTCTTTTCAGGGCACCCTTGACCTCTGCGTTCCTCAGGCTATAGATCAAGGGGTTCAGCATCGGGTTGAAAAGGCTGTAAAACAGGGAAAGGACCTTCTGCTGCTCCTCAGGGTGGCGGGACTTGGGGGCCATGTACATGACAATGGCGCTGCCAAAGAAGAGTCCCACCATGCAAAGGTGGGAGGAGCAGGTGGAGAAGGCCTTTCTGCGGCCCTCCCCAGACTGGATCCTCAAGATGGCCGCCAGGATGCGCGAGTAGGAGACCAGCACCAGGCAGAGCGGCCCCACCAGGATGAACACTGAAGCAGCAAAGATGACCACCTGGTTGAGCCAGGTGTCAGCACAGGCCAACTTGAGGACAGACAGGATTTCACAGAAGAAGTGGTTGATTTCATGGGGCCCACAGAAGGGCAGCCTCAGGATGAGAACCACATGGACCAGGGCCAGAAGGGAACCACATGCCCAAGAAGTGACAGCCAGGACTGTGCACACTCCCCATCTCATGATGACAGAATATTGCAGAGGGTGGCAGATAGCCATGTACCGATCGTAGGACATCATTACCAAGATGAGACACTCAGTGTGAGCAAAAGCCATGTATAAAAAGGTCTGCATTGTGCATGGGACAAAGGAGATTGTTTTTCTCTTGTTCAAGCCAAGGTTTGTCAGCATCTTGGGGACATTGTTGGAAGCATACGAAATATCAATGATGGCCAGGTGTGAGAGAAAGAAGTACATGGGGGTGTGCAGTCTGGAGTCCAGCCAGATGAGCCCCAGGATGGCCCCATTTCCCAGCAGGGTGAAGACGTATAACAGGGAGAAAAGCCCAGAGAGGAGCATCTGAATCCTTAGGCTGAGTGGAAATCCCAGGAGAATGAATTCTGTGACCCATGTCTGATTTTTTGTCATGCCCTTGTGACAGTACCTGCGTTGGACTCTGCTGTGGCAATGAGCTATGTGCTGAGGAGCAAATGCAGATCCGGATTAGTCAGTTAACAGAAGGAGGGGGTTTATGGTGCACACAGGGTGCTGACTCAGTCAGCAAGGTTTTTCGGAGCCATTATGCCAAATCCTTTAATCCAGAGTAAAGCAGAAAATAAATTTGGTTCAGAGAACTAGTGTAAATGCAGACAGGGTGATGTATACTATATCCAGTCCCACAGAATTTTACTTAACTTGGATTGCAAGACCCACATTTTTGCTATCAGAAGGGCAGCCACAGAGTAAGTTGTTTTTCAGAATGGCTAGCCATTTTATTTTAGAGTAAGGATCACAGCCATGTTCTTATGTGTTTTACTTTCTAATTTATTTACTTTGCATATTTTCCCCCACTTTCTCTTCCATATTTGGTTTTCAATTATTTTGTAATTTGTGCAGAGTGCATTGCACATGCAGGTGCTCCAGTAAATGATTAGAGAAAATACGTAAAAGCATGAATTAGGAAATGAGGTTTACAAATGCAATTTCAAAGAGGTTTCCTTCCCTGTGTTTACTAGTTTTAGGGAAAATAAAGCTTGCATTAAATGTTTTACTTCCTGAAGCAACTCAGGAAAATCTGGCTGTTTCCCTTTGCATGCAAGCCAAGAAAGTTTGCCATCACTAATCCAGCAAGCATTCACTGAAGTCATTTCTGATATATGGCCAGGGCAAGTGGTTATCTATGTGAAGAGTTAACAGGATAATATTCTGATTCCTGCCTTCACCCCACCCCTTTGCAGGGCTGCTTCCCTGGTTCTTACCAGGTGCTGTTGCTGGCACAATGCCCACTACACTTGTTGGATGAATTGATGGATGGATGGATGGATGGACGAATGAAAGGCATTACGTTAGGAATAACATTCAAAGAGCATATCCTAGATTTCAATCAAGTCTTCAGACTCTTCTTAAATTTTCTCTGCTTGTCATTCCCCCAACCACATAGCCACAGGGGCTATAGAAAGGGGAAACCAGGATGTTTCATAGAAGTACACAAATGTTAAATGATCAATGCGTCATTCTCAATGTGCAGCTTATGACTCCACCTCTGCAAATGCTAACTCCACCTTTAGCCCAGGAAACTGTCTGCCAATAAATTACCTCTGTATCTCCCATTCAATGTACTGATTTCTGGAGCCCTGCCTTCATCCAGACCCTAGCTTCTCTAAACTACCAGACTTTGCAAAAGACCCTTTACTCACTGTGGTATCAGGCCTGGTCTTGTCTCAGAAATATAATTCTATTTAGAGAAATTGTGCAGAGATCACAGGAGCTTTTGAAGGCCAGAGCTGAGGATCTTGCTCCCACCAGCAGCCCCTGAGAGAAGGAATTTCCAGATGCAGGAGTTGTCTCTCTTTTCTTAGCATAGGCTGATGCAGACTGCAGCCTGCTCTCTGGGAACACCAGCAGTATAGGTTTTATGGTGGGGTTATCTCCACTCAAGCCTTCACGGATTGTCCCTGAGGACAAGGTAGAGTCCCTAAGGGAAACAGGATACACAGCAGTCAGACTCTGTGTCTACCAGAACAAACAAAAGTAGTTTATCCTCCTGTCTCCATTTCTCTGGGCCCTGGGGATGGGCATTCAGAAAAAAAAAAGCTGGCAGGTGATGGCTTAATAACCAGCTGGATCTCTACACATAAAACTCTTGTAGTAACAAGAGCATGCATTCTCCAGGGGCCACATTGCAAATTACACCCCGTAAGTATTTGGATTGTGATAAGTTCGTGGATCTCAGTCTTGCCCTGGATGGATTAAATGGAGCTTGGAGGAGGCAGAGCATCATGCTTCTGTCATAAATGCTTGAAAATCTTCTCCTTCTTAGTTAATTCTAACTTGGTATTGATAGATTAGAAAAAAAATACTTCTATCAACCCTCCCACACTGTGGTGAGAAAGATTGAGGCCTTTCCACATAGTACCTGAGATTTGATATAGGGTGTAGGAAATAAGAGAAGACAGAAGCCAGAGTAAGGCTGGCCTTGAAGAGGTGTCATGGGAGAAGCCCTGGTGTTTCAAGGGCAGCAAATGTGTAACTCACACCTTCACCTTTACTATGATATACTCCTAAAGTTCAACAAAACTTTTGATATAATGATGCCTCAGGTGTAAGGGCTGTGTTTATATTCACATAATAAAGCATAGACAGAGGATGCCTTGAAAATGTTTCTGATTATCCCCTTTATGTGTACGTCCCTTATGTGTATATGTATTATGTATATATCTGTGTGTGTGTGTGTGTGTGTGTGTGTGTGTGTGTTTGCTGGTTGGGCAACATTTTAGAGAGAAACATCCAAATCTCGTTTGTCAGAACACACTGGGTTCTTTACTCCAGAGAGATGTAGGTTGTTAATGTGTGAGCTAACAGGGGAGACTCGGAAATATGCCTATCATTTTGGCTCACAGACTATAAAGGTTTCAAAGCAGGTGTATTTCTATGCACAGAATAAAGAAGCTCAATGAATATTTGTCCTGAAATCTCTGGAAGAATAACAAGAAAAGTTTTGTAACTATGGACAGTGGTTAGAAAAAATAGCTGAAGCACTTAACAAAAATAAAGTAAGCTTACTAACTACCTAAAACTGGAGGACTAAATAAAATATTGCCAGGATGCTTTTCAATTATTCATATATTATCTACATATAGATATTTTATATCCACAATTATCCATGTGTAGATACTGAATAATTAATCATTCATTTATTAATTCGCTCATTCAATTTACATTTATTGAGCATCTGCTCTGTGTGGGATCATCCTAGACACTGGAAAAGCAAACACTAGTGAGATACTGTCTCCATCTTCCAAGAGTTTACGGTCTGCCTACAAGTGAGCCATGCAAATAAGCGGTGTAGGACCTGGGATACACGTGTGCACAGTATACTGCAGGCAGCAAGGAAAGGTGGGGTAGATCCTTCTGAAAGTGGATAGGGAAAGGCTTTGCTGTGGATGGAAAGTTTAGACACTCTTCAGGAAGACATGCCAGGCTGGACCTCACCTATTCAATTATGCCTGAAGTGACATCTGAGTCTGGAGATTTAGAAGATTATAAGTTATTTTCCCATTGGTACCGGAGGAATTAGGTCCAATCTAGGAAGGCTTTGACTTTGCATGGAGGAGTTAAGAGATTTCAGTGAAAATTGTAAAACTGAGTAAGAATAATAAAGAAGTAACCACAAGAAAAAAAGACACACCAGGATGCACCTTAAGGTATAAGGAGGGCACAGCAATAAAACCAATAATAATACTGGGAAAGAGGTTCAAAAATGAGCTTCTGTTGGACTTCATTGGAAATAAAGAGTAGAACGATTTGACTAAGATATGTTATTACAAAGATTAATGTTTGGTTAATGTGAAGGATTGTTTAAAAGAATGAGATTGGATACTGTGAGCCCAAGCTATCTGTAGAGTCTGCATTTTCAAGTGACAGTGAGTACCTGAATTGAGATGGTATCCATGGGGACAGGCTGGAGGGAATGGGTATGGAACATGTGAAGGAAATGTAATTATCAGCATTCAGTGACTTGGTGTGTGGTGAGGAAGCCAAGCAGAGCTGGGGTGCTCCCCAGGTTTCTGGTTTGTGTGCTCCCCAGGCTTCTGTTTTGTGTGGCTGTATATAAAGTGTTTTCACTCAATTATATGAGGAATAACTAAGGAAGATATTATTTAAAAGCAAAAGTTAAAAAAAGAATATAATTTTGAACATGATGGATATTTAGGTGGACGAAAAATAAAGAATTAACTAAATAGTTTTGGAGTTTATTAGAGACATCCGGGTCAAAGTACAGATTTAACAGATAGTTAAAGTCATGATAATGGATAAGAGTATTCAAGGAGAGCAAAGCAGTTTTAGCGAGAAAAAAAAGAAGGTCAAGAACAGTATCTTAAGAATAACCAATATTTTAAAGATGGACAGAGAAAGATACATCTCCAAAAGGGAACAAGAAGAAAGATCAGAGAGATAGGTGGGAAACTAAAAAAATAAAAATAAAGAAAATCAACAAGCTATGCTCTATGTTATCCCAGGAGGCAAACTAAGGTACTCATTTTAACCATATCAATAATGCTAACTCTATTTTTTAGAAACAAGAATATTTTTCTGTAAAAAGCTACATTTAAGTTAATACTTATAGTAAACATAAAATAAAATCAAAGTTACTAACAGAAAGCTGTTGCTATCCTTCAAGAAAAATATAGCAGCTTTTTAGCATAATTTCCCAATTTCATTGACCCTTACAAGGGGTACAAGGCTGTTAATCAGAAATACAATACAAATCTGCAGCAACTTCATTGTGAAAATTAAAAGTAATTGTTATTCTATAAATGAAATGAGGGCTCAACTGAAAGAATGTCATTCCAAGGGCAGAGATGGCAGATGACCAAAGATTTCCGAAGTGAGGCTCATCGATAATTCAGAGGCAGAAATCCACTGTGCTCAAAAGAGCTTTTAACAGTACCTTGGGAGCACATCTTATACTCTGGCAACCCATAAACATTATTCTTAATTCCACAACACACTCAGAAAGGCTGATGATTGGGAGACTAATGGAATTTCGCACCTTTTTGCTTCTTCTCCAATTATAGGACAAAAGTCAACACAATCTCATATTTCCTGGGACCACAGTATGGACTTAAAGACCAATAACACCTTCAAATGCAGAAAAAACAGTATTAGATATTGAGTGCATTAGTAAATATAATTCACGAAGATAAATTGTATGTCTGTTAATTTCTTGTTTTCTTTTTAATTTTATTATTATTATACTTTAAGTTTTAGGGTACATGTGCACAACGTGCAGGTTGTTACATATGTACACATGTGCCATGTTGGTGTGCTGCACCCATTAGCTCATCATTTAGCATTAGGTATATCTCCTAATGCTATCCCTCCCCCCTCCCCCCACCCCACA